>NC_000006.12:168883227-169504144 GCF_000001405.40 Homo sapiens
GGAAGCACATGCAGTTCCTCAGAGAGATACTTAATGACTTCTAAAGTAGGTTGCCAATAAGGAAGAAAACCTTTAATCTATAAGGTGAAAAAGGGCCAACTGGGAGCTGGTGCTGTATCATGCCCCTGCTCTGAGATTCTGGGTCTGTTTTCTCATTTGTCAGATAGAGCCACAGGCCAGACAGTGTATGTAAAAGTTCCCTTCAATCTCAAATAACAGTGATTCTATGACTCTAGGTTCATTTATTCTAAATCATTTCAAACTTGTTAGGAGACGGATTTACAGTGCAGTCCATGAAGCTTGAATGTGAGCTCCCTCAGCTGCCGTCTCTTGCAGGGACTCAGGAGGGAAGCTGGACACATGTCTGTCTTCACGGAGTCTGGACAGCTCTCCATCCCCTCCCATGTCCTCTCTGCCGCCATTCCCTGGTGTCTGGTGGCATCGAAGGGATCATGAGGACTTTGAGATCCAATTTGAAAAGAGATGAACTGCAGTAATTTCACTCTGGCATGGTGGGATCCACTCATGGTTCACCATCACGTCTGTGGATAGTTGAATTACTGCTGATCTTCCCAGTGTGGAAGTGGCTTCCAGAACATTCACCCAACCACCGTGTGTCTCACCCGGCCTGTGACAAGAAGGAGCAGGGCCAGAGGTCAGTTCCGACGCAGAAGGGTCCTCCAGGGCCCAGGGGGATGGACAGCCAGGCAGACACAAGGCTCAAAGGCGCCGACCCCGAAGCTGCTCTGCAGGAAATTCTTCCAATCTGTACACCCTAAATTATATGCAGGTTCATCCCCACCTTATCCAAACAAAAGTCCTCGTCTGTCAAGCATCTCCTGTCGAGAATGCAGTACATGCAGCGATAAACACATCACACACAGGAAAAGGCATGTGGCACAAACACAATGGCAATTACTTGTGCAAGGTAGAACTTTTCAGAACCCCAGCGTCGGCAGTGCCGGGCGGGGCTGGCAGTCGGAAAAGCAAGTTCTGCGGCGGACCACGGGTTTAGGCTCACCGCGCAGTCCCAATACAACTCTATTTCCTGCGACTCTGGAAACTGAGTTTTCTTTCTGTTCTCTCTAAGGAAAACAATATTAAAATAGAGATAGCCATTGGCACATGAAAAGGTGGTTGAATAATATGCAGAAAAATTGGGGGAAATGTGTATGTGGGGCCGTTATTCAGTAGAAACATTGTATCACGTTCAGATGGGCCTTGTTGGAGAAGATTTGCTAGGTTTTCAGAACGCGTAGTGTTGTTGAGGTTTCTCTTCTCACTGCAGGCGAGGGCTTCCTGCTGTCCTTCCTGTTTGTAATTCGGTTTTACTTTTCTTACAGGGCTTCCGAAATCATTGAAGTGTCAAAACCTGAATCCACCAGAATGTGTCCATGGAACTGAAAACTATCAGATATTTAGACAGGGTGCGTTAAAGGGCTCACCGTGCGTCCGTTTTATGCCGTAATTATGTGCACAAATAATTGCATGGCCGGCGTCGCGTGAGACGCGGGAAGGACCGGGGAGCGGCAGAACCAGGGCTTCCAATTCCCGTCCGCGTTTAAAGCGCGCCAGCGCCCTCTGGTGCTCAGGCTGCGCAGCGCGCCGGCTCCGCGGGTGCCGCCAAGGGCCGGGGCTGCCTGGGGGCCTGCCCGGGGTTCCAGACCTGCTGGACCGTGCATGGCTCATCAGGCCGGGCCTGTCCAGGGGTTTGAGAACCGCAGACCTGCAGGACTGTGCATGGCTCATTAGGCCGGGTCTGTCCAGGGGGTCCAGACCTGCAGGACCGTGCATGGCTCATCAGGCCGGGCCTGTCCAGGGGTTCCAGACCCGCGGGGACCTTGGCTCCATCAGGCGGGAACCGCCCCGCGGGATTCTGAAAGGATGAATGCATTTTCCTCTTTCTAGCATGGAAGGATTGTTAATTATTTCTTCGTAGTTTTCTGTGCTTCCCTTTCTCCTTTTTGCCTCACCTGCTCTTTCCTCCTGAATCCTGAGTGATTTGGGTAAAGCCAATGGTCGGATTACCTGGGAAGAAGCTGGGAAGCCAAATGTATGAAGAGCGGGGCTTCAGATAGGGGCCACGGAGAGCCCAGGCCCAGGAGGCCTGCAGAGCCTGGGAGGAGGGAGGCTCACCCAGCCCGGGGCCTGGCCCCATGGGGGTCCTGCTGCAGAGGAGGAGGGAGGCTCACCCAGCGCTGGGCCTGGCCCCTGGTGGTCCTCCTGCAGATGTAGCCGTGAGGGCTGCTGACCCCCTCCAACTTCACCGCCTCTCCTGAATCCCAGGCCATCCCAGCCTCGTCTGGCGGTGTGAAGAGTGGATCTGAATTCCAAAGATCTGGGTCTTGCTCTGACTTTCCCCATTTGCTGCAGTTTGAGGAAGTAACGAATTATTTTGGAATCTTCATGTGTGTACATTTTAATTTTTAAAATAAGGGTAAAAAAATTCCACCATTGCAGGTGACTGAAAGTGAGGAGGGAGAGCTTGTGTGGAAGGACATGAAAAATTGCTCTCGGAGCCAACAACTGCTGCTCCCTTCTCCCTGCACCCTCTAGACAGGCGCTGTTCCTGACCCTGTGAAGAGGCAGCGTCATGCGGGGCGATGGGAACACAGAGACTGCAGCATGGACAGACGTTTGTGTTGCAAGCAGACACACACCTCCAGGGTAAATGTTTATTCCAGAGGCACCACCATTCCCACGCCCAGCGAGTGTGCATTCTTTCTGGATTCAGAGCCCCACAGTTGTGTTTGTGAGTCATCAATGGTGAACGGTGGGGCCTTCTGGGGACAGGGGTGTGATCCATGTCTCCGTTTTCAGGTGACAACACCAGTCCCCCACCCACCTCACCCCAAACAAAGAGGCCACTGATCCGGGCCGCACAGACACCGCAGCCAGCAGCCATGCGGCCCCGCCTTTTCATTTATTAAGCAGAGATTAATAATGGTATATTTACGGCCTGTCTGCGGCCGAGCGACACTGCGGCATTGATTCATTTCTGACCCTAGTATTGCGGGAACAACGACGCCGTTGAGTTCGCTGCTAGATTTATCACTTGAGGAGGTGGGAGGAGAAGGGGGTTACTGCAAATAGAAAACGCACCTCTGGAAGCCCTTATTTATGAGCTGCTCAGGAACCGACCCCAAGACATAGCCACGCAGTTTCCAGTAACTGGGCGCTGTCACTGGCGGGGCCTCCCCAGGTGGTGGCCGTCGGAGGCTGTGGCCGGGAGGTGGCCCCGGTGCCGGCCGGGCCACACGGACAGCGTCTGGGGCAGCCGCGCCCCTCCGTCCCCAGGCCGCAGGCTGGCCACCCTGGCCGGGCGCGCACAAGATTTACACACCATCGGCGCCCACAGAGTCGACGGGCCAGCTCAGCTTTTTCATTAGCGTCCCCACATGGCACAGCAGAGAGTTCCTACGTCACCTCCAGAATGTATTATGCAAGGGCTATTTCTGTATTTCTGTATCTACTGAGAGGTTATGTCAGGCAGCCCATCAACGGAAAAATGTGAAAGCAGGTTGTGACAGAACGAATATTCAGCCCAGCCCAGCACTGGACACAGATTAGGAGTTCATAAAATATTAATATTTGTGGGCCGATGGATTTTTGTCAGCTTCTGTGGTTTATTTCTCTTCTTTTTTCTCTTTCTTTTTTCCTTTTCCTCTTAAAAAAAAGAAGTTTAAAATGCATGACATACTATCAGTTGTTAATGAGAAAGTAAAAAGTGTAAGAAGTATTCTAAAAATAACAGATGTTCTTTCTGTATTCCTATTTGTGATTTTTTTTTCTTTATTAAAAAGAACCTTTGTGTTTGCACCCTGGCGGGTTTCACTGCTCTGAAAAAGGGACTGATGTAATTTAAAGTTAGTTAATATTTAAAAAGCGGTTCCTGCCCACACTCAGCATTTGTGGAGTCAAACGGAGGTTGTGCCGGTCCGTCGCTGAGACTTATCTCAGGAAGCGCACAGGCACGGTGCTCGCCCTGAGAGTGAGAATCGCTTGAACCCAGGGAATGAAAAGGTTATTATCCCTGACTTAGGGCCTATTCCCTTCCCCACTTACTGTTACCCTTCCCTCAGAAACATTCACAGTCGAAAATGAGGATTGAGTGTATCTCGTGAGAAGAACCACCTGGTTCTCCCGCAGAATCATAGCCCAGGATGAAAGCATTTCTCCCACTGAAAGTTGAATTTAAGGACCCAACATCTTTTCATCATATGGCACACCTCAGAAAACAAAAACAAAAAGTACAGAGAGAAAAGCAAACCCAGCGTCACCCACCTCGCCCGAGAGCCGTGCTCACTAGAGGCCAGGTGCCTCATTCCTTCGCTTGAACCCGGGAGGCGGAGGTTGCAGTGAGCTGAGATCGCGCCACTGCACTCCAGCCTGGGCAACAGAACAAGACTCCATCTCAAAAAAAAAAAAAAAAAGTTATAATCGTTTGTGAATACACAAGTGAAATTTTTGTAGGTGAATGAGTAAACCTTTATTAAAGTTTGCAGTAACTTTTCCTGTTTGGGAGCCAATAAAATTGTGTTCAGAAACATTTCCGTAGACTCTTGAAGAGCTTGTAGCAGCAAAAGAATCGTGTGTGTAGTGCCTGCACCACTGCCCGGGGCTGACCTCACCTGTGCCTCTGGGCCCCTCCGTAGGAGGATGGACGACGGCCCTTGAAGATCTGCGCGTCTCCACCCACCTAGGAACCTGCGCTTTTCCTTACCTGGCAAAATGGACTCTGCAGTGCAATTAAATTACTGTTTCAAGCTGGGAATCTGCTGGTGAGATGGGGAGGTGACCCTGGCCCATCTGGGGGTGGGGACGCTGACACAGGGTTCTCATAGCGGGGAGGCTGGGGATCCAAGTCAGGAAAAGGAGCTGTGACCCCAAAACCAGAGGCTGAGGTGTGACGATGGGGAAGGGGCCGGGAGCCCAGGATGCAGAGAGCCTCTCGCGCTGGGAAAGGCAGTAAGAGGGATTCTCCCTCAAAGCTCCGACACCTGGATTTTAGACGCCTGGATTTTAGACTTCCGGCCTGCAGAACTGTGAGGGGACCAATCTGTGTTGTTTTAAGCAGTGATTTGCAGTGATTTGTTACAGCAGCAATGGAAACAAATGAGCAGTCCTAGGATCTTCATCCCAGCTGCTCCTGGGGTCTCAGGATGAGACGCGGGGCCCGGTTCCCCTCACACAGGGTCTCTGCTGGCCTCTGAGGGCCCCTGTCCCAGACGAGGGGCTTGGCTCACCTGCCCCCCTAACTTGGCCTCTTTCAACATGATGGACATCGTTCTGCTCTCCAGCTGCTCAGAGGGCAAGGCCTGCACAGAGGCTGTGGTCCATGGATTGGAGTTTGTGGCCCAGCTGTGGGGAGTATGGAGAGAAAGAGCAGGAGATACGCTGGGGTGCTGGGGACAGGGAGATCCCAGGCCAGGCAGGTGCCAACCTGCAGGCTGTTGGGCACAGAGTGGGTTGTTCTCTAGGAGTGAGATGCCAAGGTTTCGAATGTGCCCAGCATTAAGGATTCAGAGATACCTAAATCAGGAAGATGGCCAGCCTAGGACAGATTAGGAATACCAGCAGATCCTTTTTTTAAAAAAGGTAGACTAAACTCGTGTTTCAGCTGTGCAAGATTAATACTGATTATAATCACCCATGCGACTTGCTAATTATTTTTATCAAAACTGACCACAAAGGGTATTTCCAGATGCCAGGGTAAAAACAGAGCCAGGCACTTTTATTCACTGATTATTCATCCTTTTATTCTTGGCTTGTCCAGGAGTCCGGAGCTATTTTAAACAGCATCATTAGAACTGTCTCTGCAAACCCCGTCCGCTGGTGTGCTGACTGTGGATAGGTCTCCGCCAAGCCGTGGCTCCTGTCGTCCTGACATAGACGCCGCCATTTTAACGCTGACCTCCAGGGGCTGGTGGCTGGACCTGCGCGGCCATCACTGCCCAGACCCAGCAGAACCCCATGGTTGCACACATCTCCCACTAACATTCGGCATCAAAAGTCAGGGAATCGACGTTTATTGCGAAGTTCAAGACGGCTCACTGGTCTGGATATTCTGTTTTATGTCTTACTTGACTACACACTTAAACTCTATGAAAATGGTTCTGTGTCTGTTCTCTAAGATTAGGAGCTCCCTTCTTTCACAAATAAGGGAAAAGTACACTGAAAAAAAATGTTTGTAAGTAATTTCTAGGCCAGGCGCAGTGGCTCACGCCTGTAATCCCAGCACTTTGAGAGGCCAAGACAGGTGGATTACCTGAAGTCAGAAGTGCAATACCAGCCTGGTCAATATGGTGAAACCCCGTCTCTACCAAAAATACAAAACGTTAGCCAGGCGTGGTGATGTGTGCCTGTGGTCCCAGCTACTCAGGAGGCTGAGGCAGGAGAATCGCTTGAACCTAGGAGGCAGAGGTTGTAGTGAGCCAAGATCGCGCCACTGCACTCCAGCCTCAGCGACAGAGCAAGACTCCATCTCAAAAAAAAAAAAAAGGAAATCTATTTCTATACTTTGAATGCTCACTTTTTAATAATTCTGTGTTTGTTAGTATCCCAGAAGCTGATTCTATTTATGAAAAATGCACCTGATATCCTGAGAACACTGCCAAGTGTGCACTCTGGATTGGCCTCTGCACACACAATTGTCCAGTTGCTGAGGGCTGCCCCGAGCTGAGCACTGCTTTGCGAATGTTGGATGAGCACTTACCTTAGGCTTAGCTGCACGAGAGCCCTGGAGCAGTGTGGGGTTTGTGAAAGAGCACAGGCTCCCCTGGTGCCCAGCGAACCTGGTGGAGTGAGATGAGTTTCCCCTTATGACAAGGGAAATAAAGATGGGATGAAGCATCCACTGGGACAGCCCAAGGGCCGGGGTCCTAAAGGCCAAGGGCATTCAGATGCTGACGCTGGAGGCCTCCTCAGTGAGGGAAGCCAGTGCCTGCCCTGGTGGGGAGGATGGGAGCACCTGGCCACACAGAGAAGAAGGGAAGAGGACGACTCGGCACGAAGCCGGCTTTGAAACTTGACTGGGAGGGAGTCCAGCAAGAACGGAGCCAGGCAGGTTTATTCACTGATTGTTCATCTTTTCATTCTCGGCTTGTGCAGGAGTCCAGAGCTATTTTAAACAGCACCGTTAGAACCGTCTCTGCAAACAACATCTACTGCTGTGCTGACCGTGGACAGGTCTCCGCCAAGCCGTGGCTCCTGTTGTCCTGACATAGACGCTGCCATTTTAACACAGACCTCAAGGGGCTGGTGGCTGGACCCACGCGGCCGTCACTGCCCCGACCCAGCAGAACCCCGTGGGCGTGGTTGCACACGTCTCCCACTAACGTTCAGCATCAAAAGTCGGGGGATCGACATTTATTGCAAAGTTCAAGACAGCTCACTGGTCTGACCTCGAGGGTGTCCCTTAGGCCCGTCTCTCAGAGTGTGCATTGGCTGTAATGGAGAAAGTGAGTTTTCCTTGGATTCTGCCCTGGTTTGACCTCATCACACTCCAGGACACAGAGAGCCCGGCTGGGTGATCAGAGATCGGTGTCCTCGGGGAGCCTGCAGTGCCCCTGCTGAGGGCTTCAGGGGCTCAGGAGGTGAAGTGGCTGACTCTAGGTAAAATGGGCTCCGGGAGAGGCACCTTTGTTTTAGGGTGGTTTTAGGATCATTAGGTGAATGCAGCGACCTCACCCAACTACGGCCTCAGGGCCTGGCTCCCCTCAGCCCCCCGGGGCTTTGATGGTGGCCTTGGGACCTGTCCCAGAAGTTGCTGGCTGAGTACAACAGACCTTTGCTGACCAAAGGAAGCAAGGAAAAGAGTTTAGCTGCTCAGGACAATGACTGCATTTAATGACCTCTCCTGCTAGAAACAAAAAAACAGTGGCTCAGGCCTGGGGATGAGAATCAAGTTTTACAGATGGTGGCAGGAGTTCATTACACTGAGCACAGCCAGCCAGCGTCCTGCAGCTGCAAGTGCTCCAGGAAAGGCACCTCCACTTCTGGTCTCATCTCGAGGTCGGTCTCAGTCAGCTGGGAGTGAAAGGGACACATTTACAAGTATTCTCTGGAGACAGTGCAAGGTGCTTCCTGCTGCCATCCAGGACAAGAGGCTCCTGTGCTGGGTGCCTGATACTCTGGCTGGGATGCTTGCATCCTCTCCTTTGCTTCTGCCTGGATCCCTCCCTCCCAAACTTGGTGTCAGAAGAGAAGAGGGACCTCTGGGGACGCAAACATCATTACCAAAACTTTAAGGCCACTTTTCAACAAAAAGGGCATCTTTGAAAGACTTTCAGATCAGAAACAACGCTGTCTCTACCCTCCCACCCCTCCAACCTCAGATTTGGGTGCACTACCATGCAGAATATATCAAATCAGACTTTTGCTATGATAATCTGACTTTTATCAAAGAGCACTGAGAGGGGACAGCCTGGCTGAAGACCACCCCAACAGCTGGTTTTTTTTTTTTTTTTTTCAATTTTTGAGACAAGATCTCACTCTGTCACCCAGGCTGGAGTGCAGTGATGCCATCACAGCTCACTGCAGCCTCAAACTCCTGGGCTAAAGCAATCCTCCCACCTCAGCCTCCTGAGTGGCTGGAACCACGTGCCTGCATGTGCCTGCACCACGCCTGGCTTAGTTGTTTTTTTTTTTTTTTTTTTGTAGAGATGGGGTCTTGCCATGTTGCCTAGGCTGGTCTTAAACTCCTGGGCTCAAGCAATCCTTCCTCGGCCTCCCACAGTGCTGGGATTTTAGGCATGAGCCCCCGCACAGCTCTGTGGGAATGCAAGGCCTTATCCCAGGAACACATGCTGCTGGGGGGATAACCAGGAACATTGGCCCCAGTTTTCCACCTGGATCTGGGAAAGAGACATCACACAGCTCAGTGTCCAGGAGTGGGGGCAGCCCAAGACTCAGGCTCAGGTTTTCCACCTGGATCTTGGAAAGAGACATCACACAGCTCAGCCTCTAGGAGGCGGGGCAGCCCGAGACTCAGGCTCAGGTTTTCCACCTGGACCTTGGAAAGAGACATCACACAGCTCAGCGTCCAGGAGGCGGGCAGCCCGAGACTCAGGCTCAGGTTTTCCACCTGGACCTTGGAAAGAGACATCACACAGCTCAATGTCCAGGAGGTGGGGCAGCCCAAGACTCAGGCTCAGGTTTTCCACCTGGATCTGGGAAAGAGACATCACACAGCTCAGCATCCAGGAGGCCGGGCAGCCTGAGACTCAGGCTCAGGTTTTCCACCTGGATCTCGGAAAGAGACATCACACAGCTCAGCATCCAGGAGGCGGGGCAGCCCAAGACTCAGGCTCAGGTTTTCCATCTGGATCTGGGAATGAAGACATCACACAGCTCAGCGTCCAGGAGGTGGGGCAGCCCGAGACTCAGGCTCAGGTTTTCCACCTGGATCTGGGAATGAAGACATCACACAGCTCAGCGTCCAGGAGGTGGGGCAGCCCGAGACTCAGGCTCAGGTTTTCCACCTGGTCCTTGGAAAGAGACATCACACAGCTCAGCGTTCAGGAGGCGGGGCAGCCCAAGACTCAGGCTCAGGTTTTCCACCTGGATCTCAGAAAGAGACATCACACAGCTCAGCTTCTAGGAGGCAGGGCAGCCCGAGACTCAGGCTCAGGTTTTCCACCTGGATCTGGGAATGAAGACATGACACAGCTCAGCGTCCAGGAGGCAGGGCAGCCCGGGACGTGGGCTCAGGTTTTCTGAGCTCATCTACTTGGTCTCTCCTCACTCACTGTATGACCTCAGGTAACTTCCTGAGTGTCTTCATGCCTCAGTTTCTCCGTGTGCAATAGGAGTTTTGTGAAGATTAATTGAATTAATAACTATGTCGGGACAAATGTATCAGCTCCTGGCACTTGGTAATATAAGCCATGACTCTTCACTGTTGTTATCATTTGATATTTGAGCTTAATGCCAAAAGTTTCTCCGGAGGAAGGTGCAGCTCTCTCGAAGGCGCTGAGCTCCAGCAGGGAATGTACATCCCAACTCATAATTTCCTTCAATGTTAAAACATGAGCCAGTTGCCTGTGACTTTATTCCTTTCGTGCATTCGTGAGTTTACTATCAAGGAAATACAGGTAAGCTCTTCACGTTTATGTTTTCACACTCTTAAAGGCAACTCTGATTCTGATGTTTTAGGCTTTAGTCCATGTTTATCCTGTCTTCTAATTGTTCTAATTTTATGCATGTCTATAATAGTTGTCTTATGTTTCTAAATTACTTTTTATCTTTTTATGTTTTATAGCTATACCCTTTTTCATGATTTTTAGTGCATTAATGCCTGGGAGTGACAGCTGTTTACAATTCAAATCCCACATTCTGCTGCGAACTCTCCTCCTCTGTGTCCGGAAGGTTCTATCCACTTTCCTTTTGTGCATTTAGTTATTGGCACTGCTCCTTCTCCCCTAAAAGAATTCTAAGCAATTACACTTGCTCCATTTCCCTTTAAGGACTCGAACTCACTTCTCCCAGCAAGTCACACTGGCTTACTTGGTCATTGATCTTATGTTTTAGTCTCATTTCCGAGAACCTGCTCATCTGCGGTTGCCTTGTGTGTGTTGGAGACCTTCTCAGAGATGGGGTCATTTTGACAAAGTCACAGAGCAAAAGCCATCACACATCAAAGCCAGGGCTCCTCTGATGCTGAGCCAGTGGTGGGGCCAGGGCTTCTCCGATGCTGAGCCGGTCCCTTTATCCCGTACCCCATCCTCCCTGTGTGAAGGGCATGTGAGACAAAGCCCTTCCAAGTGCAGGACCTGACTCATAGCTCTGACACCTCTGCTTCCTGGGCCGTGTGTGGACAGGCACTGTCTTCTTGAGTGTAGACTGTGTGTTTTTCATTCTTCCATCTGCGACCCGTGGACCTGGGCGTGGGCGATATGGCTGCATTGAGCCTCTAACTGGCTTTCTTATGATAATTATTTTTATTTTTATTTTTTTGAGACAGAGTCACGCTCAGTTGCCCAGGCTGGAGTGCAGTGGTGTAATCTCAGCTCACTGCAACCTCCGCCTCCCCAGCTCAAGCCATTCTCCTGCCTCAGCCTCCTGAGTAGCTGGGATTACAGGCACCTGCCACCATGCCCAGCTAATTTTTGTATTTTTAGTAGAGATGGGGTTTCACCATGTTGTCCAGGCTGGTCTTGAGCTCCTGACCTCAGGCGATTCGCCTGCCTCGGCCTCCCAAAGTGCTGGAATTACAGGTGTGAGCCACCGCGCACGGCCTACAATAATATTTTTAAAACGGCTTTCTCCTATTTTCTTTGGCCTGTCTAAACTTAAGTATCCATATTTCTGTTTTCTGTGTTTGGATATATATATATATATATAATATTTTCCCCATTTTCTCTCATTTTCCCTCAATTTCCTAAAATTTGCCTTTTTCCTTTTATTTTCTTATGACATTATTCTTGTCAAGTACAATTGCTTTTGAATACAAAGTATTTTGGTTTATGATGTTCATGATTTGTCCTGAGATCCTAAAATTTTTGAGGAGAAACCCTTGTCTTCACTTCTAAGACTATTTTATTTTAGTTCTTTTCTCTGCATCCCCCTTAACCAGCTAATAACATTTTGTCTTGATTTCATAATATGATAGGTTTTCATCTTTGTGACTACCATGTGGTCACTTTTACTCACTAGGCTTTTGAACTCAATTTAAACAGAATAACTTACCAGTGCAAAATATGAGGTTAGATGAGTAAGTTGGAATCAAAATTCTGCCATGTTGGGCAAATTATTCACCTACATATTGTGAAGTGTTGTGTTATTTCTCCTTATTTATTCTTATGGGGTCTTATTAAAATCTTAGCATTTGTTAAAGAAAATAATATTCATCATTTAAAGACCAGACGGTTCAATCTAATGAATTTTAATAACACAACAAATTAAACCACGTTTGCCCCATTCTGTAAACAGCGCTGCCTGCTTTTCTGTCCTGGCACAGTGTCCAGGCTTGGCCACGAGGGGGCACTTGAAACCTGCCTTTCGGTGCCTGGTCGTCGTCCCCTGAAGTGAAAAGTTGCCCTTCCGGTTATTTCCCTTCCTGTTTGTCTGCCTCCGGGGTGTGTGGCTTCATTATCAGATCTCAGCAGCTTATGAACTTTAAAAAGGGTAATAAGCCCTGTGAAAACCCCCTTTGTGCACGTTTTCAAAAATGTATTTAACATCCAAAAAGAATGTTATGACACTCACTGTCTCCACGAGTGAAAATGTGTGTGCACATTGTGTGTGTGTGCATGTATGTGTGCATCCATACGTGTGTATGTATGTATGCATCTGTGTATGTGTGCATGCATGTGTGTGCGTCTGTGTATGTATCCATATGTGTGTGTATGTGTGTGCATGCATGTGTGTGCATGTGTGTGCACGTGCATCGCTTGCATGTTTTCTTGTGTGTGCATATCTGTGTGTGTGTGTGTGTGTCCCGGATAAATAAGCCATCAACTAAGAAGGAAACAGGCTGGCCTTTGTCTAGGGCCTGCCTTACATCTGCCGGAGTCCAAAGTCCACAATTCTTCCCTTTCGATTTCTGCCTTTTCCATAACTGGCACTGACCAGCAGAAACAGAAATGTGTTGTGAGGTCACCACCATCACCTTTCTGCTCATCCACACGTGTGCTGGGGTCTGCTGCCGGCAGCGGTGTGGCAGGACTCGGCGGTCTCTTGTGCAGGTCTGCGTCTCAGATGAATGAGGATGAAGTTTTGATTAGATGCCCTCTCCGTTCCCTGAAACTCTGGAATTCTAGGCCTGTCTCTTTTTCCTGCTTCCTTCCCTCCCTTCCTGCTTTCTTCTCTTCCTTCTTTCTTTTCTCTCCCCATCCCACCCTCCCTTTTCCCTTTTTCTCCCCCATCCCTTTACTCCCTAAATGAGTGTCTGAGGGGCCGACCACAGTGCCGTGCTGTGTCCTCTGCGAGTGTGTATTCAGAACTACAAGAAATCACTTTGTTCCTTCTCCTGTGTACTCACGGAACTTGATTCTTGCCCTGAGAAGAAGGCAGGAACCGGACACCTCCATCACCCTCTCTTTTTACACTTTCCAACGTCAGGACAGCACCCTTCCCTCCACTCCCACCTTCAGACTCTCAGAGGAACAGGCCATCTTCAGCTTGCGTTAGAACCTCTCCTCTACAGCCAGGACCCAGGTGTTTTCACACATTCCCCAGGGTTTTCTCTCCAATCAGCTTTGCGCCCCATCCCTCATGTTCACATTCCATTTAGAGAGGAAGCTGCACTGGCCCTGAGCCCCGCATTGCCTGGTGTTTCCCATCACTGCTCCACTGACCTTCCTGTCTCCTGCCGGGACGGTGGCTGTGGCCCCCGAAGCTGGGCTCCTGCCTTCCCTTGCCCCCCACACCCTCCTCGAGGCTCCAAGAGTGACAGGCTGTGGGCAGCCTCAGTCCTCTCCCCTCTCCATCTGCTTTCAACCAGGAATTAATTCGAGCAGGAACACCGCAGTGAACCCTTCCTGGCAGAATAGGACTGTGGTGTTGAAGGCAAGGCTCAACCACCCTCCACCAGCCTGGCTGAAGTTTTTGCAGAACCATGCTGCCCTCCGGGTCCCTTCCCCCAGTCCTTCTCCCTCCCCAGGAGCCTGAAGCTCTCCCCAGCTTCTTGTGCTCTCCAACAAGTCCCTTGAAAAAACTGATCCCATATTTCAATTTGTTATGAATCTATGTTTCTTTATGTCTCAGAGCATACTATTAACACTTGCTTTAAAGGAATAGTGTACTAATTACAACATGGAGGTCGGTCTCCACTGACACTTTTCTTCTGGGATTGGGTCCTATTTTTCTGTTTCCTCGGTTGAAGATTGTAAAGGTTTTGCCACTGTCCTGGACACTGAAGGTCACGTGTTCAGATTCTGGGTTCTGTTGTATTCCTCCAAACAGTGCTCAGCTGTGTCATTGCTGTTGTTGGTAGAGCGGACACTCACTTGACTGGAAGCAAACTGCAGGCTCTGTCTTTGGACAGCAGGTCAAATCTCAATTCAGACCTTTCATCTCTAGCTGGGCTGCTGGAGGTGTGTCTTGCATATGCACAGTTCAGGGGTCATCAGGTATTAGGGTAGAATTTATATACAAGATGCGTGGATGCCCCTCTCTGTCTCTTTCTCCACAGATTTCTCCTTAATGTCTTTGTGTCTATGGTTACCCCCAATTTTACCCTGCGGTGTTCTTCAGATGAGAAAGACTGCAGGTTACCTACTGGAGTTTCACTGCCCCACATGGCCTGCTGGAGCCTGGCCTTGGGGTAGAAGCTGTGAAGCTGGTATATTCACTCTGTGCCAACTCCTCTCCTCCAAGTGCTAATTCCAGCCCAGAAACTGCCTGCTTTGGAGCATGATGTAAACTTGGCCTCCCTTCATGCTACATACAGACCACGGAAATGGGACAACCACCCCAGGGTGCTCTGGGACCAGCTTGCATTGATTTGCAAGAGTGATTGTTGAACATTCTGCAATTTCCAAGCTGGCTGTTCCATCATTTGTAGCTTGAAACCAGAAGTTGATTAAACATGGTGGGACCATTTATACCATGGTACTTGACAAACTACAAACCAGGTGTGTCTGTCTGTCTGTCTCTCTCTCTCTCTCTCTCTTTTGTGGGGAGGGCAACTAATGAGTACCCTACTACCCAAGACATTTACCACTTTATTTCCTCAAATGTTAACTCTCACTCAGGACTTGCCAGCTTATGGTTTTTCTCTGTTCCTCCAGATAACTGTTATATGTCTCTCTCTCTCTCTCTCTCTCTCTCTCTCTCTCTCTCTCTCTCTCTCTCTCTGTGTGTGTGTGTGTATGTGTGTTAGGAGTACGGTAGTAGTTCTACAAAAGAACAACTACAAAAGAAAACTCATAGCTGTTATCTCAAACAAGGTGAATAGGCTCTGATGGGAGCCTTTCAGCCATCATTATAAACAAAAACCCTTTCAATGTATCTTCAATAAAAAGATCCTCTCTCTTCTTTCTTAGACATCATGTGATCTCTGTTCGTATGACAGGCTCTTCTGATCCAATCATCTCTACTCATTCCTTAGGTTAATTTTTGGCTTGATCAGTATTAATGTTCATATTAAGGCTTTTCATAATCAATTTGTGACTTAACACAATTAATATATTTAAACATCTATTAAAACTGAAATACATTTGTGCCCATCTATAGAGAGGGAAGTTTCTCACATGTTCTCTACAAACACTGGCTACTTGGTTACAAGAAACACTTTCACATTTTCTAGTCCCACAGGCTATTCACCAACTCTTATGTTTTGTCATGAAGACTAAGCTTAGCTCATAGTGGCAAATGTACCACTTACTCAGTCATTCCTTCAAAATGATTTATTAACTGCTTGGATAATAACCATGTAAACAAGTATATTCATAATTACAAGAACTTGTACGTCATGAAGTAAAGAAACTGTGATACAATTGCCCTAATAATAGAGAAACTCATTAGAGAGTGTGTTTGTAGAATGTCTGGCTGTGCAAGTAATATTTAAGCTAATATTTAAAGGATGAGAAGAAATTGTTCACTAAGGAACTGAAGAATTAAGAAGTAAACATTCCAGAACATTCCAGGTATAAGGAACCTTGTGCCAAATTCCCTAGGATAAGAAAGAATTTTTCAGCATGTCAAAATAACTGAACGAAGCCAGTGTGGATGGATTTTAGTAATCAGGCGACAGTGATATGGAAGGGGTAGGAGTGAAAGCAGGAAAGGGTGCCATGTAGAGTACTGCAGACCAAGTTAAGCCACGAGCCTGGGTTTTATACATTGCAATGGGGAGACGTTGAAACAGCATAGTCAGGAGTGGCTGACATAATTCATAGGTAAAAAGATAACTGTGACCTGAATTACCAGCGGATTAAAGAGGGGAAGAGAGGGCAAAAGAAGAATCCAGGGGGCTCATTGGGAGAAGCTAAGGCTGTGTGGGCGGCAGGTTTTTGTGACTTGGACTCGGGTTAGGGCAGTGGAGATATGGAAGTTCCTGGCTGTTCAAGAACCCAGTCAGGCTCAGTGGGTTGTGTCATAAGAAATACGCTCTGGGGGCCAGGCGCGGTGGCTCACACCTGTAATCCCAGCACTTTGGGAGGCCGAGGCAGGCAGATCACAAGGTCAGGAGTTCAAGACCAGACTGACCAATATGGTGAAACCCTGTCTCTACTGAAAAAAAAAATTAGCTGGGCATGGTGTCACGCACCTGTAGTCCCAGCTACTTGGGAGACTGAGGCAGGAGAATCGCTTGAACCCGGGAGGTGGAGGTTGCAGTAAGCCAAGATCACGCCACTGCACTCCAGCCTGGTGACAGAGCGAGACTCCGTCTCAAAATAGCAAACAAACAAACAAACAAAACATGCTCTGGGAAGGCGTGCCTTGCTGAATCCTTAAAAACATCTGAATGTGAAGATCAGGTAGAAGGCAACACACTTCTGAGCCAGCATAGAAGGAACAGATAGAGAGGTTAGGGAGACAGGTGCTCGGCTTCAGAGTCATCTTCTGTTCCTCATTGCCAGCTGGGTGTCCTGGAGGAAACATTGGTGATCTGATGGTGGGTTGGAGGAGAGCAGAATGCAGAGGACGCCATGAGGATTTCCAGCTCATGTGACTTGCTGCAGGATGGTGAATTGAAATTAGAACTCTTAGAGAAAGTGGTTTCTGAAAAACAACCTGAAGATGTACACTTTTTGTGTATTGAGTTTCAAATGCTGGTAAGATATTTTAGTTGGAAATGACAAATAGGTGATTGAATATATATGATTTGGGAATTCTAATGTATGTTCTGGGCTGGAGGGAGAACTTTTGGAATCAGCACACAGATGAGATTTAAAGCCGTGGGAGTCCATAAAATTACCCTGGTAGTGATCTTCTCAATTTAATGCATATTTCTGGTGATTTCTTTTCCCTTACTTCAATCTGCAGTTCACCAGGTATAATTGGCTAAGTAGTGACCCCAGAGATAACGTGCAGGCCGGCATCCTTGGAACCTGGGAATGTGAGTTTGTTTGGAAAGATGGGATTAAGTTTAGGATCTTGAGATGAGGTCATCCTGGGTCCTTTTATAAGCAGTGTCCTTATAAAAGAGAGGCAGGGATTTAGACACCCAGAGAAGCGGAGGGAATATGAGGACAAAGGCCATGTGCTGAGAAAAACCAGTGCGAGAACGCTGGCTGCTGCAGGGGTGAGAAGAGGAGGGAAGCAGGGGCGAGAAGAGGAGGGAAGCAGGGGTGAGAAGAGGAGGGAAGTAGGGGTGAGAAGAGGGAAGCAGGAGTGAGAAGAGGAGGGAAGGGGCTCTCTCCTGACCCCAGGGGAGTGCGGCCCTGCTGGCAGCCGCAAGGGTGAGAAGAGGAGGGAAGCAGGGGTGAGAAGAGGAGGGAAGGGGCTCCCTCCTGACCCCAGGGGGAGTGCAGCCATGCTGGCAGCCGCAGGAGTGAGAAGAGGGAAGCAGGGGTGAGAAGAGGAAGGAATAGACTCTCTCCCCACCCTGGGGGGAGTGCGGCCCTGCTGGCTGGCACCTCCGTCCCTGGCTTTCCCCCTCCAGAACGGCGAGGCAATGGATTTGTGTTGTTTAAGCCAATAAAGTTGTGTAATTTGTTCTTGGCAATACTAGAAATTCATATACCAGCTACCAAGTAGGGCCTGGAAGTCCTTATTTTAAGCCGGAACCCCAGGTGATCCTGGTTAGTGGATCACCGTTAAGAAACGCTGACCTAGGGCGATACTACATGACTGAGTTTTGAAGGGTATCAGAATTAAACATTTAGTAGGAGAGAAAAAGCGGCTCCAGGACTTGGGAGGCCCGAGATGAGACACAGAGAGAAACAGTACTTGGCTCCTAGGTTGTTTTTGTCTGACTCCAGTCGCATAATTGCACATTGGAAAAACAGTCTGGAAATGACGGGATTTGCATCGTGTTTTCAGTTCGTCAAGCGTCTTGACTCTGTCTGGATTTGTAACTAAACAATACCAGCAGGTGAGAGTGGTCACACGGAATGAATCACAAACGATCTTCAAAGGACAAACGTGGTGAATCCTCGAACTGGCAAAGGAAGAAGTAAACTCTGCCCCCGCAAGCTCGCGCGACGCGACACCGCGGCCTCTCCTTGGCCCACTCACCACTTGGACGCTCTTCTTCAGGCTGGGAACATGCGCTTCCTCACAGCTGGAGCCATTCCTTCCTCTTCTTCAAAGGATTTTCTGAAATTCCAACCCCACTCTGAAATTGTTTAATAAACTATCACAGTTTCACCTTCTCACCCTTCCACATGAGTAGCCTCTCTCCAGTAAGACTTGGCCCTAAAGGTGGGTGCTTTGACCTGAGTGTCTACGCCAGGGCAGCGCCGGGGGCAGACAGAACCACCTGCCCTGAGCTCCCGGCTCACTGGTCTCCATGCCTCGTTGGGGGCGAGACTGCGGACTTTAATCTTCTATCTTTGAATTTTCCCTGGATCCAAGCTGGGCTGCACTGCAATGCTCCTTGCCCTCCTTCCTGAAACAGCTCATCTTTGTCCTGGAAAAATGTCATGCTTGAGGCACTTTGGCCCTTGGGAAGAACAAGAGGGAAGACGGGAACCTCCTTTTTCTGGAGCTCCTACTGCGACTGGACCTTGCTGGCCGGTCAGTTTCACTCTCTGTTAAGCGCTGATCTGCTCCGTCTGTGAACCCCTCGTGGATTTTATACATTGGAGAACAGTCTCCTGTTGCACTACTTCTCTTAATTTTCTTAACTCTGTCCTTCATTTAAAAGAAATCCTTAATTCTGATGTATCAATTATGTTAACTTTTGTTCTTTGGCATATTATTTAAAAAGTCTTTTTATCCCAAACTTACAGATATCCTTACACGTCTTCTTATACCATCTTTAACATTTTTACCTTTCACATTTAGGGCTTTCATGGATCTGGCATTCACCAGGTGTCATGTGGTGGAATCCAATTTATTTTTTACGTTCTAGGATTCAGCCACCTTCAATCTCCCTAACCGTTTCTAATAGTTTTGACATTTGTTCCTTACCAATCAACCTCCTTCTCAGCGATCTGACGTCTCCAGGACTGAACTTGGAGGAACTTCCCTGTAACCTGTGTTAGTTTGCTGTCTTGTTGGAGGCTAGACGCTAATAATACCTGGGCTCATGTTTTTTGAGGGTGTCATTCTTTCTTTTTCTCTTGATGTTTTAAGCCTTTTGTAGAACTCAGGATTCCCAGCACTAAACCTCACCTGTGATGATTGAAAGTGATAAGATCCTTCAGTACCTCTATCCAGTGGTATTCACTGCATTCCCACCCTGTGGTGAGCCTCATGCTTGGTGATGCAGGGTGAGGAGGCGGGGAGGGGACTACCCACGGAGAGCCTGGAGGCTCAGGTGTGCTCAGGGGGGCCTGGTGCACTTGGCCTTTTGGGAATGCAGAAGTCCAGGGAATTGGTTTATTCAGGGACCTGGCTCTGTGCCTACATGCTCTAAGTGAGGAGCCATAGGCCCTACCAGTCCCCATCTCCGAGGGCAGGAAGCCAGACGTGAGCATTGAGGAAATGGAGGCACTGGGGAGGTATCATCCAGGGTTCTTGCTCACCAGGCCTTTGCATAGCAGTGGGGAGAGAACGGGCCCAGGGAGGACTCACCAAAGACCCATGGGAGCTGCATGGAGCATCCCAGGGCCCCAGTGCTCCCTCCTTCCACAATGTGGATGGCAGGAGGGGTATTCTGAGGACCCTCTACGTGGGCCAGCCTTTCATTTTCCTTTGCATCTTTCAATGGAGTTAAAAGTAGAACCTTCCTACCCCCATTGAGGACAGGGGCACCTAACTTCCACACGCCACGGAAACCCCCAGGGCACTTGAGGGCTGATGTCCGGTAGGGGCCAGCACCTGCTCCTGGAATGAATTAATCAGCAAAATCATTGCAGCCCCCACATTATTTTCAACAAATATTAAGGTGTTCTCTAATCTTTCTCCCATTTTGGTTATTCATAGTGTATCACCACTATCTGAAATCACCTTGACTATTTGTCTAGGTGAATTATCTGTCTCCCCACGAGGATGTACACTTTATACTTACAAGGTCCTGTTCATCTCACTAGTCCCTGGTTCTTCCTGTCTAAAACAATACTACGCCTGTAGTAGGAGCTCAGCTGCTATTCAGGTCAATGAAAGGTATGAAGGGGTGACTGAATAATGATTTAATGCAACAAGGTAGGACTTCAGGTGCCCTTGGCGGTCCTGTCATTAGCGGAGTCATTGTGGAAAGAAATGCACCAGTGCTAAGTAGAATTAAGCACGTAAATAAAGCAGTCGATTTGTTAGGTTAATCCCTTGGCAATAGCTCTCAGTTTATTTTATGGGCACATTCTTATTTTATTTCATTATCATTTATTAGATTCAAAATATTATGAGAGCCTTGAGGACCCATTTAAAATAATCTCCACATCCACAGCCATCGCAGATTATGACAACAAATGTGCTTAATTGAATCATGAACTGTCACACTGACTCCGCTGCCCCACGCTGCGACACTGTTGCACCCCCATGCTGGGAGCTCAGTGACAATGCCAACATCGTGCATCTGTAGTGCAGGGAGTGGAGCCTGCCATGTCTTCACTGTCACGCAGATGGCAATGTCACAGGCACGGCCATTGCTGGGAAATGCTACACAGCTAAGAGACAAATCCCAGCAGTGACGTGGCACATCTCAGAAGTGTAGCTTTGAGTGAGAAAATAAAAAGTAGGATATACCTCATAGCAAAAAGTTGTTTACATAAATCAATAAACACACTCACAATAAACAGCACTGCATACCCCACCTGTAAATATGCATCTCCGAGCACACATCTGAAATGCGCCGGGGGGGATAAGTGAATGGGACGAGAAGTGGGGTGGGGGCAGGCACAGAGAGGAGACTAAAGACAGAACAGGAGCTAACCAGGGGCCGTGGTAAGGGAGCAGGGCCAGCGTCACCTCCTGCACCCGGGGCCTACAATGCCCTCACTCACTGGGAGGAACTGCATGTTGCAGGGAAAGTTGAGTTCCTCTGTGAAATAACTCGCTTCCATTAGAAGGTATTAAAGGTCCTCAGACTGGAACCTTCCTCAGCAAGCGGCAGTATACACAGGTAAGCACTTTTGTATTTTCTAAATAAACTAACAAAATGAACTCTAAATGGAGCCATTCCTCTCGGGGGAAAATGCCCCATTCTTAATAGCTTGACTTTTCGGCTGTTTCATTTTGATGGTTTATAATTCAGTTAAACACATGTCCTGTCATACTGGGTTATGGCCGGGGATGTGAAGGTAATTTTCACTGGGTCCTTGAGTTCCTCATGTTTTGAATCTAACAGATGATCATGGAATATGGTTGTGACCATAAAATGAATAGAGAGCTACAGTCAAAGAATTAGCCTGACCATGCCTTTTCTTAGCGGTTAACTGTTGTGCAACAGAAAATGACTATTATTCAGTTAACAAACAAGGCCTAAGTGGGGTGTGAGCTCTGCACATCAGGAAGCTCTGTATGAATTCTAAATGAGGACAAATGTGAATCTTTGTAAAAATTATCATAAACAATTTGGGCTCATAATACAACTACACATTATGAATGAACACTAAGTATTTAAACTTTTGTTAAGAAAATTTTTATTCGTTAAGAAATGAAGGTAATGGACAGTGATCAGTAATACCATCTGATAATGAGGTCAGCCTCATGCTAGCTTCTGTATTCTGGGCTAGCCTAAGGCAGACGTGTGATCACCTCACATTTCTTTCCGTTGCTTTACCCGGCCTCGCCTAGGTTCCCCTCCTTTCCTCCTGTGTGCCTCCCCTGCTGCCTACACCCAGCCTTGACTCTGCTGCTTCTCCCCTCCCAAGGCTGAGGGACCCTGACCACAATCATGCCTCAGACTCTGGGCTACCCTTTTTTCCTCTCTGTCTTGGATTTTATTTTCTGCTTTCTAAAGTGTCATCATCATGCACTTTTTCTGAGGTCATACTTTTCTGGTGTCTAATGGAGAAGATAAAGATACTGAAGAAAACAGTATCTACCAAATTGGGTACTGTAAGTCCATTGCTAAATTAAGAACTTTACATATATTATCTCATGATTACCTCTATGGGAGAAAATATTATTCCTGCTTTACAGGTGAGAAAACTGAGACTCAGAGAAGATAAGTCACTTGGCCAAAGACACACAGTCAGTTAATATAGGAGCCAGGACGAGTGCACACTCATGAGCATTCTGTTAGAACACCAGGCATTTAAAAACATGAATGCAGAAAACCACATCAGTACGTACTCAGTGTGTGTGTGTGTGTGTTTGTCCCTGTGTATATACTTATATACGTACATATTCATATATAGGGATTGGCTATAGGGACTTGGATTACACAACTGTGGGAACTCCTAAAGCAGCCTGTGTCAGGCTGCTGTTATCAGGCTGAACCTGACACCGGGTCCTGAAGTTTAGAAGCCAGGCATTCAGGAAGGAACAATCACAAGCCTGACTGGAATCCCATTGGGATGGGCTGAAACCCATGTCCATTCCTGTTGCCTCTGACTTTGGTGTGAGCTTCCTGCAGAAGCTGCCCTTTTGCTAGCGCATTACACACACATATCTAGCCTGAAGTCAGAAGAGCTGAGAGAGAATCCAGTTTAAAAAAAAAAAAAAAAAAAAAAAGCTGTTGCAGAACCAGCTGCTGCTTCACACCGATGCAGTGAGTCAGCGGATCAGCTGCAAGGGTGTGAGCTACTAAATGGCTGCTGCTTCCTCTCCATCTTCCAAGTCTCAAACAAACATTTTCTTGTGGTCTACCTTAAAAAGACACATACGAAAGGTGGCTTCAGAGGAATGTCATTCTGCCTGGCTATGTCAAGACGTTTCAAAGTCACTACAATCACATGAAACAGAACTATGTCAGAGTAGTGGGGACACTTCTACATCTGGGGACACTCTTGCTGCATCTCAGAATTTTGTCTCATATGAGTTCCCCCAACCGTGCTTGTGCCACATGCCTTTCAACTTAAAAATGATAAGGTCTATAAATTTTGAAAGCCAACTTTATTTCTTACAGAGGGTTACAGCCTACGAGGTGCTCCTTCTGACAGGCTGGGAAGTATAGCCTCTGGCAGGGACCTTTAGCAGGCATTTCAAAGGAGAAAAGGTGAGACAGGAACTTATGCTGAAGGGGTTGGCTCAACATACATATTCAACAGATTATAGGAGGAGCGATGAATATTCATGAAGGTGTCCTGACCCATTGAACAAACATGCATATTACATATGACCCATATTTACTCTGAGGTGGAGACTTAACATTCAAATGCATGACAATTAAGCCTTATATGTCACAGTGTGAAGTAGGGACACAGGCACTCGGTGCACAGCTGCTGTAAACCAGCCAGAACCAGTCCATGGTCGGTGACCTCAACAGGAGACAGGTATTGAAATCAGCCCCTTGTCAATCAAAGCTATAGTTATGGCTGGTGGAGCAGGCGGTCAGTCCACGTTTCATGATTGGTAAGCTGCAGTTCCTTCAACATTGCTTATCTCTTGGCCAGTGCTTGTTTAGCTGCTAGAGAAAAATAAAAGCCTTGTGTCGGTAAGAACATAGTTTACTCTTTTAGCATAGGCTGCATGACTTAACCCTTTCCTGGCATTGCCTTAGGTCCTATTGATAACTTGGCATTTTATTGCCACAAAGAGTCAGTCCTATCAGTCTTATGACCTCTATTTTAACATTAGTGCTGGTCAGCTGTTGTGTCTAAACCGCAAAAAGGAGTGGGTATAAGGAGGCGTGTCTAACCTCCCATCCCATCAGGGCTGAGAACTAACATGTAAAGTTTTCTCTGGGGTCCCCTTGGCCAAGAGGGGGTGGGTTAGTCGCAGGGGGCTGAGGATTTTATTTTTAGTTCTCATGCCATACTTGTTTACTCATTAGCATATTTCAAAATTTTTCTTATCTAAATGTACCTATATTTGAGAATATTTCTATGTCTTCATGTTTATCAGTTTTTTTTTCTTCTGTAACATGTGATCTTCCATAAATCCCACCCAGTACAGTTTTCATCTCAAATTATTGTTTTCACTTCTGGTAATCTGATTTGGGCCTTTTTGAAATCTTCCATCTCTCTTCTTAGCTTTTTGAACACATAGAGCATAGTTACAATAATGATTTTAATCATCTTATCTGCTATTTGTTCATTTTTATCAACTGTGGATGAGTTATGATCTCCTTTTCTCTGCATCATAAAACATGTTTTCTTGCTTCTCTTGATGTCTGGTAATTTTTGTCTCAGAGCTAGACATAGTTATTTTTCTTCTTATGGGACATGTTTGCCATCCTATTCTTGAGCTTTTCTGGGAGAGACAGTAAGTTACTTGAAAGCAGTTTGATTCTGAGCCATTTGAGTTTTGCTTTTTATATATTTTAGGAGAGACCAGAGCAGTGCTTTGTCCAGCCCTTGATATTTCCCCCAGCTGGGCAAACCCCTTGTGCAGCCTCTCCAATGGGCTGTGCTTCTGAGGCCTTTCTGACTAGTGGGAAAAGGCACCATTCCAGGCCTGGGTGAGCTGTGGGCAGTGTTTCTCTCAATCCTTCCAGATGGTTCTCTCCCTGGGAGTAACTACCTTGGCCTCAGATGGTTTTTTCCCGTAGGCACATGCTGATTAATATTCTGTTGAATGCTGCAGGATTACGCTGGGCAGATCAGTGGAGTTCTCATTCTGGCTCTCTCATCTCAGGGACTCACTCCAGTAGCCTGCGTAGCCCCTTCGGTCTTCCTGAGGCCTCAGCTCTGCCTCCTCTGCTCAGGGAGTCACCAGGGTTCTTCTCGGTTTCCTCCTGTCTGGGCTGTGGCCTGGAACCCCCTCAAAGCAGCACCTTTGGGCCATTGTGGGGCTCAGTGTTTTTTACTGCACTCTCTCATGGGTCACTGCCCTTTGTTGCTCCATGTCCAGTGTCTCAAAAGCCATTTTAAATAGATTCCATCCCTCTTTTGGTAGGAGATGGATTAAATCCCTTTCATACACTTGAAGCAGAAGTTATCCACTGGTATATATTTGCATATGTGTTCTTCCTACCGGTTTTATCGAATGTATCCGAATCATGAATGCCGTGTGAGTCACACATTGTGAATCATGAACTTAGTGATGGCCAAGTAATAGGTTCTCACACAGCCAACATGAGGTTGGTGGTAAAGTCAAGGCCTCAGAAGTCTAAAGTTAACACACCACTACTTTTATGACCAGCAGAGACTGCTCAAAACGTTCCTAACAATCACAACCACAACCACAACAACAAGACAAACCTACAAGTAGTCATCTAATTATTTTTCTGGAGTTTTAATACTACGACAACATTTAATGACTTTCTCTGTCTTAAGCAGAGGGTTGGGAAGTGATGCAGAATTTATCATTGGGATATGAGGTTTGTGCAAATCGTATGGAGTGTGATGGAGGTTGTGGAGGCAAGCAGGCCAGATTTGGGCCCGAACTCTGCATTCCATGAAGTGGGACTTTGGTGGAGTCATAAAACATCAATAAGCTTCCACTTCTTTTCTGCAAATATAGCAGTATTGCCTGCCATGCAAGGCTGTTGCAAACACTGAGAAAATATATAAATCTCCTATACAGTAAGATCTCTAACAATGTTAACTACTACTGAATAATATTGCTATTGATTTAATATTTAATACTATCGCTATTTTATTTGTAATATTGCCATTATTTATAATTTTATTACTAATAATCAAACACAACTCAAAATCAGAGAAAATATTTTTCCCAGAAACGTTTTCACTTTGCATACCTATGACCAGCAGAGGCTGCTCAAATCATGAACTTACTAATGCATCCAAAGTCCCACGTCATGGAAATATTCTCAGGATTTGTCATTGTTCATGGTTTTTCCCTCATAGGCCATAACTACTCCTCATTGTTGTCCAAGTGGGACTGAGAGTTCCTTTCCACTTTGTCTGCAGGGTCTTCAAAGGCGTCCTTAGAAAAAGATTAATTCCAGTGTTTCTTATGCATGATCATTTGATTTTATTCCCCTATGCCCAAGCGTTAAGATGTTTTTTATTTTTTTTTCCTATTGGATCAAGTAGGCTATGTCCCAGTGTATAAATCTCACTTATTACACATAAATAAACTTAAAATATGATTGAAATCTCTATATGTGCTTTCCACTGCGTCAGACGGAAGTTTGGAGACAGAAGTGGTTGAACACAGGTCAGACGAATCATACGCCCTTCGCCCTTCGCCCTCCCTACCTCAGAGGTCGGATGTGGTGATCGGGGCTTTCCACATGTCTGAAATGTCTGACATGGATGTGGTTTTTTTAAGCAAACTTCTTAGAACTCTGTTTTATTTTACATTTACAGAAAAACTGAGAAAGCAGTACTGGAATCCCACAAGCCCCACACCACTTTCTGATGCCGTGAACGTTTTTCCTGGTGTGGTGCATCTGCCTCAGTCATAGAAGCAGTGTTGGTAATCAGCATCGTGGAGGCGGCGTCGGTGGTCAGCGTCGTGGAGGCCAGGTCAGTGGTCAGCGTCGTGGAGGTGGCGTCGGTGGTCAGCGTCGTGGAGGCCAGGTCAGTGGTCAGCGTCGTGGAGGTGGCGTCGGTGGTCAGCGTCGTGGAGGCCAGGTCAGTGGTCAGCGTCGTGGAGGTGGCGTCGGTGGTCAGCGTCGTGGAGGCCAGGTCAGTGGTCAGCGTCGTGGAGGTGGCGTCGGTGGTCAGCGTCGTGGAGGCCAGGTCAGTGGTCAGCGTCGTGGAGGTGGCGTCGGTGGTCAGCATCGTGGAGGCCAGGTCAGTGGTCAGCGTCGTGGAGGTGGCATCGGTAGTCAGTGTGGTGGAGGCAGCGTTGGTAATCAGCGTTGTGGAGGCCACGTTGGTAGAGTCATGGAGGCAGTGTCGGTAATCAGCGTTGTGGAGGCAGCGTCGTTAGTCAGCGTCATGGAGGCGGCGTTGGTGGTCACTGTCGTGGAGGCCACGTTGATAGCATCATGGAGGCAGCGTCGGTAGTCAGCGTCGTGGGGGCGGCGTCGGTAGTCAGCGTCGTGGAGGCAGTGTCGGTAGCGTCGTGGAGGCCGCGTCGGTGTTCAGCGTCGTGGAGGCCACATTGGTGGCGTCATGGAGGCGGCATTGGTAGTCAGCGTCGTGGAGGCGGCGTCGGTAGTCAGCGTCGTGGAGGCGGCGTCGGTAGTCAGCGTCATGGAGGCAGTGTTGATAATCAACATCAGCTCAGGGCGTCCTTGATCCGCGTCCCCTCAGTCTTCCCTCCTGCGCAGGATCCCACGTGACACTTAGTCCTCATGTCTCCGCAGCTTCCTCTGCTCTGTGACAGTTTGATGTGCTCTTTTCAAAGAATGTGTTTCAGATTCTTCTTAATTATTCCAAAAGCCCATTATCTAAAGTGGAATTCTAAATTTCCCTTTAAGACATAAATAGCCAGGGCCAGGCGCAGTGGCTCACTCCTGTAGTCCCGGCACTTTGGGAGGCCGAGGTGGGCAGATCACGAGGTCAGGAGATCGAGACCATCCTGGGCTAACACGGTGAAACACTGTCTCTACTAAAAAATACAAAAAATTCGCCGGGCGTGGTGACAGGTACCTGTAGTCCCAGCTACTCGGGAGGCTGAGGCATGAGAATGGTGTGAACCCGGGAGGCAGAGCTTGCAGTGAGCCGAGATTGAGCCACTGCACTCCAGCCTGGATGACAAAGCGAGACTCCATCTCAAAAAAAAAAAAAAAGACAGAAAGAAAGAAATAGCCAGGCACAGTGGCTCATGCCTGTGATCCCAGCACCTTGGGAGGCTGAGGCAGGCTGGGTTCAGTTAAGCCCAGGAGTTCAAGACCAACCTAGGCAACATAGTGAGGCCTTATCTCTACAAAATACAAAGGAAAATTGGCCGAATATGGTGGTGCAGGCTGTCGAGGCTGTGGCCCCAGCTACTCAGGAGGGTGAGGTGGGAGGACGGTTTGAGCCCCAGGAGGTGGAGCCCGCAGTGAGCCAGGATCACACCACTGTACTCCAGCCTGGGTATTAGAGCAAGACCTTGTCTCAGAAATAAATAAATAATAAATAATAAATAAAAACTGAAGTCCCATCCGACTTTGTTTTGTAAAGTAGACATTTATCTAACCCTTGCTGTGGTTGTTTGAGTTACAGAGCAGCGATGATCCTCCCAGGTGAGGAGCCGTGTCCTCTGTCCTCCTAGGTGGGAGGCGGGGTCTTCTCTGTCCTCCCACGTGGGGAGCAGGGTCTTCTCTGTCTTCCCGGGTGGGGAGCAGGGTCTTCTCTGTCCTCCTGGGTGGGGAGCGGGATCCTCTGTCCTCCTGAGTGGGGAGCAGGATCCTCTGTCCTCCTAGGTGGGGACTGGGGTCCTCTCTGCCCTCCCAGGTGGGAAGCGGAATCCTCTCTGTCCTCCCGGGTGGGGAGCGGGGTCCTCTCTGCAGCTCTCCCTGTCTCTGTCTGCCCGCTCTCCACCTCTCCTGCTTTCTTGTGCTCTTCCTCTTCCCTGCTTCTCTCCTCTTCCTTCTTTTCTTCTCCCTGCTTCTCTCTTTGTCTGACTTGCCCCTTCTCAGGAGTGCATATCCTCACACAATCTCCACCACAAGCATGTTCTGGTATTTCAGAATTTTTTTTTTTAGCCAAATCTTCAAAATTCCGTAAACTTTGGTTTCCTTGAGTCAAAAATGTAGAACATTCTAATACTCGTTGTGATAGTACTGAGTGCCAACTTGACTGGATTGAAGGGCACAAAGTATTGTCCTGGCTGTGTCCATGAGGGTGTTGCCAAAGGAGATTACCATTTGAGTCAGTGGGCTGGGAGAGGCAGGCCCACCCTCAATGTGGGTGGCCACCATCTAATCAGCCGCCGGCTTGGCTAGGATAAAAGCAGGCAGAGGAACGTGGAAGGACTGGACTGGCTGAGTCTTCCTGCCTCCATCTTTCTCCCGTGCTGGATGCTTCCTGCCCTCGAACATCAGACTCCAAGTTCTTCAGCTTTTGGACTCTTGGACCTTGGACTTACACTAGTGGTTTGCCAGGGGCTCTCGTGCCTTCGGCCACAGACTGAAGGCTGCACTGTCGGTTTCCCTACTTTTGAGGTTTGGGACTTGGACTGGCTTCCTTGCTCCTCAGCTTGCAGATGGTCTATTGTGGGACTTCACCTTCTGATTGTGTGAGTTAATTCTCCTAATAAACTCCCTTTCATGTATACATCTATCCTACTAGTCCTCTAGAGAACCCTCACTAATACACTCACCTTGGCGAGTTATTGAGAGAATTAAGTCAAATAACAGAATCAAAAGACTGACTCATGTCAGGAGCTGAAAGATCCAGTTCCTTCTCTCATTCACGCTCAGATTCCCTCATCTCCTGCAGCACCAAAGGCATGGGCGGCTCCCCTGTAGCACACAGGTAAATTGCAATTACGTGATCTCACACTGCCCACTGAATCCGGCAAAGGCTTAAACTTAGAACCCACTTTTTCTGTCTTCATTGCCCGCTGCCATGTACGTCCCTCTAGGACACTTCATTTCAGCTTACATCCTGAAACTCTCAGCTAGCAATTCTCTTCCCTGCCTCAGTTCTCCATTGTGATCAGCATGCCCTGGGCCTCCCCCAGGTTCCCTTCCTTCCCATCATTGGGTGCGTTCCTGCTTAGCGCCTTATCCCAGCTGCTCCTCACACCCTCACCTTTTTCCAGATAGATCTTCCTCTTCTGCACAGGCTCCTCCCGGCTTCTCATCTGTTCTG
Organism: Homo sapiens; assembly: GCF_000001405.40. NCBI lineage: Eukaryota > Metazoa > Chordata > Mammalia > Primates > Hominidae > Homo > Homo sapiens. The sequence continues at coordinate 168,912,987 of NC_000006.12, forward strand.
AAAGCCAGCACGATTCCACGATCCTCAGATCACATTGCACACCGAAGACCCCAGTGATCACCTACTGCCTGGAATCTTCGCCTTGCACCCCCACCCTCCTGTTCCTGCCTATCCAACATGGATTTCCTTACAGCACTGGCCTAGAACAAAATCAACCTGCAACTTTCTTCCATTTCTTCTGACTCAATGAAAACATGGATGCAGCTCTGTCTTCATCCAGGACAGGCCCCTCCTGCACTTGAATGACTTTGTGTACTTCTCAATGTCCTGTCCTGTTGAGTTTGCTTCGATTTCTATTTGTCTAATGAAATCAGTTCAACATTTTTGGAAAGGATTCCTACATTCCACACATAGTGCTGAGGGTAGGATCTCTGCTGAAAGCCACACCTGCTCAGGCCTACCTGCTGAAAGCCACACCTGCTCAGGTCACCTGCTGAAAGCCGCACCTGCTCAGGTCACCTGCTGAAAGCCGCACCTGCTCAGGTCACCTGCTGACAGCCGCACCTGCTCAGGTCACCTGCTGACAGCTGCACCTGCTCAGGTCACCTGCTGAAAGCCGCACCTGTACAGGTCACCTGCTGAAAGCCCCACCTGCTCAGGTCACCTGCTGAAAGCCGCACCTGCTCAGGTCACCTGCTGAAAGCCGCACCTGTACAGGTCACCTGCTGAAAGCCCCACCTGCTCAGGTCACCTGCTTCCTGTGCTGCAGGAAGACAGAGGGGGCTTCTACTTTCATCCGCCTTCCACATGCCATGCAGTGCATCTCATTCATGGGTTCTTATTGCCATCCACAATCTGCCGGCAAGGAAATTTGGAAAGTCTCCCCAGGTTTACATCTGTGTGATCTAAGGGGAAGCACGAGTCCTGCCGGAGAACTGAGCCCCAGCTCCCTAAGCCACTTGTGTCTTTCCACTCCCTACCCCAGTTGGTGCAGGGTTGTGTTTGTCAGTTGTGGAATGGGTGTCCTGGGAGGCACAGTGTTGTTTTAGTGCTGAGGGGACTGCCCCCTCTTTCACTAGCAAATGTTTAGGCAACATCGTAAGCGTTTCTCATGCAACAGCCCATTAATGTTCACATGAACCTGATTATGTAATGACTTAGTGACAAGGATTTTCTATTACAAACAGGAAGAGGGGGCTTCAGAGGTGAAGGCCCTGCCTGAGAGCACAGGACTGCTAAGTCTGGGCAGATGGAAGCAGGATGAGCCCACGGGACCTTTGCATCTAACCACTGCACGAAGCCCGGCCCTCCAAGAGTGGTGACTTGGGGAGACACCCCAGTGTGGTAGACCCCATGACAGAACCAGAGGAGAGTGGGAAACACCATGTTTGCCAGCCATGAGGAGCCATCCAGAGAATAATGGCGGCTCCCCAGGACAGAGACGTGCACACTGGAGCCGCCGGGCACCGTGAGCTCTGCTTTCGAGAGTGCTTGACATCTGGTCGCAGGGTGATTGTATTTTCTGTTACTCTTTTTATTCAGTGTAAGGTTTTCTTCTCCTTTTTATAGTCCTCTACTGAGTCCCTGGTTATCCTTGACTTAGAGCAATTCCATATCACATAGATCTCCAAATTCCCCAGACTAGAAAATGTGCTTTTGAACAAATTGTGTGGCTTTACTAGAGCATGATAATTGGCAAAAAGAAAACTTGGAAGACTCAGGGCCCAAAAGCCTGACAATCACAAATCAATCTCCATAGTTTTTGTCCACCCATTGTGGCAAAGGGAGAATCTGAACTGCGGTCTTGAAACCAGTGGCTGATGTGAAGCCCCTTGGGACGCAGTGGTGAGGGGCTCCTGCGTCAGAGTCATCTGGCTGCACTTCCGGTGCTACATGACCTTAGGGGAGTCACCAGGACTCCCCAAATAACGCCAACACCTCCAGCACGGAAGAGGGGGTGTTGGTAGTGACTACAGCATGATGACTAGTGGCACCAAACACTTTGCCACGCGGAATGAGCAGGGCAGTCCGTGGACACCCACGTGGTGTGGTATGTTCTTGAATGAGCCCAGATCATTGGTCCCCCCCCATCCACAGAGCATTCACACATCAGATCTTCTTACACGATTCACCCACACTGGAACAGAGGAGGCTGCTGTATTATTTTTGCTTGAAAGTGATGATAGTGATGGAAGTTGTGAGACCTTGGGTCTGGTCTTAGTTTAAAAGGATTTAAGCAAGAGACACACAGCAAAGGAGACGCAGCGTGAAGTAATTTTTTGCAAAGGAAAAATAATATTTTTACAGTTAGGTGCAGAATAAGACAGGACAGCTTGGGAGAGAGAGGATTCAGGGTGGGTGCTCTCCAAGGTGAGACAGCAGAGAGCAGCAGGAGGGAGGCTCCCTCTGTGGGAGTCTTCCACGATTACCCATGAGGGGGTGGGAGGAGGCGCTGCTTGGGGCATGTTCTGGGTGCTCCTCTGGATGCACGCATGGTAGTTGTCCGTGCTTGCTCACACGTCACATGTCTCAGGGTCTTGTATCTCCACCCATGGTTTGCTTTTTATGATTATAAAGAGCAAAGGGTCAGTTTGAGGACGGTAAAATCAAAGTGCACATGCTCTCTGCAGGGGAAATTCCCTACTGAAGGTAGCTTTGCTTGAGGGAGCTCAGTGACAATGTCAATGCTGAGGCTTGCTGTGTTGATTTTACAGTCACCACGTACACCGTACACCACTGTCCACCAATGTCCACCACCACTGTGGACCACCCAAGGACACGGCGACTTCCTTGACTACCTATCCTGACTCAGTGATTGGTATTTAATTTAAATTTTGGAACATTTTGAATTTAGTTTTTATCAGGGTTCTGCTTCTATCCAGTGCTGACACTTGTGGCAAACCCCGGTGGCATAGAAGCCTTGGTTCTCACATGGATATGTCACTCCCTTCTGACATATTGGCACCTGAGCATGACTTCTGCCTACAGAGGTAGGAGCATTGCAGCAGGCAGAGGCCGGCTGCACTGGTGGCTTCAGCGGGGACAGGAGAGGACTCAGGAGTGGCCCCAGGGATCACCCACAAGCACATATAAAATGGCTTTCAGGACTTCCAGCAACAGTCCAGGGAGGGGATGCTTTATACTGGGAACTAGAACAAGAGAAGTTATCGCTATGTACTGTTTACATACAGCTTTACAACAGGCTCTACTGGCCTGGAGAAAAAGGATAGAAAAGCAAACATACTCATTCATTATTACTTAAGAACAATTCATTCATCGAATCCAAAATATTCACAGAGCAGCAGCTGTGACAAAGCTGATCTGGGTGTCCCTGTTAAACGGAAAATCACATATATAAGAAAGCTTAATTTATGGATATAGAAAAAGAGTGAGGGATTTTGTCAAATTTTAAAACATGACTAACAAGTGAAGAGTTTAAAAATACCATTATTCTTGAACAAAATACTACACACCTAAGTAACAAACACGGGCGGTCATTGCTTGATATATAAGCGTTTCTGTGTTAGCAGATGACTGCGTCATACTTTTTGTTTGATGGTCAGAAGTGTGTGAAACGGGCACGTGCTGATTCTCTATTTTGAGGAGGTTTGTGTAATTTGTGTTGTCATGTTGCTCTGAAGCCCTCTGAGATGAGCCTGGGAGGTGTTGCCTTGGTGCACAGAGACATGTCACAGTGTAGACTGTGGCCCTCCCACGTTGATTCAGGGGTGCTGCGGCAGGCGTGTGGAGGGGACCCCACGCAGGAGCACCTCCTCATCCCTGAGGAGCTGGGGGACTCCTGGCAGATGCAGCCCCACCAAGCTGCCCTGGGGCCCCACAGTGCCCGGTGTCCGGCTTCAGACAGACAAGCAGCTGTCCTATCGCTTCCTCTTATTTTTAAGCCACTGCTTGAATGCTTCGTACTCATATAAAGGATCTCTGACATTGCTTTTCAGAATCGAGGAATTTCTTCATATCCTATGGCTTAGATTTTGCCAGATCAGAGGAAAATTGTGGCCACCCTGGGCAGACCTATTCCTGGAAATGGCCTTTGCCAGTGGCGAGATCTCTAATCCACAGGCATTCCGGCTGCCAAATTCCTGGCCTTTGAAGGCTGCAGCTGGGGAAAAGCCACTCTGCATCAGTTCATGTTTCTTTTTCAAACTTTCCCCTTCTATTATTTCACAACCAAACTCTGCCAGGGCCTGGCTTTTAGTTATTAAAGGGCCAAGCATCATTTTTTTCCAATGCTTTTAAAAAGGAGGGGAAGGGTTTCCCAGAGATACGTGGTGCCTTCCCCGTGCACACAGATGCTCCAGAATCACAGCCGCCTTCTATGAACTCTCGTGCAGGGCCTCATCTTCCATGGTTAATTTAGCAATAGGGATTGTGTGCTTCAAAGCGATACCTCATTCCTAGGTAGAAATTTATTTAACTTCAAAAACCTTTATTGTTGAATATATTAAGAACTACGTCTTAGTGATGATGATATGAGAAATTCATCTATCAAAACATCACTAGAGGGCCGGGCGTGGTGGTTCACGCCTATAATCCCAGCACTTTGGGAGGCCGAGGCAGGTGGATCACTTGAGGTCAGGGGTTCAAGACCAGCCTGACCAACATGATGAAACCCTGCATCTACTAAAAATACAAAAATTAGCCGGGCATGGTGGTGGGCGCCTGTAATCCCAGCTACTTGGGAGGCTGAGCCAGGAGAATTGCTTGAATCTGGGAGGCAGAGGTTGCAGTGAGCCGAGATCACACCACTGCACTCCAGCCTGGGCATCAAGAGTAAAACTCAGTCTGGAAAAAAAAAATCACTAGGCACCCCCATGATTATGTACAATTCTTTCTTGTAAATTAATAAAATACTTTTTTAAAAATGAGGATTATAGTTAAGAGCATTACATTAAAAAAGAAATGTCTATTTAATTATGAAAACTGAGATAATGAGGTAGAGAGTGGTTTTTTTGTTTTGTTTTTTTGTTTTTTTGAGATGGATTCTTGCTCTGTTGCTCAGGCTGAAGTGCAGTGGTGTGGACTCGGCTCACTGCAACCTCTGTCTCCCAGGTTCAAGCATTTCTCCTGCCTCAGCCTCCCAAGTAGCTGGGATTACAGGCACCTGCCACCACACCTGGTTAATTTTTGTATTTTTAGTAGAGACAGGGTTTCACTATGTTGGCCAGGCTGGTCTCGAACTCCTGAAATGAGATAGATTTTAAATGTTGTATATTGCAAGAGAGCAGTGAGAGGCAGTGAGAGACTGGGGGTGGGCAGGAGACAAGTGTGAGTTTGCAGCCGAGCTCCCAGGCGCCACCACTGTAGAGATGCAGGCAGGTCGTGTGTCTCTCTGAACCTCAGTTTTATCATCAGTAAAAATGAGGATGATCCTGCTCCTCCCTGGACTCCTGGTGAGGGCTGTAATGATTATATAAAATGAAGAGGGAGTGTGTCCCTGTATGAGGCATCAGGAGCCAGTGTGGCCTCCCTGGCAGCTTCTCTCTGCCATGGGCCCTGCCTTGCTGTGGCTTCTCAGCCACCCTACGATGGATGGGACAGGGTGGGCCAGACCATCTAGTCATATTTCTCCCAAAAGCTTCTTAGTTGGAGTGGTATTTTGCAACTGTAGAAGAAGTGGAAAAGATAAGTTATGGATTAATTTAGAAACGGCCAGATATGGTCCCATTTTTTGTGTGTTTTGTCATGCATCGAATGAGACATAAGTAGTGATTTGAAGAATACGCTGTTTAAAACTGGCTTCGGGCAGGAGATGGGGGAGGGGGTGTCCTGACAGCCCAGCCTTAAGGGAACTGTTCACTGAAGCTAAATTATCAGTGAGATAACTCACCAGAGGCCCCCACTGTCTGCCCTGGGATGTCTGTTTTAGGATGGACAGACTTGGCCAACATGCAAACAAAACAGGGCACCTCATTAAACTCAAATATCACACAAGCAAGGGATATTCTTTTAGTGTCATTATATGCCATGAAATGTTTGGGACATACTTATGCTAAAAAAAAATTACAGTCTACCCTCAATTGAAATTCAGCTTGTGTCCTGTATTTTATGTGGCAATCCCTGAGCTGACCTGCTGGGTCCATAGAGGGCAGCCTGGCTCATCCTGAAGGCTTGAGGTGTCCCCGTAAGCTGTGCAGAGCTCTGATTTCCTGATAAAGTCACCATTTCTGGTACTGCAGGGGTGACAATGTGTTCTACAAGAAATTTTAAATTCATTTCAAAAATTATCTAACAAAATTAATCTAAGAAATCCCACAATACCTGCATGACCACAGATAACCAAGTAATCCCATTACAATGACATGGCGTCCTTGTTCAGCAGGCGTTTCTTTTTGTGTTTCTCATTAAATGATCAGCAAGTGAGGTGACTTTTAAAAAACAATTACAAAGCTTTTTCCCCCAATTTTCAAATCTAGCTAGATGAATTTAGTTTGTATTTTTAAATGTTAAAAAGCAAGTTCAGATCAGTTCATCCATTTCTTCAAACCATGACTGTAAAGAAAACCGGCAGAAATTAAGCCACAGAAATGTGTTAAAGTACATTGCAGATGGGACTTGAACCCACAGTCCAGGAAACTTGGGTTTGAGGTAAAACCTCGTCTTAGCATATCTTGTACCTTGCTCTCATGCTGTATCTACTTTCATTTGCGTGTTCAAATTACAGTGTTCTAGTACACTCTGAAAGTGTTAATTTTCATGCTACAGTGGTTGCTTTCCACACAGCGACCTGAGGTTTTGGTTGAGTACAGTTAACGTGGTTGTAAAAACGTCTGATTAAACTCTCCTGACAACCGACCTTGCAACAAAAGTCATACAAAGACAGTGTGTTTTCAGCTTTTACGCTGTGTAAACTTACAAGTGAGACCTTTTCTGAAACTATTTTTTTTGATTAACAAATGTTTTGAAAAAGAGTTTTTAGAAACTTCATAAAATTAATCTTCTAGAAACCATAAGGCATTTTTGTTTACTTGAGAAGACCAGAGGTTGATGGTGCAGGTCCCTCCAGTGGCCCGAGGATCTCAGTGTTCTGGGCTATTGACTCTGCACTTTCCCTCGCCTTACCCTGTTGGTGGCAAGACAGCTGCTGGAGCACCAGGCGTCAAGTCCTTCTGCCTGCACTCTGGCAGAAAAGACAAGTCAGAGGAAGACATATTTCCCACAGAATTAAAATGACATGGCAGAAGATCTTTCCCGTAAGCCCAGTAATGAGCCTGGCCTCCGCCCTTCACCCGGTGCTCCGTATTTTGAGTCTACTTGTAATCAGATTTGGAGCTTCCGAGGGCTGCAGATTCAGCCTCAACTCCCTGCTCTCAGATTCTCTTTGATCCCAGCTTCATGAGAATGTTTGTTTTATTTTTGAATGTACTATGATTTGAATAGCTCACTTTCTTTCTTAACATTTTTAATATCGTGAAATATAACATAAAAATAGGCACAAGGCAAAAACATGCTCCTCAATTGTTTATCAAGAAATGTGACCACACCCAGGTCAGTACACAGAACGGCCAGAACTCCCAAAGGCCTGCGCTTTGTATGCCCTTCCCTGCGTTGCAAAGTTCACTATGCTACGGGCTGCAGTGCAATCACAGCTTCGCCTTTCTGCAGAGGCTTAGCTCAACATCACTAAGTACAACGGTGTTGCCTTCCTTTTGAATGTTACAGACATGTAACATCATGCAGTCTACAGTCCTTTGCAGTCTCTCGGTTTTACTTGTGAGGTTCAGCTGCTGCTACCTGTAGCCATGGTTCCTTTGGTGTCACTGCTGTACACCGTCTTATTCTGCCGCATCAATGTACCGAAGTTCATGTATCTATTCTCTGGTTGAGAAAAAAGTAGGTTTGTACAGTTAATACTAATAACATGGCTCTGAATAATCGTATGTGTCTCTCCATGCCCATAAACATAAATTCCCATTCAGGAGTGGAACTGCTAGGACCCCGGTGTAGACACCTTCACCTTTAGTAGACATTGCAAACCATTTCCAAAGTGGTTTCACCAATTTATGTCCCCCCGGCAGTGTGTGAGGATAATTCTCATCCACATGCCCTCTTGCGAATGCCTGGGACCAACAGTCTTCAACTTCAACCATTCCAGGGGTTGTGGAATAGCACCTTCCTCTTGACTTATTTTTCATTCCTTGATAATTATTGAGATTGAGCATATTTTCATATATTAGTTGGCCATTGGATATCTGTATCTCACATAATTTTGTTTTGAACTGATTGTTTTTGTTGTGTTGATTTGCAGAAGTTCTTTATGTATTTTTAATAAGAGTCCTTTGTTAAATGAGTCTCAAATATTTCCTTTTTCTCGGTGGCTTACCTTTTTACTCTCTTAATGGGTCTTTTGTGAAAATAATTTCTTAATGTATATGTGACCCCATTATAATTTTTCCCCCTTCTTGGCTGGCGCTAACTCCAGGATAGGGCTAACTTACTGGCTTATACCTGCATTTTCCTTTCTTCTAGTATACACATTCAAGGCCATAAATGTCCCTTAAGCATGGCTATAGTTGTATTTTGTAAGTTTCCATGTGGAGTATTTTCCTTGTCATTTACTTCATATTAATTTTTAGTTTACATTTTTAATTTGGCACATGCTATTTGGAAGTACATTGTTTAATTTTAAAACATATGAGTATTTTCTAGTCATCTTTTTGTTATTAATTTCTGGTTTATTACACTGTGGTCAGAGAATGTGCTCGGTATGATGCCAATACTTTAAAATGTAGCGGGATTCAGAGTTGGGTCAAGCTTAGCAAATGTTTCAGAAGCGCTTGTGAGACAACAACAAAAACATCTTCACAAGCAGTGTCTTATTTCAGTCGTGCAGAAAGCTAAGGCATTAGCACTACCATTACTTACATTCAGAGGGAAAGACATTAAATGAGGTCATACTTGTTAAAACTTTTGAAGACAGAAATATATTTTCAGTAAATTATTATTACTTTAGATTTTTTATTTCATGCTCTGAGCTAATTATTGACTTCAGGTATTGTGTGGTTAGGGGAAGGTTTGGGTTTGGTAACTGTGGAAACCCAAATCCTCACTACCTGTGTGGGTGGCCAGGAGGCCTGTGTTGCTGTCTCGCCCTGGGAGGGTGGCTCCTCCAGTGTGGGATGTGTTGTAGGTGTAACATACACACCGATTTCAAAGACTCTGTAGGAAAGAAAGAATGTAAAGTATGGAATTAATATTGTTATATTGAGTACATGCTGGAACAGTAACCTTAGGGATAGACTGGGCTAGATCAAACGTATCGTTAAAGCGAATTTCATCCTTTTTTACGTGATTAAGGCCGCTCCGGGAAGATTGAGGTAGTGCTGGCCGTGGTGCTTTCTCTCAAGCAAAGTGCAGGCCTGGGAACGAGCACTAACTAACCACAGCTGCTCACTACGACCTACAGGTGCTCTGGATTTTAACCTGTTTTAACTGCCCAATGTCACGGCCATTTTCCACATCTTTTCTAAATCTACATTTATAAACATAAATACAAATGAATTGTATTTACATAGTTGTGTATTCAACTGTAGATAATCAGAAATTGACAATGGTTTAAGTAATATTTTTCCTGCTACCGTTTGTTAGAAGGAACTTGGAAAGAGGGAATGACGGGCTCTGCGCACTCGGGATGTCTGCCGGGAACATGAGTCTTCCGTTGTCCACCCTTCATTGTCTCTTAGGTTCAGAATGGCTGCCACACCCCCAGGCATCACGTCAGCATCCCAGCAGGAGGAAAAACCTGAGTCAAAAGCATTTGCTTTGTAGGACTCTGTCTTTTCCTTCAGGGAGGGATATCTGCCCCTGTCCACAGCTTACAGCTCACTGTGCAGAAATGAGTATTACTGTCTCCATAGGCCCCAGGGAGGCCAGGAGCTGAGCCCACACTGAAGGCAGGACAATGAAGGGTGGGAAGCTACAGGCCATGCCATCCTCCCGGGGGAAGAAGCCATAGCACCTTGGGTTACCAGGGTTTGACATAGCTCTTCCAACATTCCAAAAAAAAAAAATGAGGCGACAAAGCATAGTTTCTAAAAGTTTGAAAAAAGGGTTTTTATTAAAAGATCAACAATATAGTTTCACTAAAATATGCTTTTTAGAAAAGACTCGTTTATGTTTTTTATCTTTCTCAACCTGAAATCCAGCTCTGATGTTTTATTGTTGCGGGTCCGTGGAGATGAATCTCTGCTGGTCTTCCCTCATCGGCTTTCCTGACCTTGTGAGGGGAAGACCAGGGTGCTTGACACAAAAGACTTCTTTTCACAGGCCCCTCATCCGGAGTCGGGGCTGCTCTCCTTTCATGGTGGGCACAGGTGGTCTCGTGTTTACATCTGAGCCCTGCTGTTGGCGTTCATGCCCCCAGAGGAGTCCTGCCCCAGAATCAGACTCACTGCATCTTCCTTTTTGAAGACAAAGTTGTATTATGTGATTTCCTTTTGCTTTGCACAAAGCAAGATGCTCCCACCGAGGCTGGGAGCCAGTTCTGTATCTTTCAAGTCACAAGCGATCCTTGACCTCAGGGTCTAAATGACTCAGGGAGGCCCCGAGAGACCAAGGTCCTGTCCAAGCCCACAGAGATGTTGCTCAGGGAGCACTTTTCACTTGAAAAGGCAGCCACACCAGTCTCTCCCCATCTGAGGAGCCCCCGACCAGGCCGGGCCCCGTGCTCTTTTCCTGTCAATTAGATCACCTTTATTTGGCCCCTGCTGCACTGAATCATGTCTTCTGGAACATCTGCAATGGATACCTGTATCTTGTACTTAAGCACAGCCTCAAACATGTTCTCACTGGGTTTGCTGCCATTTCCTTCATCTCACTTTTTTTTTTTTTTTCTGAGACGGAGTGATAAGATTTATTTTTTTATTTTTATTTTTCTTGAGACAGAGTCTCGCTCTGTTACCCAGGCTGGAGTGCAGTGGTACGATCTCAGCTCACTGCAACCTCTGCCTCCCAGGTTCAAACGGTTTTGCTGCCTCAGCCTCCTGAGTAGCTGGGATTACAGACATGCACCGCCACACTCATCTAATTTTTGTATTTTTAGTAGAGACAGGGTTTTGCTGTGTTGGCCAGGCTCAGCCTTGAACTCCTGACCTTTAGTGATCTGCCTGCCTTGGCCTCCCAAAGTGCTGGGATTATAGGTGTGAGCCACCATGCCCGGCCAAGACAGGGTGATGAGTTTTAAAGAGTAAGATCTGTGTTTATAGTGAGTGCTGGTAAATAAATTTGATGTCTTTTTATTACATTCATTTTGCAGATACAAAATAACTTACTTGGGTACTAAGCCTCTTGATAAAAAATGACTGAGCCAAAAATCCACGTTTTCCTTCATGACTAAGACGGTATGGATATTTCTCTGCCCAAATTTCATGTTGAATATGGAATGTTGAATGGAATCCCTAATGTTGAAGGGAAGTGACTGGGTTATGGGAGTGGATTTCTCATGAATGGTTTAGCCCCATCCTCTTGACACTGTCCTGTTGAATGGAATCCCTAATGTTGAAGGGAAGTGACTGGGTTACGGGAGTGGATTTCTCATGAATGGTTTAGCCCCATCCTCTTGACACTGTCCTCATGATAGTGGGTGCTCACAAGATCTGGTTGTTAAAGTGTGTGGTGCCTCCCACTCTGCTCCTGCTCTCACCCCCTCAGATGTCCACCCTCTCTTCGCCTTTCATTATAATTAGAAGCTTCCTAAGGCCTCCCCAGAAGCTGAGCAGACATCATCACCACACTTTCTGTACAGCCTGCAGAACCATGAGCCAAATAAACCTCTTTTCTTTATAAATTACCCAGTCTCAGGTATTCCTTTATGGCAACCCAAGGACAAGCTATACAGTGAAGCCACATGAATCCCATTAATGCAGTGCGCACTGTAATCAGATTGCTTTCTAATTCTATCTAATTTTCTTCATTTAACATGGGTTGCAAGAATAGTTATATGTAACTGCAGTCAACCCATAAGATGGAACAGGGTAGTTGCTAAAATAAAGCAACATATCAAGAAGTAAGTTTTGAAATTTTTTTTATTAATTGAAATTGGATGATCACTTTTAACTTTATTCATAAATCTATCAAAACTTTAGACACGTTTTGCTAAGCAAAAAGGTATTTTAATACAATTTTTTTTATTATTATACTTTAAGTTTTAGGGTACATGTGCACAATGTGCAGGTTAGTTACATATGTATACATGTGCCATGCTGGTGTGCTGCACCCATTAACTCATCATTTAGCATTAGGTATATCTCCCAATGCTATCCCTCCTCCCTCCCCCCACCCCACAACAGTCCCCAGAGTGTGATGTTCCCCTTCCTGTGTCCATGTGTTCTCATTGTTCAATTCCCATCTATGAGTGAGAACATGTGGTGTTTGGTTTTTTGTCCTTGTGATAGTTTACTGAGAATGATGATTTCCAATTTCATCCATGTCCCTACAAAGGACATGAACTCATCATTTTTTATGGCTGCATAGTATTCCATGGTGTATATATGCCACATTTTCTTAATCCAGTCTATCATTGTTGGACATTTGGGCTTTTAATACAATTAAACAAATATATATGTACATGTTCACACATGGGTATGGTAAAAAAAAAAAAAAAACTGATCGCTGAATTGCTTTTGTTAAGAAGCCAAACGACTGTACCTCAGTCTCTGGCAGCAGGATCCTGAGCCTGTTCTTGCAGGAGCCTGAGCCTGTTCTTATGATAACAGACAGCTCTGAACACAAATGTGCTGGTCTTCTTCAGCTTCACCCTTTCCAGTTCTCTATCTTCAGTATCTGTCTCGGGACCCACCTGTAACCTCCCTCGTGTCTTCCATTTCCGAAGGCAAGTTCCTTAGGTAGGAACCATCTCTGTGAAAGGGGAGGCTGCAATGGTGCCATGAAGAAAGACTGGGAATGGTTTCCGTGAAAACACAGGCAGGCCGGGCGCCACTTCTGAGTCTGATGTGTTTGACAACATCCTTCCGGTCTCCTTCCATCTTCTGCTCCTTCCTCTTCCCTCTGCCGAATTTTGCTCTTCTGCAGTTCTTGAGGCACATTTTAGGCCCTGACCAATAAAGACGTAAACAAGCACAAGCGGAAAACAAAACTAGCTTAACGAGTTCACTGCTAATTATTGCCTGTTAGCATGAAAAGAATAGCACAATTCTTCACATTTTTGGTTAAGGAAACGTTACCCACACATTCATATGTAAATTGATTCTGACCAAATTGTTTGGAGTGGGAATTTTAGTTTATCTGTGAGCACTGTCTCTCAGGGGCTGAGAATGAGCCCAGCAATGGGAACCATCGCATGCAGGAACACACACCCGCAACACAGACACATGCATGCAAACACAGCAGCACGTACACATGCAACGCTACACACAATGTGCACAATGCACACACACATGCATACAAGCACAGCAACACGTACACATGCGACACCACACACACATACAGTGTGCACAGTGCACACACACGCACACAAGGACAGCAACACAGACACATGTGACACCACACACACATGCACACAAGCACAGCGACACATACACGAGATACAATGCACACACACACATGCGCACACACACATGCACACACACAGCAACACATACACATGTGACACCACACACGCACGCACAGTGTGCATGATGCACACACACGCACGCACAGCAACACGTACACATGTGACACCACGCACAGTGTGCACAGTGCACACACATGCACACACACCCCACACACACTCACATCACAACTAAAAGACTGAAGCATCGTCGAGAGGAAACCTTCCAAAGCCATTGTATCTGCAGTGATATTGCCTATAAATCTCAGTCCATGTATTTAGTATGCAATAACTATCGCTAGCCTTATTATTGAAAATGCTATTTCTTTGTATTTCTGAGCTCAAATTTCACTAAGATTGGGGTAAACCTAACTTTAATTATTCTTCAGATGTATGCCTCAGTTTAGGAGACTTGCACGGGGCCAATAGGTTATTTACCTAGTATTTATATAATGCTCACCCAGTGTCAGGCACTGCTTCAAATGCTTGGTAAATATTAACTCATTTAATCCTTACAATAAATTCAGAGGGATGCGTGGTTTTACAAATGAGGAAGCTTAAGAACAGAGACGTGAAGTAACTTGCCTAAGGCGACATAGCATTAGGAAGGGAGTTGGCATCTGAACTCCTTGCCTGGCTCCAAACCTCATCCTCTCGGTCAGACCTCCTGAGGCCACAACATCTCTCTGCTCGCTTGGCCTTCTAGTTACAACACCCACCAGGCTGGGCCCCAGAACTATTTTGTGAAGGTGTCTGTTGACCCGGTTTTCCTAAACACACCTTATATTCCTGTCTGATGCTTCTTTACTTCACGCCAAGAAGCAAAGGACTGTCTCCAACTGTCTCCAAATGCTTAGACCTCCCCTCCGCACACGGAGGAGGGGTCTCCGTCTGTCATGGTGCTGGCATGCACCGGGGTCCTTTTTCTATCCCAGCCACTTCCAAGATGCCCTTTCCAAGACTTACCTGGTTTACAAACACCGTTCTTTTTTGTCTGAAAACTTCCAAGTTCTCCTGAAAGCCTAGGCTTTGGGAAGACCAATTCTTGATATGCAGCTACTTCTGTGTGAAGAGTGAGAAGAGAAGGAGGCGGTGGCAGGGAGAGGAAAACCCCGTGTGTGTGCACATTCCAAAACACCCACAGCCACAAACGGCAGATCCGATGTTTTATGGTACCTTTTTACTAAATGGTTGTGTTTCTTTCCTTCGTTCTACTGGCCCAAGTCCTAGGTGCTTACCACCATCAGCTGATGAGGAGGGCTCATTGGATGCTGCCGAGATTTGAAACAAGAGTCTTCCAAACCAAGGTTTCAACTGTGAAGTCGTTTCTTGCTTAAAGGGCCAGTGGAATCTCCTTAAAAAGGAATGGAACATCTTAGCACTCTGTATCTTTTGGCTGAGACGTATGCTTCAAAATAAGTGTTTTCCTGTAAACGGGTCCTTACTAAGTGTTGGGGTGAGTGAATATGTGCTCTTGAAATGTGTTATGGTGGAACGAAAGCTTCAGTCACCTGCAGACATTTCCCCGGCGGAGATAAGCTTCTTCCAGTCTGGGCCTGGAGTTTCCCTTACTCCATCGGAAAGGAACCCAGACTGGTGATAATGACAAGTTGGCAGTGTGGCTTTCATGCACCAGGGCCAGTGATGGAAATACTCTCTTACCCGAGGCTCGCAGAATGCTATAAACTTGGGGATGGAGGGGCCACAATGCTGGAGGGAAAAGCATAAAGCAGCCCGGAGACAAGAAACAGACTCGCCAATCAAATGCTGTGCCTTTTCCCTCGGTCCCAGGATGGCTGCCCTCATGATTCTGGTGTAGTCCCTGTCATCCAGCGCCACTGTGCCGGGCTGGCAATGCCAGTGCTCCATATTAGACAGAAGGACAAAGAAAGCTTTTAATTTAGTATCAGAGTAATGAAAACGCCTTCTTCCGCGGATACTGTAACACTGGCAGGGTTTTAAGTAAATGGAATCAGATATTTAAAAAGGATTTGCCGAAAGGAATTAGGAAAGAATGCTTCAAAAACATTTTAAATGCTGCTTAGTAGAGGCTCAGTGTTCACCTAAATCAAAGATGTTTTCCCCATATATTTATTTTAATAATTTAAAATATGTCTACATGTACTAATTACCTATATTTATCTATCTGAATTTTTTCTTCAATGACCAATATACAATGAGTGGTATATACTGCATGTGTACTGTTTTAAAGACATACTGTATATTTAGGAAAAGGGGTTTCACATTTCTGCCACTTTGTGGATCCCTCTGCTTGGCTATCTTTTTAAATTTATAGGCCTTATTTCCCATTAAGACTGGAACACCTTCCAAAATATTTTCTTTTTTTAGACATCTATAATAAGATGAAATAACAGTAGTGGCAAATTCACTGCGCTCTTGAAGCATCTGTTGGAGCTCTCTCTTTGTGGGGGTAAACCAGCCGCCAAACAGATCACCTGCACGGAAAGTCCTTTGCTCATTTTGTGGATCTGAGTTGCTGCCAACTTTTCCGGGTGTTCATGTTCAGAAGGAGAAGCAAGATGGCCCTGTTAAAAAGTCCTACATGGCATTTGTCAAGGATGTTCTGCTCAGGAGAGAGACTGAGGCTTCCGGTGAGAAAACCCTGCAGGCTGGGGAAGTGCACCTCGAGCTGACCCCTTGTTCAGGGAGCTGATGAAGGCACATGCCATGGGAATGAGAAAGCCACTCCTTAAGCATCAGTAACAGAAGGTGCCATGTGGATAATACAGGGGCTGAAAAATCATAAGATTATTTGGGTGTCCCCACCCAAATCTCATCTCGAATTCCCACATGTTGTGGGAGGAATCTGGTGGGAGGTGATTGAATCATGGGGGCAGGTCTCTCCTGGGCTGTTCTTATGATCGTGAGTGGGTCTCATGAGATCTGATGGTTTTAAAAACAGGAGTTTCCCTGCACAAGCTCTCTTCTCTTGTCTGCCACCATGTGAGACATGCCTTTCACATTCCGCCATGATTTTGAGGCCTCCCCAGCCACACAGAACTGGGTCCATTGAACCTCTCTTTTGTAAATTGCCCAGTCTCAGGTATGTCTTTATCAGCAGCATGAAAACACACTAATACAGGTAGGTTCAGACAAAGAGTCATTGGCTCCACATGGTGGCAGCTCCTATGCCTCCTGCCTGAGCTGAGGGTCTGTGGCTGCAGGCCCAGCTCAGGAAAGGAGCTGCTGGAAACTGGAATGATATGAAATAGACCCATCTACAGTTTTTCTGGTCATCTGTTAAAAAAGAATTTAATGCTTACAAGATAACTATCATTGGTAGTAATAGTCTAGGCCCATGACATTCTTTAATATTTGGGAGTATCAGAACTTTAAAGATTAGACTTAGTTATAAATAGAATATTTATTTAGGAACTTAGAGACATCTGGGCATTTCATGTCATGAAAGTAACAAAACCCTCCCTCTTTGCACGGCTCCAGTACAAATCATGACTGCTGTTGGAGAGGCTCTGATACGCTGTGCGTGCAGATGGTGCCCGAGAGCCGGGGAACAGCAGCATCTCACCCGGGCTTTCTCCTTTCCATCTGGCAGGTGCCAGCTTCTAACCACCATCAGCTGCCATGTCCACTGCCATCTGTTTAGCTAATGGACAGGGAGCACCTACTGTGGGCCAAGCCCCCGACAGGCACCAGAGATTGGGTGGAGATAGACAAAACCAAGCACAGACAAATTCAATTAGTTGTTTTCTGGAGGAAAGAAACAAGAACCATGCATGAGAACATCTTGTTCTTGACATCTTCAACCAGACACTGAGGTCGGCTCTCGTCAGCAGCTGGGTCTCCTTGAGGTTCACTGGATGGGGAGGTTGTCTGCATTTCACGTTTTAATTAATTTTTAAAAGTTACTTAGATGAATTATTTCATTGGCTACGTATCATCCTGTGCCAAAAAACAAACTGTGAAGCCCAGCAGCATATATATTTTAAAATGCAGTTACAAAAAAGCATAAATATGAAAACAAAAACAAACAACTAACCATTATTGATTGTGTCATACTAAAACACTGTTTTAATTTTGTGGTATGTTTTGGGGACTTTTTCCAATTTATTCTCTGAAATAATGTTGTATTCAGAGCGTACACCAAGAATAGGAGCCCGTTTTTTATCCATTTAAGATTCTCTCCCGTTTCTATCTATTGCTCATTTGCTGAACCTCTTGTCTCTTTGACTAACAGTATTTAAAGGTCTAATGAAATATTTCAAAGCAGTTATGAATAATGAGGTAATAGATGAGTACAAGCCACTAGCAGAAGACATGAAATGTGGCAAATGCTGCAAAGCAAAGGCTTCACTTCCATCGCTGCCTTCTCCCATTCCTCAAGTTATCACTGACTGCATTGGTGTTTATTCTTCCCAAACATCTATTCGTATTTTACTACAAATGTATGGAGGCTTGTGCAATATTTGATATTGATCTATTTTTTTAATGTGTATAAGGGGAATCTTACATTATACATTTTTCATGACTGGCTTCATATGTTAAACATGTTCCTCATGAGATTAATTCAGGTTGAGGTGTGTAGACACTGTTTATTTATTACCACATCAATGAATGCATTACTATTCACACAGTCCAGTGTTTTCGTAGACGTTTACTTGTTTCCAATATTTCATCCCATTAGACCCTTGTGGAAGGACTTTTTCTACACTGGAAATCTAGGAGTGGAATAGCCGGGCCCCGGAGACACAGGAACACACTAGAAATCTAGGAGTGGAATATTTGGGCCCCGGAGCCACAGGAATGCGCTGGAAATCTAGGAGTGGAATAGCCGGGCCCCGGAGCCACAGGAACACACTGGAAATCTAGGAGTGGAATAGCTGGGCCCCGGAGCCACGGGAACGCACTGGAAATCTAGGAGTGGAATAGCTGGGCCCCGGAGCCACGGGAACGCACTGGAAATCTAGGAGTGGAATATTTGGGCCCCGGAGCCACGGGAACGCACTGGAAATCTAGGAGTGGAATATTTGGGCCCCGGAGCCACGGGAACGCACTGGAAATCTAGGAGTGGAATATTTGGGCCCCGGAGCCACGGGAACCCACTGGAAATCTAGGAGTGGAATAGCCAGGCCCTGGAGCCACGGGAATGCACTGGAAATCTAGGAGTGGAATATTTGGGCCCCGGAGCCACGGGAACCCACTGGAAATCTAGGAGTGGAATAGCCAGGCCCTGGAGCCACGGGAACACACTGGAAATCTAGGAGTGGAATAGCCGGGCCCCGGAGCCACGGGAACGCTCTGGAAATCTAGGAGTGGAATATTTGGGCCCCGGAGCCACGGGAACGCACTGGAAATCTAGGAGTGGAATATTTGGGCCCCGGAGCCACGGGAACGCACTGGAAATCTAGGAGTGGAATATTTGGGCCCCGGAGCCACGGGAACGCACTGGAAATCTAGGAGTGGAATAGCCGGGCCCCGGAGCCACGGGAACGCACTGGAAATCTAGGAGTGGAATAGCTGGGCCCCGGAGCCACGGGAACGCAATGGAAATCTAGGAGTGGAATAGCTGGGCCCCGGAGCCACGGGAACGCACTGGAAATCTAGGAGTGGAATAGCTGGGCCCCGGAGCCACGGGAACGCACTGGAAATCTAGGAGTGGAATAGCTGGGCCCCGGAGCCACGGGAACGCACTGGAAATCTAGGAGTGGAATAGCTGGGCCCCGGAGCCACGGGAACGCACTGGAAATCTAGGAGTGGAATAGCTGGGCCCCGGAGCCACGGGAATGCACTGGAAATCTAGGAGTGGAATATTTGGGCCCCGGAGCCATGGGAACACACTGGAAATCTAGGAGTGGAATAGCCGGGCCCTGGAGCCACGGGAATGCACTGGAAATCTAGGAGTGGAATAGCCGGGCCCCGGAGCCACAGGAACGCACTGGAAATCTAGGAGTGGAATATTTGGGCCCTGGAGCCACAGGAACGCACTGGAAATCTAGGAGTGGAATATTTGGGTCCCGGAGACACAGGAACACACTGGAAATCTAGGAGTGGAATAGCTGGGCCCCGGAGCCACGGGAACGCACTGGAAATCTAGGAGTGGAATATTTGGGCCCCGGAGCCACGGGAACGCACTGGAAATCTAGGAGTGGAATAGCCAGGCCCCGGAGCCACGGGAACGCACTTGAAATCTAGGAGTGGAATAGCTGGGCCCCGGAGCCACGGGAACCCACTGGAAATCTAGGAGTGGAATAGCTGGGCCCCGGAGCCACGGGAATGCACTTGAAATCTAGGAGTGGAATAGCCGGGCCCTGGAGCCACAGAAATGCACTTCTCCAACTTCAGACGCAGCCACGTTGTCTCCCAGTCGTTGCAGGAATCCCACTCCCATGAGTGTGGAACAGTTCCCTTAACCCTCTCCAGGTTTCTATTTTGTTCATAAACTTACTTATTAGTCCAAATTCTCCAGAAAAACAGAACCAATGGGAGGTAGAGAGATATAAGAGCAGATGGATTATGAACATTGGCTCCTGTAACTATAGAAGCTGAAGAGTCCCATGATCTGCTGTCTGCAAGCCGGAAAGATTCTGGTGTTGCTGAGTCTGAATCTGAGGCCTGAAGGCTGGTGAGCTGCTGGTGTTGACTGAGGAGTCCAAGACCAGAGAACCTAGAGCTCCAGTGTCCGAGGGCAGGAAAGGATGGATGTTCCAGCCCACGGAGAGAGAGGGAGGGAGGGAGGGAGAGAGAGAATGTGTATTTCTTTTCCCTGGTAAAGTTGAGTATCCTGTACTCAGTTTACTGATTCAAACATTAATTTCATCCAAAAGGATCCTCACAGAGACATCCATAATAACATCTGAGCATCCCTCAGCCTAGTCAAGTCAACACGTAAGATTAGCCATCATAATTATGTTGCTTTACAAGTACTGACATAACGAATTGTGATATCTTGTAGCATAATTTTCATCATCTTTTTTCTTCTTTCTTTTGTGCCTGTATTTTTGTGACTACTTTATGACCTTTGTTCTTTATTATAAGGCCTAGACAATCTTGCCATATTTTGTAAAAAAAATCCTGCTGAGATTATAATGTGAAGGGCATGAAATCTATAAATTATTTGCAGAGTTTTGAGATCTTCACAATATTGAATCTTTTTATCCATGAACATGGTAAATATTTCCATTTACTTATGTTTTTAATATGCCTCAAAAATTTGTAATTTTCTCTATTTGTATCTCATGAACATTTTGTTAGTTACTTTCTATTTTTGTGGGGTTTTTTTCTGTTACATGTAATGTTTCTAAGTCTTGAGTTATTCTTTTTGATGGTGCAAGGGAGTATAATGGAATTTTAACTGTGATTGATAACTATTTTAATTTTTCCTATTAACCTATTTAGAATAGTGCCTGCTCTATATTGAATACTACATAAATGTTTGTTAAAAAAGTAAGGAAAGCTGCTCGTTCTCTAAGTTAACTCTCGGGTAGCTCGGGAATGATTACAACATCCTCTCTTCCTATCCTGCACTTTGTGTTCCCCGCTCAGTGCTAACATGCACCTCCAGCATAACACTGAATAGAAGCTGGGGTCATGAGCTTCCTTGGTTTCATCTGAAGTCTTCTGGGGAATGTTGCTTCCGTGTCACTGTAAGTTCTGATATTTGACATGGTTACTTTAGTTAGCCATACCTTATTGGAATAAGAGTGTTCCTTTATATTTTTAGTTCGCTAATTTTTTTTAATCTCACCATGTAGGATTTTTTCTCCTTGATTTTGTTGCCATAGTAAATTTTGAAAAGCATTAATAGGTTTTCTAACGTTTTTGTCTTGTTGACTTAGAATGTACTCAACTACATCATGATGTAAATATTTTAGTATATTTTTTCTGGATTTTCTTTCTTAACATTTTGTTTATTACTTTTGCATCTATATTCATCAATAAGATCGACATGTTTTATTTTTATGCTATATTTTGCTGGGCTAAGATTTTGATATCGTATTCAGTGATTTGGGGAGTGTTCCTCATTTCCTGGTCTCTGGAAGAATATGTGTGGTTATACAGTTATTTGCTCATTTAATGATTACTAGAACACATCTCTAAAAAGACTTTGAGCCGGGGAGACATTTCTTTTCTGTGTATACACTTTTAACATTTATTTCCATTAATAGTCATAAAGAATATTTGGTGAGGACTGAAAGGTGCCGAGGATCTGTCTGAAAACTGAATGCAAAGGACAAAGCGACAGCAGACGGGGCAGGCGAGACGTGAGGCGAGACGTGAGGCGAGCCGTGAGGCAAGCCGGCTCATAAACGCTCCTAACGGGGAAAACAGACGAACGAGGAGTTGGTGATAATATCAGCCAGTAACACCTGTTAAGGCTTCCTGGCTCCCAGGCACTTGAGAACTATACTTCTCCAAATTAGGTTGGTTCTGTTATCTTCCTTCTACAGATAGGGAAACTGAGGCATGGCGCATTTAACTAAGAGGTCTTGGATCCCACAGTCCTTAGTGGTGGAGCCGGGATTTAAAACCAGGCAACCTGACACCCCAGCGGGTGCTGTCAACTCTGTCTCACGTTTTTTACTGAGGGTGTCTGTGCCCAGCATGCTTCAGGAGGTCACTCCCTGGTGCTGAAGGAAGGCACAGGCCTTCGGGGATCAGTAAGTGACGGGCAGTATGTACATGTCATAGCACACGCCTGTGTATAGTCTTGTGAATTTCAAAGCATCCAGGATGAAGTTAGGGAGCCAGAGGGAAGGAACAAAATTCCAACTGCTTTCAGAAAGAAAGGCGCTAACTCAAAAAGCAGCAAGCAGCGAGCAGCAGTGATCAGGTTGGCATGAAATTGTATTGGTTGTTGCATCCTGGAGGCAGTGGGGTTAGATGTGTAAAGATCGGAGGAACGGTGACAGGTACCCCTGGCTTGCCAAACTCTTTCACTGTCTGAACTCAAGAACCAAACAGATTTGGATTTCTTGGTATTGCCCAATAGCAAACTGGCTATCAGGTTCCAATTACACTCACATTCTTCATCCACAGACACCAGAAACTCTTGTGTCCAAAAAATTAAATTTATTTAACTTTCTGAGACAAGGAAGAGTGGAATTAAAATGAACCAGGAAACCCTTTCAATAAGGGGGAGTTAAGAGGGGCTTCTGATAGGATAGGGGCTTGTGCTAGGTGATCCCAAGGAGAGATTAAGGAGAGGGGAGCCAATGCTTGATGGGTGAAGATATCTTCATGCATTTCGTCCTGAGAGGGGAGATTCAAGAGGGGCGCGCGTGGCCACGGATGAAGTGTCAGGCGTCCCTGTTAGTCCAAGGGGGCTGCAGGGTGGTGTCTGATGTGTGGTGGGTTTGCCTCCCTCCTGCTCCAGGCCCTGCCGCGGTGTGGTCTCAGCTCAGCATCGCTGCTGCCCTCTGAGCCTGGCTGGTCCTCAATTAGGAACAGCAAGATCTGGCTGTCGGCAGAGCATTTCCTCTTTCTGAAAATCCAGGGTTTTCACAGACTCAGACACCACAGTTTCTGCCTCAAATTCAGGCAAATTGGTTTGGCAGAAAAAACATATAAAATGTAAATTTGCATTCTTTCTTTATAGTATTTTCTCTTTGTTTCAGATAGGAATAGAAGCCCTTTGTGATTTATTGATTTAGAGGGTTTTTTTTGTTTTTTGTTTGTTTTCAAGACAGAAAATAACTTGTGGTTTCAGCCTAAGACTAGGCCTGGTAAAGAGTTTATGCTCATGACTTAGAGGCAGAGGGAAGGGAAGAAGATGGTGCCAAGGAAGGAGAAAGGAAGAGGAAATCTTCCTGTAGATGAAAATGAAGAGAGGTCGGTGATCCTGTGAGTGGGCGACTGGAAATTTCTTGAGGGCAGGGATTATGTCTAATTCATTTTGCCCCCAAATAGCTAAAGAAATAACCAAACAGAGTAAGTGTCCAATGAATATGTATTAATGCAAACATTTATGAAATGAAGAAGGAAAGAAACAGGATATAGATGAACCCAGATTCATTAAAAAGTGTGTGATCCTGTAATGAGGCAGGTCCTGATAAAAACTGAATAACAAAGGAAAAAGTATTCCAACACCAAAGTAAAATCTGCAGTTAGAAGCTAGGAACAGAAACAGGGCCAATGCTTAGCTGCCTTCTTGGGCTTATCTTCTTTAGTGTAGATGGTTTGGAGGTCTTGGACAGGTTCCTGGGAACCACAGTAATCTTGCACCAGCTCTCACACGTGCGATTTGCGAGGGGGTCTGTGCCTGCACTGCTTTTTAATTTCAAGCTCATATTTTTCAAAAGTATCTACTATTATTTATCTGGCTCTGTGTCTCTCCACTTTTTTCAGAGCCTTTGCAGTGTTTATGTCTTAACATGTTTGAACAGTTTTTATCCATGTATTTGACACAGTGGCTGATGCACCCTTCGTTTGATGCAGCAAACGTCACAGTGTTCCAGACGTTTAAAAAGACGTAAGGAATTTCAATCAGGGCATTGCTTTAATAGAAATCATACATGTAGTGATGTTGAGGGATCAGAAGTTTGGGAAGAACGTGATTTCTCTCCGGAAAAGTCATCTCCGGAGTCCTAAGACCTGCAGTATAGCGTGGAGATAGGGTCCAGGCTCTCAGTGTCATTTTCGTTTCTCACCCCCTCAGCCCTTAGAGAGCTGAGCCTGAGCAAGTCGGGAGGGGCTCTTTGGAAGGATTGGGAAACTTCAGTTTAAATAATCCTGTAATTAAATCATGACTCACTGCATGCCTACTGCATGCCTGGCAGTACAGATGCATTCCACATCCAGTATCCGAGACACCCTCTCTGTGGGCACCTCACTCATTCCCCAGCAGTGGGGCCGGCCACCTGAGCAGCTGGCCTCCGGCAGGGCCAGGACTGAAGAGATGTCTGAAGTTAAATGCTGGAAGGTCCAATTTGCTCAAATCATTGAAAGAACTTAACACGGATGTCTACCAGATTGCAACAATGTTGGTTACTACAGTACAGTGACTTATTTAAGATAAAGTGGAGCTGGGCACGGTGGCTCACGCCTGTAATCTCAGCACTTTGGGAGGCCGAGGCAGGTGGATCACATGAGGTCAGGAGTTCTAGACCAGCCTGCCCAACATGGTGAAACCCCGTCTCTACTAAAAATACAAAAATTACCCAGGCGTGGAGGCCTGCGCCTGTAGTCTCAGCTATTGGGGAGGCTGAGGCAGAAGAATTGCTTCAAAATGGGAGGCAGAGGTTGCAGTGAGCCGACGTCGCGCCACTGTGCTCCAGCCTGGGCAACAGAGCAAGACTCTCTCAAAAACAGAAACAAAAAAGATAAAATGGTACCTCAACATCTTGATAATAAGGCCGAACACTTCTTTACAAGTTTATTTATTCTTTTTTTTTTTTTTTTTTTTTTTTTTTTTACTTTAAGATGACAGAGCCTGGCTTTGTCGCCCGGGCTAGAATGCAGTGGCGCAATCACAGCTCACTGTAGCCTCAACCTCCTGGACTCAAGCTATCCACCTGACTCCGCCTCCCAAAGTGCTGGGATTACAGGCGTGACCCACTGCGCCCGGCCCACTTACTCTGAAAATATTTTTTTGCTTACATTAATTTCCTCTTTAAAAACTCAGGTTAGCAAGGAAATTAAGGATTCTGCATTTTTACAAGTGCTCCAGGTAATTCTGATTCTCAGTTCCGAATTAAGATCTTCTGGATTGCAGTAAAAGGAAACATCTGTTCAGAACATAAGAAATGCTTCTCTAAGGTAGACTTTGTTACTTCCTTTTTGCACACAGGAAAATTGAAGCTCAGTAATAAACTAAGTTGTCTGATGCACAGTTAGTCAGTGGCAGGGCTGTGCTTTACACCAGGTCTGTCTGACTCAGGAGCTGATATTATTCCCAACATACACTAAATATTTTCTAAAAGAAAGCCCGTAACTTAAGATCCTTTGCATCCACTAAACAGAATATAAAGCCAAGCTTTATATTTTAAAAAGTCTGGATTTTAAAATAGATTATTTTATAAGCCAACTGGTTAAAAAGTTCTGATGTAACTGCATGAAAATTCTAACATATCTTGTCATCTTATGATTCGATAATATCTGGTTTGTTGGAGGAAAAGAGAAAATCCATAATTGGCTGTTGAGAAACTCGAGATGGGACTTGTACTCATGAAAGCTGAGGATCAGGAGGGCTTATGCCCACAGCCGCTGGGCCCCAGGATGCTGGACACGTTCACCCATGACGCGGGATGGGTTCACTTCTTTGTTAATAAATCCATCACACGAAAACAGCTGTCTCACCTCCGCTGTAAGAGAGGGTCAGCAAAGGCGCAGCTGTGGGAGAGTGTCACAAACTAGTGTTCAGATGCCAGGGGCCCAAGACACAGAGCCACATTTCACTCGGGTGTGATTTGCCCAGCGAAGAGTTAAACGTATGTTCCCTACTGAGAAACAGGAGGCTATTTCTCACTTGGTAAATGTCAACATGACCTGAGTGGACAGCATTATTCTCTCTCTCCTGTCCAGAGCTTGCAGAGAGTTTGACCGTCCTCCAGAAGAGTTAAGTGACCTGGCATTAAAATGACCTTTTATAGGTTCAAGGCAAAATCAATCAATCCTGAGAAGCCATTCTAACCTCTCATCCTGCTGGTAGTTTTCCTTTCATTCTGAATTCCCATGTAACTGACAGAGTTACAGCAAAGGAGGTGGAGACCCAGCCATCAGTGGGAGCCGTTCACTGCTGAGTGCCAGGGTCTTTGGCCAGCAGCTCTTCCTTGCCTGGTGCCCAGCTGCAGCTGGCAACATCTGTGACTGACCCTAGGGATCCTTGCCTGGTGCCTGGTACAGCTGGCAGCCTCTGCGAGTGACCCTGAGGATGAAGCACCCAGCGGTGGTGAAGGAAGGTCTGTTAATGAGCAGAATGTGGAGAGACCAGCAGGAAGAGAAGCAGAGGTGGCAACAACGCTTTCCACACTTTCTTGCCTCGTGGTCTCATTTTTCTCTCTGCCCTTTATCCCAGGAGAGTGTTCTCCACTATTTACAAATAAACTCGGGGCTCCTGTCCTTGTTTAGCTTTAACCAAAAGTCTTGGTGGATTCAGACTTTCACCCATTTCATTCAGGAGAAGCCCAAGATTTCATTAAAACTGGGGTTTTACAAACTTCCAGTGACAAAGCCTAAATCGTCATCAGTGCTGATGGGTTGGATCCTCTCATGGGGCGTCTGATCCATGTTTACCAGGTGCCTGCTATGTCCTCTCCACCAGGCGTGCAGCTCTGCAAAGAAGAAAAACCCGGCTCGTGCTGTCAGGGAGTGTGGGAAAGCCATGGAAAAGTTCTCCTGAAAAGTAAACGCACGCAGCATTCGGAGACGACTATTAATAAATAAAACGCGTGAACTGCTTTTCATGTGTGAGGTGACTGTTGTCACTCATGTTGGTCCTCTGCAGTGCAGTCCTAGCCTGTTTTGACCCCATTCCTATAAACACCGCAGGAAGGCACTACTTAGCTTGGTATTTGTGCCACTTAAACATGTTCCCGTTAAGCACATATTTGTGGTAATTGGGCATAATCCACTTAGTCTTGGTTTCTCATGAAAAATGTGTGGAAGGATTCTGTGCCCCAAGCCTTGATGGGTCATGCACAGTGGAATCGGAACTGTATCCAATGCACCCACACGCACAGTGGAATCGGAACTGTATCCAATGCACCCACGTGCACAGTGGAATCGGAACTGTATCCAATGCACCCACGTGCACAGTGGAATCGGAACTGTATCCAATGCACCCAGAGGCACAGTGGAATCAGAACTGTATCCAATGCACGCACCCTGCTTAATACCCACCTATGACATGTCCATCTCAATGGTGTCCAATGCACCCACCCTGTTTAATACCCACCTATGCTGTGCCCATCTCAATGACACATACCCGTGTCAGAAAGTAGCTGTAAAAGCATGTGTCTGGTATTTACGGTTTGGGCTGCTTTGCCTGCTGTTTCTCTTACCAGAAATGACAGAACATCCTTGGCGATGGCTCCTGCACACTTTCCAAGTGTGGTGTTGAAGGAGCAGCTTTTTAATCAGTTTCATGATGGGGAACCTTTTCTTCTCTGCAGTTTTCCCTGAAGAAGGTGGCTCTGTGCTGTTCTGGTTTTCTCTGTCTCGGTCTCTATCCCTTTTTGAGTTGCCTTTGCAGGTTTGTTATATATTTGTGGTTATAGAAATGCAACTTAAACCCCACTGGATGAGAAGACACACTTTGTATTTGGAGTTGAAGCTCTGGGCAGATCCTACTGGGCATAACAGGGATGCCCTGACACTTCCTGTGGCTGCCATTGGTGACACGTCCTGCCCTCCACTGGATAACATCATGCTGGGGTCATGGTTCTCATCCATGGTCAAGAGACCGTGTGCCTTACACACTGCTCCTCTGAGAGCCACTGAAGAGGGTGGAGGAAGGGACAGCAAGGAGAGAGGGAAGCAAAGTACTGGATCTGTTTTTATACATTGGGCTTCCATTTGTGTTTGAAGTAAGGATTCTATAACACACACACACACATACACACAATTATAAAATCACAGCATCAGGATAACCCAGGATGCCTCATTAACCTGTGAATAAAGAGACAGGGTCAGGCTAACAATAAAAGCCCAGATTGTACGGGAGTTGAAGACATCTTGGCCCTCTGCAAGATGACTCTCTCACACAGACTTGGAAACAGTTTGAGCCAACTAGCTATGGAGCCATAACTCCTATCTGCACTGGCACAATTCCCCAGATTCCAGAGCAGAAGGCTGCCTGGCTGGACGTGAGAGTGGAGACCTCCCTTGCCTCCCTCATCTCTCTGGGTCAGGCACTATCAGAGGAAACCAAGGCTGTACACTTGTGCCTGGATGGCCTCTCAAGTGTTGGTGCCATTGGAGAAGCAGAAGCACACATTTTACAGAGTTTGGAGGAACAGGGACTACAGAGCCCCCGTATTGAGCTTAGAACTAAATTGATATTTATCAAAAGGCTTCCCTTAGGGGCTGGAGTACATTTTAAAATCCCTTTTTTCTATGCAGTTTAAAATATAACGCAGTCCCTTAAATGCCCTCCGTTATTCCTCACTATGTATGCCACTGCGGGGCTGCCCGGTGCACAGGGTCTGCGGTGTGCAGTCAGCCCTCCTGTGATGGAAGGTGATGGGAACACCAGGTACACGGGGTCAGGTGTGCAGTCAGCCCTCCTGTGATGGAAGGTGGTGGGAACACCAGGTACACGGGGTCAGGTGTGCACTCAGCCCTCCTGTGATGGAAGGTGGTGGGAACACCAGGTACACGGGGTCTGGGGTGTGCAGTCAGCTCTCTTGTGATGGAGTGTGGTGGGAACACCAGGTGCACAGGGTCTGGGGTGTGCACTCAGCCCTCCTGTGATGGAAGGTGGTGGGAACACCAGGTACACGGGGTCAGGTGTCCCATCAGCCCTCCTGTGATGGAAGGTGGTGGGAACACCAGGTACACGGGGTCAGGTGTGCCGTCAGCCCTCCTGTGATGGAAGGTGGTGGGAACACCAGGTACACGGGGTCAGGTGTGCCGTCAGCCCTCCTGTGATGGAAGGTGGTGGGAACACCAGGTACACGGGGTCAGGTGTGCAGTCAGCCCTCCTGTGATGGAAGGTGGTGGGAACACCAGGTACACGGGGTCAGGTGTCCCATCAGCCCTCCTGTGATGGAAGGTGGTGGGAACACCAGGTACACGGGGTCAGGTGTGCAGTCAGCCCTCCTGTGATGGAAGGTGGTGGGAACACCAGGTACACGGGGTCAGGTGTGCAGTCAGCCCTCCTGTGATGGAAGGTGGTGGGAACACCAGGTACACGGGGTCAGGTGTGCAGTCAGCTCTCCTGTGATGGAAGGTGGTGGGAACACCAGGTACACGGGGTCTGGGGTGTGCAGTCAGCCCTCCTGTGATGGAAGGTGGTGGGAACACCAGGTGCACGGGGTCAGGTGTGCAGTCAGCCCTCCTGTGGTGGATGGGGGATGGTGGGAACACCCAAGGTGCAGACTGCCTCGTGTGGTTCCTGAAGTCATGTCTTTTCCTCCCAGTCCCCGATTCTTGGCTGTGTGTACTGTCAAGGAGGCAGTGCCTTCTGCTGGCCAAGGGGTCTGGAGTGCATGTTCCTCCTGCTCACTCAGTCGTCCCTCAGCTCTTGTAGCTCTGCACCCCACGGTCTCCATCTGACACCTTGTCCCTTAGAGAAACCCTGCACCATGCTGTGTGCCGGCTGGCCTCCCTGTGGGTCAGATTCATGGCCCTGGGGACCAGAGGAGTGGGCCTCCCGCCAGTAGCACTAAGGCCACGTGGACGCACAGAGGCTCCTAAGCGATGCCTGAGGCTCCTCCCGCTGGCTGAGACATGCCGCCCTGTGACCTAGGCCGGGAAGGCCAAGACACCCCAGCAGCCCAGGCACCGCCCACCAGTTCCTCGCTTTCCTTCGGCTCACAGGCATGTCCATCCTCTCCAGGAACACACCTGAGCTCTGTGCCTGGCGGTCTCACTCTTCCTCCTCCCATTCATTGTGACAAAAGTGTAAAGATCTGTATTCCAGGCGCAGTAGTACGTGCTGTGGCCATGGTTTCCCCCACGATTTTGAGAAAGTTACTGTTGTTTTCTTCATTATGCAGAAGAAGCTGAGATTCAGAGAAGTGAAGTGGGCTGCTTAAGACCTCAGACGTAGGGACTGATGGGACTGGACACAGCATGCTGTTCACCATGACTGTCCTGCACCCTTCAGACCTCAGGAGAACCCAAGGAGGCAGGTGCGGCTCTTAAGCACGTGCTGCTGACAGGGACACCGAGCCACAGAGGAACAAAGTCACCCACGGGACAGCAACAGACTGGGAGGCATCGGGTGAACCCAGCAGGGCAGCTCCTGAATCTGCCCCTAAACTAGGGGCTGGCGCCTGTGGTCATTGCCGCCCACCCCACAAATGTTTCGGTCAATAGTTTTACTGGCACACAGCCACAGGCATTCACTCCACATAGACATTGTCTGTAGCTGCTTGCAAAGCTGTAGCCGCTGAGTTGAATAATTGCAAGCAAGACCGCAAAGCCTAAAATACATATTTTGGTCCTTTAAAGGAAAAGTGTGCTGACCCCTGGTCCAAAGCACCAGACTGTACTGCTCCCGATATGCAGCAGGCCTTGACTGAGGACAGAGTATTTGTATCTACACTGTGGAAGGATATCTGAGGTCCTCTTGAAAAGCTCAATGTCCTACTGAGCATGGGCAGCAACACCTTCACTGAGGGGTGAGAGCTGGAGTGGTGACTGAACCTCTGGGGTGACGGCAGAGGCTGTCTGAGCTGTATATCCAGATGCACAGTTTTAACACCTGCAAGAATGCAATCTGCATCACAGCTGCCCAGGCCTGGGTCCTGCTGCACTTCCACTTCCACGAGAGACATGCAGGGGCCAGCTGGGGCTGGACAAGGGGAGATGGGTGGATGACAGACAGTGCTCTCCACTGACAGTCCTCTACCCCTGACCACCTAGACCCACTGACTGGCAGTTATCACTCCTGCTTTTATTTCCTTTGGGATAAGTTCTTTCCCAGGAGGCTCCTAGATTCTTTTTCAAACAAGATTTTAGCAGGCGCCTCCCATCAATCTTTCAGATACATTTGGATGTGTATGAGCCCAGCTGAGGCTTGAGTGAAGACGGCCACTACCCTGCACGTCCTAGCACCAGAGACTTATGTCAGAGCTCCTTGAAGATTCCTAGCACCCAGAGTGCTCCTAAACTAACGGTATTCCCTGGTTTCTAACAGAAGCAAATGCAAATCCTCTCTGAAGAAGAGCATTTCTTTGGCCCATTTTGTATGTCTGTGTAGCAGGGCGAACCACAAAGAAGCTAACGATTAAAAATTACCAGAAAAACCTGAAAGAGTGGCACCAGGAATGAGAGTCACAGAAAGCAAACCAAAAATGAGCCCAAGGAAAGAGAATATTAAAAATAACCAGACATAATTAGAATAGATAACTTTTAGAAATAAAAAAAATCAGTGAATTAAAAACTCAATAGTTGTTAAAATGAATGACGAGAGAAGTAAAATAGAAGATTTCTCTGAAGAAATTACACAGAGATACCCAGAAATATAATGAGATGGTAAATATAAAAGAGGTTAAGATATATAAAAAGTCAATTGAAAAACTCTAGCTTAAGTTTAAGCTGTGCCACAGATGAAAGAGTAAAGGGAATGGCATGAAAGCCATATTATGGAAGAACTAATACTAAGAAAATAAAAAAATCCACACTTATGCATATTCTAATAAAACTTCAGAACAGCAAAAACAAAGAGAAGATCTTAAATGCAGCTACAGAGACATGAGAAACATCTCTAATGAAATAATTCAACTGCCTGAAGATTAGTGAACAGAAACAATGAGAATTAGGAGACAGAAGAATAACCTTTTCCAAGCACTGTAAGAAAAGAAGTACCAACTGAAGATGGTGTACCTAGCAAAATTAGCTTCAAGAATTATAGCAATATAAAGACATTTTAGATAACAAAAAACTGAGTCACCTATAGGGAGAACATTATTATTAAATATAGTGCTAAATGATTATTTTGAAGGATTTCAGTAAGGAGAAAATAATCCTACAAACAAGTAAGAGAAAAGAGAGTGATAATTATGTGACTAAATGTAAACAACCATAATGATATAAATAATAATAAAATAATATATCTTGGGATTTTAAAAGATATGCAACTAAAATACAAGGAAACAATTGCAAATAAATTGGAAGAATGGTTAGTGAAATGAAAATTTCCTAATGCCAAAGTCTAGTCTTCCTCTTGAAAAGGTTTAAGTTATAGATTTCTTTTCTTGTATTTTCTTTGGTGGTTTTGGTATCAGGATAATTCTGAGCTTATAAAATAAGTTGAAAAGTTTTCCCCTCTTTATTTTCTGGAAGAGGTTGTATAAAATTGCTGTTAGCTCTTCTTTAAATGTCTGTTAGAATCCTCCAGTGAAATCATGTGGGCCTGAAAATCTCTTTTTGGGAGATTTTTAGTTAGGCTTCGATGTCTTTAATGTTTATAAAACTCTTCCAATTATCTATTTCATCTTGGTTGAGATTTTTCAGTTTGTGATTTTCAAGGAATTGGTTTATTTCTTCCAAGTGTCAAATTTATGAACATAAATTGGTTGTTGCAGTCCTTTATTTTATTTAGATCATGGTAGGATCTGTAGTGATATCACTTATTTCACTCCTGATATTTCTGGTTTGTATCTTCTCTTTTTTCTTTTGTCAGTATTGCTAGAGTCTATTAACTTTGTTGATTTTTTTTTTGAAGAAACAGCTTTAGGTTTTGTTAATTTTTTCTATTAAATTTCTATTTCAGTTTCACAGATTTTGCTCCCTATTATTTCCTTCTATCTACTTGATTTTAGTTTATTTTGTTCTACTTTTCTACTTTTTTGAGGCACTCACTTAGATAATTGATTTGAGACCGTTACTGTTTTGTAGTATAAGCAATTCATGTTATAGATTTCCCTCTTAGCACTGCTTTAGCTGCTGCACATATTTTGAAATGCTGTGTTTTCATTTTCATTCTATTCTATGTGTTTCTTAAACTTTTGGAGACTTTTTCTTGACACGTGGATTATTTAAAAGTCTGTTGCTTAATTTCCTTATGTTTAAATATTTTCCTGTTGATTTTTAGTGATTGATTTCTAGTTCGCTTTCATTATGTCAGATAATAGACTATATGACTACAATTTTTAAATGTATTGAAGTTTGTTTTATGTCTCAGGATGTGGTCTATCTTAGTGAATGTTCCGTGGACACCTGTAAACATGTATATCCTGCTGTTGTCATAGGCAATGTATTGCTTATGTCAATTAGATACTGTTAATTGACTGTGTTATTCAGATCCTATATATCCTGGCTGTTTTTCTGCTTATTTTTCAGTTGCTGAGAGAGAGGTATTAAAATCTACAACCATAATGTTTGATTGGTCTATTTCTCCTTTCAGTTGTTGATTCATGTATTTTAAGGTGCTGTTGTTTGGTGCATATACATTTAGAATTATTATAACTTCCTGGTAGATTTATCTTTTTATCATTTTTGTACTGTCCCTCTTTGTCTCTAGTAATTTCCTTTGCTCTGAAGTCGACTTTATTAGATATTAATAGAGTCACTTCTGATTTTTAGATTAATGCTGCATGGTCTGTCTTTGTTCATCCTCCTCCTTTCAAACGAGCCATATAATTGAATGTGAAGTGAGTTTCTAATAAGGTGCATATAGGTGAGTGGTATTTTCTTTATTTACTCTGCCAATCTGTGTATTTTGATTGATGTATTTAGGCCATTTTCATTTTATATAATTATTGATATATTAGGGCTTATCTCTGTTTCTGCGAGCAACAATTTTCTTTCTACTTTTCTTTCATCTGAGTATGTCTTTATTTGGAGTTGAAAGTTCTTTTCATTCAGCAGTTAAATGGTATGGGAAAAACAAGAAAAAAATATTGGGCTGCTTCTTTCTGGCTTTCATTATTTCAGGTGATAAATCCTTTATATTTTAACTGCTGTTCACCTATAGGTAATGGGTTTCTTTCTGGCCAATTTCAAGATGTTTTTTCTTTGTTTTCATTACCTACAGGTGTGTGTTGCGCTGTGGGATTCAGCTCGAATCGTCCTTCCCCCGTTAGTTGTGCACACATTAACTCAGCTAATCTGTGCAATGAGAAAAGCATGTCTAAATACGACTAAAGTTTTCAAAACCACCACGGCATGGAAAGTCAGTGATCCACAGATTAGAACAACATTCCATTGTAAAGCATCTCTAAGGAAAAGCATCCAAGATAAAAAGATAACAGCCTGAGAAAATGTTTGTAATAATGATGTTTATCACTTGCACATCTACCTGGGCTTGGTTCTGCCATTGGTTGAGGGTCTGGAAATGACGCCTCTGGGTCTCCTTCTTGTATGGGTAGGGGTATATCAGATGCCCTGCCACTGTGCTCATGTTTTCCTCTTTTTTAGTCCTTAGGTACCAAACCATTTTCACCTTTATCCAGCCACCATTCAGAGTTCTCCTTTGGTTGTTTCTTGCAGTATTTTCAGAGTTTCTAGTCATAGTTATTGGTGTGAGCAGGAAGAAACAGGTCTATATCAGCTTGAACAGGTCAGAAATTCTGCTAAAGCTATAGTCTCACAGAATGTCAGGGTTTATTTTAGCAAAACAAAAAATAGTGTATAAATCCTAATTGAGTGTACTGAAGGGAAAGAAGAAGAATTAAGAATAAAAATAATATCAAAGATTTATGTAGAGCTGACGTTGTGCTGGGCATACACACTTACACATATGCATATGTGCTCTGTGACTGTAGGAATCTAGGTTCTGTCTTGCTGAGTATTCCTAAATTAATATATTGAGACTTAACCTCTTTCTTGAACTTCAGGCTTGTATCAGCTTGCTTCATTAAAGTCTCTATTTTGCTACGTGAACACCTCAAACTCAACATGTCCAAACCACTTTCCATCTTCCCTGCACGCTAGTTCCTCCTGCAGATCCCTCACATTTGTTAGTGATGACTTCTCCCTTCCAGCCACTCCAGTCAGAGATCCTGGAGTCGCCTTTTGATGCCTCTCCTTATCTCATTACTCAGATCCAATCATTGGCAAGTCCAGTTGGTGCTACCGTCAGAGCATATCAAGAATCTAACCTCTCCTTTGCATTATTCCAGCTAGCCATCTTCTTAGGCTGTTGTCCCTCTCATTTGATGATGGTAGCAGCCTCCTAATATGATCCTGCTTCACCGGTTTCTCTCTTCTGCCCTTTTCAACACATCAGCCAGAAGGACCTTGTTAAGTCTGAGTCGGATGCAGTCCCTCTCCTGACTGTGTCTCCTACGGCTTCCCACTCCATCAGGGTGAAATCTCTTGCAGGGTTTTCAAGATCTCGTGTAATACATCCCACAACCTCTCCTTCTCTATCTAATGCTGGCCGTGTCCTGTCCGCCAGTCTCAGAGAGCTCTCCGTTCTTCCCCACTGCTACGTGCCAGGAGGCTGAACCTCATGACCTTTAGGTGCAGGCTCCTTGCTTTCCGTTTTCAGCTGGCTTTAGAACTGGAAACACCAGGAGGAAGTCAGGATGTGGGAGAAGGGTGAAGCTGGGGAAGTCTCTCTTTCTCCCTTCTCCTCGGCCAGGTGTTGGCAAGGGTTGCTCTTCTTTGTGTCCACAGATCCTGTCCAGTGGGCTCCCTACAGCCCAGGCAGGCTCTTGCGGGGCTCCATGGTTATACCTCGCCTTGCTTCAGGCCAAGGGTTTGGAATGGTTTGCTTAACTGATCACACCTCCATACTTCTCTTTTGAATGTGCCATCTGCTTCCTGCTAGGGCACTTATTTTCTTGCTATGCACCTGCCTGTTGTTGTTTTCGTGGCCTGGCCAGGTGGTCCTCCTTCCTATCACTTTAACAACAAGCATGAATTTGAAGTTGCCATCATTTCTACCTAGAATGTGCTTCCAGATATCCATGTGCATCACTCTCCAGGCTTCCTAAACAGAAGGATCGAGTGTTGTGGGTAGTGACTAACTGGGGGCAGTGGTGCATACAGTAAAGGGATTTACAAAGGCAGTTTACCTTTACCTACAAGGTAAAGGAAGGTGGATTTGTTAAAGAAAGTATGAAAATATGTTGCAAGGATGCAATGGGTAGATCAGCAAGAAAGGAGCTGAGTTCCAGGAGACAAAAGCTTGCTGGGTATTTTACAGGATGGTGCTTGTGCTGGAGAGGAATACGTGCAGTACTGGTAACACTAAGATTGCAGTGAGCGAACCTGCATTTTTCTGTCAGCTGAGGTGTCTGCTGGTAAGTCAGGCATAGGGAGATTGTGTGTTAGATGGGCTATTTGCGCAGGAGGGCTGTGTGTCCTGGACCATGAAGAAAGGCAGATTTGTAGTTTATCTGCTTTGTCTTTTTGCTTTCCCTGCTCCCCCTAGCCTGGCTCCTTTTCCTAATCAGGACCCCACACCAGATCACACCCTCACTCCCAAGTCTGGTCATTTTCTTTAAAGTTAGAATATATCCACTTCCCACCGCAATGCTCTGGGTTCCCTTTATCCTGGCTTACGTCACATAGAAAAGCGTAATTTATAACTTAACAAAAGTGAGTAGCTAACGAAGAAAGCAGATCATACATGACACCATAAACTGTAAACAATAAAAGCTGAATTGGTAAAGATCTTCTAACTGGAAAGCCCCATACCGAGATGGTGTTAAATGCATCGTTTCTATAAATGCTCATGGTATTTTTATAAGGTGGACACTATTATTTCATCTTAGAAATCAGCAAAGAGAGGCTTTGAGAAAGGAACTAAATTGCCCAAGATCAAACAGCCAGTAATGTCAGGGCAGGGATTAGAAAACTTTAACAATTATAAAATTTCATGAAACATGAAAATAAGGAATACATCCCTTCAAAGCAGCTATGAGATGTATGTATTAGAGCAAAGGAGCAGTGAAAGTTACTGCATATTTCTTGGCACTTAGTCCATGGATTGCTTTCAGTGTTATGATTCCTCTGAGTCACAGAACCTGACAATTGTGAGCACTGTTACTGCCCTAATTCCTGCAGCCTCAGCTGTGAAACTTTCAGTATTTTTCTTTTGTTTGTTGAGCCAGTTATTAAAAAAATGAACTACAACAGCTAATTCTTTCTGTTTATCTAAATGCTTGTCAAAATGCCTAAGCAGTGATTTGCCAGGTTTGGGAGTTATACGTGCTTATACATTTCAAATAAACTGTGGCAGCGGCCTTAGCTTTTGTGGCTCCAGCAGGCGTAAGTGAGTGTGTGTGCTTTCTCTCTCCGCATCTGCTGCTTGACATCTTTAATTTATTATTCCTGTTATATAACTTTGTTTTGGCGCTTGAACTTCCATTCCCATGACTTTATGTTGAAAAACAGTTTTAAATCTAGGATTTGCATTTCACCACAGTGATAGAGCCTGGTTATTTATTGTTATTTGCAATATGGCATATAATATGGCAATAATCTATGTCTAGTCAACAGTCAGGAATAACAAAAGATTCATGGCATATTAAAACAAGATTGATGTCCCTCTGCCGAGGGAGGTTATTGCTGGCCTAAGCACAAATGGCCAGAGTGAGTTGCACAGGCTGTGCAGCCCTGGAGGCCGTGGCTCTGGCCTCTCAGCCTTGCTCACACCCAGACCCCTGCACCCTTCTGTGAAGAACCCCTGTGATTTCAATCCTGCAGTGTGAAGTTGCCACGACGGAGCCAGCATCTCTATCCAAGTCTCCTGGGTGATAGAACGCATATGTAGGCCAAACTCTGCAGCACTGATGCAGCTGGTGATGACTAAACATGGCAGATTTACCTAGTCAGTGACTTTATGCAGGAAGAAACCGAATGCATGTGCGCATCTTGAGATGCGTGGGCCTTCTGTCCTGTGTGCAGCTGCGTGTGCTCCCCCACTGGCCCGGCCTGCGCGCTTTTCTGCCCCGGCACTCGCCAGCTGCCCAGTCCAGCTCAAGCCGGGATTTTCCACGGCTGCCTCTGAACGGTCTCCAAGCCGCAGCTTCCTCTCCTCCTTCTGAGCTCCAAGTACCATTGCTATAAGGGGACAGGAGCAGGGTGGGAGATTGTCCTGAGTCTTGACTCTGACTGTGCTGTGTGCAGGGTTATCACCTTTCCACATCCCACTTTCTTCGTCTTTACAGTGGGGAGAGCAACTTTTACCTTTCCCATCCCGAAGCAGGGCTGTGGTGGTAGGAAGATCAAAGAAATTGCTTTAGCTTTTAAAAATAGACAAGAAGCCAACAGTTCTTGGGTGGACGTGTCAGACCTGTTCCCGACAGGACAGATGGCAGCACAGCCAGACCCGCTCAGTGTCCCAAGAGCAGCCCCGGCAAAGCAAGGCGGGAGCCGCCCCTCACCAGCCCAGCTGTGCTCACACACCCCCTCTGCAATGTCGGATGGTTCACAACAGGATTTATCGTTTTCTTTAAAGTCGCCTTGTGGAAACTCTTGTATCCCTTACTCTCTTGTGCTGTTATTGAAGGTTTAATGGGTTCGTTTTGACTCCTCAGATAGACTGTGCTTGATATTTCTTGCAAGCTCAACACGATGGCTGGAACATGTAAGTGTGTGAGTTAAAAACAGTTTGGGCTGCTTTTTAATTAGAACTATTAAAAAAGAATTTTGGTTGCTTTTTAATTGGAGCAATGAAAAATCAAACGATCACCTGCTCAAATCAGAAAATTCTTAGTTTTCCAACTTAGTTTATAATTTCCTTCCTTATATCTTTGGGTTTAATTTGCAGTTCTTTTCCTAGTTTCGGGGGGCAGAAGCTCTGAGCCTTTACTCCAAAACTCTTCCTATTAAATATATGCAACTGAAGCTATACAATTTTCTCTAAGCACTGCTCTAGCTTCGTCCCTCATGTTTTGATACGACACTTTTTATTATTTTTCAATTCAAAACATTTTCAACATCCATCGTGCTCCTATGCGTAACAGCGTGGAAGTGTTTTGTGTGATTATTTCAGTCATCTTTCTGTTGTGTTACAGTGTGATTGTGTTGTGCAGGAAAACATAATTTGTGTGATTTTACTTATCTTTTTATTTTTAATTTGTTGAGATGTGTTTTATGGTCCAGTCTGTTTTGGTAAATGTTCCTTGTTCCCTTGATAAAGAGTTTACACTGCAGTTGTTGGGTGCAGTGTTCTGTATACACCAGTTAGGAACATTTAGTTGTGTCCCTAAAGGCTATTTTTATACTTTTTTTTTTTTTTGGTTTGTTTATTCTCTCAGCTTCTGAAACAGGTGTTAAAATCCTCAACTATGCTTTTGGATATTTCTCTTCTTCTGCTTAGTTAAGTCTTTTTTTTTTCTATACATGTGTAGCAATGTTATTAGGCACGTACACACAATTATGAGTTTTGTATCTTCCTGTTTTTATGAAATGTAGCTTTTATCTTTAGGAATATTTTTGCCTTAATTAAACTCAACTGTCTCGTAGTGCTATAGCTACCTCAGCTGCCTCTTAAACACAATGTGTCCATGACTCCCACTCTATAGACATTTATCTTCAGCCTGCCTGTATGATTTTATCTAAAATGTGCCTCCTGCAAATTTCATATTGTTGGGTTCTCGGTTTTTCATACAGACCATCTTTGTCTTCTGATTAGATTGTTCAGTTTTATACATTTAATTACTAAAATAATTGTGTTTAAGTAAGTCTACCATCCTACTATTCTATTTCTCTTGTCTGTTTTTATTTCTTTGTTCCATTTTTCTTAATTCCTTTCAGATAAATCAAGTATTTTCATGTGCTGATTTTTCTTTTTCATTATATTTTAGTACATTATTTTATTATTCTCTTAGCAGCTACCCTAAGCATCTTTGAGTAGCTAATGTTTAAAGTAGTAATTTTAATATTTCTCTGAAAATACAAGAAGCTTCCAATAGTTAACTCCATTTTGCACTAATATAATATAAAATTTTACTTATGCACACCTTATAAAACTTGCACTACATTTTTACAGTTGTTGTTTTAAACAGTTTTTCTTATTTTCACAGTTTCTGGAGTGTGCTTCATTCCTTCCTGATGATCTCTGCTTACCTGTAGGATCTTCTGGACTTTTCTTTCAGCTCAAGAAACTTCTTTTACTGTTTAATGTCATTCTGTGGCAGGAAATTGATCAACTCTTCTCTGACTTGAAATGTCTTTATTTCATCTTATGTTTAATGAGGTATGATTGCTGTAAAATAAGTTGCATATATTGATGAATACTGATACAGTGACATATTGATTTCCCATGAAAACATGTGTTTCTGTAAGCAAAAGGCTTCCTCATGTTCCTTGGTGTCCATTCCTCCCTCTGTTCCTGTCCTGAGGCAACTGTCAGTTTGATTTCTGCCACTGTAAAATGGTTTTCATTTTCCAGAATTTCATGTAAATGGAGTCTTGCAGTGCATGCTCTTTCTTACTTTTAACCTGGCTGCTTTAATTTCACCTGACAATTTTGGGTGCATCGTCCACTCATTGCGTCCCCCAGTAGTTTGTTCCTTTTTATGGCTGAGTCGTTGCCCGTTGCATGAGCACAGCACAATTTATCTACCCATTTACCTGCTAATAGACATTTATATTATTTTCTATATTATTTAATATATATATTTAATATATTATTTAATATATTATTTTTATATTAAAAATAAAAAATGATATGAGCATTTGTATCCAAAAATTTGGGTCTCAAATGTATTAATTCTAGGAGTAGAATATCTGAGTCATATGGTAGGTGAATGTTTAATGTTTTATAAATTGACCACACTGTTTTCCAAAACGGTTTACATTCTCAGCCGAAGTGTATAAGAGTTGAAATTGCTCTGCATCCTCACCAGCGTTTGCTATGGTCATACTTTTAAATATTAGATATTCTCACACGAGTGCAATGGTATTGCTCTTATGGTTTTAACCTCCTTTTCCCTAAAGACTAGTACTGTTGAGCATCTTTTCCGTTGCTGATTTGCCATTTGTGCATCTTTTCTTCTTGTTGTTGTTGTTGTTGAAATATC
Organism: Homo sapiens; assembly: GCF_000001405.40. Taxonomy (NCBI): domain Eukaryota; kingdom Metazoa; phylum Chordata; class Mammalia; order Primates; family Hominidae; genus Homo; species Homo sapiens. Next base: position 168,954,057 of record NC_000006.12, read on the forward strand.
CATTAAAATATTTGTCCAACTCAGTCCACAAATGTACTGAGTTGTTTGTTTTCTTACCATTGTGTTATAAATTATTTATATATTCAGAACAAAAGCTCTTTTTCAGATATTTATTTTGCAAATACTTCCTTTCAGTCTATTAAATAATTTTAATGATGTCTTTTGAAGAATAAAAGATTATAATTTTCATTTTTTTAAATTTATAATGTATAATTTCTTGTGTCCTCTTTAAGAAAACTTTGCCAAACAGAAGATCACTAATCTTATGTCCTATTTTTATTCCATAAATGCTATTAACTAATTATTATTGGCATTTATAGAAAATTCCTCCAGACAGCAGCAAAGTATATCTTTAAATTGAAATATTTCCCAAGATAGCTGATAGTCTGTGCCATAGACTAAACCTTAAACATGAAAAAAGAGTAGAAAACAAGCAAAGTATGTTCTGAAACCATAATGAAATTAACTGAAAATAAACAAAAATATATCTGGAAAATCTCTGAATATATGGCAAATAAACAACACACTTCTAAATGAATGATGGGTCAAAACTGAAGTCTTACACTAAACTAAAAATATTTTGAATCAAAAATTAAAATACAATATATCAAAATTATCAGGATGCAGCTAAGCAGTGCTTTGAGGGAAATGTAGAGTACTAAGTGCTTGTAATAGAAATCAGGAAACACCTAAAATCAGTAATATTACAAACATCTCTATGCCCAAAAGGAAACAACTTACATGAAAATTAAAAATGTTTCTACCTGTAATAATGAACATTTGGAATTTGAATTTTAAAAAAAATGTCATTTGCACAACATGGCTGGGCCTGGAGGACATGATTCTATGTGAAATAACCCAGACACAGAAAGAAAACAATTGAATGATCTCACTTATATGTGAGATATTTTTTTAAAAACCCTCAAACACACAGAGACAGAGTGTGTAACAGTGTTTCCATGGGTGGGGGTTGCAAGAGGACATGGGGGGATGTAGGTCAAAGGGATCAAAATATCATAGAAGGTAGGTGGGACAACAGTTCCGGAGACTGGATGCACAACGTGAGGGCCAAACTTCATAAAATTATACCATGTTAAGGATTTTTGTTAAATAAGTAGATTTTAGCTGCCTTTGTCACAAAAAATATGTGAGATAATAGATATGTTAATCTGTTTCACCACTGTAACCATTTTACCATCTATATTTCATAGCATCATGTTGTAAACCTCAAATATACACAATACTATTTAAAAGGCACTAAATCGTACTAAAATAAATGAAGCATTAGGTATAAATATAACAAAATAGGTGCAGCGTCTGTATGCTGAAAACTACAAAACACTGATGAAAGAAGGAAGAAATATCTAAGTAAATGAAGAAATATGCAGTTTCATGGATTTGAGGCTTAATATTTCAAAGATGTCCATTCTCCCATTTTCCCTGATTTGAGCAATGCAATCTCAATAAAATTCCAGCAAGTCTACTTTGTAAATAACAACAAGCTGAATCAAAATTCATGTAGAAAGGCAAAGAAACTATAATAATCACAAAAATTCTGCAAGAAAAACAAAACAAAATTCTGGAAAATGAACAAAACAACAAAAGTAAAGTACTCACATAACTTGATTTTAAGACACTATAACGTGACAGTAAACAATAAAATGTGGCATTGGCACTGGGATAGGCAATCAATGGAACAAAAGTAAGAATAGAGAAATTGACTCAGACATATATTGACAAGTGACTTTTGGCATAGGTACAAGTCATGTTAGGAAAGAAAGAGAATCCTTTCAGTTAATTGTGTTGGAACATTTGATATGCAAATGTCCCAAATAGGACCAATATATACCTTTTCCATATACAAACATTAATTCATAGTGGATTATAGATTTGAATGTAAAATGCAAAACCATACAACTTCTAGAAAAAAAACATAACAGAAAAGCTGCATGGCTTTGGTTTTGGTGGTGAGTTTTAAGATACAGTACCAAAAGCATGCTCAATGAAAGAAGAATTTTTAAAATTTGACTTTAACAAAATTTAAAGTGTTTGCTTTGCAAACGACCTGTAAATATGGTAAAAAAGCAAGCCACAGACTTGGAGCTATTACTTGCAAATTTCATATTTGATAAAGTACTTATATCCAGAATTTTTTCTCTCTCTCCCTATTACCCTCAAGTACTACTAAAGTTAAAGCTTAAAATAAAATTGACAACACCAAATGTCGATAGGCATGTGAAACCACAAGAATTCCCATTGCTGGTGGGAATACAAAAGTAGTATTCTACTTGGACGTCCACACCCCCTGGATCACAGATTGCCCATTTCTTATAAAGATAAACATACAATCATCTCATGGCCCACAAAGTCCTGTCCTAGATGTTTATCTAAGTGAATGGAAAACTGTGTTCACACAAAAAACAATTTGCAGATGTCTATAACAGTTTTATTCATAACACCTCAAACTGGAAACAACCAAGTTGTCCTTCAACACGAGTGGAGAAACAGACTGTGGTGTGTTCACACGACGTAAGGCTACTCAACAGTGAAAGGAGTGAGTAACCGACTCACAGGATGTAGATGAATCTTAACTGCATTTTGGTAAGTGAAAAAGGCAGCACCCAAAGGCTGCATATTACATGTTCCACTTATATAACATCCTGGAGGAGGCAAAAATGTAGGAACGGAAAAGGGGGCAGGGCTTCTAAGGGTTTGGGGATGGGTTGATGAGTGATGGAACTGTTCTGTGTGGTAGTGGGTGGAAGATTTTTGACTGCATTTCTGTGTTGTGGAAAGACATGGAAAAGCTAAAAAGTCAAATTTATCGTATGCAAAGTAAATAAAAACTCAACTAGGATTTGAGGAAATCTCAAACTAGAAGGATGACTGTGACAAATGAATCTAACTGATTACAAATGATGACACAACTCAGAAATGTTGCTCCAGAATCAGAGAAGAGAAGTGTGAATCTGGTGGGGAACTCAGCCGGGCAGGCTGGGAGCTGTCAGGCCAGCCACTTGGTGGTGCCAGAGGACCTCCAATAGAAGCTTGCACATGATTTTACATAATTTACCCAGACAGCAAAGAAGGCTCAGCCACTGCACTCAATCAATACCAGTGAGGACACTGCCACACTTGCTGAACACAACCCTGGAGCACGTCTACAGGTCAACAGCATGACACCGATAAAACTGAAAAATGGAAAAAGCACAGGAGCCCGAGCCTCTACACACAGAACCTGGGCCCCTTTTTGAATTTCATATGACTACACTGTATAATGAGTTTTGACTGTGTCCTGGTCATTGTTTAATTTTTCTCAGAATTTACTTGGAGTTTTACTGGTTGGAGATTTATGGACTGTATGGTAGAGAAAGCAAACATATAAATAAGCATAATTATGCTGGCTCCCAATGTAAAGAATGAATTCATTGTTCTAGTTTTGCTGGAGTTGTCACTGAAGAGCTCTGAAAGAAGCCTTCTGCCTGCTCAGAACCTTGAGGCATCCAGTGGCACCACAGAGCTAAAGCCATCCAAAGCATCTGGCGTAGCTTCCCTGGTAAAGATGTCACACTAGTCTCATGAGTCCACACTCCCTGAGAGCCCTATAAACTCTCACCATGTGAAACTATCACAGGTTCGCCATTATGCAAAGTATTTACCCCAAAATTTCAACTTTATCTTACTTCAGGCAGACATAGAAGAGGTACTTCCAAAGGTTCATGCAGTGTACTTAGGCTCATGGTCAATCAGCGCAGGCTGCCTTTTCTCCATGGCTCCGAAGCAGCTTCCACTAGACCTAAGACCTGGAAATGTTGTCTTATAAGAAAAGATGAAAAGAAAAAACATGCCCTAGATTCACATGGAAGGAAGACCATACTTTGCTTTTGGCCACTAGTCCACAATTAACCTGAGAGTTATGTCACCCAGGTACAACACCTGGTCCCCTGTCCCGTCAGAAACATTTACAGCAAAGATAGTCAGGAATGTACCAGAGCAGATGATGTTCTGGAGAACCCAAATTACGCAGATGAAGACAACTTATTTCAAAAGAAAGAGAAAATTGTGAGAAGTGAAGTTTCCGCCAATACCCACTGCAAGTGTGCCAGATGACTGGCTCTAGAGTGTCATCCTCGAATCTGGGGGCTTTCCTTCCCTGTTTTCCTGGGCATTTTCTTGGCATGTTGCCTACGTATGGTTCTTTTCTGTTAACAGGCACCTGCTGCCTCTCAGCAATGGTGTCTATAATGTTCCTCCCCCTACTATTATGAGCCACTAGCTCATCCCTAGTGGCTTCTTGTCATGAGTCTAATTTCTGGTTTGATATTCTCACAATGGGGCTCATTCTGACAATCAGAATCACTCCTAGGCTTGGTCTCACTGTCTCTGTGCGATAGCCAGACTCTTGGTATCAGTGTCTTGTGACATATACGTTGGTTTTCTGTGTAATTTTACTCAAACATGAAGTGACATTTTGCATGAAACTCTAATATTTGTTTCAAGGCATTCCTATAACTCAGTTTATCAAGACAGTTTGTTTATCTGTGCAAACTTCTCTCTATCAGGACAACATGTTGCTAATCTGAGCAAAAAGTTCATTTACCAAGTAGCAATGTTCTTGTGAAGGCTCACTTCGAAACTCTTGTCTTCTGTCCACAAACCTTACAAGATCACACCACAGGCTTTACCCAATCCTAATCAATTTTCATCTTAAAAGAATCACCGAAACCTACCATTTATTCTAACAAACTTGATAATCCACACTTCATCCTGATAAAAACGTTAATTCAGGAAATTCTTCTGGCACAGACTGGGGTCTCCGTATCTTTCTCCCTCCAATCATGATCCCGGCTCTTCCGGGATCCCATCTCTGTTGGTGAGGAGTCACTGGGGCTCTGGGAGCCCTGGAAAGACTTGGGACTTTAAAAGCTGAAGATTCTTAAGAAGCTACAATGTATATTATTTGTTGTTTTATTTTATTGACTGGTTCTCATAGCATACATATGTATGAAAAACTAGTACTTATCTCTTTTTTATCTTTCTAAGAAGTCTTTGCAAAAAAGAATTATGTGCTGGTTGTGTGTGTCTGTGTGTGTGTGTACACCGGTGTATGTGTGTAATGGGGGAGGTGCTGGTTGTATTATTTGAGAATAAAGAATACAAGGCTTTGAAAAGTCACTTTGCCCAAGGCTACATAGTAAGTTTTTTGGATTTTGTTTGTTTTGTTTTCTTCAAACAGGGTTTCATTCCTGTTGCCCAGGCTGGAGTGCACTGGCGTGATCTCAGCTCACTACAGCCTCTACTTCCTGGGTTCAAGTGGTTCTCCTGCCTCAGCCTCCCAAGTAGCTGGGACTACAAGCACATGCCAGCACACCTAGCTAATTATTTTTTCGTATTTTTAGTGTAGATAGGGTTTTGCCATGTTGCTCAAGCTTGTCTCAAACTCCTGGCCTCAAGTGATCTGACCGCCTTGGCCTCCCAAAGTGCTGGTATTACAGGCGTGAGCCACTGCACCTGGCCTATAGTAAGTTTAACAGCTGGAATTCCAACCTTGTGAAGCATTGATAAGAACTGGAAAAAAAAAAATTCAGAAGAGTAACTTAAACACATATAAAATGCAAATCCCCATGGAAGTGTATTAACTAGACATTACTTACTAGATTTCATTAAATTCCGGTAGATCTAAACATATTGCAATTACATGCACTGATATATTTTTGGAAACTGAATATTTTAATAGCTTTGTTGAAATATAATTAATAAACCGTACATGCCAGTTAGTATAGTCTCAGTGCTGTGCAACCACAACCACAAGGTAATTTTAGAACATTTTTACTCTGAAAGGAACCCCATACCCGTCAGCAGCCATTCTCTTGCCTGCCACCTCCCTCCACCAGTCCCTGGCCACCACCAATCTACTCGATGTCTCCATGGGTTTGCCTGTTCTAAAACTTTCATATAAACAGAATTATAGAATATGTGGTCTTTTAAAAATTCCTTCAAACTCTGTATTTTCCCTAAGCATATATCTAACTGAATTTATGAAACTTTTGCAATAATTTTAAAGGAAAGTTTTGAGTTACTTATTTTCAGAAATGGTAATATTCAATTTTTTTTAATTCTACACAGAAATAAATATCTTTGAAAAGCTCAGCTGTTGGAAGTGAAGATGCTTTGTCCAAATGGAGAAATAAAATTAGGATGAAGAGACGCTAATTTAACTACATTTTGTGATGGGAAAAATGCAAGACATTTATTAGGGAATCCATTCCCGATCCTGCATAAAAGGGCACAAACTTTGGCCACAGAGTATTTTGAAGGGGATACATGATAATATTAATTAAGCATATATATGGGGCCAGATTTATATTTTTAATAGACAAGTTAAAATACCCAAATTCATGCAAGGCATAAGAATGACAGCTTTGTGAGGAGCAAGCAAGGCCTCCAGGAAAGGGACAGGGAGAGAAAGTGGGAAGCGGATGGAGGTTGGGCTGAGGCCCTGGTCTCTGCTCTTCCCTCCTCCCCACCAGCCCGTTTCTCTTTTCCATCTTTTTCTACCCTCTATGACAAATGAGAGTGTATCAAATTCACCTCCAAATGGGCTAATGTATTTTCCATGTCTCCTTTCACTCGGTTTAAATATAGAAACAGAGGAGTGTGGAAAGGCACTAGCCCCAGCAGAGCGGGTTGGCTTTGTCCCCGGGTTCACTCTTGTGTCCTGGACAGGTCACTTCAGGTCTCTGCTCCTCGGATTCCTCATTTGTGAAACACAGGCAAAAACTCAAGGATCTCCACCTTGCTGTGGTGGTGAATTAGTGGGGTAAATGCTTAGCCCAGGGCTGGCTTGCTGTACCCTCCACAATGACTACTTGAAGTGGATCCCAGAGGCTCTTTTCTTTGCAATAAAGACAGTTTAAGAAAACGAGATTTTTAAATAACTTGTCTGCAACTTCTGCAAGAGATGATAAGAGCATATGGTTTCTTTCTAAGCTACTTTCAGATGAACCGTAAATCTTAATGCGTTCTCCTGCACTGGAGGGAGAAGCTGCTAATGCAAGCTCAGCCCTCCTGTGCAGCTCGTAATGAGGCAGGCCCCTCAGTCCCCTCTGCTCCCCAAGACCAGCCCCACAGCTGGGCAGTTGTTGCAATGTGACACACTTGGACACGTAGCTGAGACGTTATTTTGAAAATGAAGAACCAATATTTTTCTTACTTATAAAAGCAGTCCTGCTTCTCAAAGGAGACACCAATCCTGGAAGACCTGGGACAAGGTAGAGAAGAGGTCTTCTCCCCTCATGCCTTCATGGAGAGGCTCATGCTGCTAGACATAGCAACCTCTGTCAGGAAATGTCGCGTCTTCAGCCCTTCACGTAGGCAGGTTTGATTCAGCGTCCTCGTGGCATTTCCTGTTCCTGCCCACTTGTGCTCGCGCACGCGCGATGGGGTCGGCCTTTCTGACATCAGCTGTCTAACCGGTAGGGAGCAGGGTTATTGACATCGGATGTATTTAATGTGTTTAATTTTCATCCATATATCTTCTTGGCTGATCTGTCTTTTTAACTATTTTGCCCATTTTAAATTGTCTCTTCTTTCCTATTATTGACTTTTGAGTCTTTTTAGATGTGAAGTACAAGCCATTTTTTTCAGATATATGGTTTGCAAATGTTTTCTCCAGATCTGTGGCTTATATTTTTTATTCTCTTAACAGTAGTGTCTTCTGACTAGCATATGTGCTTCACTTTGAGTATGTCCAATTTATCAGTTTCTTTTCTTTTATGGATTGTACTTTTGCTGTCAAATTTAAAATATCTTTGCCTAACTAAGGTCGCACAGATTTTTTTCCTATGATTTTTACCATAATTTCTTTTATATTCTACATTATGTTTATAATCTATTTTGGTTCCATTTTTACATAACATGAGATACAGATAAAAGTTAATTTTTTGCGTGAGATATCCAATCGTTCTAACACCATTTGTTGATAGGCTATTGTTTTTCCTCCATGGAATTTTCTCTGCACCTTTGTTGAAATGAACACACCACAGATGTGTGAGTCTATCTCTGGGTGTGGATGCGGCTCTGGTGATCTACCTCTACGTCCTTATGGTAACTCCTTATTCTCAGGCCACCACAGTTGCTGCCGTGCAGAAGAGCCAAGGCCACCAGCGGCCCTGGCATTCACTCCCCTACCAGGCCTATTCCCCAGGTCTGGGTGGAATTCAGAGCCCAGGCTGCCTCTGGCCCCTTCCACCAACCCTGTGCAGATGAGCTGGGGACCAGCCCCAGCACCGGGTGGCCGGTGGCCACAGAGATGGACTCAGCACAAAACTGCTTGGTCCTGCGCTGTGTGGAAGCCAACACCTGCAGCTGGAGGCTGGGCTCACTGTGGACTGAGATGTCTTAGGTTGCTTTAGGCTTTGGAATTAACCCATTTATACCGAAGGTTGCAAATTTTTTTGTGTGAAAAATCAGACCTTGGCAATGGTTTTGAGCAGTAGGATATAAATAACTCCCACAAGCTTAGCGTTCCAATAATGGAACACTAGGCATAAATGGGTTAAGGGCATCTTTATTTCATAGTAGGCTTGTTAGGATTTTTCTCAGTTCATAAATTAAGGGTAGAGAAAGCACTCCTCCCCCAAGGGGAGGGTGAATTCCCACTCTTCCTCCGGGATCTTCCCTGGGAGAGGGCCCTTTTTTAGCTAGCGTGGTGGTGAGCCGGGTTAGAGGTTGTCTCTGAAGAAGTTAAGCGGTTGGTATTTCCTCCCATGTGCAGTTCTTCTGAAGCTTGGTCCTCGGGCAGGGAGGAGGCAGGTCCTCGGGCAGGGGGCAGGGAATCGAAGACCTGCGTGGTCACAGGGGAAGAGAAGAGAAAGGTCCCGGCAAGACAGTGTACATCTAGGGTCGGCTTCCAAAGGACCGGCAAGTGACAACACGGAAAATGTGAAGACAAGCCCAGGGTCATCTTCCGACTCTCCATGTGTTCGTGATGAACCGGAAGTGACGTCACCCTCTGGCATTGTCTTTCGACTCTCAGTGTTCGTGATGATCCAAAAGTGACTTCACCCTCTGGCAACTCATCATTCCAACCCAGAGGGCCAGGCCATGAGGGGCCACGACTAAGCAGCTACATGTGTAAAGCACTCCAGATAGTGCCTGGGACGATCAAATTACTCTAAAGTATATGTGTTGCCCATATAAACTTGTCATACTGTGGGAAATGGTACTGTGGGTTCCGACTTAGAGCCTAATTTTAAGCCTTCTGCTTCAGAATGCAAAGGAAATTCATAATAAATTCCTAACCAGTTTATAGCTGATGTCTGCTTTCAGGGAGCCTGTTTTCAATGGAGAGTCTCCCTTTGTTTCTGACCCACAGTGAGTCGAGCTCTCTCTGATTTTACACAGCAAATTGGTTCCTATGCTGTTCTTCACTTCTTAGAATCCCATCAAAAAGAACACAGAGTAACTGCCTATAGAATCAGGTTCATTGGAGACTGGGAAAACTGGTGAAAGTCAACCAAACATAGAGGCATGGAAGAGTTATAGAAGAAGTTATACAGGAAGATATTCAGTTGGTCTCCACTTCTGAGATGGCTCATTTTTTAATACCTGAGTCTAAACCACATCATGTTTCTATTTTAGTTCCTTTTAGAATTAACATACCTTTATTCACGTCTGATACACTTCAGAACTTTGGCGCAAACCATCTGTTTGGGTCTTAGACTCTTTTCCTTGGACTTCCACCGGGGCTTGCCCGACGCCAGTGGACATAGAGCATGAAAAGGCTTCCTTTATTTGTCACATCCTAGTTTCCTTCTGTTTGAATTGTTGTCAGTTGATACATTAAGGGTAGAGGAAGCACTCTTCCTCCAAGGGGAGGAGAATTCCCGCTCTCCCTCTGGGTTCTTCCCTGGAGAGGGCCCTTTTTAGCGAGGAGTGGTGATGAGCAGGGTTAGAGGTCTCTCAGAGGAGGTTAAATTGGCCCTGTACTTTCTCCTCAGTAATTCCTGAGTTGCACCTCTGCATAAACACACGCAGTCTGACATGGAAGCCTGACTCGGCTGGAATCTGATCTCACCTCTCCTCCCTGTGCACTTGCAGGGACCTCAGCCTCTGCGGGCAGCCCTTTGGGCACCAGAGCCTTTCCTGACCCGGCTCCTGGCCACTCTCCCTAGAGGCTTTACCTAGGGGAGCTCCCTACCGTTTCCCCAGCGAGGAGGAAGCCAGGCCCCTCTTGGGAGAGGTCGGTGATCCAATCCAGGTGACGGGGTCGGTGGAGAAGTTCTCTCAAAGAATGTATCAGACGTAAAGGTCAGGAAGTGTCTAGCATTCCGGAACACTGGGAATTGTGATGACAGCATGACTGTGTGTCCCGGGAGAAGATCTGCTCCGTGGTCTAATGGAATCTATGGTAGATGAAAGTGTCTCATAAAAGGGTTTTTTACTGAATTTGGAAAATTCATGTTTCAGCCAAATGAATCAGAAAAGACTTTCTTTTCTTTTTTTAGCCAGAAGTGTCCATATGTTTTCAGATGCACTAGCAAAGCAAAAGCACAGAAACATCAATTTTCTAAAAGAAGGGCAAAACCACATTTTCTCCCTGGAAAAACTCAAGAGTTGAGAAAGGGAAATTGGACATGTCATTTGGGATTATACTGAGGCAAAGTTGCCATCTGAACAGAAACTATCATTGGCAAATGCAACGTTGCCACCCTCACATCTTCCAGAAACGGCTCCTGACAAGGCTCTGACCCTCACTCACGGATGGTTTCTTGATTCCTTGGTTGGTTTATAATGGCACAGGAGAATGCTCAATAAACGTGATCTCTCACAAATAAAGTGAGCATTCCAACAGGCGGTTCAAGCCTCAAGCATTTTTAGACAGAGCTGGGTGACTTTGTACTTTTAGGATATAGCTGAGTGAATCACTTTGAAGGTGGAGAACAAAGAGAGGGCCCATCATTGCGGAACACAGAGCTCTGGGGGTGAGGATGCTTGGGAGAGAGGCACTGCCCGCTCCAGTTGCATCGTGGACAGCACGCGTAACACAGCCTAGCCAGGCACTGGAGCAAGGTGATGAGCCTTCTCCTCGCTTCACAATCATAATCCTTCTGTTTTCCATTCATAAATGTGTTTCTAGATTTATCCACTCATCTGTATTCAAGCCAAATCTTCATGGTGAAATCCTAAGCAATCTGGCAGTTGGTGGAAAATCGGTATTTTTCAAGTCACTTGAATTGTTCAATGGTCACAAGAAACTACTAGTTGCTTATTTTAGTGAATTATGCTGCATTCAGTAAGTACCCAACATATGTATAACTGGCAAGTTTTACAAACCTTTGTTACTGAATCAGATCAAGGATAATGATAAGCTCAGCTGGCACCTTTCCCACTGCCAGGGAAAGGACTATGTTTATATGTTAAATATTTACCAAGTGGAAAGCACATAATCATTCATTTAATCCAGGCAAATTGAATGACTACTATGTGATGGTTACAACAATGAAACCACAATAGCCCTTCTCTCCAGTAGTCACATCTGCTGTTTCCTGAGAATGACAATATGATTCTTTTACAAGTGTTCTGTAATCAAAACACTTTACACGGGGACTTTAGAAATTCTCATATTGCAGACTTTACTTATTGCAGATGAAGAAACAGACCCAAAGAGGTGAACTCACTCATGAAAATTTCTGGAAGTTAGTAAAAAATAGTTATTGTTATTATTAGAGTGCTTTATTATTGTAACTACAAGATAGTTGTTGAGAACCTAGACAAAGCAAGCTCTGAGACACACCTCTTATGGGTGTAAATTGATACCATTACATAGCAAAGTCACTTGCATTATCTAACCAAATTAGTTTATTTAACTAAATTGGCATTACTGAAAGCTAGAAATCCCACTCCAAAGTATATAAATTCAACTCACAGCTTTCAACCTTTTTTTAATGATAAAAAACAGAAAACATTTAATATCATAAGACAAAACACAGTTATATAAAAGTTTCACAAAACATTAATTTTGCTTACTTTGTGCAATGCAATCTGATTTTTATTGTTTTCTTTTTCCTCCCCTCTCCTCTTTTCTCTGCTGTCTTCCCTTCCCTTCTCTTCCACTGAATTTTATTTATTGAATTAAATAATATTTTCACCACCTATTAAATGTATTTAATGATCCACTAATGGATCAAACTCTTAATTTGAAAAATGCTGCCTGAGAAGAATTATTGTTCTTGTTGCCAGAAACACAAAAATGTGCAAAGCAATGTCAGCAAGAGCAGAAATGTGGAACTATCACAAATGACATGGTTAAAAGGGGCAGTCATAAAATGGAACATTAAATGTGAAGGAAAGTTAGTGAACTATAGGTGTACTTATCTCAGATGTTTCTCAAAAACCAAATGAGTAAAAAACAAGTTCCAGAAGAATGTGTATAGTATATCTACATTTATTTGTTAGTCAAAAACCAACTGAATAATGAATTACCCAGAAATCATATATACAGCAAAGTTATTTAAAAAGCAGGAATGATTTATGCAACATTTAGAATAACTTTTACCCAGGTGGAGGAGAAAGTGGAGGAAAGATAGTGTATTCACAGTTTATGATGTGCATAGGTGTGGATTTTTTTGCATCTATCCCCTTGGGGCTTCAGTGTCTTGTACCTGTCCGTTGCTTTTCATCAGATTTGTGACATTTCCACTTTTCTTTCTTCAGATGGTTTTCTCTTCCCTACTCTCTCCTGACGACCTGATTACATGCCTGTTGGGCCTCTTGACACTGGCACACAGCTCAGTTTTTATTCATCTTTATTTTCTAAGCTTTAATTTACATAGTTTCTACAGATAGACTTTCAAATTTAATCATCTTTCTTCAGCATTCTCCATTCTGTGGTCCGGCCTATCCAATGTATTTTTTGGAGTTCAGATGTTATAACTTTGTGATCTAGAATTTCCATTTGGTTCCTTTTTCTAACTTGCTTTTCTCTGTTCTCATTCTTCATCTGTTCACTTGTTCTTTCCTTTTCCCCCTAAAAATACTTGAATATCTTTATAATAATTATCTTCAAAGTTCTGTTTGCTAGCTCGAATTCTGGAACCAGAAGAACATTCTGTTAGTGTCCTTTTTTTTTCCTCTTGTTCATGAGCCCCATGTCACTTTGCACACCTCTGAATTTTTAATGGTGTATAAAACATTGTATATAGAAGGGAATTGGAATACTCTAATGTTTTGTTTTGTGTTTATCTGATTTCCAGAGAATGTGAGCTCTTTTCTGTGTCTGTGGAGTAAAATGAGGAAGTTATCATCAGGTTTTACCAAAAGTCATGTTGAACCAGTGCTATGCTGTTACTTTTATAAGAATGAGCTCGCTTGCACTGAGGACAGCCTCAAGCCTTCCACTTCCCCACTGTGGCCCCAGTGGAAGGACCGGTCTATTATATTTTCATCATAGAGTGTTTGATCCAGAAAGAGGCCAGGTTCAGCTGTATCAGGCCCTCAATTCCACACACCATGAGAATAAGCAAGACTGTGCAAATTCTGTTTTTCAGTTTCTATTTCACTGACTTTTTCTTTTTTCCTTTTTCCATAAAGTTGATTTTGTGCCATGGATAATATTCAGCATAAACAAATTATTGTTTCATTTGGTAATCTTCCAGATTCTAATCCATCCCACCATGTCCACCATTGCTAATAGCCTGGCTGAACTTACCTTGACCTTGGAGAGTCTAATATTCTTTAAAAGGCCTCTTCTGCTGCTTCCATGATTGAGAGACCCGTGTTTTGTCCCCTGGAACTTCCAAGGCTCTCTAATAATCTACAAAGTGTTTCTCTTGTCTAAATCAGTTCAACAATGCCTTTCTCTTTTCACCATTCATGAATATTCTCATAGATAAGGATAGTTATTGTATATTCATTCTTCTTTTAATGTTTTTTATTATTTCCACAATCAAACATTACAAGTATGTATTGTTTTCAAATATCAATGCACAACGTAAGAGCATATACTAACATTAAAAATTGTATATAATAAAACTGACTATGAATATAGGCGATGGTTCTATTCATCTTGTTTTATGTTTACTACTCAGAATACTGAGCAAAATTTAATACGTTTTGAATTGTCTGTACAATGTTAGTAGCTTTAGACTCTGTGAGGTTGGCAGGTAATAACAGAGAGTGTTGCTTTCTATTAAAATAGACTCTAAATAACTATCGATGAGCATGAGTGTGTCAGTATTTACCAAAGCAGCTGTGGCTGTAACTCCGTTTGTTAGGTCACCATGGTGATAAAGCTGAGGTTGCGGTTTCATCACGTGGGACCAATTAGTTTCACCCTGTTCTCCAGTCACACGTGACATTCCCCTTTCTACTCACTTGGCTGACTTCACTGAGGAGACACTGGGTGACAGAATGCAGATAGATCAGCACACATGTGTTGGTGACTCAGGCATCGGCACACGCGTGTTGGTGACTCATGCATCGGCACATGCGTGTCTGTGAATCATGCCTGGTCATGTATGTATCTTCATACAAATGATTAAAAGTTTATGTAAATACTGATATTATGTAGATATTATTACTACATAAATTAAGTTGAAGTTTGATGGTTGGCGAGGAAACTACTCAGTGACACAAAATATAGTCCTTTAGTCCAGAGCAATATGTTTTTGTATTGTCAAATCATTTTTGTATTAAAAATGCCTGGGGCTTCATTCATAGTAGGCTTTCCTCACATATTGTGGAATTGAGGTTGTTTCTCTAAATATGGACGCTTACGATGGGGTAATTATCTCTATTTGAAAAGTTATTTTTAAATACTTACTGACCTTTTTACTTGATTAGAACTAAAATGACGAAAGTTACTATAACTTACAAGCTAGCATAACTAATGTGCTACCAAATGCTTAAAGAATGACAACATACAGGTATTCCCACTGAATGTTGCCTTAAAGAATGATGGCAGAAGTTTAGAATACCTATTATGCTTAGAATGGAATGGACATAGGGGTGGATTTTCTACCTCATCTTTGGCATTTTTGAAGAAGCTAAGTGCTGCACAAGACTGATAGAAGCTCACAGACTGCTGTGTAGTTTTTAAAACATCTTAATGGTATCTCTTTCTCTCTTCACACACATGGACACACTTCTATACACACAACTTTAAATTAAATAGAAATAATCCTTTTTGGTTAGTTTATTGTAATTATCATTAAAATTAAAAACAAATATTCTATGCAGACATACTCAGAAATATTCCCAAACTTCAACCCTGAAAAAATGACTATATGCTTTACATATAAAATATTTGCAAAAGTTCATTGAGAACTGATTATCCTTAGACTAGACCATAGTTTTAATGGCTCTGCAAGTGGCTCAAGTGGCAAAGAGAGAAATCAAACCCACCTCCCAAAGTTTCTTCCAAAAATGAGAATAAAAGATGAGACTGTTATCTTCTATTGAGTATCTTCCACTGAGTCCTGTTTTGTTTTTGTTTCTTCCTTGGGCCCCTTTGGCTTTCTTTCTGTTTTTAAATGTTTTGTTTTTTGATGTCATTTAATTTTTTTGTTTTATTTTTGTAAAATGTATGATCTATGAACACATCCAGTTTTCATGTCAAGGTTACCATTTCTGAAGTAATACTGCACACTTTTTAATTCGCTGGTTTGATAAGGCCTTTCTTACACGAATCTTTGAAATAAGAATTATGTGATCAGTTAGCTTTATCTGTAATCGTCACTAGGTAGTTTAGTAAATTCTATCATCCTGGGAGATAAAATAGTATATTTTCCCATGTCTTAAAAAAAAAGGGAAGTGACTTGTGAATATATCTAAGAAAATAACTGATATTTTAAAAATCATTCTATCACTGATGCATTTTGTTATGACTATGAGGCTTCCTAAGTATCATTTGGAACCTGTATTAGATTAAGAGATAGTTAAAATGCACTGCGTAAGAGAAAAATAGAAATTTTAAAGATAGAGGGAAAGGATATTGGAGGAAGCTAAAAGGCAAAGAATCCCTGTACCTGATTATCATATATATTCCAAGTTGAAAAGGGAAATATGAAAAGTTTACTTCTAGGAGCAAAGAGGTCTGCTGTTCACTGTTTAAATATGCGGCTTTAATGACCTGCTCAGGTGGGCTATAATACACCTCCACCCATGAGTCTGTAATGAGCATGCGTTATAGAAAAATAGAGTGTGATAGGAAGTTATCATGGGCTGTAATATACCTTCACTGATGAGTCTGTAATGAGCATGCGTTATAGGAAAATAGAGTGTGACAGGAAGTTATCAAGGTTTTGAAAGAGGTGATATATTACAGACAGTGGAGACAGAGTGATGAAAGCACCGAGCATCGGATGTTAAGGTCAACAGCAGATTGGATCAGTGGAGCCCAGCACGGCAATAAGTGGTGCAGCTGGCATTCAAGGGTTTGGGAGGAACCAGGTCATGAAGAGCCTTTAGTGCCATTAACTGGGTCAGCCCTTGTGATTTCGACAGATCATGGAGATGTATCTATATAAACACAAATTGAGAGAGACTAGATTGGGTTAGGGAGACATACCCAACACACACACACACACACACACACACACACACACACACACACGCATGCACAATCTTTGCCAGTTTGGGCTGCTATAACAAAAACATGAATTTATTTTCCACAATTCTAGAGGCCAGAAATCCAAGATTAGGGCACCAGTATGGTCAGGTTCTGTCGAGGGCCTTCTTTCTGGCTTGCAAAGGGGTGCCTTTTTCTGTAACCTTACACAGTAGAGAGAAAGAGAGAGAGCTCTGATCTCTTCATTGCCTTCCAAATGCACTGATCCCATCATGGGGGCTTGGCTCCAGTCTTATGCCCTCATCTAAACCTAATTACCTCCTAAAGGCTGCATTTCCAAATGCCAGTACATTGGGGATTAGAGCTTCAACATCTGTATTCTAGGGCGACACAGTCCTTCAGTTTATAGCATTTCTCCCTGTCCCTCCAAATTTTACATCTTCTCACATGCAAAATATATTCATTTCATCTCAACTGCTTTAAAAATCTGAACTTGTTGTATCAGAAACTCTAAATTCCAAAGTCCAAAGCTTCAACTACATAACCTCTAAGTCAGATTTAGGTGAGACATGAGGTAGAATTTATCCTAGGCGAAATTTCTTTCCAACTATGAACATGTGAAACCAAATAAGCTACGTGCTTACAAAACACAATGGTGGAACAGACATAGCATGGATACTGCCCTTCCAAAAGGGACAAACAGGAGACAAAAATGGAGTGATGGGTACCAAGCAGGACCTGGTGAAGTAGAGGCCCAACTTTTGGTCCACTGGGGCAGCACACTTGTCTGCACAGCTCTGCTGGGCAGGGGCCATGCCCCCAGGACTCCGATGTGTGGTGGCCCTGACCCTAGGCTGCAGGTGACCTAATCTCCACAGCATTGGGTGTAGGCTATTTTGTTTCTTAAGACCCAGGTAATATCCCCCCTCTTTTAAAACTGAAGAGGCAGCCCTGGTCATCTCTGAATTACTATTTGGGTCATTCTTTCCTTTGCTTGACGTACAGTGCACATTGGCAGCTAAACCGCTCTATAGCCCTATTCTGTGATTGCAAGTTCAGCAGTCTTCCTGCATTCTGTTCCATTTCTGTCCCCTTCAGCTAAAAACTGGCAATTGTCCTGGTAGTGTGGTTGACTAGGTCCAGGGCTCATATCCACACTAATCTCGTGTCAAATACTCAGCTTGCCCCACCTCGAGTGCTCTCTTCCTGACATGCTTTTTTATTTTTGTAATATGTACAGGTTTAGAATTTCCAAATCTTCAAAATCTGGTTCCTTTTGGTTAACAATTCAATCTTTATTTCTGTCTTCTTGCATTTTACTGTAATCAGTCAGGAGGAACTAAGCCACTCCTTCAATCCTTTTCTTAGAAATCCACTCAGCTAAATATCCAATTCCAACACTCAGAAGTTCTACCTTCCACAAAACATTAGAACATGAACACAACCCAGCAAATTTCTTTGCCACTTTGTAACAAAGATCCCCTTTATAACGTGTTCTTCATTTTCTTCCTGAGAACTCATCAGAAGATTGTTTATTAACAATATTTCTATCAACATCCTACACATGATTACATTTTATCTCTAAGAAGAGGGACGTTTTATCTGCAGCCTTCTTTTCTTCCTTAGCTCTCACCAGAATTGCCTTTAGCAATCCCTTCAGAGCCGCATCAGCTTTTTCTAGCATGGGCCTTAAAACTTTTCCAGCCTCCACCCATTACCCAGTTCCAAAGCTGCTTCCACATTTTTAGATATTTGTTACAGCAGAACTCTCATCTGATACCAATTTCTGTTTTAATCAATTTGGGCTGCAGTAACAAAAAATGCCATAGACTGTTGGCTTATACAATAGAAATTTATTTCTCACACTTCTGAAGGCTGGAGGTCTGAGATCAGGGCACCAACATGATACGGTTCTGGTGAGTGCCCTCTTTCAGGTTTGCAGACAGCTGCCTTTTGCTCTAGCCTCACATAGCAGACAGAGAGAGAGAGAGAGAGGAGCTCTGATCTCTTTATCCCCTCGTAAAGGTACTAATCCCATGAGGGAGGCTCCACTTTCATGATCCCATCTAACCCTAATCACCTCCCAAAGGCCCTACCTCCAAATATTATCACACTGGGGTACTGAGGATTTGGACCTCAACCAACATATGGATTTTGAAGGGGACATAGACACAAACATTTCCTCCCTTTCTCTCTCTTTCTCCATATGCACGCACACACACATACATATATACAACACATATAAGTACACACACACACATATACAAACACAAACATTTCCTCCCTTTCTCTCTCCATACACACACACAAACACATACGCATATATACACAAACACATACACATATATACACACACATATGTATATACAAACACAAACATTTCCTCCCTTTTTTCTCCATACACACACACACAAACACACACACACATATATGTACAAATACAAACATTTCCTCCCTTTTTCTCTCTCCATACACACACACACACACACTTATATGTATATGTATATGTATATGGTTCCATTTTGCTTAACAATTTTATCTTCAATTCACTCCCATAAATAAATTTTGTTTTCTTTTTGCTTAACCAGAAAATGAGTATTATAATTTTTTCCACTCCTAAAGGAACGTCAAAGCCTATCTAGTGTTGTAATATGTTAGAATATTCAAGAGCCTTTTCAGGACACAGTCTAGTGAAACATTTTACAGGAATTTAGATCATTGCACTGAGCATTTAGGAAAATGACCAGATTTTTCTTGAGGTGTCACTAAGTCTCTGGAACAAATGGCATTCCTTAAACATTCCTAATTGGCATTCAATTTATAAGAACAGGACCTAAATTTGAACAAGGCTGCCATGGACATTGGCCCTACCCTGCTCATCTCTCAGCCTCTTCTGAATATTTTCCCTGCCCATGATTAATTAAAGATAATTGATAAAGTACAACTTTTTCATGGGCAACTTTCATTATCTGTTTTGTTCATAAGACAAGAACTGGCCATGTAATACATACTCTGTAATATTGGCTGCCATAATCAAATGGTGAAAGTTGGAGAATGGAGGTATAAAGACTAGTGATGGAAGGGATATAGAGATACCACTCATCCCCTTTAGGAATATCCAAGCCTGATCAGATGAAACTATCTATTTTTTTCTAATTTTAAGAAAATGGAAATTAGTACTATGCCTACTGAATTGAATCAAGAAATGTGTTCAATGCAGAATATATGGCATAATTTATTTTGCATGTTTTGGATGAAAGTAAGATAAATGGCATTATTTTCTTAAATGATAAATACAAATCATTGGTGAACCTCAAAATGATAGTATGATGTTCCTAACTTTGTCCTTTATAAAAATTCCTCTTTTCTGACTCAAGTCACACATGTTTGATAGAGGTGGAGACTCTTGTTTCTTTAATATTTTTTTTAATCCCAATCCTAGGCCTTTCACTGCAAGAGGTCTATAGAAATTTCATGTTTAATGTAGGCACATCTGAGGATTCCAAACCTAACACATTTTCTCACTCTGCAATCTCTACACAACTTGATTTCCTGCATTCCCATGATCTCAGTTATAACCTGTAATTGAATCTCCCAAATCTATATCCCCCAAAGCATACACACACACACACACACACACACACACATATATATATATATATTCTCTACATGTTTAAACAACCCATATGAAGATTCATGGTTTGTTATATTTGTTTTTAATAGCCAAATCGACTTTTAAACAACTAGATTGTTGAAGGGTTGTTGGAGAGCAAATGTCATAAATCTCACTGAAATTTCCTCTAAATATTCAATTAGCTGATTTAGAGATAATAATCTTCTATACAATGAGCTAATAAGAGTTTACAACTCAAGGACATTTTAGTATTAAATAAGAAAATGCATGAAAAGCACTTAGCAAAGCAAACAGCATGAAAGAAATACATACAATGTTTTATTCTTCCATTAGATAGAAATACCTCATTAGATTTGGTGCAGTCATTTGACTATTTAAATTCTATTTCATCCTTTTTAGGAAATGCATCCTCAAATATTTCATCACTTTTACTCCCAATTTAGCATAAACTTAACTATTTCAATAACGAGACTTTTGTGAAAATAGAATGAAGCATACAAAACAGCTAGCAAGGAATTGTTCATAACTGGACAATGGGCTAATAATACATTTTTATCATGACAGGTCATAAAACAGAGCTCCAACATACTGCATAAAAGAAGTCAAAGATTTAAAATGTAACTTTTTCCTTAAAAAGAAAAAGAAAAATATAACATGTCAGCCCCAACATGTAAAGAATCTGGACACTGTCACTCATATTTTTACAGAAAAAAAAAACTTTCTAAAAACCAGCTCCTGGATTCATTAATTTTTTGAAGGGTTTTTTGTGTCTCTATTTCCTTCAGTTCTGCTCTGATTTTAGTTATTTCTTGCCTTCTGCTAGCTTTTGAATGTGTTTGCTCTTGCTTTTCTAGTTCTTTTAATTGTGATGTTAGGGTGTCAATTTTGGATCTTTCCTGCTTTCTCTTGTGGGCATTTAGTGCTGTAAATTTCCCTCTACACACTGCTTTGAATGCATCCCAGAGATTCTGGTATGTTGTGTCTTTGTTCTCGTTGGTTTCAAAGAACATCTTTATTTCTGCTTCATTTCGTTATGTACCGAGTAGTCATTCAGGAGCAGGTTGTTCAGTTTCCATGTAGTTGAGCAGTTTTGAGTGAGATACTTAATCCTGAGTTCTAGTTCGATTGCACTGTGGTCTGAGAGATAGTTTGTTATAATTTCTGTTCTTTTACATTTGCTGAGGAGAGCTTTACTTCCAAGTATGTGGTCAATTTTGGAATAGGTGTGGTGTGGTGCTGAAAAAAATGTATATTCTGTTGATTTGGGGTGGAGAGTTCTGTAGATGTCTATTAGGTCCGCTTGGTGCAGAGCTGAGTTCAATTCCTGGGTATCCTTGTTGACTTTCTGTCTCGTTGATCTGTCTAATGTTGACAGTGGGGTGTTAAAGTCTCCCATTATTAATGTGTGGGAGGCTAAGTCTCTTTGTAGGTCACTTAGGACTTGCTTTATGAATCTGGGTGCTCCTGTATTGCCATTATGTAATGGCCTTCTTTGTCTCTTTTGATCTTTGTTGGTTTAAAGTCTGTTTTATCAGAGACTAGGATTGCAAGCCCTGCCTTTTTTGTTTTCCATTTGCTTGGTAGATCTTCCTCCATCCTTTTATTTTGAGCCTATGTGTGTCTCTGCACGTGAGATGGGTTTCCTGAATACAGCACACTGATGGATCTTGACTCTTTATCCAATTTTCCAGTCTGGGTCTTTTAATTGGAGCATTTAGTCCATTTACATTTAAAGTTAATATTGTTATGTGTGAATTTGATCCTGTCATTATGATGTTAGCTGGTTATTTTGCTTGTTAGTTGATGCAGTTTCTTCCTAGTCCCGATGGTCTTTACATTTTGGCATGATTTTGCAGCGGCTAGTACCGGTTGTTCCTTTCCATGTTTAACAAAATTGATAGACCGCTAGCAAGACTAATAAAGAAAAAAAGTGAGAAGAATCAAATAGATGCAATAAAAAATGATAAAGGGGATATCACCACCAATCCCACAGAAATACAAACTACCATCAGAGAATACTACAAACACCTCTACGCAAATAAACTAGAAAATCTAGAAGAAATGGATAAATTCCTCAACACATACACCCTCCCAAGACTAAACCAGGAAGAAGTTGAATCTCTGAATAGACCAATAACAGGATCTGAAATTATGGCAATAATCAATACCTTACCAACCAAAAAGAGTCCAGGACCAGATGGATTCACAGCCGAATTCTACCAGAGGTACAAGGAGGAACTGGTACCATTCCTTCTGAAACTATTCCAATCAATAGAAAAAGAGGGAATCCTCCCTAACTCATTTTATGAGGCCAGCATCATCCTGATCCCAAAGCCTGGCAGAGACACAACCAAAAAAGAGAATTTTAGACCAATATCCTTGATGAACATTGATGCAAAAATCCTCAATAAAATACTGGCAAACTGAATCCAGCAGCACATCAAAAAGCTTATCCACCATGATTAAGTGGGCTTCATCCCTGGGATGCAAGGCTGGTTCAATATATGCAAATCAATAAATGTAATCCAGCATATAAACAGAACCAAAGACAAAAACCACATGATTATCTCAATAGATGCAGAAAAGGCCTTTGACAAAATTCAACAACGCTTCATGCTAAAAACTCTCAATAAATTAGGTATTGATGGGACGTATTTCAAAATAATAAGAGCTATCTATGACAAACCCACAGCCAATATCATACTGAATGGGCAAAAACTGGAAGCATTCCCTTTGAAAACTGGCACAAGACAGGGATGCCCTCTCTCACCACTCCTATTCAACATAGTGTTGGAAGTTCTGGCCAGGGCAATTAGGCAGGAGAAGGAAATAAAGGGTATTCAATTAGGAAAAGAGGAAGTCAAATTGTCCCTGTTTGCAGATGACATGATTGTATATCTAGAAAACCCCATCGTCTCAGCACAAAATCTCCTTAAGCTGATAAGCAACTTCAGCAAAGTCTCAGGATATAAAATCAATGTACAAAAATCACAAGCATTCTTATACAACAACAACAGACAAACAGAGAGCCAAATCATGAGTGAACTCCCATTGACAATTGCTTCAAAGAGAATAAAATACCTAGGAATCCAACTTACAAGGGATGTGAAGGACCTCTTCAAGGAGAACTACAAACCACTGCTCAAGGAAAATAAAAGAGGATACAAACAAATGGAAGAACATTCCATGCTCATGGGTAGGAAGAATCAATATCATGAAAATGGCCATACTGCCCAAGGTAATTTACAGATTCAATGCCATCCCCATCAAACTACCAATGACTTTCTTCACAGAATTGGAAAAAACTACTTTAAAGTTCATATGGAACCAAAAAAGAGCCCGCATCGCCAAGTCAATCCTAAGCCAAAAGAACAAAGCTGGAGGCATCACACTATCTGACTTCAAACTATGCTACAAGGCTACAGTAACCAAAACAGCATGGTACTGGTACCAAAACAGAGATATAGATCAATGGAACAGAACAGAGCCCTCAGAAATAACGCCGCATATCTACAACTATCTGATCTTTGACAAACCTGAGAAAAACAAGCAATGGGGAAAGGATTCCCTATTTAATAAATGGTGCTGGGAAAACTGGCTAGCCATATGTAGAAAGCTGAAACTGGATACCTTCCTTACACCTTATACAAAAATCAATTCAAGATGGAATAAAGACTCAAACGTTAGACCTAAAACCATAAAAACCCTAGAAGAAAACCTAGGCATTACCATTCAGGACATAGGCATGGGCAAGGACTTCATGTCTAAAACAGCAAAAGCAATGGCAACAAAAGCCAAAATTGACAAATGGGATCTAATTAAACTAAAGAGCTTCTGCACAGCAAAAGAAACTACCATCAGAGTGAACAGGCAACCTACAAAATGGGAGAAAATTTTCGCAACCTACTCATCTGACAAGGGGCTAATATCCAGAATCTACAATGAACTCAAACAAATTTACAAGAAAAAAAAAAACAACCCCATCAAAAAGTGGGTGAAGGACATGAACAGACACTTCTCAAAAGAAGACATTTATGCAGCCAAAAAACACATGAAAAAATGCTCACCATCACTGGCCATCAGAGAAATGCAAATCAAAACCACAATGAGATACCATCTCACACCAATTAGAATGGCAATCATTAAAAAGTCAGGAAACAACAGGTGCTGGAGAGGATGTGGAGAAATAGGAACACTTTTACACTGTTGGTGGGACTGTAAACTAGTTCAACCATTGTGGAAGTCAGTGTGGCGATTCCTCAGGGATCTAGAACTAGAAATACCATTTGACCCAGCCATCCCATTACTGGGTATATACCCAAAGGACTATAAATCATGCTGCTATAAAGACACATGCACACGTCTGTTTATTGCGGCATTATTCACAATAGCAAAGACTTGGAACCAACCCAAATGTCCTACAATGATAGACTGGATTAAGAAAATGTGGCACAAATACACCATGGAATACTCTGCAGCCATAAAAAATGATGAGTTCATGTCCTTTGTAGGGACATGGATGAAATTGGAAATCATCATTCTCAGTAAACTATCACAAGAACAAAAAACCAAACACTGTGTATTCTCACTCATAGGTGGGAATTGAACAATGAGAACACATGGACACAGGAAGGGGAACATCACACTCGGGACTGTTGTGGGGTGGGGGGAGGGGGGAGGGATGGCATTGGGAGATATACCTAATGAGAGATGACGAGTTAGTGGGTCCAGCGCACCAGCATGGCACATGTATACATATGTAACTAACCTGCACATTGTGCACATGTACCCTAAAACTTAAAGTATAATAATAATAAATTAAAAAAAAAAAAGAAGAAGAAATGGGAACAAAAGAAAAAAAACTAAAAATCACTGACTTCCCTTGGATGAATCAGAGAATTAAGTTTGCAGAGCAAATTGCTATCTTCAAATCTCTCTCGAGAGATGAATACAGAGCATCACAGCTGAGATAAACTTACCTACAGCAGAAGCTGCAGGTGCTATCAATGGTAGCAACACTTAAATGGCATTTTGGTGAATTATCAGAGGCTGAGTTTGGACAAACGTGAGACTGAGAGACTCCAGGAAACGTATTCTTATGGAGACCTCAAAATTTTCCTGGGCTTTACAGCCAGGAAGAAAACCAGTTTCTGCTGGTGAAGATCTGAAAAAAAATCTTCTCAGGAAAGACCTCCTGTTGGCTCAGACAGGCGGATGGAAAGAGTAACAATTATAAACACAACTAGAGCCTTCTACATAACAAAAGGGTAAGGCCTTTGCAAGAGCCTTTCCAGAGCTAAAGGAAGGACAGTTATTCAACTTCAGCTCATTTTAGTTTTTATGTTTCACTTAAGGAAGAAAGGAAGCAAATAAACACTTGGAAAGTCACAGTCCAGGAACAGAGGACTTCTGAAACAGTTACTTTAGAAAAAATAGTTTATTCTAGATTATTTTAGAGTATCTGCCCATACTCTACCACCACATTAACAGGGATTCGATATAATAACAGTGGGTTACAGCAGAAAGAGTGTCAAGGAACAGACTCTCTCTGTGAAGGAGCACTTACAGAAGCTTATAGTATATGCTGCAGACCAAAACATGAAAACTAGAAACAATTAGACACCTACAATTAGATAAGATATTTAATGTATTCTGACTTCTAGCCAGATAAAATTAAAAGGCAGAGATGGTCAGAGTATATGAAAATAGCAAGATCCAACTATATGTTGTCTACAAGAAACCCAATTTTAAATACAGCCACTTACATAGAGCACAAGTAAAGTGATAGAGAAAGATCCATTATGCTAACACTAGTCAAAAGGAAGTTGGAGTAGCTACATTAAATTGAGACAAAACAGACTTTAGAACAAGGACAATTATCAAAGAAAAGAAGTGCATTGTCCAGCCCAGTGACCCAGCAGAAGACATGCCTCTCTGTACTCTGGAAGACAGGCTCATCAAACTTAGTCCCACTGTGGATCTTAGAGTAACTGTCACCCAATTTCAGTCCTACTCAGCTATAGTCCAGGGCAAGACCTTCCCACCCAGAGATCTGCCCAGTAACCCAGTGGGAACTACATCTACCTGTGCACTTGGTGGCAGGTAATCTACAGACCTAACTGTGGACCTTGAAATGAACTTTTGTCCACCAGCCCTATGGACCAAGGTTCCAGAAGCAGTCCAATTCATCCATAAACCAAGCAGGATCCATGCTTGCCAGCATCCCTGATAACAGGTCTGCCAACTGCAGAACCCACTTCAGACCCAGCAGTGGTCACCAAACTTGCCTCAAACTCCACTTTACTACAGTCCTAGAAGTAATTCCATCAGCCCAGGAAACTGGCAGAGAAAGGTCTTTACTTGCCATAACCAATCTTTAAAGACTGGTAGAGGTGTTTATTCTTTCAAAAGCACAGTAACCAATACAGGCTCTACGAATCTCAAAAAATCAGGCAAACAAAACACCATGAAAGGAATCTAATAAAGCTCCAGTAACCTATCCCAAAGAAATAGAGACCTAGAAATTACTTGACAATAAATTCAAAATAATCACCTTAATGAAGCTTAATGAGGTATAAAAAACACATATATACAACTAAACAAAAATCAGAAAAACAATGCATGGATAAAATGAGAATAAATAAACCAAAACCATAAAAAGAACAAATTCGAAATCCTGGAACTGAAGAATTCAATGACAGACTGAAAATTTAATGGAGAACTTCAACAGCAGACTCAGTCATATAGAGGAAAGACTCAGTATACTTGAAGACAGGTTCTTTGACATTAGCCAGTTAGAGGAAACAATAGAAAAACATTGGAGAAAGCATATAAAGCCTATGGGACACCATCAAACCAACAAATATAAACATTATGGAGGTTCCAGAAGGAAATAAGAGAGAGAAAGGGACAGGAAACTTATTTAAAGAAATTATTGGTAAAACTTCCCAAATTTTGGAAGAGATATGGACATCCAAATTCATGAGTCTCAATTATTGCCAATAAAAAAATCCAAAGAAAATTACTCTGAGACACTTTATATATAAACTGTCAAAACTCAAAGACAAAAATAACTTAGAAAGAAGCAAGAGAAAAGCTACTCATCACGTACAAGACAACTGTCACAAGGTTATCAGCAAATTTTTCAGACAAAATTTTGCAGGTGAGGGGGAAAGGGATAACACATAATCGTTTTAATGTGTTGGACTTAAAGAAAAAACTTCCTACCAAAAATACTTTACCTGAAAAAAACTGACCTTCAGAAATGAAGGAGACATAAAAACATTCCCAGACAAACTAAAGGTGAGGGAGATAATCACTACTAAACATGCCTTACAGGAAATGCTAAAAAAGGTTCTTCAAGTTTATTTGAAAGGATGCCAGGTAACAACGTGAAAACATATGGAAGTATAAAACTCACTTTAATGGAAAGAATATAGTCAAATCAGAATTCTCTGTTAGTGTAATGGGGGTGTATAATTACTTTTACTGTAATAAAAATGTTTAAGATAAAAGTATTAAAATAACTATAACTATAATAATTTGTTAATGAACATACAATATATAAAACATGTAAATTGTGATATCAACACCATTAAATGTGAGTGGAGAGGTTAAAATGTAGAGTTTTTATATGTAGACTATTTATAAGTTGTTTTATTTACCTCCTGGTAATCACACAATTAAAAAAAAGCACAGTAGATACACAAAAGAAAAAGAGAAGAGATGCAAACATATCACTACAAAAAATCATCAAATCATAAAGAAAAACAGCAAGAGGGGAGAAATGAAACAAAGATCTTTAGGATAAACAGAAAACAATTAACAAAGTGGCAGTAGTAAGTCCTTACATGTCAATAACTACTTTAAATGTACATGGATTGAATTCTCCAATCAAAAACATAAGTGGCTAAATGAGTACTTTTTAAAAAATTCAACTATATGGTACCTCCAAGAGACTTACTTTAACTTTGATGACACATATTGGTTGAAAGTGAAAAAATGCAAAAAGATATTCCATGCATGTGGTAACCAAAAGAGAGAAGGAGTGGCTATACTTGTACAAAACAGAATAGACCTTAAGTAAAAAGTATCACAAGACACAAAGTAGTCATCATGTAATAATAAAGAGGTCAATTCATTAATAGATTATAACAACTACAAGTACATATGCACTCAACGTTGGAACACTTAAGTATATAAATATATAGCCAAGACACTCTGGGGAATGAAGAACAAAGCCCGAGGCATTAGGGTTCCTGATAGCGAACTGCATTTTAAAGCCTTAATATGATACAGCATTACAAAGCAATATGATACTGTCATAAAAACAGACACACAGACTAATGGAACAGAATAGAGAGAACTGAAATAAACCCACACACATATTCTACTAAGTAATTTTTGGTCAGGGTGCCAAGCATACACAGTGTGGAAAGGATAGTCTCTTCAAATA
This sequence comes from Homo sapiens, assembly GCF_000001405.40. Taxonomy (NCBI): domain Eukaryota; kingdom Metazoa; phylum Chordata; class Mammalia; order Primates; family Hominidae; genus Homo; species Homo sapiens. Next base: position 168,982,716 of record NC_000006.12, read on the forward strand.
AATGGTGTTTGGAAAAGTGAATATCCACAAGCAAAACAAAAGCAAAAACAAATTAAGCCCTTGTCTTACACCACACACACAAAAAATAACTCAAAAGGAAATGAATTTCAGACTTAAATGTAAGATCTGGAATAATAAAACTGTTAGGCAAAAACATAGGGAAAAATCTTCTTGACACTGATTGTGGCAATGAATTTAGTTATGTCACGAAGAACGCAAGCATTGCAAACAAAATACACAAGCAAGGCTGCACCCAAATCTTCTGCACATGAAACGTTTTCATCAGCACGTAGAACATTCCCAGAATAGACTATATCTTTGATCACAAAACAAGTCTGAACACATTTTAAAAGGAGAAATAATATTAAAAATCATTTCCAACCACAACAGAATAAAACTGGCAATCAATAACAAGAGGAGCTTGTTGGAAACTTTGCAAACGCGTGGAAATTAAACAATGTCCTCCTGAATGACCAATGAGTCAATGAAGAACATAAGAAGAAAATTTTAAAATTTCTTGAAGCAAATGAAAATGGACATACAACATACCAAAGCCTCCGGGATACAGCAAAAGCAGTACTAACAAGGAAGTTTATAGCAATAAAAGCTTATATCAAAAACTAGCAATACTTCAAATAAACAACCTAATAATGCACCTCAAGGAGATAGAGAAGCTAGAACAGACCAAATCCAAAATTAATAGAGGGAAAGACATAATAAAAATCAGCGCAGAGATAAATGAAGTTGAGACTAAAGTAAAATACAAAAGTTCAACATAATAGAAAGTTGGTTTTTTGAAAAGATAAACAAAATTGACAAATCTTTGGCTGGACTTAAATAAAACAGAGAAGATTCAAATAACATTAGAAACAAGAAAGAAGCCATTTCTGAGACCACAGAAATACAGTCATTAGAGACTATTTTGAACAACTATATGCCAACAAAATGGAAAAATCTTGAAGAAATGAATAAATTCCTAGAAATACACAACCTACCAAAATTGAACCATAAAGAAATAGAAAACCTCAACAAACAAATAAGAAGTAACAAAATCGAAGCTGTAATAAAAGTCTCTCATCAAAGAAAAGCCCAGGACCTAATGGTGACGTGCACCTGTGGTTCCAGCTACTTAGGAGGCTGAAGCAGGAGGATGACTTGAGCCTGAGAGGTCAAAGCTGCAGTGAGCCATGTTTGTACCACTGTACTCCAGCCAGCCTGGCCGTGCTCACAACCAAAGAAAAAGAAAACACCAAACAAACCCGATTTATATAATGAAATATTATTTAGCCTCAAAATAAAATAAAATATTGCCATTTGCAATAACATGACTAGATCCAGAAGACAATTTGCTAAGTGAAATAAGCCAGATACAGAAAGACAAATACTGTAGCATCTCATTTATGTGTGGAATGTAAAAATGTCAGACTCGTAGAAATGAAGAGTATAATGCTGGTTGTCGGGGGCTGCTTACTGGGAGGATGTTGGTAAAAGGTACAAACTGTCAGTTATAAGATAGATTCATTTTGGGGATCTAATGTATAGCATGGTGACTATAGTTAATAACAGTGTATTATATTTGAGGTTTGCTTAGACAGAAGATTTTAGGTGTTCTCGCCACACACACACACACACACAATGGCAACTATGTGATGTGATGGGTGTGTTAATTAGCTTGATTGTGGTAATCATTTCACAATGTATACATGTATTATCACCTTGTATGTATTAAGTATATATACATGTTGTCAATTACGCCTCAATAAAGCTAAAACAAGAGTGACATTATATAATGATCAATTCTTTGCAAAGAAAACAAGTATGCACCTAATAAAAGATCTTCGAGTTATGTGAGGCAGAAACTAATGTAACAACGAAGAGAAATCAACAAATGCACTGCTACACTGGCGATTTTAAGCACCTCTGTTTAGTAGCAGCAGAGTATTAACCAGGTGGGATTAAAATACAATTAATTATAGAAAGATAGCTGAAATGCTTCAAAATATTTGAAAATTAAGCAATGTGCTACTAAATTACATATCTGTTAAACATGAAGTCCCAAGAGAAATTAAGACAAACGTTCAACAATGAAAATGAAAATAGAAATTACAAAATTTTGTGGGAAGAAAAAAAAACAGTGCTTAGAAAAATTTGTAGCATTGACTCTATATCTTAGAAAAAAAGGACAACTCTGAAATCAATAATCTAACCTTCCTCAGTGGGAGACTAGAGAAATATGGGCGATTTAAACATGAAGCAACTGGAGAAAATAAAATTTTAAAAGTCAAAGCAGAAATCAGTGAAATTCATATCAGGAATACAATAGAGAAAAACAATGAAACAAAAGCTGTTTCTTTGAACAGACCAATAAAATTGATATAATTATAGCCAGCTGACCAAGAAAAAAAAGGAGCGAAGACACAAGTTACCCACATGAGAAATGAAGGAGTAGAGTCCACTACAAATCTCACGAACAGTAACAGGATAGTAAAAGAATCCTATAAACAACTATACCCAGTGAATCTATCACTTTGATGAAATGGGCTGCTATGTTGAAATACACAAACTACAAAAACTTATTCAAAGATAAATGATCTCAATGCGCATATATCCATTAAAAAATTGAATCAATAATTAATAACTATTCAACAAAGAAAACAAAGTCAAGATGGTTTTATAGGTGAGTCCCACCAACCCTTTAAGTAAGAAGTGATGCCAATTCTCTGTCATGTCTTTCAGAAAATAGAAACAGAGATCTCACTTCCTACCTCTCATAATTCTATGTGATCAGGATTACACTAAGGGCAAAGCCAGATGAAAACATTATCAGAAGGGAAACCAGAGGCCATTATCTCTCAGCACCCCACTGAGGGACTTGTTAAAGGGGGACAGGAGCCAACTGAAAGGGGTCCCAGTGGCTAAGCTAGAAGTATTTGAAACAAAACAAAAGTAGTAATGGATTATAACCAAAAGTATAACATATATATCCATGATTCCATAAAAATATAAACAAATGATTAAATAAGTAAATAAATATGAAGGAAGGCAAATTTCCCTGCAGAAGCATTCCCAATAACAGGTAGATAACCCACCCTCAATGGGGGGAAGCACCAACCCTCATTGCTTAAGTATGGATGGCACATAGTGACTTCCTTCGAAAGAATGTGCACAGGGAGGAAGTACAGTGACATCACAGTGGAGAAGCCCAGGAAATCCCTCCTCCGCCAGGTGATCAAGGTGAACGTCAACAGTGATGAATCATGTTGTTTGTACATAACCAGAGTATAATGGGATGGAAATGTCTCTTCACTTCTGTGGTCTTCCTCATACACACAGACAAAATCCGAAAGCCCTGTCCAACCATCAGAAAACACTAGACAAATTTCAATAGAGAGGCATTCGACAAAGCACCCAGCCAGTGCTCCTCAGAGCTGTCAAGGTCATCGAGACAAGGAATGCTCGAGAAACTTTCACAGCTGAGAGGAAGCCGGGAGACCTGAGGACTCGGTAGCATGTGGGATCCTGGGCAGGGTGGGGAAACAGAAGAAGACCTCAAGTAAAAACCAAGGACATCTGAATGAAGTACAACTTGAGTTGTTAAGAATATATCAGTATTGGTCCATTAATTGCCACATGCACCATACTAAAGTAAGATGGAAGAAAAAAGAAATGAAAATGAAATCACTAACACACATTTACCATTTAAAGCCTTTGTTCTTGTTATAAATTTCATAATATAATGAGGTGATTAATACCTTTATTCTTGTATATTAGAAAAAATAGGCTCACAGAGGGTTATTGATGTGCTTAGTGTAGGGTTTGTGAGTAGGACTTAGGTCTAGCTAACACCAGGGTCATTGCCCTTAATTTCTCCTATTTTGTAAACTCTATTTTTTAAATATTCAAGTTTTGCCAGGCCAAAATACAATATTGCTGATCCGTACTGAGTCCTTATTCTGAGCACTGTTCTGACACTCGCTCATTTGATCGCTGCAAACCCTAGGAGATGGCATGGTTATTTTTTCAATATTTCAACTGATGCCATTAAACACAGTTTGGTTAACTTTCCAAAAGGTCACAATGGCTGTAAATAGCATAAAGATTACAAAGTGCCAGACGTTTGAGACCAGCCTGGCCAACATGGTGAAACCCCATCTCTACTAAAAATACAAAAATTATCCGGGCTTGGTGGTGCATGCCTGTAAACCCAGCTACTCAGGAGGCTGAGGCAAGAGAATTGCTTGAACCTGGGAGGCAGAGGTTGCCATGAGCCGAGATTGTGCCACTGCACTCCAGCCTGGGTGACAAGAGCGAAACTCTGGCTCAACAGAGGGAGACTCCACCTCAAAAAATAAATAAATAATACAGTGCCGGGATTCAGACCTGGGCTGCCTGGCTCCAAAGTCATGACTCTCCCTTACTCCAGAAGAGCAACATTTCTAGGATGAGAAATGGCCCATTTAGAAAGCTCGTGGAGAGAAGGTGTGTTGCTTTCTGTGTGCTTTTTCCCTCTGATTCATTTCTCTTCCATCTATGTTTGTCTGATCAGTGTTATTGTGCATGCGTGTGTATGCACGTAACTCTGTGCACATACTTGTATGTGTATGCATGCATCACGTGTGCATCTGTACATGCATTTTAGTGGTACATTGCATTTGTGTCAAGTTTTAGTGAACACATTTATTAAGGACATGTGAGAATTTATTTGAGGATGATTATACTGAGAATTTTGCTTCAGAATTTTGACTGTGCTGCAAGGTCCCACTGTATTCCTTAGCTTTCTATTCTATTCCACTGATCTAGCTGCACCTGTATCATAAAATTCACATTTAAAAATAATGGTTTTATAATGTTTTAAGTGGCATCATTCAGACAGTTGAGGGAGAAAACAGTTGTTTGGCATGAACAGAGCACTTACTCTGTTACAAGATACATGTTTGGTCCTGGCTGTTTTGTGGCCTTTGTGGCATTGCATAAATACAAGTTTTAATATTCTTATCTTTAAAATATAGAAAATAATACCTATTTCATGGTATGCTTTACAAATTAAATAAATCAAAGAATTTGAATGTGGTAAAGAGCATGGTGAATTCTACATTCATATGATAAATTATTATGAAGGGATAATACATAGCTATAATTTATGTCAACTGTCAATGTTTATTGTATTATTAAATTTTCTGACATGGCTGAGGAGGAGCAAAGGAAAATCAAAACCCAGGTGTTTGGTAATAGCACCATGAGCGCTGGCTCTCTGGACCCCTCGGGTGGTAGCATAAATTTGTGTTACCAGTGGCTGCAGGAGAGGAAACTTGGTGGGAAGCCATTTTATTTGAGGGTGGCTCTGAGATGGAGATTCCGAGGTTCAAAGTTGTAAATAGACTTGGGGAAGTGACTTTTGTTAAACTGATAAACAATTGTATTGCTAAAGAGCAAGAGAAGTACTCAGTCACAATTTTATCCCTAGATCCACGTTAATGTGGGTAATTGATCAATTCAAAGGAACTAGTGACAATCAGGGCCACCTGGCCTGAGAGTGACCCCTTCACTCTGGGCTGATGGCGTCTGGTGGGACAGGCCTCTTTTTTTATTTCAGGAGCCTTGCAGGGAGTCACATAAGGTGGTTCCTTTTGGACGAATGCAATCCCCAGGTCACAAATTTTGAATACTCAGAACTTGAGGTCTCAGGCTCCAAGAAACATTGGTTTCAAAACTGTTCGACACGGTTCACTTCAATGGACATTCCTCTTAAGTCGGCAGTACTAAGAATAGTGTCGTGTCCTCCGAGCAGAGTCTGAACATGTTTGCCAGCACACTTCCATCCTTCCCTAGCTTTGGAGATGGGGCAAGAGACTTGGGCTATAAAGCAGAAAATTTTACTTACTCATAAATTTTTGAAAATGGTTTCCAGAGAGGAAAATGACCATTCTCATGACTAAAATGTAAGCCAAATCAAGCCTTAGTCTAGCAAGATGTCAGTAGTAATGGTCCAGTCTTTTCATCAGTGTGTTTTATTTTTTCTTCTCTTTTCATTAGCACAATTGTCTACAAACATCTTCCCATAGGTTCGATTCAACTCAGCACATCCTTAAATGCTGCTGTCTCCCTCCTCACTGTATCCACAAATTCACTCTCAGTCTTTTGCACTCTCTTACTTTCTCTCTCTTCCACTACTGCTTTGAAAAGTCTGTTTAAAGACGTTAAAATCTTTGTAAAAATACTGATAATACTTCTCATTTCCATGTGCTGTAATACCCATTGAATACACTGACTATCTTGTGATGAGTTGGCTGCCTGCAATTGGCTAAAGTCCAACTGCTTGCAATTGGCTAAAACCTGGCTGTTACAAAACAATATACTACCAAGTTCAATGTCTGTGTGCTTAAGTACTAAATTAGGTTGCAGTTTGTTACCCAGGAACTCAAAATACATATACGGCACAGGTTAAAGGCCTTCTGCTAGTGTAACCTCACAAGAGTAAAATACAGAAGGGAGGGTGACAATGACATTTCAAACCCACGCAACATACTTGAAATTATGTTTTTCCCAGAAATAGGAGCTCTCATTCTTTCATTAATGACATTGGTGAGAGATTTATTTCCAAAGGTAATTTCAGTTGGTTGTATTCTTTTCATATCTGTGCACAGAAAATCCTTTCTGTCCAACTCTAGTTCATCCAAGATTGAACTAAGGATAAACACATACTTGAACTGCTTTTAAAGTTTAGCTCGATGTACAAGGTGCCACTGAAGCTTCTGAAAGAACAGAATAGAGACAAGTTGATCTTTAGCTGCAACAATGAAGGACCTTAGCCCTGCTGTTATCACCTTTCCATCAAAGCGATTCTTCCATGACAACCTTTATTCGGCAAGCTCAGTGAGAAATGATATTTTCATGTTCCTCTTCCCATAGCCTGCTTTAAAAAGGAACATCTCACTTAAGAACTTGCCTCATACCCATGTTTCAGACAAAATAATCTCACAATTATACGGGGTTCCCTGGTGAGGTCATTACCACAGAATTACATAGGGTTGGGTTTTGATTCAAAATGTTTTGAACAGCAGTTTTCTGCTGTAAGTTTTATACGCTTTTAAAAGAACCTGACTATTTTAGGGGAATTGCTTGAACCAGGGAGTCGGAGGTTGCAGTGAGATGGCGCCACTGTACTCCAGCCTGGTGACAGAGCAAGAGTCTGTCTCAAAAAAAAAAAAAAAAAACAACAAAAAAAAGAACTTGCCTATTTTATTTTCCCATCCATTTCCATTTCTTTTCTATCTTCTTTTAAAATTCATTAGTACTATGTGCCTGTTTCTCTATGTATCTCGTCACACATTTATCACCAGCAGTGGCCTTCTCCAACCACTCGCAGTTATTTTAATGCAATTTTTATAAAGGCATATAATAATGTGTTCCAAGGCCCTGCTCCAAGCCTTTTACAACTATTAAGTAATTCTGTCTTTCGTGGCTGAATTCATTTCCACAGTACATACGCTGCCACTTCTGCTCAGAAACTGAGCTGGAGTCAGGAAATTCTTTTCATTATGGGATAAGCTGGCTTGTTCTACCCCCAAGTTTAAATCTGAGGATGAATCTAGTTTTTTCTTTTTCCAGCTGGGATACAGCAAACATACAGCAAAGTCTACACAAATCTCTAGCTGATAAAGAACAGTACAAGCAGCACCTGTGCCAAGACCCCCAGAAGGTATCGTCTCTCCTCCTCCCAGATGGAGCCTCCCCTCTGAGGCCTGCCGCCATCAACACGCAGGTCGTAGGTTCCTAGAAACCAGTCCCTGAACTCAGACCCTACCACGCACCAGCCTGAGTTCGCAAACAGACAAGCCTTTGGAGCCAGTCGCTCCACACTGGGGACGCTGTGGGCCTGGAGCCCGTTACTCAGGCGCTCCACACAGGGGCGTTGTGGGCCTGGAGCCCGTTACTCAGGCGCTCCACACAGGGGCGCTGTGGGCCTGGAGCCCGTTACTCAGGTGCTCCACACAGGGGCGCTCCACACAGGGGCGCTCCACACAGGGGCGCTGTGGGCCTGGGGCCCGTTACTCAGGTGCTCCACACAGGGGCGCTCCACACAGGGGCGCTGTGGGCCTGGGGCCCGTTACTCAGGTCTCCACACAGGGACGCTGTGGGCCTGGAGCCCGTTACTCAGGCGCTCCACACAGGGGCGCTGTGGGCCTGGGGCCCGTTACTCAGGTCTCCACACAGGGACGCTGTGGGCCTGGAGCCCGTTACTCAGGCGCTCCACACAGGGGCGCTGTGGGCCTGGGGCCCGTTACTCAGGTCTCCACACAGGGACGCTGTGGGCCTGGAGCCCGTTACTCAGGCGCTCCACACAGGGGCGCTCCACACAGGGGCGCTGTGGGCCTGGGGCCCGTTACTCAGGTCTCCACACAGGGGCGTTCCACACGGGCGCTGTGGGCCTGGAGCCCGTTACTCAGGTGCTCCACACAGGGGCACTCCACACAGGGGCGCTGTGGGCCTGGAGCCCTTTACTCAGGTGCTCCACACAGGGGCGCTCCACACAGGGGCGCTGTGGGCCTGGGGCCCGTTACTCAGGTCTCCACACAGGGGCGTTCCACACGGGCGCTGTGGGCCTGGAGCCCGTTACTCAGGTGCTCCACACAGGGGCGCTCCACACAGGGGCGCTGTGGGCCTGGAGCCAGTTACTCAGGTGCTCCACACAGGGGCGCTCCACACAGGGGCGCTGTGGGCCTGGGGCCCGTTACTCAGGTGCTCCACACAGGGGCGCTCCACACAGGGGCACTGTGGGCCTGGGGCCCGTTACTCAGGTCTCCACACAGGGACGCTGTGGGCCTGGGGCCCGTTACTCAGGTGCTCCACACAGGGGCGCTCCACACAGGGGCGCTGTGGGCCTGGGGCCCGTTACTCAGGTCTCCACACAGGGACGCTGTGGGCCTGTGGCCCGTTACTCAGGTGCTCCACACAGGGGCGCTCCACACAGGGGCGCTGTGGGCCTGGAGCCCGTTACTCAGGTGCTCCACACAGGGGCGCTCCACACAGGGGCGCTGTGGGCCTGGAGCCAGTTACTCAGGTGCTCCACACAGGGGCGCTCCACACAGGGGCACTGTGGGCCTGGGGCCCGTTACTCAGGTCTCCACACAGGGGCGCTCCACACAGGGGCGCTGTGGGCCTGGAGCCCGTTACTCAGGCGCTGCACACGGGGCCGCTGTGGGCCTGGGGCCTGTGACTCAGTTCCCCTGAACTCAGGCTCTCGCAGCTGTAGAGCAAGGGGATGGCTCCCAGTGCTGGGACCTTTGTGTGAATCGCCCTTTCCTGTGTCTGATGCAACTGTCGTCCGTTCTCTTTGCCCATGCTCACTGCATGACCCCGAGGAACGTTACTTTTGGGAGAGGGGGCCTCATCCTCAGAGGGGCAGGCACCGGCATCTCAGCGGGTTCAGGTCCACAGGCAGCTGTACATGTCCCTGCCCCCCAACGTGCCCCTGCCCCCCGGGTGCCCCTGACCCCCACGTGCCCCTGCCCCCCCGTGTGCCCCTGCCCCCCCGTGTGCCCCTGCCCCCCCGTGTGCCTCTGCACCCCATGTGCCCCTGCCCCCCATGTGTCCCTGCCCCCCATGTGTCCCTGCCCCCCATGTGTCCCTGCACCCCGAGCAGCCCCCAACCCCCTGAGCTGCTCTTCCTGCATCGCTGGGACCGCACCTCTCGCCCAGCAGCTCCCAGTCATCTACTAAGCAGAAAATGAGGCGACCTCCCTGGCAATGGACCACTGAGTTCTTGTAACCCACCATCTAACTTGAGCTTTCACGTCTCCTGCCCTTACCCCGCCAGAGCACGTCAACCTCAGTAGGAGTTTAGTCACTGTCTTAGAAAGAGGGCTCCCCGAATTGACCTTTGAAGACAAGACCCATTCACAGACGCAGAAGGGCTGAGCTGCCCTTAGCTGCCGTCTACCACACTCTAGTGGAGAAGATGGATGGCCAATATAATAAATAAGCACACTTTATGGTGCATTATAAAGTGAAGAGGGCTCCAGAGATAAAACAAAGCAGAAGGGTGACTGCGAGTGTTCCTAGCATCTGATATTGTCCTTGACTTAAATGTTACAAAACAAAACTATGTTTAACTAAGTGGGAATATAATCTTTTGAATCTATGTGTCCCATGGAAGATAACATTTAAACAATTTAATGCTCTCATAAAAACGCTTGGTTAACTGCAACATAAGAAATAATGAAAGAGTTATTGATAGGGTCCCCAGGGACACACAGTGAAGTCGTATTTCCAGGATGTAAAAGGCATTCCACTGAGAGATCACTATTGGGACACTCAGAGCCTTGTTTCTTAAGGAATAAATCCTCTGTATGATATCGCTTGCTATGTTCCAATTCTGGAATAGTGCTTAGCACCTAATAGGACTTTAATAAATATTTTTAACCCATAAGTGAATGAGAGGAGAGTATGAAGATGGACGAGAATATCTCATTTTAAACAAGTGCTCTTTAACAGTGAGAATCAGGGGTTATGACTGAGGACAAGGGAACTTCAAATCTGCTTCTTTGTTGAAAGCATGATTTCTGAATTATCTGCAAAGGATTTACATTCTGTCTTCTTTTCATTCTGTTTTTCCTTTTCTTCTTCTTCTTTTTTTTTTTTTTTTTTTTTTTTTTGAGACAGAGTCTTGCTCTGTTGCCCGGGCCGGAGTGTAGCAGCACGATCTTGGCTCCCTGCAGCCTCTGCCTGTTGGGTTGAAGCGGTTCTCCTGCCTCAGCCTCCTGAGTAACTGAAATTATAGGCGCACACCACCACGTCCAGCTAATTGTTGTATTTTTGGAGAGATGGGTTTTTGCCATGTTGGCCAGGCTGTTCTCGAACTCCTGGCCTCAAGTGATTTGCTCACCTCAGCCTCCCAAAGTGCTGGGATTACAAGATGTGAGCCACTGCGCCTGGCCTACATTCTCTCTCTTCTTGGCTAATTTTCAGTTGTGAGTAGACCATTAGCATCATTTGGGTGAGGATTTGTTTATCCTAATGTTTTATTTCATTTTTCTGAGATGGAATCTCGCTCTGTTAAGCAGGCTGGAGTACAGTGGTGCAATCTCAGCTCACTGTAACCTCTGCCTCCCAGGTTGAAGTGATTCTCCTGCCTCAGCCTCCTGAGTAGCTGGGATTACAGGCACTCACCACCATGCCTGGCTAGTTTTTGTATTTTTAGTAGAGACGGGGTTTTGCCATGTTGGCCAGGCTGGTCTTGAACTCCTGACCTCAGGTGATCCACTTGCCTTGGCCTCCCAAAGTGCTGGGATGACAGGTGTGAACCACTGCGTCCGGCCTATCCTAATGTTTTAAAATACCCTAATGATTCGAACCACCTAAGGTGATCAACCTATGTTCAAATGTTTCCATATTTGGGTATGTCTAGAAACCCTATCTGGAGACAGAGATGTCTGTGTGAAGTTACACACTCGTGCTCACACACACCTTGGTGATAATTGTAGCTCAGTATGTTTTGCTGCTTCTGTGGGAAATGAGAGTTTCTTTGCGTGGAGTCACATCTCTTGCACCCATGGCCAGGGCCCAGGGCGTTGCACGCACTCCCAACCCGCACACAGGGCAGGTCCTGGCTGAGGCCTTGGACCGCAGGCTCCACCCCTCCACAACAGCCAGCCCGGGAGAAGCCCTTCTTTCAATTTCCCCTCTAACTCTCTGGGGATGTCTCCCACTAACACTTCTCCCAACTCTAAGGAGATGCTTCCTGGGCTTCTAGCTGCTGTGTGCCCCGCTGCGGTCAGGGGCACTGGTGCACCGAGCTGACACGGGAAACCCAACAAGCACTAACAAAATACAGAGCAGGGGAGTGGGGGGCGCAGGGGGGCGAGGGAGCTGAGAGTGGTGCAGTGAGAGCCCCTGACACATTCATTGTCTACCGAGGTCCTCTTCCCATAAATCTTACTTCTTGTTATTCCATTTGGATTTCAGTTACAACAGAAAACAGGGATTGTGACAAAAATTTGACCCATCACTGCAGTGCCATAGCAAAAGGCCCTGAATATAGCTGAATTGAGGCATGGCCTGCAGCCCTGGTGAGCCTCAGCTCTACCTGGTGAGCCTCTACCCTGGGCCTGTGATGCAGGACAGATGAGCCCCGAAACTGGGGTTTGGCCCGGCAGGGTTCTTGGCTTTACCCAGGAAAGAATTCAAGAGTGAGCCAGTGGTGTTAGACAGCAACCATTCCTGCACGGTGCTGCATCTGGCTGAGCAGGGCTGACCGTGGGCAGGCAGTGTGTGGCTCCGGCACCTGTATTTTTACTCACTTATACCCACTTTTAATTACATGCAAGTTAGGGGCGGGCCAATGCCAATGGAGGGGCAGGTTGTTCAGAACTTTCCAGGAAAGGGGCAGTAACTTCCAGATCATGGCTGTGGAAAGCAGGGGTGACGTCCAGGTCATTGCCATGGCATTTGTAAACTGTCATGCCACTGGTGGGAGTGTCTTATGCCAATGAGTAATGACGGCAGCCAGGGATCTCTTTCCTTACCACCTCCTGGTTCCTGTGGTTTCTTCACATCTGGACCAGGTCCTATTTGGGCCAGCAGGGTTGTGACCAGAAAATAAGCCCTGCCACTGTCCCATCTCAGGTGTCCCATCTCACCTCTCCTGGTCACCAGGTGTGCTATCTCATCTCACCTCTCCTGGTCACCAGGCGTCCCATCTCACCTCACCTCTCCTGGTCATCAGGCGTCCCATCTCACCTCACCTCTCCTGGTCACCAGGCGTCCCATCTCACCTCTCCTCGTCACCAGATGTCCCATCTCACCTCTCCTGAACCAGGCTTCCCATCTCACCTCTCCTGGTCACCAGGAGCCTGGAGGGCATCATGCCACCTACCAGCCGCTCTTCTACACTGGGTGTGCAGCCACACTGAGTGGCCAACAAATGGGAAGGCAGGTGACATCACCCATTTTACTCATGGAACCTCGGCTACACAGGCCAAGAAAATGCCTGCAGGAACGCTGACGTCAAGATGCTAAGGAAGATCCCTGTGTTTCCAGAGCTGGGTGCTTCCCACTACACCGGTCCCTCGTGCGGAGGAACAGGAAGTACGCTCATGAGTGAGTACTGCGGATCCACCACACGGGACCTGCCTATGGCACGGGCTGTTCAAGATCACAGGCCTCACAGAAAGCAAGCTGAGGCCCGGCAGGACTTGAAGATGCATTCACTAGGTCCCGAGAGCCCCGCTCCGGAGGCCATACCGCACTCGGCACTCCACATGTCATAAAGTGCAGTTGTGTTTAATAGATAAAAGTACTATATGTGTATCTATTTCGTGGATGAGGTTTACACCAGGGTGTCCAGTCTTGGCTTCCCTGGGCCACAATGGAGGAGGAAGAATCGTCTTGGGCCACACATGAAATATACTAACACTAACAACAACTGATGAGTTAAAACAAAACAAAACAAAATCTCAGCATGTTTTAAGGACGTTTATGAATTTGTGTTGGGCCACATTCAAAGCCGTGCTGGGATGCATGCGGAGCACGGGCCATGGGCTGGACGAGCTCGGTGGAGACGAATGTGGAGGATGTGACTCTGGAGATGACCAAGCAAGAGGAGGGAAGGTCTTCCTGGACCCGCCCCGAGGCATTCGCAGGGTTGGAACCCCTCAGCCCCGTGCAGCTGAGGGCCTGGAGCCGAGAAGTTTCCATTCGACGGTAACCACAACGGGGAGTGTTCGTCTCCCGGACGTTATGAAGCACTTTTATGTGAGCCTCCAAGTCTGCCTCCAGTGTCAGACCCTTTCTGGCGTGGGGGCTCTCCTACTTCCACTAACATCTGTTGATAGGCTGGGTGAAACCAGCAGCCTTTCATTTTCAACAAAATGCACCTCAGCCTATTTTTGAAAGGTTCTGGCAAGTATTTTCTGCATAAAATTTCTTTTTCCTTCACCACTGCATTTGCTGAGAATATCAAGCCATGTGTATTTGATTAAGTTACGATTAACATTTTGAAGAAGCTCTTTATAAGAAATGATTAATGAGGAGAAATCCTTGGAAATTTTTTTCTTTGAACCAAATCTTCCCATTTGGTCAAATGAAATGAAACTTGAAATCAGTTTCTTAAATTGATTATACAATTAGCACTGTATATTTGACTAAATGCAAAAAGATTTAAAATTCAATAAGCAACATAAATTATACATAGTAAATTATTCTACATTTTCAAATTTTTTATTTTAAAATAACAAACTCCACTATTATGACTTATGAAATGAAATTTATTTAAGTCAGTAACTGTGACTGTACATCTCACAAAAATTAAATTACTTCTAAATTCAGCAATAAATTTTAAGTACACAATTATAGTCTCAGACTATAAATTGAAATCTCTCAAAGTACAAAGTATGAATAGAATAACCAAAAATTGATGATTTGAAGGAGTCAAATTTGAGTTCTCCTGAATGCTGAGGGTAGAGCAGCAATTTTGATTATGCCGGAATATTAGGGCTGGGAGCGGTGGCTCTCGCCTGTAATCCCAGTACTTTGGGATGCCAAGGTGGGCAGATCACCTGAGGTCAGGAGTTCGAGACCAGCCTGACCAACATAGTGAAACCCTGTCTCTACTAAAAATACCAACAAAAAATATTAACCAGGTGTGTTGACAGGCACCTGTAATCCCAGCTATTTGGAAGGCTGAGTCAGGAGAATTGCTTGAACCCAGGAGGCGGAGGTTGCAGTGATTTGAGATTGCGCCACTGCACTCCAGCCTGGGTTACAGAGCGAGACTCTGTGTCAAAAAAAAAAAAAAAAGAAAAAGAAAAAAGAAAAAAAAAAGATTATACCTGAATAGATCTGGGATAAGACTTGGTGGGCCCGGGAGTGCCTGCACACTCTTCATGCCTGGATGTCTTTTCTGGGCCCTGAACAAGCATTTCTATCCCTCAATTACATCCCTCAATTTCCACTTTCTCCTCAATTTCCTGTCATAACCTCAAAATTAACATGTTTAGTTTGTACAATATCTCCCTTTTTTTATTTTTATTTTTATTTTTTTTGAGACTGGGTCTCTCTCTATCCCCCAGGCTGGAGTGAGGTGGCACAATCTCAACTCACTGCAACCTCTGCCTCCTGGGCTCAAGGAATCCCCCTTCCTCAGCCTCCCAAGTATCTGGGACTATAGGTGAGTGCTACCACGCCTGGCTAATTTTTTTTATTCTTATTGTAGAGGCAAGGTCTTGCTATATTTCCCAGGCTGGTGTTGAACTCCTGGACTCAAAGGATCTGCCTGCCTTGGCCTCCCAAAGTGCCAGGATTACAGGTGTGAGGCACTGCACCCAGCCCAATATTTCCCTCATTCTTAAACAAAATTCTTGCCTTATTTCTCTGCTGATAAACTGTAAATTCACTTAAACAAGATTGTTCTCTTAATCTTAAACAAGATTCTCCCCTTGATTTCTCTGTTGATAAACTGTAAATTCGCTGCTAGCTATTTGTATTGCCACACATTCATCCAGTTGAAGTGCACAGCTTAGCGCATGTTTTCTTTTTGTCTTTACTCACATGTCCTCATCTCGGTGATTTCTCTATGACCAGTTATTTAAATCTTCAGTATCTTTTCTCGATGGTTTGTATGTCCTATCTCTTCTTTACCATTTCCCTTGATGCTTGTCGTTAACAAATCTGCCCCTGTTCTCCGGTTTTTAATCCAGCATCCCTCAATGAGATCAACGTTTTTGTCTGTGTTGCTCACTGCACCCTCAGAACACAGAACAGTGGCTGGCACATAATAAACACTCAACAAACATTGATTAACTGGAAACCTGGGAGTGATTATAGCAATGGGTCCTGCACAGGACCGACTGGATTTGGGGGTTGGAAAGTAAGTGCTGAACCTGTCAGGAGTAGTCTCAGTGAAATAGTGTGGTTAAGACGAAAGGAAGGAGGGGGAGGAGAGAATCAGTGGATGCTGAAAACCTACGCAAACTTCCTATGGTATGGAGGAGAGTGGTGTGTTGAGTGGTAACTAAGAAGAGAGGTAAGATCAGGGGAGGTGTTCTTATGGATGGATGCGCTTGAACACGCTTAGTGTCTGTATTAGTCAGGGTTCTCTAGAGGGACAGAACTAATAGGGTAGATGTATACATAAAGGGGTGATTATTAAGAGAACTGACACATACAATCACAAGGTGAGGCCCCACAGTAGGCCATCTGCAAGCTGAGGAGCAAGGGAGCCAGTTTGGGCCCCAAAGCTGAAGAACTTGGAGTCCGATGTTTGAGGGCAGGAAGCATCCAGCGCGGGAGAAAGACGCAGGGTCAGAGGCTCAGCCAGTCTAGTTTGTTCACGTTCTTCTGCCTGCTTTAATTCTGACCATGCTGGCAGCTGATCAGATGGTGCCCACCCAGATTGAGGGTGGGTCTGCCTCTCTCAGCCCACTGCTCAAATGTGAATCTCCTTTGGCGACACGCTCAAAGACACACCCGGGAACAGTACTTTGCATCCTTCAATCCAATCCAGTTGACACTCAGTGTTAACCATCACAGTGCTGACGAGAAGTTGTTAGAAATGAAGAGGTTGAGAGGAGAAAGACAGATCACAACTGAATGAACCAAAGGTCTGAGGCGAAAGGAAGGGAGCTCGGGAGGCACAGGGTGGGATCAACCTAAAGGAAGGAGGGAAGACCAAAAAAAAAAAATCTAAGTAACTTTTTAGGCTTTAATATAAAATGTAAAAGAAATTTGCATGTGGCTTCTGTGTTTTTTCTGTTTCCCGAGGCAGGGAACCCTGTGGTGGTGTGAGGATGCTGGAGGATATTTGAAATAACTATTACGTAAAATGGCAGGGAGGAAAGCGATGACTCAGGCGGTTTCATAGCACAGTGGGCACGGCGGAGCGTCCGGGCGAGGCTGCTGACTCTCGATGGCAATACCAATCTCAAATTGGCACTGAGATGTAAAGCTGCTGCCGCGTTCACTTTTAGTTCTCTTATTCATTATGTTTGCCCGGTTTTGTGGGTGTGGTGTCATTGCTGTGCTGCTCCTATCTGCACTGACTGCTCCTAGAACTGGGGAGACACAAAGAATGTTGGGGTGCTGTGGTTGAAAAACCCCGGCTCAGGGGGTGTTGATGTGGTTGCATCAGCTCCCATGAATGACTCCATGGGCTAAAATTGAAGATTAAGCAAATCAGGCTTGAAAAAAGGGCCATTTCAGCTCCTGGCTTGGGAGGATAAGCAGAGTAAGTGGGAAAAGGACCATGGTTTGGGATTTTTTTCAGGGGAACGAAAGAAGGGAAGATATGTTGTTTCAGTGCCGTTTTGACTCATCTGTAGGAATAAGTAACTTCAGTGGAAGGAGCCACCCCCTGCATTTTACAGGGTGGTTGTAAACCTCAGGCGTATATGAAAGCGGCCCTGGGTTTTTGAGTTACCCTCGGGCTGTGTTTCCAGTGCTGCCCCGGTGCCTCTGCGGTGGAGGAGCTAGATGCGATTTCACACGGCGAAGGGAGCAGAGGGGTTCCCTGGCTGTGGAGCTCCTGCAGCGGAAGCCAGAGTGTCCATCACCGTCTTCTCTTCACCCACAGCGAGAAAGGAGCATGGCGAATGGGCCGGTATCTGCCCCGATGTCTCACCTTTCCTAGGAATTCAGGCTCCTCACGTATTCCTTGCATATGTAAAGCAGAATGGTGGGTCTCTCCCACCCTCTTCCTTCAGAATTTATAGGAATGCATTCTGGGCAGGCCTGCCCTCCGAAACCCCAATTTCCTCGCTGTTTGTCTTCATGCCCCCTCTTTCCTCCCATGCAGGGCCCAGCCATGTGGACAACGGGGAGGAGCTGGGGCTTTGGGCACAGCCCTGCTGCAGAGCCTGGGCCTGAGCAGCTCTTTGTGAGCCAGGGTCCTGTCACATCCGTCTTCTGTGCCGTCAAATGGATGCCTGCTGACAGTAAGATATGGGCATCAAAGGGAAATATATAGGAATGATCCCTAGTGCCTGATTTGATCTGGAAATGCTCAGACCGTCCTAGAGCAGAAAACAAAGTGGTGTCCTCTGCATGGCCCGGCAAGTCACGAAACACGGGGTCTGAGGCTACTGTGATCTCTTACCCAGCCCATCCAAAGTAAAGCAGAGTTTTGCTTGATTTTCCCTCTGGGTTTGTTCCAACTCCTTCTGAGACCCCATGGGGAAAACAGGAGGCTCGGTTAAATGAGGATTCGGAAACTCAAGGGTCTGCTGGAACGCTGAATTGTAACATCATCTTCACGCTACCCCAATCCGCATGGCTAACATTTTTATAGGAAATGTGTCCCCAAAGTGAACCCTACAGCTTTCAAAGACAGCATTGTAAAAGCATTTATAAAAGCTTCAGGGCTGGAAATGGGGGGGAAATAGAGTAATAACAAATATAGAAAAACCCAATCATAAAGGTAAAGGCAGGATTTGACTGACACTCCCCTGAAGGGGGGGCAGGGGTTGCCCTGGCTGTCCATCTTTCTAACTCCAAGTACATTCAGCAAACAGGACACAGGGCCACCTCTGCCTTCTGGACGAACCTCTGCTTTCCTGGCTATGACACCACTGTGCACCTGCTGATGTGTGCACACAAATGAGGCAGGCTTGGGGTGAGAGATGCCCAGGCAGGAGATCAAGCTGAAGGGACTCTGCTCCCAGATCACCTTGAACCTGAGATGTACTGCAGGTGCGATCTGTTCATACTAACAGCAACAGCTAACATGTCAGCACCTCACGTCCCATGCCAGACACTCTCAGGATGGTGCGAACAGCTCACCCTTGAGCAAGGCAGGGTTAGGGGTGCCAACCCCTCTTATAGTCAAAACTCATGCATAACCTTGACTCCCCCAAAACTTACTACTCATGGCCTGCTGTTGACCCGAAATCTCAACAATAGCATAGTCAATTAACACATATTTTATCTGTGTTTATATGTTTATATTTTGTATGTGTGTTATATGCTGTATTCTTAAAGTAACTAGAGAAAAGAAAATGTGATTAAGAAAACTGTAAGGAAGAGAAGATGTATTTGCTATTCATTAAGTGGGGATGGATCATCATACAGGTCTCCATCCTCATGGTCTTCACATGGGGCATGCAGAGGAGGAGGGGGGCTGGATTTGCTGTCTCAGAGGTGGCAGCAATTAGACTTTAGTCTAACCCCAAGGAAAACGCCAGGCAAATCCCAGTAGAGGGAAGTCCTACAAATACCTGACAAGTGCTCTTCAGAACTGCCAGGGTCACCAGGATCAAGCAAAGTCTGAGAAACTCACAGGCAAGAGTGAGCCAAGGAGGCACTACCCACCAGAGAGGCTCCAGATGAAACCCTGAAAGAGAAAGGGATGTCGGGTGAAAATGAAGGAGGTCAGAGTGTGGACTTTAGTTGGTCAGACTGCACCAACAGTGTCCATCCATTGTGACAAATGGGCTACACTGACATAAGCTGTTACCCCTGGAGTGTGCTAAGTTGGTCATGTGGCTGGATGTGATTTAAGATGATAAATGGATTAGAATAAACAGATGGGGGCCTGGTGCAGGGCTCACGCCTGTAATCCCAGCAATTTGGGAGGCTGAGGCAGGTAGATCACCTGAGGTCAGGAGTTCAAGACCAGCCTGACCAATATGGTGAAAGCTGTCTGTACTAAAAATACAAAAATTAGCCGGGTGTGGTGGTGTGCACCTGTAGTCCCAGCTACTTGGGAGGCTGAGACAGGACAATTGCTTGAAACCAGGAGGCAGAGGTTGCAGTGAGCCAAGATCTTGCCACTGGACCCCAGCCTGGGTGACAGAGTGAGACTTTGTCTCAGAAAAGAAAAAAAAAAGAATGGACAGATGGGTTATAAAAACTCTGAATTACCTTTGCAGTTTTTCTGAAAATCTAAAACTGCAAGCATAAAACTATTTATGAAGTTTAAAGTTTATTAAAAATTCTGGAGGCAAGCAGATAGAAAGACATTTCATAGTGTAGAACAATTATGAATTTGTTTCATTAGAAACAACAGAAGGCACAAAAAATGGAATGATGTCTTTTAAGTGATAGAAACAAAATATGCTAATCTTGATGTCCACATATGATGAAAATATTCTTTAAAAATAAAGGCAGAATAAAGATATTTTCAGATGATCAAAAGCTGAAAGAATGTGTTGGCAAATTTACCACACTAGAATTGCTAAAGAAGGTTTTTCAGTCTGAAGGGAAATGGAAATTTTGATTTATAAAACTGTTGGAAATTGTAAAAATCCGGATCAGTATAAGTGACTTTTTTTTAACTAAATATCTTTAAAAGCTAACTAATTCTTTAAAGTAATATAATGCATAGTAGGACCTATAACGTATGTTGATTTAAGAGATATAATCTACAGTAACACAAAGGTTGAAAGGAGATAAATGGCATTTTACCATTGGAAGGATTTTACATTATACACAAAGCGATAGATTAGTTCAAGTAAATTTTATTAAATTAGCGATGCATATTTATAAACCCTATAGTAATACTAAAATATAATGTAAAGATTTATAGTTATACAAACACGATAGAGGTGTAAATTAAAAAATCCTAAGGCCCCACCAACGATCTGAATGGACTTCCTTCTCGGCCAGGGCACTCTTTTTTTTGAGACAGAGTCTTGCTTTCCCCACCCTGGCTGGAGTCCAGTGGCACAATCTCGGCTCACTGCAACCTCCACCTCCTGGGTTCAAGTGATTATCCTGCCTCAGTTTCCCAAGTAGCTGGAACTACAGGCACCTGCCACCATTCCCGGCTATTTTTTGTATTTTTAGTAGAGATGGGGTTTCACCATGTTGGCCAGGCTGGTCTCGAACTCCTGACCTCAGGTGATCTGCCCGCCTCGGCCCCCCAAAGTGCTGGGATTACAGGCATGAGCCACTGTGCTCTCAGCCAGGGCATTCTTAAAATTTAACCTGAAAGGCTGATTCAGGGAAGTGGGGGTCAGACAGCCCTCACTGTACTTCTCTGGCGTTAATGCTGCCTTCTTGCCAATGCACCACAACGTTTCAGTCTTGTTGTCTGAGGTAGTACCCAGAGTTCTTTGTCTCCTGACCAAGAAAATTAAGGAGCGTGGACACAAGGGTGATGTTGGAGAGAAATTTCAATAAGTGAATGAAGAAAGTTCTCCACAGCAGAGAGGGGGCCTGAAAGAGGATTGCTCTTTTTACAGATTAATCCAAAAGCATTTGTAAGAAAAAGCTTCCCTCATCTCTGTAGCTGTTTGTGTAACTTCCCTTGTCCGTGCAGTGGTTGTCCATGTAACTCTCTTTATCCGTGCAGCTGCGGGTGTGTCTTAGGTAAGCACAAAGTGCAGCTTCTCTTGTTTGTGGAACTGCAGGTATGTTTTAGGTAAGCCCTCCTCCCTGTGCAAGTTCCCATGGACCCCACCATGCACATGCCTGAAAAGGGGAGGAAACTTTCCCAGGAGCCTGTGTATTACCCAAACAACAAAGGCTTCTATGCTGGGCCTTGCTCCATTATCTGTGCAGCTGCAGCCCAAGTTCTCCCCATGCTGCTCTCTCTGTGCCTGTAGCCGTGCTTTTTCAGCCTGCCTTTCTGTTTGAAAGAATTTTACCAAAGACCAGATTTAGCTGTCTGCTCAATTAATTTTTCCTTTTCTCCTCCCTCATTAACATCAACACAGATAAAACACATTTTACAACCTATTCTCTCTGAAGCCTCCCACCCGAAGTCTTCCTTTGCAAATAAGAACTTTGGTTTCCACAATCCTTTATCTTCACCCAGACATTCCTTTCTATTGAACCTAGGTCTTTAGATAAACTCAACCAATTGTTAACCAGAACATTTTCAAATCTACCTATAAGCTAGAAGCCCCCCTTTAAGTTGTCCCACCTTTCTGGACCAAACCAACGTATTTGAAATCTTGTGTCTCCCTAAAATGTATAAAACCAAGCTGTACCCCAACCACCTTGGGCACATGTTCTCAGGACCTCCTGAGGGTCATGGGTCATGGTCACTCATATTTGGCCCAGAATAAATCTCTTCAAATATTTCACAGAGTTTGACTCTTCCTTGACAGAGGAGTTAAAATGAAATCTTAAAAAAAAAAAAATCTTAATCCAAAGTAAGACAAAAAAAAGGAAGCAAGAATAAAAGAACAGAAGATATGGTAGCAGATGTTACCAAGACAGTAGACAGAGGAGAGGAATGTGAGGATGGTGAAGGAAGAACGGTGCAGCAGGAGAAAGGTGGCTGCCAAGGAGAAGAGTTTGTAGTAAGAACCATGGACACACAAAAAACATCAAAGTTTGCATTTTTCTTTGTTAGCAAGATAGAGAGGTGCAAAAACCATCCCTGATGCCCACCATCCTTCCTAGACATCCCCCAAGTGGTGCAGCATTCTCAGTTATTAACCCACCAGTTATTTGAAGAAATTGCTCAGATCTCAATGGAAGAATTTCCAGTTAAGGAACAAGAGGAGCGAGACGTTATTTTTAGTAATCATTGGTTTTCAGTTGGCTCAACTGCACCAAGTTCCTATGAGATGTAATCTCTTAGGTCATGAATTGAAACACTGTTTGCAAGCAAGTGAAGCGCATGGTCTCAGTTCCCTCATTGAATATAAAAATTCTCAGGCAAGCCATTTGACGTAAAAATAATGACTATTCCAAAAGGCTATTCTTATAAGCTCTAAGACATTTATGACTAAGCTATGTGTGAAAAGATTTCAACTTAAGCACAGAGTAAGTGGAATGTGCTATTTCTATCAAGGTATTTTAAGCTGTAGTCATGTTTGACTTATTTATTTTTACATGTTCCATGGCTTTCCAGGGACGCTGCGAGTTCCCCGGGCTGTCTCCTGCGTCAATACGCTCAGGATAAAAGTGATTGTGTAGCTTTCCTCAAACAAGCAGAAATAAAAATAAAAGTTGTCAAAGGCTTAAAGATAACATGCTACCTTTGGAGGTAACTGCTTCTACACAGCCTGAAGTTCTTTTGGTTCTAAGGAATTCCTTCCAAACGAGATAAACGAACCCAAAGTTCATGGTGACCCATGTGATTCCCCACTAACTACCTTCACCACGATTGGAACCACTCACACATGTTGAGTCAAAGTTCGATCCCAGAAAGCGTGAGCATGAGGAGCCCCAAGCAGACAATCTTGCTGTATGTCCTCTCACTGGCAACTTGGCGCCATGGAAACAGCAAGGATTTGGGAATCAGAGATGTGGGTTTCAACCCAGGTCACCTCATGTGTGAAGTTGGGATAATAATGGCCTTAGCAGAAGAATGTGGAGATTAAATGACAGCAACCTTCTAGCACAGGCCTGCTCTGGCAGATAGCAGTGAATATTGGTTTTGTTGATAAGAGTCAAACTCTGTAAAATATTGGAAGAGATTTATTCTGAGCCAAAGATGAGTGACTGTGGCCTGTGACACAGCCCCTAGGAGGTCCTGAGAACATGTCCCCAAGGTGGTGGGGCACAGCCTAGTTTTATACATTTTAGAAAGACATGAGACTTCAACCAAATACATTTTAAAAATGCATTGGTTCAGTTCAGAAGCATGGGATAGGTTATAGGTAGGTTTTAAAATTTTCTGGTTAACAATTGGTTGAGTTTACTTAAAGACCTGAGATCAATAGAAAGGAAATGTCTGGATTGCCATAAGAGGTGGGGGAGACCAAAGCGTTTTCCTGCAGACAGGCGTCCAGGTAGCAGGTGTCCTGGAGAATGGATTCTAAGTGTTTCTCATTAGACTTTAAGGTCTGTGTTGATGTTAATGCTGGAGGGTGTAAGGAGGCCTGCCTGGCCCCACTTCCCTTCATGGGCTGAACCAGTCTTCCAGGTTACATTTTAGAGCACCCTGGCTCAGGAGGAAGTCCACTGAGAAGATTGAGGGACCTTCAAGTTTTATTTTTGGTTTACAGTTTCTTTCTTCTTTCTTCAGCGACTTTGACCATATTTGGACTTACTGAAACTATTCTGAAACATGGATTCTCTCTTGAACCCCAGAGATGTTTTATTAATTTTCTGCTGTGAAAACCAGTTTTCTTAGTGGCTGAGTTCCCAATTCCTAACCACCACAATACCCATGATCCATATTCTGTAACCAGAACTAGACTTCCCAAACGCCCAATGACCACGTAGTTATTCAAAGCTTTATTCTTACCTGCAAGCAGAAATTTGAAGATAAAAAAAAAAACTTTCAGGTTATCACCCTTTTTTCAGTCATGTAGGATTTTAGGGTTTGGGTAGAGGTCGTCCTCAAAATGTTATTAAAGACAATAAACACACCTTGTGTTTTCCTTCCTTTTTTTTTCAGTTCTCTGGAATTCAATTTGTTGTTTTGTAAAAATATCTGCTGGAGGCAATTCAAGATGCCTTTTAACTGATAAAGAGGGGACTTTCAAATGCAGATCTTAAAGTCCTGAGTAAATATACAAGACAATAAACTATTATTTGATATTTTTCTCTTCCTTGTTTAGCATAGTTATTTAGGCTTTTCTGGTAAAAATAAATGGATATTTTTGGTAACTAATATGTACTTTCCATGCTGGATATAGTATAGCCCTTAAATGAATGTTTTAGCCAGCTTTCATTTTGGGTGTAGATGGTAATCAGTCTTTCTGATAGCAAAACAGAAAGAAAACAATAAAATCAGATTCAAGTGACACATTTCCAAAACAATAAATTTCCCTGGTTATTGCTACAGAATCTGATAAATTTGGTGAGTTAAAACAGTAATTGGAACAAAAGTTCTGTATCTAAGTTTCACTTCATTTGATATTTATCAAGTTTATAAAGTTAATTAGTATATATACTCTTCAGCCTATAGCTTCTCTTGGATGAGGTGTAGTTATAATGCCTTCTTCAGTGAGTATTTTATTATAATTAAATGATATGTTGCCATTTTTGTGGAATAAATCTTTTGAAGGAAATAGATATTAAATCACCTTAAGAAGACTGAGGGGTGAAAATATCACTGTGTAACAATTTTCATGTCTTTAAGTGATAATACGGGTAAAATGCCACTTATTTTACCCAATCAAAGTATTACTGTTTAATTTACTATAGATCACATTATAAGTAGAAAAAGCAAAGCTAATTAGCCTTGGATAATGTCACCTCCATACGTAGAGTGGCATGGAACAAGGATGGCTGGACCGGCATGGGGAGCTGCCGCTATGTCCACGTAATTCCGGCTGGTGGAAGAAGTTAGAGAGAAGGAGAAAACCCTTACTGTTGGGAACCCTGAAAATCTGAGACAGGTCTCAGTTAATTTAGAAAGTTTATTTTACCCAGGTTGAGGATGCACACCCATGACACAACCTCAGGAGGTCCCAACAGCATGTGCCCAAGGTGGTCAGGTTGCTTTTACGCATTTTAGGGAGACATGAAACGTCAATCAACATATGTAAGATGAATACTGCTTCGGTCCAGAAAAGTGGGACAACTCAAAGCAGAGGCAGAACGAAGCAGGGAGGGGGCTTCCAGTCACGGTGGAAAAGAGACAAATGGTTGCATTGTTTTGAGTTTCTGAGTAGCCTCTCCAAAGGAGACAATCAGATATGCATTTATCTCAGTGAGCAGAGGGGTAACTTTGAATAGAATGGGAGGCAGGTTGGCCCTAAGCAGTTCCCAGCTTAACTTTTCTCTTTAGCTTAGTGATGTGGGGGCCCCAAGATGTATTTTCCTTTAACCCTGTGGATACCACAGGACCCCAGTGTCACCAACAGTTTTGCTTCCTCATGGTACCTTGTTGTACCTACCATCATCTTCCCCCTAAGCCAGGTGTGTTTCTATTTTTTAAAGTAACTATTGAAGTCTAATTCACGAATAAGAAAATATACTTCGTTTATACTTCAGCGAATTCTGGCCAATATAAACTGGTACAGTTGTGACCAGATGGAGGGTCCTGATGATGAGTCGTCTAGGTTCTTGGCACATTGAACAAAGACTTGAACAGCACACATGAACAACGAAAGCATAGATTTACTAAAGCAAAAGACAACAGAAGCATAGACTTAAAAAGGCCAACGTACACTCCACAGGATCGGGGGTGCTCAAGCAAGGGCACAAGAGCTCTGGTTACAAAATTCTCTGGGGTTTAAGTGCCCTCTAGAGGTTTTCCATTGGGTAAACTTTATGTAAATGAGGGATTGAAGTGAAGGTTTGGCTCATGGCCAATCAGAGGCTGAAATAGATTGGAGCCTTATGCAAATGAAGGATTAGCCCACTCTTGGCCTGTGGCCAATCAGAGGTCAAAGTGAATTGGTACATTATGCAAATGAAGGATTGACCCATGCTTGACCTGTGGCCAATCAGAGGCACTTTCCATTTTTCAGCAGAAGGGGTTGATATAGAGGGAGTAGCCTCTGATCCTTTGTCATTTGGGCATGAAGAGGTGGGGTTTTCCTTTTGATCCAGTTCTAAGAAGTCAGTGCAAATCGGCCTCAGGTTCCCAGCCTCCAGACCCTATTCTTCTGCCTCATAGTCACTACACCAACACACAGCAGAGTCCCATCCTCCCAGTGGCCTCTTCCCAGTCACCCCCTCTACCAAGCCTGGCCCAAGGCAACCACTTTCTATTACTATAGATTTGGTAAGTCTTTCCTAGATTTCATATAAATTGAAATATACATTATTGCAATTTTTTTGTCTGGCTTCTTTTGCTCAGCACAATGTTTTTGAGCTAACCCACCCTTTTGTTGATATCAATTATTTCTGAATTTTAATTGCTGCCCCATATTGCATCGTATGGCCACACAGCATCTTGTGCGTTCATTCACAGTTGGTGGGCATAGGGATCATTTCCAGCTGTTGGCCGTTACCAATAAAACCTCCATGATCATCCACATTCACGTCTTTTGTGAGCAGACATTCTCACTTATTTTTTGTAAATACCTAGTTGCGGAATTTCTGGGTCATAAGGAAAGTGCATGTTTAACCCTAAAATCCTGCTCAATTGCTTTTCAAAGTGGTTGTATCATTTCACATCCCCAACAGCAAAGTGTAGGCCTTTCAGCTGCCTAGGATCATATTCAGTGTTGAAAGACTGTTAGCAGCCGCTTAAATTTAGGCCATTTTAATATGCATATTTTGGTCATTATGACTCCAACTTTTATTCGTTGATGACTTCAGATGTTCAACATCTTTTCATGTGCTTATGACAGTTTGTCCTGCTGGAAAGTATGTTTTTGAAAATTTTCCTCATTTTTCATGCTTTGTTTATCTCATTGAATTACAAGTGTTCTCTACATGTCTGGACACAGGCTATTGATTTATGTGGCTTGCCTTTTCTTCCTTTTCGTTTTTTCAAGAGCAGAATTTTTTAGTTCTGATAAAGTCCAATTTATCAAATTTTTCTTCTATGATACATTTATATTGTTTTCTATCTAAGAGATAACCCCAAAGTCTCAAATATTGTTTTCCACAATTCCCTCAAAAGTTCTTAGTTTTAGCTTTTATGCTTAGGTCTAAAATACATTTTTTTTTTTTTTGAGACAGCCTTGATCTGTCACCCAGGCTGGAGTACAGTGGCATGATCTCAGCTCACTGCAATCTCTGCTCCTGGGTTCAAGTGATTCTTGTGCCTCAGTCTCTCGAGTAGCTGGGATTATAGGCAGGTGCCACCATGCCCGGCTATTTTTTTCCATGTTTAGTAGAGACTGGGTTTCACTGTGTTGGCCAGGTTTGTCTTGAACTCCTGGCCTCAAGTGATCCACTCACTTCAGCCTCCCAAAGTGCTGGGATTACAGGCGTGAGCCATAGCACCCAGCCAACAATGTATTTTTAATTAATATTTGTCACTGGTGTGATGTAAGTGTCCAGGTGTTTTTTCCTTGCATTTTAATTCAGTTGTTCCAATATCATTTGTTAGAAACACTGTCATTTCTCACATTGATTTGTATTGCCAAACTCATCAAAAACTCAATGGCCATATGCGTGTAAGTCCGCTTCTGAATGCTCTGTTGTGTGCTATTGATCAATATGTCTATCTTGCCGTATTCCACTCTCTTCATTTTGGTGTCTTTATGCAATTTTTGAAATCAGATTGTGAGACACAATTTTTTAAAGTTGCATTTAACACTTTAGATCCTTTATATTCCCATGTAATTTTACAATCAGCTTGTCGATTTGAAAAAAAAAAGACTCTTGGGAATGTTGAATAAAATTGTTTCGAGTTTGTCAATATCAAATTGGGCAAAGCTGGCACTATAATAACATTGAGTCTTTTGATTTATGAACAACATCTATCTCTCCATTTATTCAGGTCTTCGTTAATTTAATTCTGTCAGCAGTATTTTTGGATGTCAATTTATACATCTTGTTCATATTTTAGGCTTAACTTTAAGTATGTCATATTTTGATGCTGTTGTAAATGGGACTTCAACTATAAACTTCCATTTTTTGATAGTATGTAGGAATAAGTGATATTTACTTTTTGTTTTTATTTTGAAATGGAGTCTAGCTCTGTTGCCCAGGCTGGAGTGCAGTGGCGCCATCTTGGCTCACTGCAACTGCCCCTCCTGGGTTCAAGCGCTTCTCCTGCCTCAGCCTCCTGAGTAGCTGGGACTACAGGCATGTGCCACTGCGCGCAGCCGATATTTACATTTTTATCTGATGCTCAGAAACCTTGCAGAGTACACTAGTTAGTTCTAGTCTCTATTTCATAGATTCTTTAGGATTTTCCATGTTCATGATCATGCCATTTGTGAATAAAGACAGTTTCACTACTTCTTTTCCAACATATATGCCCTTTATCCTTTGTTTTTGCCTTATTACATGGGCTACAAGCTGGAATTTTTGGTTAAAAAGTTTCCATTTTTTTCTAATATATAAAAGATTTATTAGGTCTTCTATTTTTTCTTAAGACAGCTCTGGCAATTTGTGTCTTTTGAGGAATTTATCCATTTTATTTAACATCAAATTTGTTAGTGTGAAATTTCACATAAAATTTCTTAATTATTCTCTGAAATCTGTAGAATCTTAAGAAAGTGTACCTTTCACTTACCATCTTAGTAGAGTGATTCTTCCCTCATTTACTATTATTCCGTCTGGCTGGAGTTTTAGAGATTTTATTGATCTTTTCAAAGGACCAATTTTGGTTCTATTGATTTTTTTCTCTTTCTTTGTCTATTTTCATTTTAATGATTTGTATTGTCTTCCTTTTTTCTTTAATTTTATTTACTTCATTTACTTTGATCATCCTTTTCAGGTTCTTGAAGACATTTGCATCATTGACTTCCACATGAGCACTTCAAGCATGATAGTATCCTCTAAGCATTTGTTTAATTATATTGCAAATTGTTTGAATTTGTTTTATTTTTATTAGTTTTTAAGATGTGTTCTAGTTTCCCCTGTGGTTTATTTATTTATTTATTTTTGTCCCATGGGTTACTTTGAAAATTTATAAGATTATTTCCAAATATTTAATGATTTTTCAGATATTTCTGTGATTGATTTCTAATTAATAGCATTATGGTGAATAAATGTACTCTGTACAATTTTAAGCATTTACAACATGTTTTGAGATTTGTTTTGTGGCTAAAATGTATGGCCTTTCCTTTTTTTAAAAAAAATGGTGGTATAATATATTATTTTATTTTATTCTTCTTTTTTAAACTTTTATTTCAGGTTCAGGGGTACCTGTGCAGATTTGTTATAAGGGAAATTGCTAGTCACAAGGGTTTGGTGTGCAGACTATTTTGTCAGACAGGTAATGAGCATGGTACCCAACAGGGAGTGTTTTGATCCTCGTATTCCTCTCGGCCTCCACCCTCAAGTAGGCCCCAGTGCCTGTGAGCCCTTCTTTGTGTCTGCATGTACTCAAAGTTTAGTTCCCATTTATGAGTGAGAACATGTGATATTTGGTTTTCTGTTTCTGCATTAATTGGCTTAGAATAATGGCCTCCAGCTTCATCCATGTTGCTGCAAAAACTGTGATCTCATTCTTTTCATGGCTGCATAGTATTCCATGGTGTATATGTATCACATTTTTAAAAATCCAGTCTACCATTGATGGGCATTTGGGTTGATTCCATGTCTGCTATTATGAATAGTGCTGCAATGAACATATGGGTGCATGTGTCTTTGCGGTAGAACGATTTGTATTCCTTTGAGTATATGCTCAATAATGGGATTGCTAGGTGAAATGGTAGTTCTGTTTTAAGTTCTTTGAGAAATCCCCAAACTGCTTTCCACAATGGCTAAACTAATTTACATTTCCAACAGCAGTGTATAAGTATTCTCTTTTCTCCACAACCTCAGCAGGATCTGTTATTTTTTGGCTTTTTAATAATAGCCATTCTGGCTGGTGTGAGATGGAGTCTCACTGTGGCTTGATTTGCATTGCGGTAATGATTAGTGATATTGAGCATTTTTTCGTACACTTATTGGCCCCATATATATGTTCTTTTGAAAAGTGTCTGTTCATGTTATTTGACCACTTTTTCACAAGCAAAAAACAACCCCATGAAAAAGTTTAATAATAGTCATTCTGGCTGGTGTGATTTTGAATATTAGACTTTTGTCAGATACACAGCTTACAAATATTTTCTCCCATTCTATAGGTTGTCTGTTTACTCTATTTATAGTTTATTTTGCTGTATGGAAGTTCTTTAATTAGATCCCATTTGTCAATTTTTGTTTTTGTTGCAATTGCCTTTGGCATCTTCATCGTAAACTCTTTGCAAGTCCTATGTCCAGAATGGTATTTCATAGGTTATCTTCCAGGGTTTTTATAGTTTTAGGTTCCATCTTTAAGTCTTTAATCCATCTTGAGTTTATTTTTGTATATGGTGTAAGGAAGGGGTCCAGTTTCAATCTTCTGCATATGGTTAGCCAGTTATTCCAGCACTGTCTATTGAATAGGGAGTTCTTTCCCCATTGCTTCTTTTTGTTTATTTTGTCAGAGGTCAGATGGTTGTAGGTATGTAGCATTATTTCTGGGCTCTCTATTCCGTTCCATTGGTCTCTGTGTCTGTTTTTATACCAGTACCCTGTTGCTTTGATCACTATAGGCTTGTAGTATAATTTGAAGTTGGGTAATGTGAAGCCTTCAGTTTTGTTCTTTTTGCTAAGAATTGTCTTGGCTATTCAGGTTCCTATTTGGTTCCATATAAATTTTAAACTAGTTTTTTTTTCTAATTCCATGAAGAATGCCATTGAAAGTTTGATAGGAATAACATTGACTCTGTAAATTGATTTGGGTGGTATGCCCATTTTATTGATATTGATTCTCCCTATCCTTGAGCTTGGGATGTTTTTCCATTTGTTTGTGTCCTTTCTGATTTCTTTGAGTAGTGTTTTGTAGTTCCCCTTGTAGAGCTCTTTGACCTCCTTGCTTAGCTATATTTCTAGGTATTTTAATATTTTTGTGTCTATTTTGAATGGGATTGTGTTCTTGATTTGGCTCTCAGCTTGGATGTTGTTGGTGTACAGGAATGCTACTGATTTTTTGTACATTGAATTTTTATCCTGAAACTTTGATCAAGTTATCAGATCCAGGAACTTTTAGGAAGAGATTACGAGGTTTTCTAGGTATAAAATCATGTCATCTGAAAACAGGAACAGTTTGACTTCCCCTCTTCCTATTTGGATGCTTTTTGTTTCTTTCTTTCTCTTGCTTGATTGCTCTAGCTAGGACTTCCAGTACTATGTTGAATAGATGTGGTTTTCCTTGTCTTGTTTCAATTTTCAAGAGGAATGCCTCCAGCTTTTGCCTATTCAGTATGATGTTGGCTGTGGGTTTTTGATAGATGGTGACATGATTTGGCTGTGTCCCTGCCCAAATCTCATCTTGAATTGTAGTTCCCATAATCCCCATGTGTCATGGGAGGGACCCGGTGGGAAGTAATTGAATCATGTGGGCAGTTACCCCCACGCTGTTCTCATGATAGTGAGTGAGTTCTCACAAGATCTGATGGTTTTATAAGGGGCTTTTCCCCCTTTGCTTGGCACTTCTCTCTTCTGCTGCCATGTGAAGAAGGATGTGTTTGCTTCCCCTTCTGCTATGATTGTACGTCTCCTGAGGCCTCCGCAGTCATGCAGAACTGTGAGTGAATTAAACCTCTTTCCTTTATAAATAACCCTGTCTCAGTATGACTTTATTAGCAATGTAAGAATGGACTAATACAGATGGCTTTTATTTTTTTGAGGCATGTTTCTTTAATGCCTAGTTTGTTGAAGGTTTTTTTACATGAAGGGATGTTGAATTTTTCCCAAGGCTTTTTATGCATCCATTGAGATGATAATGTGGTTTTTGTTCTTAGTTCTTTGTATGTGGTGAATCACATGTATTGATTTGTGTATGTTGAAGCAGCCTTTCTTTTGCATCCCCAGGATAAAGCCTACTTGATTGTGGTGGATTAGCTTTTTGATGTGCTGCTGTATTTGGTTTGCTAGTATTTTGTTTTGCATCTATGTTCATCAAGGATGTTGGCTGAAGTTTTCTTTTTTGGTTGTGTCTCTGCCAGGTTTTGGTATCTGATGCTGGCTTCATAGAATGAGTTAGGGAGGAGTCCCTCCTCCTTGATTTTAAAAAATAATTTGAGTTGGAATCGTATTAGCTCTTCCTTATACATCTGGTAAAATTTGGCTGTGAATCCACCTGGTCCTGGGATTTTTCTGGTTGGTAGGCTTTTTATTACTGATTCAATTTTAGAACTCATTATTAGTCTCTTTAGGGATTCAACTTTTCTTTGGTTCAATCGTGGGAGGTTGCATGTTTCATGGAATTTATCCATTTCTTCTAGGTTTTCAGCTTGTGGGCATAGAGGTGTTCATAATAGTTTCTGAGGTTTTTTTCTATTTCTGTGGGGTCAATGATAATGTCCCTTTTGTCATTTTTGATTGTGTTTATTTGCATTTCCTCTCTGTTTTTCTTCATTAGTTTAGCTAGTGGTCGATCTTATTAATTCTAAGAAGCAGCACTTGGATTCAATGATCTTTCGTATTTTTTTTTTTGCATCTCTATTTTCTTCAGTTCAGCTTTTATTTATTTCTTGTCTTCTTCTATCTTTGGAGTTGGCTTGCTCCTGTTTCTCTAGTTCCAGCATTTATGATGTCAGGTTATTAATTTGAGATCTTTCTAATTTTTGATGTGGGTGTTTAGTGCTATAAACTTTCTTCTTAACACTGCTTTGGCTGCGTCCCAGAAATTCTGGTATGCTGTATCCTTTTTTCTCATTAGTTTCAAAGAATTCCTTGGTTTCTGCCTTAATTTCATTATCTATGCAGAAGTCATTCAGGAGCAGGTTGTTTAATTTCCATGTAATTGTATAGTTTTAAGTGATTTTCTTGCATTGATTTTTATTTTTATTGCACTGTGGCCTGAAAGTGTGGTTGGTATGAGTTTAATTTTTTTTAATTTGCTGAGGATTGTTTTATGCCTGGTTGTATGGTTGATTTTAGAATATGTTTTATGTGCAGATGAGAAAAAGGTATATTGTGTTGTTTTTGGGTGGAGAGTTCTGTAGATGTCTATCAGGTCTATTTGGTCAAGTGTTGAGCTCAGATCCCAAATATCTTTGTTAGTTTTCTGCCTTGATTATCTGTTTAATACTGTCAGTGGGGTGTTGAAGTCTCCCACTATTATTGTGTGCATATCTAAGTCTCTTTGTAGGTCTCTAAGAACTTGTTTTATAAAGCTGGGTGCTCTTGTGTTGGGTGCATATATATTTAGGATAGTTAGGTCCTCTTTTTGAATTGGGCCCTTTACCATTATGTAATGCTCCTCTTTGTCTTTTTTGATTTTTGTTGGTTTAAAGTCTGTTTTTGTCTGAAATTAGAATAGCAATCCTTGCCTCTTTATGTTTTCTGTTTGCTTCATAGATTTTTCTCCATCCCTTTGCTTTAAGACTATGAGTGTCATTGCATGTGAGATAGGTCTCTGAAAGACCGCATATAGTAGGGTTTTACTTCTTTATCCAACTGCTACTCTGTCTTTTGATTTGGGCATTAAGCTGGTTCACATTCAAGGTTAGTATTGATATATGCAGATTTGATCCTGTCATCATGTTGTTAGCTGATTATTATACAGACTTGTATGTGTGGCTGCTTTATAGTGCCATGGTCTATATACTTAAGTGTGGTTTTGTAGTGACCTTTAATGGTCTTTCATTTCCATATTTAGCACTCCCTTCAGGACCTCTTGTAAGGCAGGTCTGGTGGCATTTAATTCCCTTAACATTTTCTTGTCTGAAAAGAATCTTATTTCTCCTTCACTTATTCAGCTTAGTCTGGCTGGATATAAAATTCTTGGTTGAAAATTCTTTTCTTTAAGAATACTAAATTTAGGCCCCCAATCTCTTCTGGCTTGTATGGTTTCTGCTGACAGGTCTACTATTAGCCTTATGGGGTTCCCTCTGTAGGTGACCTGACCCTTCTCTCTAGCTGCTTTCCACATTTTTTCTTTCATTTCAACCTTGGAGATTCTGATGACTGTGTGTCTTGGGGATGGCCTTCTTGTGTCATATTTTTCAGGGGTTCTTTGCATTTCTTGAATTTGAATGTTGGCCTCCCTTGTGAGGTTGGGGAAATTTTCATGGATGATATTCTGAAATATGTTTGCAAGCTGTTTAGTTTCTCTCTCTGTCTTTCAGAGATGCCAACATGTCATAGGTTTGGGCTCTTTACATAATCTCACAATTCTAAGAGGTTTCGCTCATGAGTATTTATTGTTTTGTCTTCATTTTTGTCTGAATGAGTCATTTTGGAGAGCCAGCCTTCAAGGTCTGAGATTCTTTCCTCAGCTTGGTCGATTCTTCTGTTAATATTTGCAATTGCATTATAAAATTCTTGTCATGTGTTTTTCAGCTCTATCAGATCAGTTTTGTTCTTTCTTACAGTGGCCATTTTGTCTATTAGCTCCTGTATTGTTTTATTATAATCCTTAAATTTCTTGGATTGGGTTTTTACTCTCTCCCATATGTTGATGATC
The DNA here is from genome assembly GCF_000001405.40 of Homo sapiens. Lineage (NCBI taxonomy): Eukaryota > Metazoa > Chordata > Mammalia > Primates > Hominidae > Homo > Homo sapiens. The sequence continues at coordinate 169,017,625 of NC_000006.12, forward strand.
TTCATTTTTATCCACATTCTGAATGATATTTCTGACATTTCAGCCATTTCAGCCTGGTAAAGAACCATTGCTGGGTAATTAGTGTGGTGGTTTGAAGGTAAGAAGACTCTCAGGGTTGTTAAATTGCCAGAGTTCTTGCAGTGGTTCTTTCTTATCTTTGTAGGATGATGTTCTTTCAATCTTTGAAGTTGCTGTCCTTTGGGTGGTTTTTTTTTTCTTCTTTTATGCCCTTGGGAGTTTGATTATGGTATAAGGTGGGTTCAGTTAACTGGCTTTGATTCTAGTTCACTCCTGGGTCTTGGAGGAGCCTCTTCTGATTACCATCTCTATGCTTGTATCTCTTTTGCTGGGTGTTCTTGTCCCCAGGGCTCCCTCAGGCAGGGGCTGCAGTTGGCAGACAGGCTGTATCCCTGCCAGGTCAACCCTAATCTACTGTTCATGTGCTTCCTGGGGAAGCACAGGATTGCACCTGCCCACAGACTTCAGGTGGAAGCCAAATCACTGTGTTGGAAGCTGTAGCAGGTGTCACCCATCTGGCTATGGGAGGTATGGATGAATGGAGTTGCCTGCACTGCCATCTGAATGTTTCCAGGGCAATAGGAGGCTGTGTCCCTTGGAAAATTCAGACAGAAGTGGGACCACTGGTCCAGAAGCTCTAGCAGGCATTGCCTGCCTGGCTATTAGCAGCAAGCATGAGTGAGGAAGCCTGCCCTGCCATCCAGATGCTTCCTCAGACAACAGGAAGCTGTGTCCACCAGCTGAGTTCCCACAGAAGCAGGATCATGGGGTCAGAAGCTCTAGCAGGCATTGCACACCTGGCTAAAATGGTGGGGGCAGGTTGGGGGGGTTGCACTTCCTGCCATCTGGGTGATTCCTGGGACAACAGGAGGCTGTTTCCTCCAGCTGAGTTCTCACAAAAGAGGGGCCACTGGGCTGGAAGCTCTAGCAAGTGTTGCCTGCTGGGCTACCAGTGGCAGGGGTGGGTGGAACGGCCAGCTGACTTAGGGCCCAAGTGGGATTGCTGGGCTTGAAGCTGGTGCTGAGCCCTGTCTGGCAAGGGGACATGGAGAAATCCCTCTGCTCCCAACCACTGTCACTGCAGCCGCTACTGGGGCCATGGCACCGGTACTGGCCTGCTTTGGGGCCCAAGGCTTGTAGACTCGAGAATTGCCCCTGCAAAATGTCCAGGTGGCTCTCTGCCTCAGTGTAGAAGCATGGAGGGGGGTACACGGGGGCCAGGGGAATTCTCCTGTTCCCAGTCTTGCACAGGTCCTTGTGGAGAGCATGAATCCCCCAGGGGCTCTCACTCTCTCACCCTTTCTTGCATTAGAGAGGTTCTCCTGGCTCCACAGTGAGCCCAGACAGGCTGGTATCCAGCTTCACTCCTCTCTGCTATCTGTGTCCCCTGCTTCCTTGATGGATCCCATTGTGGTTTCTCAGATGATCAGCTTGCAGGGTCAGTGTTTACCAGCCCTTTTGTTTCCTGTGACAGCACATGAGCTGCTTCTAGTTCGCCACCTGGGCCCCATCCCCAGTCTTTCTTGATAAATGTATTCTGTGTATTTGAAAACAGTATCTACCCTTCAGTTGTTGACTGAAATATTCTATAAACATAAATTAGTTCTAGGTAATTAGTAATATTGTTTTAGTCTTCTATAATCTCCCAAAGACACACTTTTAATATTTACTTTAATCTGAAAATACTTTTAAAATTAAAATGCCTGGTGGATTGGTCATAGGGGACACGGAGCTCTGCTTGCTTTCCTGATGAGCCTTGGACCTGAGTGGCCCCAGAGAAGAATTCTGCTGCTTCAACGCAACCATCAGTGGCAGCAGATTTTTGTCATCACCAGCTTAATCTTCAAGCATTTGTTAAGAATCCCATTGGGCTGTATTACCCAAAGACCTAGATTCCATTCTACTATATTAGAAGTCACTGAAAAAAATTAAAGCTTTAGTATTTTTTAAATGGAGCTATGTTGAGTTTTGCCCCTGGACCTTTTTGCAGTGATTTCTGCTAAATCTTCAACATGTTTTCTTTTTATTTTTGGGGAATCTGTGAGCCCCATCTCTAGTTTATGTGTTTGGAGTTTAACTCAAGCTTAGTGCTACAGTTTGAATGTGCTACCCAAAATTCATGTGCTGGGAACTTAATCCTCAATGCAACAGTGTTGAGAAGTGTGAGCTAATAAGAGATGTTGACGTCGTGAGGGCTCTGCCCTCGGGAAAGGATTAATATTGTTAGTGCAGTAGTGTTATAACAGAGAGTTTGGCCTCCTCTTGCCCTCTCTCACTCTTGTCCTCTCTTGCCCTCCTGTCTTCTGCCATGAGATGACACAGCCTGAAGGCCCTAGTCAGATTCTGGCACCATGCTCTTGAACTTTCCTGCCTCCAGAATTGTGAGCCAAATAACCTTCTATACTTTATAATAAACTACTCTGTCTGTATTCTGTTATAGCAGCAGCCAACGGACCAAGGCACTTAGCTCATAAGAGATGAGTATGACCCTGTCCGAATCACCTGGGGACGTCCCATGAAGCTGTTAGGAGAGAGAAGTATTTGCTTTTTGCCCCTGGACTTGAATCTGGGAGGATCCAGGGTGTAGCTGCCAATAGGCAAAGTGCAACACAAGGGGTCAGCACTGACTGAACCAGAGGCAAAGCCTGGAGACACTGGATCCTAGTGAGTCAGGGGACTGTATCCACCTGCAGCTACCAACGTGCCACGTGGGCTTGTAGATGGGCAGCAGCCAATGAAGTTATTCCGTTCTTCCCTACACCAATTTTGAGGTGCTTTTTGCTGTTGTTGTTGTCTTCCCCAGTTGCTTGCAGCTATTAGGGCCCAAAATGATCTAGGTGTTATCAAAAATCCTAGCTTGTATATGAAAGTGTCAACACGTGTTTTCTGGTGTGTATCTGTCTGGGTGTGCGTTCCCATAAGACAGTGAGTGTACTTTGTTCTGATCATATTTGCATCTTTGCTGTTCCAGAGATAGTACCTAATAAATGGCTAATGAGGAAGTGAATTACTGAAATGTCTTTAATGTAGAGTAAGGAAAAGTATGAAATACTTGCCTGAGTCCTATAATTTTCAATAATTTAGGACTGCCAGTTAAATTCTTTTTGTAGAAATTTCTGGTTGAATACAGCAGAAACCGCAACTTAACTATTATCAGTTTTTGTATCCCCCTCACACACATCAGATGATGCCCTTCTTCTGAGACACTTGTGTTGGCTGCACCTTGCAGGACAAGTTTAAACCATAAGCTGCGTGAAAGTAGGGACTCTAGTATCCTCAGTGCCTGGCATGTGATGGCAAGGCATGGTGGCAGATGCGTCCCGACCATTGTACAGGCTCTGCCTTCTGGAAACGCCCCTTCTGGAACTTGCCTATGGTGGAGCACTGTTGCAACATCTGCCTTCCTGGAGGGTACAAAGGGGCAAATGCTGTGTCTTCCACGGAACTTATTCCAGCTTCACGGTGGGGTGAGTTCCTGGGACAGGCAGATGCTGGCCCTTCTCACTGCACCCCCACTCCCCAGGTTACTTCTCGCCCTTGTTTCTCATAGGTCCCTACGCTTAGAAAACTATTCTACCTTAAAATTCGAACAAGTTGCATTTTGCAATGTGTTCCTGACCACAGAATTTGTCGTTCTTGGCTAAATTCAAGCCCTGTTCCACTGTTTTACAAATCTTGCTTGAAAAGGAAAGAGAGGCAGGGGCCTGCCTTTTGTGTCGGCTGCCAGCTGTTGGCTTCACGGTCAGTCAGCAGTGAAGACCGCTCCCCTTCCACTCCCCAAAACTATACAAACCACTGCAAAGCTCTATAGTTCATATAAGTTTAGAGATTATTATTTCTCTTGTGTTTTTTCTTTTCTTTGTAAGTGGAAACAAAAAGCAAAACAAGGATAACTACAATATGCATCAAAAAAAGTAGGAAAAGCAGCAAAGTAGCAAACCCAGGCAGGGAACAGTGCAGAATCATTTCAGCATTCTGAAGTGCACCAGCAGCCACAGAGCAAGAGCTTGTTTACGGCTCACGTTTTGCTGGAAAAATCTATGTAAGATCCCAAAGCATCATTTAACACATTTTTCAATGGCAATGGAAGGTTTACATATTTCTATATAGTTGCCTAAGTCAAAATGTGGAGAAAATATATTGGAAGAGCGCTTGCTTCTAATCATGAATAACATGTTATCACTTTTTATGGTCTATACTGATGATGCTTAGATAACAGATATAGCAGGGAAAATATGAAATGATAGCCATTTAAATGAAAAGCTGCTTACATCTGAGCCAAGGGAATTAAAATAAAATCCAAGAAGACATCCGCATATATTTTCCACCCTCACCCCTACTCAATTACTTGCATATTTGTTATGTTGGAACTCAACAATGTCACATACCAATATCAAATGTAAAATATCTATACATATATAGGTCTATCTCTTTACAAATTTCAGTGAGGACAACAGCTTTATTATCATTTCTTTACTTTTGCCAAAAACAAGGATAACGATAAAACAAAAACCTGATGCATGATGCCATTTGGGACTCGGTTGTCACTTGGTAGAGAGGACAGGGTCCTGTGAACACTGAAGCAACAGACACCAGCCGTTCCAGTGGGCAGGGGGCAGTGTGGCCCTACGTTCAGGTGGCGAGTGAGGAAGCAGGAGCCTCTCTCTAGTTGAGGCCGGGTCTCTCAGAAGCCCCTCATCTCCTGGCGAGTAAAACTGCACCATCCACGCGACCGACGTCCCACTGTGCTGGTTATATGTTTCCTCACGATTTATTGGCTGACTGCTTAGCTACCATTTTTATTTTTACAAATAGAATTTATCTTCAGGGTACAATATTTCATTCTACTTTCAATGCTTCCTCACTCACCATACTTTCCAATTTTTATTTGATGATTTAGACGTCTCCACGCTGTGGGGACCCCAGGCTTGTGCAGACATCTGTGGGAATCCAAAGATGGCGTGATACGGAGAAGTCAGAATGTGGCCAAGCATCCTAAATCCATCGTCTGCGTCCCCTCTAGTGTGTTTTGTATCAGTGTCAGGAAGAATTAGCACTAACGTTTGGATGTTGATTTTATCCACACCAGGAAGAAAAAGTAGCCAACGAGTAGGTGGAGTCACTTTATCCAAAATATTGTATAACTTGGTCTTTAAATAGCATGATGAAAACTCGTTCTTATTAGGCACACATGTAGCAGCCCGCAACTCCTGCTTTCAATAATACGTGAATCTTTAGCTTGAATAAATTTTTACAATGCCAGAGGTAAAAAAGACATCCAAGGCTTACTGAAAAAAAGGTTTCAAAAACAATCATGTACCTAGGGCTGGTGAAAGAAAAAGCTCAGAAAATGCAACTTTTTTCAAAGCATCCTTCTTTGAACACGTGCTACCTTCACTGGAGTGTGCCTCCATTTTTGCATTTTTGGGTTGACTGAAAACCTTAATTTTCATTCAGGCATAGAAGGTTAGTGGTGAGTGAGCTTTGGGACAGGCCTGCGGGACTCAGCATCCGAGGGGTCCTGCGCTCCACTGGTGTGGCTGGGAAGTCGGTCTAGACATGTGGCTGGCTTTTCAGTGTTGTTTCGTTTCTTGCCCAAATCTCTACCAAATATTCACCATCTCTCCAACACCCACGTCGCCAGACCATGCACTTCTGAACTTCACGTGGCCTGGGCTCAGGACTTCCATTTAGATGTCATTTTCCATGAGTCTCTGGTCCAGATGGATAAAGGCACCCAGGAGAAAAAGCACCGCGGGAAGCCGAGGCAGCGGGTGTCCAGGTCCTTTCAGCAGAGGCCACGTGGAAGGGACTGTTAAGGGGCTGGTGGGGGAAGTTGGGAGGAATGGGGAAAATGGAAGTGAATTATTTTGAGCCTGTTCAGACAATATGCTAGGAATGTTCTGGTTTTTATTTTGTTTTGTTTTGTTTTTTCTCAGCGTTGTGAAGGAGATACTATCATATCCTTTAACAGCCCTGGTGATGTTCGCTGCTCTGCACAGCACACGGTGACTACATCCCAGATCCAGAGCTGCGGAACTCTGGGGCCACGTCTCCAGCGCCGCATTCGGCGGCACACGGAGGCCTGAGAAGGCGGGAGGGGTCAGTCTCTGGCTTCGAGTAGCAGCAATACCAGGACAACCATAGCTGAGTCATGTCAAGATGAACCATATGGCATTACCATTTTTTCACAGGTCAGGGCAAAGAATACTGGTGAATTCATGGGTTTCAGCCTAATTTAAAATGTGTGTATTCTTCAAAGTCTTTTAGGAGCTGTGGGGATTAAAAGGGCCGGCAGGGGCTCAGAGCTCCGTTGGCTGGGTCTGGGGTCCCAGCTCTCATCAGTGACATCGCCCCGCAGCCCCAGGGCGGCCGCAGCACCCGAGCTTCCTCGGCTTCACAGGAGGGAAGTGCTCCCTCGGAGACAAAATATTTTTCCCAAAAGGAGCAATTCATCTACTTGGCTATAAATCAGCAGCAGAAGCAGAGGGGCAGCGGGGAGGGGCGGGGTGGCCGCGGGGAGCTCAGTGCCCGGGGAGGGGTGGCCGCCGGGTGGACAGTGCACGGAGGAGCAGGGGGGCCATGGGCTGAGTCTGGGCCTGGACCCTGTCCAGCAGTCAGCGTGGCCATGAGGTGGGTGAGGACGGGCGGGAGTGGGAGACGCGCCTGCCAGGACAGCTCGGGGCTGCCGCGGGGGTGCCCCGGCCGCGCAGCGGAGCAGGATGGGCTGGAGTGCAGCCGGGGAGCGGGTACCCGGCGTCTCGGGGCTGCCCGGGCACCTGGCAAGCGTTTTTCGAGGCCTCCGTCCATCTGCGCCCCCGCCGCACCTTCCCCCACTCGGCGGCGGGTCCCCGGGGAGCGATGAGCCGCCCGTGCCTGGTGCGCTCGGATGCCCGGAGGTTTCTAGGACACCGAGGCTACCGGTGGGTATCGAATGCCCTCGAGTTGTTCACGGTCCGGCGTGGGTTCCAAAAACCGCCTTTGGTGAAACAAGGCGCCCTCAGAGCCGCCCCGCATCGGGGTGTGCCTGGGCCTGGTCCCCGCAGGTGGCTCTCGGGGCCGGTTCTCGGTGCCGCCGGTTCTCGGTGCCACCAGTTCTCGGTGCCGCCGGTTCTCGGTGCCGACGGTTCTCGGTGCCGACGGTTCTCGGTGCCGGTTCTCAGTGCCGGTTCTCGGTGCTGCCGGTTCTTGGTGCCGGTTCTCGGTGCTGCCGGTTCTCGGTGCTGCCGATTCTCGGTGCTGACGGTTCTCGGTGCTGCCGGTTCTCGGTGCCGGTTCTCGGTGCTGCCGGTTCTCGGTGCTGCCGGTTCTTGGTGCCGGTTCTCGGTGCTGCCGGTTCTCGGTGCCGGTTCTCGGTGCTGCCGGTTCTCGGTGCTGCCGATTCTCGGTGCCGCCGGTTCTCGGTGCCGCCGGTTCTTGGTGCCGGTTCTCGGTGCCGGTTCTCGGTGCTGCCGGTTCTCGGTGCTGGTTCTCGGTGCTGCCGGTTCTCGGTGCTGCCGGTTCTCGGTGCCGCCGGTTCTCGGTGCTGCCGGTTTTCCGTGCTGACGGTTCTCGGTGCCGGTTCTCGGTGCCGGTTCTCGGTGCTGCCGGTTCTCGGTGCTGGTTCTCGGTGCTGCCGGTTCTCGGTGCCGCCGGTTCTCGGTGCCGCCGGTTCTCGGTGCTGCCGGTTTTCCGTGCTGACGGTTCTCGGTGCTGCCAGTTCTCGGTGCTGCCCCCGCCCCCCAGGCAGGACCCACCACCCCCTCTGCTCTGCCCGCAGCGACCCTGTCCCTGCAGGCCCCGCGCCCCAAAGACCAGGGACCTCGCCCATCCAGGTTCCTAAATATGAAGGAAATGGCGGTCAAGGACAGGAAAGAGTAGGTTTTCGTTATCTTAGTGAAATGAATGGGGGCTCAGTAGATGATTCTGGTTTCGAGAACTCTCGCTGCCCCCATCTCCTGGCACTGACTCCTCAGCCACCAGCGGGGAGCTGTGCAGAGCCCGGGGACTCACTGGGGTGGGTGGAGAACGTGTCCTGTCACCCAGAGCCACCAACAAATGCCACTTTCTACGTGTGCTGAGACCTTCGAAATATCAGGGATGTCTGATGGGAGCTTTAATCATTACTTTCTGAAAAAAAAATCTCTATCTCTATCTGTATCCATATATACACTGAGCTAGTTTACGTGGTGTATAAGAGGGGTTTCTCTCTTGCTTATTGGGGTATGTTTCTATGGTGTTTATTTCTTCCCTTCACTTATGTTTATTTTATTTAAATATTGACTATAGTATTTTATGGTAACACCAATAAATCATGGGTCTTTTCCCTAAATTCTCCCTGCATGGCTCTAAAAGATAAAGGCCTATTCTCAGGGAGCCACGAAGTCATTACTGAACTCAGTACAATTTTTAAAAGACTTAAAACTATCCAACCCCTACTTCATTTTCAAATGTTCACCTAATGATCCCAGTGAAAGTGAAAGCAGAAGACATTGATTAGGCTTTGCCTCTGATAGAGAGTCTCCCACTTTGGGAGGAAAATTCTGGAAGCTGTTCTAAGCCATAGGGAAGCCTCAGGTCACTGCCTGCTGGGAAAAAACAATGGAAGCAGGAGGACGATTTGTAGGACTTTACAGTGCTGGTCTTGCAGAGGCATCACTTCCAAGGTCAAGGAAGGCAGCTTTGAAAAGGGAGCCTCCCACTTGGAGTCTGGGTGGTGAAAACAAGCGAGAAACACTAAAGATAATGAAATCAATGAACTCACACAACCGAAGCGGGGACAGAAAGAGAATGATTTATTTTTAAGAACAGCCCTTCACTATAGCAACAGAAGCATTTGAACTACGAAAGCAAGCAAGCCATCCAAACCCTTTCAAATTACCCAATTTAGTGACTGTTGTGGCAAATAAACAAAGGAACTCAACATACAAAGGAACTTTCAAAAATGAAAACAGAAAATGAGTATCTAAGTGTTTGAGAAGATTGTTTCTTCTTCATGAATTCAATATAATTGGATAAGAAATTTCAAAGTTAAATGTCATACTGAATAAAAATTTAAAAAACTCTGACTAGACATGGGCAAATTGTAGAAAGATGTGACACGGAAAGTAATTTAAGTCCTGAAAGACACCATTAAGAGAGACAAAAATCTTAGGATAAATACTTAATTTCTAGGTATCTAAGAGAAAATGGATAAAACTGAAACTATTGTAAGGATCCCAGATGGTAAAAACAGTCCAAAGTTGAGTCAAAAATAAAGAAGAAAAATGGGTGGATATTAAATACTAAATTATGTGGCCCTGAAGAAGAAAAACTAAGCAATGGAACAAAACAAATATGATACATAATTTTATATACTCACGGAGCCCTTTGCATAATTTAAAAAATTGATCCAGAAGAGTGTTTAACTTTAAAAACAGGGGAAAAATGTCTTCAACCTCCAGAAAAATGGTGAAATCTCTTAAATAAAAAATAAAGTCAGTATTGGTCTTTTCAAAAGCACTATACAATGTAAGAGAACAGAAATCTCCAGTAACAAAAGTGAGTCAAGTTTTGTTTTGTTTTGTTTTGTTTTGTTTTGAGATGGACTTTCACTCTGTCACCCAGACTGGAGTGCAGTGGAGCGATCTCAGCTCACTGCAACCTCTGCCTCCCAGGTTCAAGCGATTCTTCTGGCCCAGCCTCCTGAGTAGCTGGGATTACAGGTGTGCACCACCACTCCCAGCTAATTTTTGTATTTTCAGTAGAGACGGGTTTTCACCATGTTGGCCAGGCTGGTCTCAAACTCCTGACCTCAAGTGATCCGCCTGCCTTGGCCTCCCAAAGTGCTGGGATTACAGGCATGAGCCACCGCACCAGGTCAATTTATAATTCACCCAAGTTTCTTGCAGGTATCAAATCTTAGGAAACCACAGGTGCTTAGAGCATGTGACTGCTTAGGGCTGCTTCAAGGTACAGCTGCCTCACCCACCTGCTAGGAGAGAAGCACCGAAACCCAGAAAGCACAGAGAAAGGGAAGTAAAAACACTTATGGTGTGCATGGAATGCATTTTATGGTATATCTTAGATTAAAATACAGGTGGAAATAAGTGAAAAGTAATTAATAGAAGTAATAAAACAGAAGGAGGAAGAGAAGGCGGGGAGAGAAAATTGAGAAAATAGATTTTGGATTTTTAAACACCGTTTTCTACAAAAAATCTAGAGCTATTTTAATATGTGGCTAATCCTATTTCTAGTGCATAGAAAGGAGGAAGACACAAAAAACGAAAAGGAAAACATTAAAACTAATAGGGACGACTGAACGTTCACAGACAAGGCTCCTACTGGCAAGAATAATTATGACATAAGCATGCAAATTATTATAATTAATTGCTACATACTGATTTTTTTTAAAAAGACTCCATTATTAAATTCAAGAACAAAACAAAAAAGAAATGACTTCTGATTTTGCTACTGTTATAGTGACTATAACTCTTCATTGGGCAACTGGGTAGCTCAAAGGGAAGATTTACATTTTTCTCTTGCCTTTAAAAGAGAGACTCTAGTACTTTCCAAGTTGGTAAAAGGAAGTTTCTTCTTTATAGAATAACAGCTAATAAAATATGGAAAAATGAAGAATTAGAAAATCATAACTTTGCAATCCCTAAAGAGATAATTGATTAGATAAGGTTCACCAATGGATGCTAAAATTATTAAGTCAAAGTTAATAAAAAATAAATACTCACATGAGTTTAGGTATTAACCCACAGATTATTTGCTAATTGCACAAGGGAGAAAAAGGACCATGTCACTGGAAAGATGTGATGGCCAGTGCCTTAACCAAATGCTCAACGGTGAGTATCAGGAGCAGTTGAACATGATGTTCTGAGCCTCCTGGGAGGTGCAGCTGCAAGTGCAAAGTGTCACCTGGGACTTTAGCCTGAATCTAGCCAAGCCAGTTCACACAGGACACAGGGCTCATGAGAACACGCTGTATGACACTAACAGGAGGCGGTTTCTTCTTCTTCAGTTCTTTTGCCTTTCTTCCATTATGCAATAATTATTAGTCAATCTTACTTAACAAGAGTAACATTTGAGGCTGTGAATGTTTTTGGAGGAAAATTTGACTAAATTCAACAGTTTTTGACCTATGACATCTTCATTGTTGAATTTGATTTTTAATAGTTTTCACTTAAATTTGTTTTAGTGAGCTGAAATTATTTTTGAGATTTTTTTTTAAATTCTAAATAGTTAGGTTTTTCATACCTTTTTGAAGTTTTAAACCTGACATTGAAAATTAAGGGCAAACCTCTTAAGTCTACAACTTTATGAGTTTTTATGTTAAACATACTCGTCTATGCCTTTATGATTTTTGCATGTAAATATACTTATGTATATTTAATTATGTAAATATACTTATGTATATTTACCCAAATCGAGACAGAGAACACTCTTGGCACTCCCACTGGCGCCCTTAAGGTAGCTCCCCTTCAATAGCTCCCCAAAGTAAGCATTAGCTTGAATTCCAAAACTGCAGACTTGTATTGCCTGTTCTTTATATCACATAAGTGGACCATAACCTCTGTATTTTGACTGCCTTGTTTCGCTCAGTAATGTGAGTGAACTCATTCTTCCTGCCCCTTATACAGGCGTGTAGAAGTCCTTATATGAACATCTCGCTTGATGGCTGTGCTCTATCCGTTTAACACATTGCTTGATGTGAATAGAAAATAATCTGTTTTTAAAGCATTGCATTTTTATTTATAAAAGAGCTAATACACTGCTAGGTTGGTGGACATTTTTTTTTGCATCAACTTTACTGTTTTCAGCTGCCGACATTTCTGAGTATTTGGCCGTCAGTTTTCCAGCATCTCCTCTGAGGGTGCCGCGACCTCCCCTCTGGCTACGTTCCAAGCTTCTCCTTGTCTTTGGGTTTTAGCTTCTGACTGGGGCATGCCTATGCCTGGCTCTATTTGCATTTATCCTGCTGAGATTTCTAACAGTTCTTGAGTCTTTGCCTTTGATTATTATTTGTTTTTATCTGGGGGAAATTCTCCGCCATCATCTCTTTGAGCAATGCACCCCTCTCATCTATGTGGTCTTTATGTCATGTGCCAGTATCTCGTGCTCTTTTCTGTCATTTTCCAGCCTTGTTGCTCTCTCTGCCTTTGCCTCTCCTCTGCTATCCAATCTGTTAATCTATTTATTAATTAAGGTCAGTGTTGGCTTTCTAATATCCATTTGACATTTTAACATAGGTTCTGTTTCTGCAAAAAAAATGCCCCATCTTGTCTTCTATTTTAGTGAATATATGAGTCAGTTGCTTTTCAGTCTGTCTGCTGCAGCTGATAGCCAGGCCTCTGTCCCTCTGTTTCTGGGCTCTAGTTTTTGCTGTTGTCCCAGATCTCATTAGGGCTGGTAATTTTTCATATAACAATGTTTGACATGTTATGTGATAAGCTTCACTGACTCTGGAAGGTTCCCTCGGAGGGGGCTGGTCCTCTCGTACATGGCCAGGCAGCACTGGGGAAGACCACGTCTGCAAAGCCTCAGAGCAGCCAATGGAGGCAGTCGGCCTCTCTTGAGTCTGATCCCCTGAAGTAACTCTTGGGGTCCCAGATCAGACCCTGAGGGTTTATAAGAGTATTTACTGTTCTAAACGATTTTTAGACTATAATGTTTGTCTTCTCATTATTCATTAAATCTTACTTCTTAAGAAAAACTTTTAAAAGTTCAAGTTGGATTTATATCATCTTTTTTGCTGAACTTCTGAGCCTCTTAGTCTGTACCAGCTGTGGATTCATGAGCACTTCGACGGAGAAGAGAGCAGGACCTCCTGTTTTAACCCTCCTGAGTTATCTGGTTCCTAATCCTGGCTTTCCACACGAATAACATTTGTGTCCACAGCACCCTGAGGTCCGCAGAAGCTTTGCTTGTCTGCCACCTCCCACTGGGGCTCCCCGCCTTCCGCTCGGATGCTGTCCCATGCCAGGATGCCTAGGGGTGCACCCTGAAAAGAATCATCTGGCCTCTCTGGGGTCCCCCACATCAGGGGTCTGCCCCTTCAGGACTGGCTGCCTGAGCCACCTCACAAATGATTTTAATCCTTTTTAAAATTAGATGTCCCTGTTTTCCTCACTCTCCAGAATGCTGATCTTCCTCAAGCTATGGCACACCATGGGCCCCAGTTTCTTTAATAAATATTATCCACCCGAGCCAGTGAACGCTTGGTGCCCAGCATCGGTGCTCTGTGCACTCACTCTTGCAGCTTCGAAAAGCGCCAGACTTACTCTTGGAAAAAGTGCAGTTGAAATGTGACGCCTTGATATTTTATTAGCAATCGTGCACCTCAAACCTTCAACTGCCACAATAAAAGTAAATGAGCATAACTTACCCAGGGTTTCTTGACGTAATTATAGCTTTTCAAAAGAGGAAAATTTTGCCTGGAAACTAGCTTTCAAGCAGAAAGGAAGGCAGAAAAAGTCCTGGGACATACACCTGACTGCAAAGACAATCATTAAATTGGCTGGAGAAATCTGCAAATACAGCAAATGCTATTTTTGTCCCAAGCTCGAATAGATCATGGCTTTTCCTAATTTAAACATCTCTGGTAAAATAGCTGAGTTTGAAGTCCAAATGTGGCAGATGTCTAAATAAGTTCTGTGCCTGTGTAAAGAATAAGCTGCCATGCAGGGGAAAATGCCTCTTCTGTCGGCAAGAAGTGGTTTCTGCTTTGGTGCTGTTCCCTGTGTCTGCATGTGCAGGAGTGACTTTGTGCACCTCCCTGGGTTTCTTCACCCTCCTGCCCTGTGGCTGAAGGGAAGTATGCCTGAGCGAATTCATGTTGCCCTCCCCGTTTTGTCTCATGGATCATGAGTTCAGACCTAGCACACTGTGCAGCACCCAGAAGCACAGTCCTGCTCAAAATGCTCCTTTCCACCGACACTTATCTCCCCTGCCTCTGACTTCCTCAGCATCACCGCTCCCTGCAACAGAGCCAGAGCTGATTGAAAAACACTTAGGTAAATATTGAGTTCCCCAGTCTGGGGCGATTAGAATTGTCATCTTCCCAATTCTGTGAAGAAAGGCATTGGTAGCTTGATGGGGATGGCACTGAATCTGTAAATTACCTTGGGCAGTATGGCCATTTTCACGATATTGATTCTTCCTACCCATGAGCATGGAATGTTCTTCCATTTGTTTGTATCCTCTTTTATTTCCTTGAGCAGTGGTTTATAGTTCTCCTTGAAGAGGTCCTTCGCATCCCTTGTAAGTTGGATTCCTAGGTATGTTATTCTCTTTGAAGCAATTGTGAATGGGAGTTCACTCATGATTTGGCTCTCTGTTTGTCTGTTGTTGGTGTATAAGAATGCTTGTGATTTTTGTACATTGATTTTGTATCCTGAGACTTTGCTGAAGTTGCTTATCAGCTTAAGGAGATTTTGGGCTGAGACAGTGGGGTTTTCTAGATATACAATCATGTCATCTGCAAACAGGGACAATTTGACTTCCTCTTTTCCTAATTGAATACCCTTTATTTCCTTCTCTTGCCTAATTGCCCTGGCCAGAACTTCCAACGCTATGTTGAATAGGAGTGGTGAGAGAGGGCATCCCTATCTTGTGCCAGTTTTCAAAGGGAATGCTTCCGGTTTTTGCCCATTCAGTATGATATTGGCTGTGGGTTTGTCATAGATAGCTCTTATTATTTTGAGATACGTCCCATCAACACCTAATTTATTGAGAATTTTTAGCATGAAGGGTTGTTGAATTTTGTCAAAGGCTTTTTCTGCATCTATTGGAAACTACCATCAGAGTGAACAGGCAACCCACAAAATGGGAGAAAATTTTCACAACCTACTCATCTGACAAAGGGCTAATATCCAGAATCTACAATGAACTCAAACAAATTTACAAGAAAAAAAAAAACAACCCCATCAAAAAGTCGGCGAAGGACATGAACAGACACTTCTCAAAAGAAGACATTTATGCAGCCAAAAAACACATGAAAAAATGCTCATCATCACTGGCCATCAGAGAAATGCAAATCAAAACCACAATGAGATGTGTGGCCATCTCACACCAATTAGAATGGCAATCATTAAAAAGTCAGGAAACAACAGGTGCTGGAGAGGATGTGGAGAAATAGGAACACTTTTGCACTGTTGGTGAGACGGTAAACTAGTTCAACCATTGTGGAAGTCAGTGTGGCGATTCCTCAGGGATCTAGAACTAGAAATACCATTTGACCCAGCCATCCCATTACTGGGTATATACCCAAAGGACTATAAATCATGCTGCTATAAAGACACATGCACACGTATGTTTATTGTGGCATTATTCACAATAGCAAAGACTTGGAACCAACCCAAATGTCCAACAATGACAGACTGGATTAAGAAAATGTGGCACATATACACCATGGAATACTCTGCAGCCATAAAAAATGATGAGTTCATGTCCTTTGTAGGGACATGGATGAAATTGGAAATCATCATTCTCAGTAAACTATCACAAGAACAAAAAACCAAACACCGCATATTCTCACTCATAGGTGGGAATTGAACAATGAGATCACATGGACACAGGAAGGGGAATATCACACTCTGGGGACTGTTGTGGGGTGGGGGGAGGGGGGAGGGATAGCATTGGGAGATATACCTAATGCTAGATGACGAGTTAGTGGGTGCAGCACACCAGCATGGCACATGTATACATATGTAACTAACCTGCACAATGTGCACATGTACCCTAAAACTTAAAGTATAATAATAAATTAATTAATTTAAAAAAAGAAGTTACTGAAAAATAAAATAAAATAAAATAAAATACTCTAAAAAAAAAAAAAAGAATTGTCATCTTCCAAACCTTAGACATGGCCAGACATCCCCAGTGGGCTGCCAAATCCTGTCACCGTGTGCCTTCCTTAATCCAACCAGGAACTGTGTTTTACCTTTCTACCCCACACTCCTCCCAAGATGCTCAACCTTGGTTTCATCATTGTACAGATGGCTGCAGACTCAGTTGTCCAACATTCCCCTGGGGTGAGCTGATGACCTGAACCCTAAGAACGCTCGATTTGAGAACAATGTGATTTAGTGTTGTTTTTAAAGACACTAAGTTTTGCGGTGCTTTATGAAAAGCAATGGCCAGCTTGGAGAGTGAAGTGGCAATGGGGGTCATTGAAGCTCAACTGCTGTGGTCTTCCCATCCTTCAAGGTCAAGGGCACTCATCTGATGTGTAGCCTGGGGGCAGCAACAGAGACTAAAAATCCAGGGAATCAAATGAGGCAGTTCACAGCCAGGGAAGAGACTTCCATAGGGATGAGGACTAAGGCAGATAACTCCAGGATAAAATAAAAGTGACTGCACTTTCTTGCACTGCTTGGAGTCGGCTACCAAGTATGCTCAAGCATTGCTAAGAGTATCCTGATGGACGGATGCAAAAAAACAGATGTCTGCTTAGTATGCTGTGGTCAATAAATAATTAACTTGCTTTGTAAGAAGCTGTCTCAGATTGCAAATAGACCGTACCCTAGTAGGAAAGGATCAATAAAGCACAATCACTCTATTGGCCAATTAGCTGCATATTATTTAATCAAATGTGGAAATCCATCTTCTTGATGATCCATGCATTAGCCTGTTATTGCAATGCTGTAAAGAAATACCTGAGGCTGCATAATTTATAAGGAAAAGAGGTTAAATTGGCTCACAGTTCTGCAGGCTGTACAGGAAGTATGGTGCTGGCGTCTGCTTCTGGTGAGGCCTCAGGAAGCTTCCAATTGTGGTGGTGGGTGAAGGGGGCCAAAGCATCACATGGCAAGAGTGGGAGCAGGAGAGGAGGGGGTTCCCAGACGTTTAAACACCCAGAGCTCAGGTGAACTGACTGAGTGAGAACTAACTCATATCAAGGGGTTGGTGCTGAACTGTTCATGACATGACTGATTCACTTCTGTGATCTAGTACCTCCCACCAGGCCTCCCCTCTAACACTGGGGATCACATTTCACATACGTTTTGGAGGGACACACATCCAAACCACATCAGCACACATGGTCTCCAAATGTCATTTAGCCCCTCCTCATGCGATGTCAGAAGGCTGACGCCTGGGGGTGTGCAGCTTTCCAGGACATCCTTCCTGAAGGGTTGCAGCAATACTTTAAGTGTTACATACCCATGTGCTATGCCAGTGTCAGCTTTAAGGATGTGTAATAGCCAAGGGTTGAGCCATCTGGGACCAAATATCCGCTTTGCATAGACAGTGTCCATGGTGTGGATTAACCTGCTCCTGTCTGCTGCTGGGACTGGGTGCCGGCTGCTGCCGTTTTCATTTCCCGGGAGCCCTTGCTGGCCTCATAGGGTAGCATCACATGAAGGCTGCCTCCCGATGCCCAGCGCTGAGGTGTGAAGACTGCACTGTGTTCGAGACACGAGTTCCACGTGGTTGCTGCCTCCTTCACACGTCCTGTGATGGATTTCTTTTTATCAGGTGGTCTCTTGTCTGTGGTTAGCATATACACATAGGACATGAAAGACACAGGGCATGACTACAAGCCATGCATTTTCCCAGGGATCAGGACACACAGAGAGAGTTCTCCCTGCTGCCCTCCGCCCACATCATAACGAACACTCAGCTGGAGAGCTAAGAGAGGGGTCAGGGTTGAGAGGTCAAGAGTTCTGGGGTCCCTGATTATCTTCCGTCGTCGGGAGAAAGAGGAATCTGTAAGGCCTAAGCGGATGGCATGGATGCATGTAATGAAGACCGGGAAGCAGATCCTGGGTGGGAGAGCTGCTCTAAGCAGAAAAACAGCCAACTCAAATCTACCTCTGGCTGAGCCTGAGCGTCAGAGCAAGGCAGGGAAGAGTGCCCGGAATGCTGAGCCAGCCCAGGCTGCTGCAGGCTGCACTGCATGGACCTTAGCACCAGCAATGTGTGCACAGAAAAGCCGGTCCTTTCCGTTGTCACCGATTGCTTACCAAAGTGAATCTGGGTAGCGTCGACTCTGCTGTTGAAAGTATCTGATTTTCTGCTGCATGGATTCCTTCCCTAGGGCCAACTGTGATTGCAGACTTAATCACCGAGAAAACTTGTACCCTATAGGATAATTTTCTTGGTTTCATGCCCATACCAACTGAAACACCAGACAGACTTTTGTAAGTACCACAGGCATGTCTGGTTTTTAAGCTTCAGCAGAGATTTTTTTTTCCATTAACAATATGAAACAGACTTAAAAGAAATACAACAAAGTAATGTTCTCCTGATTTTTTTTGTGCTGATTTTGCATTTCCCTAAACTGACATTAATTTTTAAGCATACTTAATTTTAAGCTTTTTAATAAATAATATATTCAGTAGAAATCCACTCACATGCTATTCATAATTTGGAGAATTTTTGCTTATGTTGCTTTTGTTGCAATGGGGAGTCACAGTACTTTGACTATAGAAACACACACCAAAATTATGATTAGAATGTAAGTAAAAAAACAATGTGGTATGTAGCTGTCTAACAGCACTGGATGTAAAAGAATTAAACAGCACAATACATAACAATACAAAAGACAACTCCCAAGTATGTGCCAGGTTTCTTCTGATGAATTGCAAAGAAGGGATAACAATATATATTATTATTATTTGCTACTATCCCATTAAAGAAGTCTGGTTCTGGCCTCCAGTGGACAGAGGCACAGACAGGTGGAGCTGTACCTGTGGATGTACACGTATGCACACATACAAGTCCGTATGTCTAGACCGGCAGCCTTGAGCACTCAGGCCAGTTAATATCATCCCATTTTTTATGTTTCAGCTGATACTATTTTTGAACTATAAAATAAAATGTCTAAACATCAGAAAACAAGCATTCTATGTCTCTCTTGGAGGCAGGAATATCTTTTCATTGGTTGACAAAGTGCACTTCATATCTGAAGTTAGATTTTTATTCTTCCATGATGAGGATTGTGACTCAATACGTCAGTTGGTCCTGGCTCTCTTGATCTAAGGACACACAATATTTCAAGAGTATTTGGAATGCTTAGCTTAACTAAGATGGTTTCAGTATGAATGGGAAATCGGGACATACATATTCAAAATGCATGTTGTTTTATGAATAAATTAATCCATTAAGAATAACTAAAATGATATGACAAAATGCAAAGACATACTTGTCTCTAAGTTTTAAATAATGCAGTGAATAAATCTATCTTTCTTGATATAAACACACAGAGAGATAAAATTATCTGGAAAGATATATACCAAGGTGTTGTTGGTTTTATTGTGGGTAATTTTTTAAATATTTATTTTCCTAAAATTTTGAATTTTCTAAGTGTCCTGTAAGAGATATCTATTTCTTTATTCTTTAAGATCACATTTTTTTAGTACACAGAATTATAGGTGTAGAAAAACATTGATGCAAACATCCCCATTGAAAAATAACATTTATATAGTTTAGTTTAGAACTTTTGAATGCAAAAGAAATAAACGTAGGCTGGGCACAGTGGCTCACACCTATAATCCCAGCACTTTGGGAGGCTGAGGCGGGTGGATCACGAGGTCAGGAGATTGAGACCATACTGGCTAACATGGTGAAACCCCGTCTCTACTAAAAAATACAAAAAATTAGCCGGGCGTGGTGGCAGGCACCTGTAGTCCCAGCTGCTCAGGAGGTTGAGGCAGGAGAATGGCATGAACCCGGGAGGCGGAGCTTGCAGTGAGCCGAGATAGCGCCACAGCACTCCAGCCTGGGCGACAGAGCAAGACTCCGTCTCAAAAAAAAAAAAAAAGAAAGAAATGTAACACATCCATGAACAGAATTAACAACAAAAACCATCTCAATAGATACAGAAAATGCATTTGATAAAATCCAGCATTGCTCCATGATGAAAACCCTCAACAAACTAGTCAAAGAAGGAACATACCTCAAAATAATAAAGCCCATATACAACAAACCCACAGCCAACATCATACTGAACAGGGAAAAGTTGAAAGCAATCCCTCTAACAACTGGAACAAGACAAGTGTGGCCGCTTTTACCACCTCTATTCAACATAGTACTAGAAATCCTAGCCAGTGCAATCAGGCATGAGAAAGAAATAAAAGGCATTCAAATTGGAAAGGAGGAAGTCAAATTATCACTGTTTGCTGATGATATGATCTCATACCTAGAAAACCCTAAAGACTCCTCCAAAAAGCTCTTAGATTTGATAAATGAATTCAGTAAAGTTTCAGGATACAAAATCAATGTACAAAAATCGGTAGCATTTCCATACACCAATAATAATCAAACTGAGAACTGAATCAAGAAGGCAATTCCATTTACAATAGCTACACAAAATAAAATACCTAGAAATATATTTATCCAGGGAGGTGAAAGATTTCTACAAGGAAAACTACAAAACAGTGATGAAAGAAATTGTAGTTAACACAAATAAATGGAAACACATCTCATGCTCATGAATTAGAAGAATTAATATTGTTAAAATGGCCATACTACAAAAAGCAATCTGTAGATTTAATGTAATTCCTATGAAAATATCAATGCCACTTTTACAGAATTAGAAAAAAAACAATTCTAAAATTTATATGGAAACAAAAAAGATCCCAAATAGCCAAAGCAATCCTAAGTAAAAAGAACGATGCTGGGGGCATCACATTACCTGACCTCAAATTATACTGCAAGACTATAGTGACCAAAACAGCATGGCACCATAGTATGAAACAGCAGTATGAAAATAGAGACATATATCAATAAGCAGAATAGAAAAACCAGAAATAAAGCCACATACTTATAGCCAACTTGTGACAATGTCAACAAAAGCATACACTGGTGAAAGAACACTCTTTTCAATAAATGGTGCTGGGAAAATTGGATTGCCATATGCAGAAGAATAAAACTGGATTGCTATCACTCACCATATATGAAAATCAACTCAAGATGGATTAAGACTCAAATATAAGATCCAAAACTAAAAACAACACTGCAAGAAAACCTAGGGAAACTCTTCTGGACATTGGTCTAGGCAAAGACCAATAAAAACAAAAAGCAGTAAAAACAAAAATGGAAAAATGGGACTTAATTAAATAAAAAAGCTTCTGCACAGCAGAAGAAACAATCAACAGAGTAAACAGACAACCTGCAGGAGGGGAGAAAATATTTGCAAACTATGCAAACGACAGGGAACTAATATCAGAATTTACAGAGAACTCAAACAACTCAACCACAACAAAAACAAATAACCCCAGTAAAAGCAGCCAAGGGACATGAATAGACATTTTTCAAAATAAGACATACAAATGGCCAGCAAGCATATGAAAAAAATGCTCAAATCACTACTAATCAGAGAAATGCAAATTAAAACCACAATGAGATACCATCTTACACCAGTCAGAATGGTTATGATTAAAAAGTCAAAAGTAACATATCTTGGTGAGGATGTAAGAGAAAAGGGAACTCTTAGACACCATTGGTGGGAATGTAAATCAGTACAACCTGTATGGAAAACAGTATGGAGATCTCTCAAATAACTAAAAATAGAACTGCTATGGGATCCAGCAATCTCATTAATGGGCATCTACCAAAAGGGAAAAAAAATCTTTATATAAAAAAGATACCTGCCCTTGTATGTTTATCACAGCACTATTCACAACAGCAAAGTCATGGAATCAACCTAAGTATTTATCAACAGATGATTCAATAAGGAAAATGTGTTATTGTTCCAAAATGGAATACTACTCAGCCATTAAAGAGAATTACATTATTTCTTATACAGCAACATGGATGGAACTGGAGGCCACTGTCTTAAGTGAAACCACTTAGAAACAGAAAGTCAAATACCACATGTTCCCACTTATAAATGGGGCTAAATAATGTGCACACATGGACATGGTGAGTGGAATAAAAGACACTGGAGACTTGGAGGGTGGAAGGGTGGGAGGGAGGTGAGGAATGAGAAATTACTTAAGGGGTACAATGTATATTATTCAGCTGACGGCTACACTAGAGCCCTGACTTCACCACTACACAATATATCCATGTAACAAAAGTGCACTTGTATCCCTTCCATTTATACCAATAAAAAATACTTAATTTCTTAGCATTATTCCTCAGTAACTTGTAGGCATCCAATCTTCAAATTTAAATGGAATCTTGCTTATTTGAAGCCCCTACTATTTGCAAAGGGAGTTCCATCCTCACGCAGACCCTAACACTCAAGAATACAGCAAAACCATTTAGCATTAAGGAGACCCAGACTTTCTGGATGTTACTGTTACTGAGTGTTGTGCTGAGTGCTTTATATATATGATTCTTTCATTGCTTACAGTTACAAGTCTATGAAACAGATATGACTGTTGCATTTCACAAGTGAGAAAGTTCAAGCACAGACAAATTACTTAGGACCCATGAACTGGGTCATAGCTGGGGTTTGGACTCCACAGTCCATCCCTGAGCCCTGGACTCAGCCTCTGTTCTTTCAGCCACCGCCATTTGGTGCCACAGCAAAGGCTGTCTTCCACCAGAAAGGAAATATTTGCAAGTCAAGTATGAGCTTCAAGTAAGAAGGAGTTGCATTAAAATGAAATAAAACAGAATGATAGTGCATTGCTGCAAACTAGTGTAGATAGAAAGTGGGCTGATGTATAAAGCATCCATGGAAGAGCTGCCCCACCCTGGACTCCCATGAGGAGCAGCCCCGTGCATGCACTGGGTAGGAAGGGATGGGTGCCCTGCGAGGCCCGGGCCTGAGTCGCCCCAGACACACACAGCAGACTTTGTTTCTCTCTCTGCTGACTGTGCTCTTTCTATGCCCAGAGTAACATTTTAATGCCACTGAGGATAATTTAAATCCTAGGATTGTTAGAAAATCTTCATAGACTCAGAGAGAACCGTTCTGAGAAACCGTATGTTTTCTACCTTTCTCATTTATTTATGTTCTTCTCATATATTTCTCAACTTTGTAGAAGAAACTACAAATTATGAGAGAGAGGGAGAGAAAGTGGAAGAGACAGAGAGGGGAGAAGAGAGAGGGAAAAGTGGATGCCAGTGAGGACCCTCATTCAACCCTAATCTGGATTTTCAAGCTCCTGGGGCGCTCATGAGGACCAAAGATGGTAAATGAACTGAAGCAAAGGGAAAAAGGTGAAAATGAAAACTCTTAGTAACAATCGGCAGATGTGTGGCGTTGGGAGACCCACCTGTGGGCTTGGACTGCGTTGCCACACCCTGTGTTAATAACTGGATTGGAAAGAAAGAGGATTACAGCCAATTTAGACGGATGCACCCTGCCCACCCTGCGATGGAGACAGGATGTGTTTTCTGAGTTAGACGAGTGATGGGCGAGGGAACTGTCCGCCAATTCCTTAAACTTTAACTTCAGCCACACCCCTGGTAGCTGTTGGTAGGCACTGCCTCTGATTTCAGGGGCCTAGGCGGCCGAATCTCAGAAGGAACCTGTGCAATAAATCCCAGTTGAAAGACCTGGCCCAGCCTCTGTTCTCCGGAGTTATCTGGGGGGCTCCCAAACATCATTCCATGAGATTATAAGGGATTAAGGAAGAAACGAGCTCCCAGATCAACCAGCAAATGGAACAGGGAGCAAAGACGCTGAGAGGCAAATGTGGAGAGAATGTGGAGGAGGTGAAGAAGGGGCAGGAAAGCAGGCCTGGGGCTCGGGGCTAGTGGTGTGTGTGTTTCCCCGGGCTGCTGGGAGTGGCAGAGATGGACCCTCTCACCCTCTCACAGCTCTGGGGCTGAAGCCTGACACTGGATGTCTGCAGGGCCGGGCTCCCTCTCAGCTTCTGGGGACACCAGCCGTCCCCGACATTCCCTGGCTCAGACGCACCCTCCCAGCTCAGCCTCCATCATCACAGGGCCATCCCCTGGCTCTGCCCTTCACAAGGCCTCGTCGTGGGCTCAGTCCTAAACCCTTCCTACAAGGGCGCTTGCAACACGGGATCAGGCCCACCCTAGTGAGCTCCTCTGAAATTAATGGCAAAGACCCTGTTTCCAAATAGGGTCCCATTTACAGGCATCAGGACTGAAGACTTCACCATTCCATTTTTGGGAAATAGTGCAAACCACAGTGGGAGGGGAGGGGGAACATTTTATCAAATCACAGTGATGTGAGCACAGGCCTGGCTGCTGAGAGGACAGCACCG
The DNA here is from genome assembly GCF_000001405.40 of Homo sapiens. Lineage (NCBI taxonomy): Eukaryota > Metazoa > Chordata > Mammalia > Primates > Hominidae > Homo > Homo sapiens. The sequence continues at coordinate 169,041,744 of NC_000006.12, forward strand.
TGCAGGGAAGAGACCGACCCTGGAGAGCAGGGATGGTCGCCTGGACACGGATTCCGCATGAGGGACGATGATGAGCAGAGATGATCTCACGAGGGAGAACGAGGATCCAGGAGACGCTGACAGCCACCAGCAAAGGCTGACCTGCCATTTGCAGGGCTTGGCCCTGCAGAGGACATGGGGCATGTGGTCACCCCCTCTCCTGTGTTTCCTTTTTCCCCAGGATCAATTGGAGAATTTTCTGTGGCTTCTTCTAAGTTTAGAGTTAACTGCTGTTTTGTGAAAATGGCCCCGAGGGAAGCTCAGAATTCTCCCCACCATGGCTGGTTGAGGGGCTTCCTGGGGAAGCGTTTCTGAAACTCTGCTGTCAGAAAAGCTAACAGCAGGCTGTCCTTGGTAGGACTTGAATAGTTTAATATGAATTTCTTTTTACAAAAAATTATGGTTATAAAGTATTTGCTATACCTTGCTAAGTATGCAATGTTGTGCAAACAGAGTGATTCATGGTGTTTCAGAACTTGAAATCAACAGATTGTAATAAAAATGCCCCCACTTAGGAAGAAAGAGGATGTTGCAGGCAGGTGGTGGAGATGGGCTTGCTGAATCTATGACACTGATTTGCTTTTCTTACATACATAACCCGCTCATATTTAAGGACCCCTGGACTCAATATTTCACTTCGAACTCCTGAACTTTCAGCACGCACAACACCGTGTCCAGTGCTACACACAGGAAGAGATCCTCTCAGCTGCTGGCAGTGAAGGGAGAAGGATCCACTTGGGCTTAAACTGAGGGCACTCCCAGCATTTAACTAGCTCATTAGAATGAGTATTTATGAAGTCGATTTCCTCCTATACACAGAATGGAATTCAACTTGCTGTATTCCACACGTGAGACCCAACGTGTTAAACAACATGCCTCCAAAATAGGAATTTTAACCAAATCTTTGTTCGGCTTTCTTTAACTCAGAATTAATTAAAGTGCTGATTACTTTAGGGGGCACAGGGGGAGGATGTGGTGGACAGGCAGAGAAATAACTAGAATTCTACCAGAAAGCTCAAACTGGTGTAAAACGGAAGCTTGAACATCATAATCATAATACAGCTATGCCAACTCCAAAGAAGTACCAAACTCTACCAAAGAGTGGCCACTCCTGGATGCTGAAGAAGAGCATTGTTTGGGCAGCGGATAAAGGGAGAAGAGCCTGGGGCAGAAGCCTTGTCCCGGGAACCCAGCACCCTCATGCCTTAGGGTAGCAGCCCTGGCTGTTCCTTCCTGTGCCACGGGTGTCCCTGGAAGGAGAAGGAGTGGAACCTGCCCAGCTGCAGCTCTGCTTTGTTCTGTGATGAAACAATACCCCCTTTGAAAGCCTATTGATTTCTCTAATGGTTCTTCAGTCTATGGAAGACGTGACCCATGCTGGTCAGGACAGGTTTCAGCGCCCGTGCCTTCTGTGTCCACCACGTAGGCAGGGGCTCCTGCTGAGAGCCAGGGGAGCCAGTTTCACACTGGCTTTGCCTAAGTAGCTGCGGGCCTTCCCATGCATATATTGAGGTGTTTTTACTGCCACATCCCTGGTTACTCCAAGCTCTGAAATAGAGGAAGCCCTCAGTGCTGCCTCTTCCCCAGCGCCTCTGTGCCAGGCTCAGTGCTGGGCTCTGGGTACCCGTCCACGTCCGTGTTGTGACTCAGCGCTGCCCCCCAACCACCCAGGGCCAGTTGATGAGGAGAGTAGGGTTCATCTTGGAAAGACCAAGCCCTGAAGACAGAACAGAACTTGGACTTGCTGCACGTGGAGGCCCTGGGGAAGCTCCCCAAGCACAACCCTCTCCAGAGGCTCCTCTTTCTAGTGGATGATTCTCAAAACAGCGCTTCTTCCAAGTTTCACTTGGTGCATACTTTATAAGGAAGCCATGGATTTGGAGTGATACCTTGAAGGTCATGGATATGGGATGTCTGTCGTGACACTGATGATAAACAGCCAAGTGAAATTTGGTTTCAATGACTGTGCAGCTGTCTCGGCTTTGGCCGGGTTTTGTGAGGCACCCTCCAGAACCCCAATGCCAGGAGCGCTAAACTTTCCCTTGTCACGGGGCTTTCGTTCCCACAGGACAAAACAAAAGAACACGTTTAGGTGCTCAAAGGATGCAGCATTCATCATTCAAACTGTGCTTCTCGTTTCTTATTTGTAAAATGGGTCTAATCTAAATAATTCCTCAGAGCATTCCTGTGAGAGATAAATTAGCTAATGCAGCAAAATTTTTGAAACAGTGTGTAGAATGGAAAGGAGTAGCCTCTGGAGAAGTATTTACATTTTACAGCGTCATTCACGCCATTGCTCATACTCACGTGGGGGCACCTCTGCTGTCTGAAGATGCGCTTCTGAATTGTATTTCGTATGAGTAGCCTTCTTCCCAAAGCAATGAAAAGGTATTCTGGAGAAATCAGATTATTGAGCTAGTATAAGCAAAGGATTTTCGCGCCAGTCAGGAGAGGTAGACACAAAAGCTTACAGGCTGGTTCTGAGTCTCACTGGCCATGGGCTTGTGCCGTGTGATGGGGAGGACGCCCATCCGTGTTTCTGAGAGCGAGTGAGATCCATTGTTAAGTACATAAGAACAATAAAACTGAGGAAACTGTGTTACAGAAATGCTGTATTAGAAGAAAAAGAAAGGTTTCTGAAATCTTCAGGCCTCCAAGGCTGAGCTACTGCAAACCTCCATACCCGTCTGCCTGTCCACCAACCTTCCAGCCTGAGTTTCCTCACTAAGCAGTGGTGTGGTCTCCTAAGGGCCTGAAGAATGAGGCTTGCTCAGTCAGCAAAGTGGAGTCCCAGAGCTGCCTGCAAACACTTTTTCCAGAGTGAGATAGAAAATGCCAAGGTTTTCTGACTCAAGAATGCTAGCAGGATTTCTGGAGCTCTTTTCAGAAGCGCTGGTTCAGGGAATTTTCCACAAAGAGAAAAATAAAAGACTACAAAATAAAAACAGCCCAGAAGCTGCAGAAGAGAGAGGGACATGTAGGAGACAGGCTGCGCTGCTTCTGCCCACATCCAGCTAAGTCTGAAGGGGCTTCACGTGGCCAGGGACCCAGCCGCGCTGGCAAAGGTGGTCAGCACATCTGTGCAGCACCTGGGCACAGCTGTTGACGTTCTTGTCCTCATAATGTCAGCCTCCTATTTAGGCTGTAGAAAAAAGCCACACTGCTTGTGAGAGCGCCCCATGAAACTGTTTGAATTAAACTTAAAAGGATCTTTGTCGACTTTGGTCAAGCACAAGACCTAACTCTCAACGGTGGTTTTACGTTTCTCCTGCGTCAAACACGTTTGCAGCCAAAGGTTTGTTAAATAAACTTCCAGCACCAGCTGCACCACAGAAAGGGTGAAGCTTCTCCTATAAAGTGTTAAAAGGCATTGTTTTTGTGTCCTTTTGGAATGACGGCCACAAGTTGCATGCCTGCACTTTTCTTTCCTTGCTCTTTTTGTTTTTGTTTTTGAGATGGAGTCTGGCTCTGTTGCCCAGGCTGGAGTGCAGTGGCATGATCTCAGCTCACTGCTGCAACCTCAGCCTCCCAGGTTCAAGCAATTCTCCTGCCTCAGCCTCCTGAGTAGCTGGGATTATAGGCATGTGCCACCACCCCTGGCTAATTTTTGTATTTTTAGTAGAGATGGGGTTTCACTATGTTGGCCAGGCTGGTCTCGAACTCCTGACCTCAGGTGATCCACCCACCTCAGCCTCCCAAAGTGCTGGGATTACAGACGTTAGCCACCTCACCCGGCCTCTTGCTCTTTTTGGTGTCCTGTTGCCAGCACTGGCTCATAGCACCCGGCCTCTTGCTTTTTTTGGTGTCTTGTTGCCAGCACTGGCTCATAGTACCCGGCCTCTTGCTTTTTTTGGTGTCTTGTTGCCAGCACTGGCTCACAGCACCTGGCCTCTTTCCTCTTGTTGGTGTCTTGTTGCCAGCACTGGCTCACAGCATGCTGTGCACAGCATTGGCTCAGGTTGTTGGGTTTCTCTTGCCTTTCCGGTCTCACCATGCAGCCCTGAGTGTGCACCTGCCAAATAAAGCTCAGTAGTTTAACCTCCACCACAGGCTCTGCTTTGCAGACAATTTGGGTTCAAACAATCACCTTCTAAAATTGTTACAGGACCATGTCCAAAGTGAGAACACCAGTTCAGAGATACAAACACACATTAGATTTCTATGTTAGTTATGAGTCAATTGATTTTCTTAAATATAACTTTCTTCAAGATTATAATATATCTTACACTACCTTTTATTGAAAAAGTATTATTTCTAGGATACAGAAATGCTTAGAAATAATATTTCATAATGAAACCAGAAGAAACAACTTTATTTTTGTAATCTGTATTTTATTAGGCTTGGCATTTCTTTGCATGTGAAGAAATGAGTATTTGGAATATATAAGTTGAATGCCAAGTGACTATTTCCTGCATTGAAGTAAGTGAATTATCCATTGTAACTCAACTGCTGTCTGTGGTTTATATTAAATACTAGGATATGTTTACCCAGCTGATTTTTATAACTACATAATTTTGAAATATCCACAGAAATACATCTAGCAACCAAAACATAGACCTGAATACCTTTTGTTATAACCAAGCCTGAGACTGTCATTCCAGATGTGATTACAGTTCCTAGTCAGTTGACTTTAAGGACAGGGGATCACCTGGTGGGTCTGACTTCGTTAGTTTGAAGGTCTTGAAGCAGACTGGGACTTCCCAGAGGAGGAGAAGAAATGCTGCTGGAGGACGACCCTTTGGCTAATGCCCATGGTATTCCCAGTGGATCAGGTTCTTCCCTCCTGCCATCTTGTTCTACATGATTCCAACTTGCTTCACCAGCCCCAGCACTGTGTGAGTCAATTTCTTATAATAAATCTTGGCCTGTACCTCTGTGGCTGAAGTGTGACCAAGATGCCATTCATTTTGATCCAGTTCCACAAAGATGCATGAAGCATTGACTGTGTGCCAGAGACTGAGGCTGGAGAGCCGAGTGAGTCATGGTCTTTGCCCTCAATGCACAAGGGACCAGCAGGAGAGACAAAATGAGACACGAGGCTGCACAGTGTGCTGAGAGCAGCATCTGAAGCAACTCACGGGTACAGGGGCACTGATTTTTTTGGGAGGGCCACAAGGGCCTGCTGAGGACAAGGACCAAAGAACATGGGGTGCTCATCCCACAGAACAGAAGCAAGGAAGGGTTGCAAGCAGGGCAGGAACAGCATTCCTGCCACTGACTGAGATCTCTAGTGTATGCAGCAGCTAAGAAAAGGCTAGAGCCATGCAGACAAGAGTGAAATGGCGAGCGCCAGGGCAGGGGAGTGGCGGAATGAGGGGTCGAGGTTTAAGGGCATGGATCGCAGTTATGTGGGATCAATTAGTCTAGAGGACCAGTGTGCAGTGTGGGAACTGTAGCTTATAATACCGCCTCATAGATGGGATATTTGCTGAGAGAGTAGATTTTAGGTGCTCTTATCACACAAAAAACTAGCCATGGGAGGGGATGGCTGCATTATTTGGCTGGCTGTAGTGATCGCTGGGCTGTGAACATGTATCTCAAAGTGTCATGTTGTGCACCGCAATTAAACAGAATAAAAATAAAATTTCAGAATGAGAAAATAACAACCAATTACTCAATAATGTTGGAGGTGAAATAGGAGGAGGGATGACAAGGACAGTGTTCTCTGGGGGCTCAGGGTGTGATGGGCACTGATTTGGGCAACCATGGGATGTGCCTCCTGTTAGGTCCCATGCGTCTGCACCCTGCAGAGCATGGGCCTGGGCAGGGCTGTTTGCCATTGTGGAAGGGCAGATCCCACGGGGAGAGGAAGGTTCTTATCTCCCTGCCCTGCAGACCCCAAGACAAGGCAGTTTGGAGGGAGCAGTTGCGGGGGACGAGATAAATGGCACTAAAGGAGTTGTAGAGGAGAAATGTGTCGTTTCCAAGGTGCTCCGATCAGAAAAAAAGGTTGTTATTTAAAGAAGAGAAATGTTGCTGGGTGCAGTGGCTCACGTCTGTAATCTCAGCACTCTGGGAGGCTGAGGGGGGAGGATCACTTGAGGTCAGGAGTTCAAGACCAGCCTGTCCAACATGGTGAAACCTCTCCTCTACTAAAAGTACAAAAAATTAGCCAGGCATGGTGGCGGGTGCCTGTAATCCCAGCTACTCGAGAGGCAGACGTTGCTGTGAGCCAAGATCACGCCACTGCACTCCATCCTAGTGACAGAACTAGAATCCATCACACACACACACACATGCACACACACACACACACAGAGACAGAGAAGAGAAATGTTGATGAGTGAATGTGTGTTTTCTCACTGTGTGATGGGCAGCCTCTTCTTCTGCCCCTTGCTTTCCCATGAAGTATATTTTAGATATATATATATATATATATCTTATATGAGAGACTTTTAAAAAATGTAATCTGTAAAGTAGGCAGAAAGGATGGAGGAAGTAGTGCTATTGGTTCATGATTGGATTCATTTGAAAAGACAAAAGCCTGAAAACACAGAACAAACAAAGGACACAGCACAAAGACACAGAAGCCCCCAGAGGCAGAGGTCACTGAGAGGTGATTATCCTCCCCACGCGGAGCCACCCAGATAAACTGCGAGGGCTGTAGGGCCCGGCACAGCGGGCGTTGGGAGCCACCTCACCTCAAGTCGCCTATGCACCTGAACAGGTGCGCTCTTTTCTTCTGTGAGCATAGAGGCCTCGCTTCCAAGGGAGGAGCCTCAGGACAATTATTCCTCAGGTGTGGCTGGAGGGCAAAAAAGTGTGTTATTTTTCTTGATTAAACAGAACAACATGAATTCTATTTTTTTAAATGTGTATTTTGGTCAGTCTTCCTGTCCAATCCAAGCTGTGAAATTTAAATATTAAAAACAGCAACAACAAGAACAGTCAAAGCCTTCCCATCTCACTGCACGACTTGATCATACAGTGGGCTGAGTCTAACTGGAAAGGCAAGAACCCCGGCGCGAATTCGCCGGGACCCGAAGCGAAGTTCCTCCCTCATTCTGCTGAGCAGAGACCAAGGCTGCCTTCACGTTTTTAACTAAATTCACATAATTTTGAATTCAAACTCAGTATGTTAAGAAGAAAGCTACTTATCATTACATATGATTTTGTGATTTTACACGGATGTCATAAGGTTTCCATTTACAGTTTTGAAACTTGCTTCCTCTCTTAATCCCCGCCCAGCCCTAGGGTTCCTGAGATCACGGTGTGGCAGCGGCCCCGCCACCCCAGGACAGCTCCTCCCTTGTGCAACCCCAACACAGCAGCAGCCACACCTCCCGTTGTCAACCAGCGTCTTCCATCACTCAGAGTCTCAAATGCTGATAATCGCAGTTTTCCAAGGAATTATTAGCTAACGTTTTGGACACATTAATTTCTCTGAAACTTTCTTCAGGAGGTTTCGTATACACGGCAATTTTAATCCATTAGAGAAATAAATGATGGCATAACAAAATATTCAGTATGGGATCTCAGTAATTATAAAGTCTATTTAAAGTGTTCCACGAGCTTTTATTTAAGTCATTTTGGGCTTTTTTTCCCCCATTCTTTGGGAAACACATGTGCACTCTCTGAATATACAGGATAATGGTATTTATTTACCACTCCACTCCCACTTTTCATTTTTTGTATAAAGCTTACACACCTAGAACTTTAAATTTTTTTCATCTAATTATACAACAAATATATTTATTTAAAAATTTGATAACTTATACATTTTGCAATGCCCCATAATCAGAACACACAGTGATAACCAGTGTTAGCATGTTAATACATGCACTTGTATATGGATTTCTCAATTCCTGCAAATATTGTTTAAATGAATCATGTGGTGGATTTTTAACTTATTTGTTTTGAAAATACAGATACTTACTAAAGCCTAAAACATAATCGCAGAACTTACAATTTTTATATGTAACAAAACCCCACGTGAAGCCTCTTGTGGTTCCCTTACCCACATCAGGTTACTTCTTTTTTTTTTTTTTTTTCTCTGAGATGGAGTCTCGCTCTGTCACCCAGGCTGGAGTGCAGTGGCGCGATCTCGGCTCACTGCAAACTACGCCTCCTGGGTTCACTCCATTCTCCTGCCTCAGCCTCCCGAGTAGCTGGGACTACAGGTACCCGCCACCACGCCTGACTAATTTTTTTTTTTTTTTTTTTTTTTTTGTATTTTTGGTAGAGACGGGGTTTCACTGTGTTAGCCAGGATGGTCTTGATCTCCTGACCTCATGATCCGCCCGCCTCGGCCTCCCAAAGTGCTGAGATTACAGGCGTGAGCCACCACGCCTGGCCCCACATCAGGTTACTTCTAGCCTTATTTTAATGTTAATAATAAGTTTCTTGCCTTTCTCTGCAATTTTACCCCAAGGATATGAGTCTTTTACCACTGATTCAGTTTTTGTTTTGCTTTGTTTTTGCAGTCTACACAAACAAAGTTTTAACATATGTCAAAATTTACACATTTGCTGCTTTTAAATATCTTTAATGTTATCAATAGAACAAATTAATTAATTTTATCTTCTTAGAGCTGGCAAAAAAGTACATAAATTTTAAAAATTGTCTTTATAGTCAGCAAGATTACTTTTCTTCTTTTTAATATACACTTTTTAGGTATCAATATATTAGAAATACTTTCTGTGTCACAAAATATTAGTCTAAGACCTCATAATTCAAACATAACTTATGTAACCAACAACCTACTGGAGAAATGCTAGCTTCTTTCTAATAATTATGCAATTTCAGAGGATAATTTCATTGAATTATAATTGTTGTGTTATTAGCTTTTGTTATGTATCCATCTCAAAAGTTATACTTCCAGCAGTTGTGTATCCAAGAATCAATTTTCCATTATTCTCTAAATATATAATAATATTGTTTCTAGTTTTTATGTTGATGTATTGATTTGTGAGTAATAGTAGGTCACTATTTTAATGAGTGTTTTTATTTTAAATTTATATTAATTTTTGGACAGTTATATTTTATATTTGATGAATTGTTCTCAAATTTATTTAACATTCAACTTTTTAATTTTTTTATTTTCAGAAGGTTTGGATATTTATGCAATTAAACCTATTTTACCATAACCACTATTATTTATGCCATGTCTTGCCTTAATAAATGATTATATAAATATCAACTTATCTTTCCTTCTTGTAGCTTTATATGATTTAATTTTTATAATAGGCTCTTAGATCATTTGAAATGCAGTCATGTTTAGTGTCACTTTAAATTTTGCCCAGAATTTGATTGTTTTTCAAGAATAATTCAGTCTTTCTCCATCCTTTTTTAACTTTTTTTCTTTTTTGTTAAATATCTTTAGTGAGATATCACTGACACGTAAAAATGTGCATGTATTTGAGGTGTACATCTTGATGTCTTGTTATGCATATACATTGTGAAATTATCAGCAAGATTAAACTAATTGGCATAACTATTACCTCTATGTAGTTATTATGTCTGTGTCTGTGTGTGTTCGTGTGTGGTGAGAAGATTTTCTTTAAGAGCTATCCTCTTAGCAAATTTTGAGTATGCAACAAAGTATTGTTGAATATTATCACCTTGTTGTACATTAGATCTCCAGAATTTATTCCTCCTGTCTAACTGAAACTTTGAAAAATTTGGCCATAATCTCCCCGTTTCCTCCTACCCCAGCCCCTGGCAACTACCATCCTACTCTCTGCTTCCTTGAGTTTGACTACTGTAGATTCCACATATCAGTAGGATTATGCAGTATTTCTCTTACTGTGTCTTGTTTATTTTGCTTGGCACAATGTCCTCCAGCCCCATCATTGCCTTTATCCATTTATCCATCATAATGGCCATTCTAATTTGCATTCCCACCAATAGTGTGCAAGAGTTTCCTCTTCTCCACATCCTGTCCAACACTTATCTTTTGGATAATAGCCATTCTAGCAGGTGTTCACTGACACCTTATTGTGGTTTTCATTTGCATTTCCCTGATGATTGGTAATTTTGATCATTTTTCGTATTCCTGCCAGCTATTTGTATGTCTTCTTTTGACAAATGCCTATTGAGGTCTTTTGCTCACTTTGTAATTTAGTTATTTGCTTTCTTGCTATTGAGTTGTTTGAGTTCCTTAGGGTATCAACTCCTTATCAGATACATGGTTTATAAATACTTCCTCCCAGTTTGTAGGTTGCCTCTTCCTTTGTTGATTGTTTACTTTACTGTACGGAAGCTTTTCATTTTGATGCAAGTTCATTTGTCTATTTTTACTTTTGTTACCTGTGCCTTTGGGATCATATCAAAAAAATCAGTGTCTAGACCAATGTCATGGAGATTTTCCCCTATGTTTCTTCTAGTAGTTTTACAGGTTCAGGTCTTACACTTAAGTCTTTATTTTGTTTGGAGTTAATTTTGACTATGGCATAAAATAGAGATTTTGATTTTCTTGTTTCGTGAAGTGTGACATAATGTTGTTGATTTAAGATAGTTCCCCTGTTTAGATGTAGGTGCTTATCACTGTGAACTTGCCTCTTAGAACTGCTTTGCTGCATCCAGTAAGTTTTGTTATATTGTGCTTCTATTTTCATTTGTCTAAACGTATTTTTAAATTTTCCATTTTATTTTTTTAACCAGTTGGTTATTTACCAACATGTTGTTTAATATTCACATTTGTAAATTTTTAAAAATTCTATTACTGATTGCTAGTTCTGTGCCATTGTGGTGAGAAAAGATACTTAATATGATCTCAGTCTTTTAAAATATGTTAAGACTTGTTTGTCAAATAATATATCCTGGAGAATGTTTTATGTGTGCCTGAGAAGAAAGTATATTCTGCTGCTGCTGGGTAGAAGTTTTTGTATATGTCTGTCTGGCTCATTTGGTCTAAAGTGTAGTTTACATCAATCAATAAGTAAATGTTTTCTTATTGATTTTCTGTCTACATAATGTAACCTTTGTTGAAAAAGTGTTATTGAAGTTCCCTCCTATAATTTTGTTTTAGTCTCTCTCTCTCTTTTCTGATACATTAAGATTTGCTTTCTATATTTGGGTGCTCTGATATTGGGTACATACATATTTATAATTATTATACTTCCTTACTATACAGACATACCTTAAAGATATTGCGGGTTTGATTTCAGACCACCACAATGAAGCAAATATTGCAATAAAGTGAGTTGCAGAATTTTTTTTTACTTCCCAGTACATATAAAACTTATTTTACATTATACTGTAGTATATTAGGTTTACAATGATTTATGTCCAAAAATATATAAATATCTTAATTAAAAATACTTTATTGGTTATAAATACTAACAATCATCTGAGCCTTCAGTGAGTCATAATGTTTTTGCTGGTAGAGAGTCTTGCCTCACTGTTGATGGCTGCTGACTGATTAGGGTGGTGGTTCCTGAAGGTTGAGGAGGCTGTGGCCATTTCATAAAATAAGATGACAATAAAGTTATTCACACGGAATGACTTCTCACAAAAGATTTATCTGTAATGTGTGACACCATTTAATAGCATTTTATCCATAGTACAACTTCTTCCAAATTGGAGTCAATCCTCTCTAACCTTTTTACTGCTTTATCAACTAAGTTTGTGTAATATTCCACATTTTCGCTGTTATTTCAGCAATGTTCACAGCATCTCCTAGATTCCATCTCAATAACGCATATTTTTGTTGCTCATTCATAAGAAACAACTCCTTTTCTGTTAAAATTTTATCATGAGATGACAGCAACTTAGTTAGTCACGACTTCAGGTTCGATGTCTAATTCTAGCTATTTCCACCACATCTGCAGCCAGTTCCTCCCTCAAGGTCTTCCGGGAGGGTTGGAATCCACTTCTTCCAAACTCCTGATCTTGTTGATATTTTGATCTCCTCTCCTTGAGCGTGAATATTCTTAATGGCGTCAAGAGTGTTAAATTATTTCCAGGTTTTCAATATACTTTGCCCAAGGCCCCCAGAGAAATCACTCTCTATGGCAGCTATAAGCTTATGAAATGTATTTTTTTTAATAATAAGGCTTGAAGGTCAAATTTATTTCTTGACCTATGGGCTGCACAATGGATGTTGCGTTAGTAAGCATGAAAATAACATTCATCTCCTTATACATCTCCAGCAGAGCTCTTGGGTGACCAGGTGCACTGACAAAGAGCAGTAATATTTTGAAAGGGATTTTTTTTCTGAGCAGTAGGTCTGAATAGTGGGCTTAAAACATTCAGTAAACCATGCTGTAAACAGATGTGCTGTCATTAAGGCTTTGTCGTTTCATTTATAAGGGACAGGCAGAGTCTGTTTGGCATAATTAAGTGTCCCATGATTTTCAGAATGAAAAATGAGCATTGTCTTGACGTTAAAGTCACCTGCTGCATTAACCCCTAACAAGAGAATTAGACTGCCCTTTGGTGATTTGAAGCCAGGCGTTGACTTCTTTTCTCTAGCTATGAAAGTCCTAGATGGCATCCTCTTGCAGTATAAGGCTGTTTTGTCTACATTGAACACCTGTTGTTTGGCGTAGCTACTTTTACCAATTAGATCTTCTGGATAACTTACCGCAGCTTGTACATGAGCACTTTCTGCTTCACCTTGCACTTTTATGTTATGAAGATGACATCTTTTCTTAAATCCCATGAACCAGTCTCTGCTGGCTTCTAATTTTCTTCTGCAGCTTCCTCACCTCTCTCAGCCTTCACTGATTTGGAGAATTGAGGGCCTGGATCTGTATGTGGCTTTGGCTCAAGGGAATGTTGTAGCTGTTTTGTTCTTCTATCCAGATCACTAAAACTTTCTCCATACCAGCAGCAAGGCTGCCTCACCTTCTTACCATTCACGTGTTCCAGAAGCAGCACTTTTTAATATTCTTTGAATTCACAACTTGGCTGTTTGGTAGGAGAGGCCTAGCTTTCTGCCTAGCTCAGTTTTTGACATACCTTCCTCACTAAGCTGAGTCATTTCTAGCTTTTGATTTAAACTGACAAATGTACGACTCTTCCTTTTACTTGAAAACTTAGAGGCCATTATAGGGTTATTAACTGGCCTAATGTCAATGTTATTGTTTCTTAGAGAATAGGGACCTGAGGAGATGGAAAGAGATACAGGAATGTCCATTTGATCAAAACACACATATGTTGTCATATGGGCATGATTTGTGATGCCCCAAAACAATTACAACATTAACACTGAAAATCATTGATTATAGATCATAATAACAGATACAATAATAATGACAAAATTTAAAATATTTCTAGAAATAACAAAATGTGACACAGAGACATGAATTAAGCATGTGCTTTCTGGAAAAATGGCACTGATAAACTTGCTTAATGCAGGGTTACCACAAACTTTCAATTTGTAAAACAATGCAATATCTGTGGAGTGCAGGAAAGTGAAGTGCAAGAAAATGAATTATGCCAGTTTACCCCCTTTCTTTGCCTCTTTTTTTACAATTTTGCATTTAATGTCTACTTTATCTGATGTAAGTATTGCTACCCCTGCTCTCCTTCAGTTTCCAATTGTATGAAATACCTTTTTCCATTTCTTCACTTTCTATTTGTGTTATTACCAGGGAAGTGAGTCTCTTGTAGGAAGCCTTTAGTTGGGTCTTTAAAAAAAATTCCATTCATCTATCCTATATATTTTTATTGTATAATTTAATCTATTTATATTCAAAGTAATTATTGATAGGTGAGGACTGGCTAATGCCATTTGTAATTTATTTTCTGGTTGTTTTTTCTGTAGATTCTTTGTTCCTTCCTCTCTTGCTGTGTTATTTTCTGATGAGATCATTTTTTTCTAGTGGTATGCATTAATTGCTTGCTTTTTAGCTTCTCTGTATGTACATGGATTTTTGCTTTGTGTTTACCAAGAAGCTTATATAAAACATCTGATAGTTATAACAGACAATTATAAGCCATAACTTAACTTTGATCGCATTTTTAAAATTTAACTTCTATTCATTCCCTTCCACATTGTATGTCTTTGATGTCACCATTTCTATCTTTTTATATTGTGTGTATCTTAAAAAATAATTATAGCTGTGATTATTTTAATTGTCTTTTAATCTGTATACTAAAAATTGAAATGGCTTACACACCACCATTACATTATTAGAATATTCTGAATTTGACAGTGCACTTACTTTTGTCACTGAGTGTTTGTCTCTCATATGTCTTCACTTGATCTTAGCCAAAAGGCTGAGAAGTGATTTCTCAAATGTTTCCATTTTATCAATTAGTATCTTTTTCTTTCAGCTTGAAGAACTTCCTTTAGCCTTTCTTAGAAGGCAGATCTATTGATAATAAGATTTCTCAACTCTTTTTTGCTGTTTTTCTGGGAAAGTCTTTCTCCTTTATTTCTGCAGTGTAGCTTTGCCAGCCAAAGTATTCTTGGTTGGCAGATTTTTTTCCTTGAGCACGTTGAATATATTATCTCAGTTTCTCCTGGCCTCTAAAGTTTCTGTTGAGAAAGTCATAGCAAACCTTATTGAAACTTCCTTATATGTGATATATTTCTTTCTCTTGCTGCTTTTAGAATCTTTTCTTTGTCATTTATTTTTGACAGTTTGATTTTATGTCCTAGTGTAGTCCTGCTTGGATTGTATCTGAAGACCTTTGATCTTCCTATACCTGAATATTTATGTTTCCCAGATGTGGGAAGTTTTAAGCTATTCTTTCTTTAACTAAAGTTTCTGTCCCTTTCCCTCTTTTCTTTTTTAATTCATATAATTCAGATATTTTCTGTCTTGATTCTATTCTATAATTTCTGCAATCTTTCTTAATTCCTATTCATTCTTTTTTCCTTCTGACTGCATATTTTCAAATAACTTGTCTTCAAGTTCACAAAATTTTTCTTCTCCTTGATCACTTCTACTGTTGATGTTCATTGCATTTTTTCATTGCATTCATTGTATTATTCAGCTCCAAAATTTTTACATTTTTTATGATTCAAATATCTCTGTTAAATATCTTGCTTTGTAAAAATTAAAAAGTGGGACCTAATTAAGCTTAAGAACATCTGTTCAGCCTAGGAAACTCTCAATAGAGTAAATAGTGGCTGACCCATAGAATGGGAGGAAATATTTGCAAACTATGAATTCAACAAAGGTCTAATATCCAGAATCTATAAGAAACTTAAACAGATCAAAAAGCATAAAACAAGTAACTCCATTTAAAAATTCACAAAGGACATGACCAGACACTTCTCAAATGAAGACATACCAGCAGCCAACAAACATGAAAAAAATTATCATTATTACTAATGATCAGAAAAATGCAAATAAAAACCACAATGAGATATCATCTCACACCAGTCAGAATTGTTATTATTAAAAAGTCAAAAAAACAGATGCTGGCAAGGCTGTGGGGAACAGGTAACAGTTATACACTATTGTTGGGAATGTAAATTAGCTCAGCCACTGTGGAAAGCAGTTTGGAGATTTCTCAAGGAACTGAAAGCTACCATCAGACCCAGCAATTCCATAATGGGCATATACCCAAAGGAAACTAGATGATTATAACAAAAAGACACATGCACTTACATGTTTATCACCACACTCTTCTCAGTAGCAGAGACATGGAATCAACCTAGGTGCCTATCAAGGTGGACTGGCTAAAGAAAATGTGGTCCATATATACCATAGGATACTATGCAGCCATACAGAGAATGAAATCATGTCCTTTGCAGCAACATGGGTGGAGCTGGAGGCCATAATCCTAAACAAATCAACACAGGAACAAAAATCCCAAAACTGCATTCTCTCAGAAGAGGGAGTTAAACAATAAGCACCCATGGATATGAACATGGCAAAAACAGACACTGCAAACTACTGGATGGGGGGGAGAGGGAGGTGGAAGAGGTTAAAAAACTACCTGTTAGGTACCATGCTCACTACCTAGGTGTAATACACCCATGTAACAAACCTGCACATGCACCCCCTGTATCTAAAATAAAAGTTGAAAAAATTATTGTTTTGTTAATGTACTGTTTTTATGATTTTGTTGAATTGCTTCTCTGTATTTTCTTGAAGTTTACTGAGCTTCCTTAAAACAATTATCTTTAGTTTTTTAGTGTTTTCTTTTTTCGGTCAGGCACTTTGTATAGCTCAATTTTTTAAGGATGCATTACGGGGAAGTTACTGTGGTTATTATCTCAATGCTGATATGCCTCCTGTTTTTCATGTTTCTTCTCCCCTTCTGTTGACGTGTGAACATTTGGTAGAGGAGTCCCCCACTGCAGACTTCACAGGCTACATTTGGTGTGAAAAACCTTCTCCTACTTGGGGAGTGGGTGTGAGAGCACTGGTTGGGTGGAGCGAGCAGTTATGGTGCCAGCACAATGCAACCGTGTGTTCTTTATTCGGTTTTCTCTGTTTAGGTTGGTGTTGTCAAAGATTGCAGGGACACTCAGCGGCCAACACCGTGGATGTCTCCTATGGCAACAAGGGTTGTTGGGATTTTGGTGGTGATGGCTGCTGTGGTTCTTCTGATCTTTCTTCTCCCACTGGAGAAGTTGTGCCTGAGAAGGTCCCTAAGCACGGGGTCTGGCTTATAGGCCTACTTGTGTTGGCAATGGCACCAGTCTGACAAGTGTGACAAGTCAGACAAATGTCTGACAAGTGGCACCCATGGAGCAGCAACAAAGCAGAGGCCTAAATCCGGGACGTGGATGGAGAACTATGGCTCGGTGGTCCTGGATGGTAACATAACTTGTGCCTAGAGCATAGGCACGCTTGCTGCCTTGTTGGTGACAGTACATGAGGTGTAGATGCTTGTGAAACAGCCTAATTGATGAGAACAGGAGCACAGGCATGCATAGAGCAACAGTGATTCCGGGGTTTGGACAGGGCCAGGCTTTTTATGGAGTCTAGCCCGTTGCCCAGAGCGTGGGAACATGCCAAGAGACCTTGGCTCTGCTGCTTAGTATGGAAATTCGCTCATCGTTGTGGTGGCTTGATGTTTAACATGTGGGTACGCACCATGCAGCCTCATCAGGGTCTGGAAGGTGGACACTTGCAGGGTGGCCGTAGCTCAAGCATCCGGGCGAATGCAGGACTGGGAGAGGCGGCAGCCGTGGTCCCGAAGTAGCATAACAGAGGCTGCTTCTTGACAAGAGCTGTGCAGCCACATCCCCCTCTCTGCAGTTCCCCAGTAGAAGTGGCTGTTGGTTACCTCAGTAGCAAAAGATGCTGGTGTTCTCCGTGGAGCACCACTGGGGACCATGATGGGTCCTGCCACGTGTCTAATCCTCCACCTTTCTTCTTTGTTCTATGTTGTCTCCTGACATTCCAGGTTTGCCAGTCTTACCAGCAATCCTTTCTGTGTGGATATTCTCTGCTATTTTGTTTCACTGTGTTGTTGCTAAAGATTGTTTAATGGGCCCTTGAGCTTTCCCAGAACTATTTTGGTTTGTGAACAGGTGTTCATATTTGTTTTTTTGCGGAGGGATGAAGGTTGGTATCTCCTGTTCCTGGTGACATCCCAGACTCTCTTAATCAGACTTCCTACCTAGATCCACATGCATTTCTGTTAAATGGAAGAGAAAACATACAATAAATTACTGTGGTTAAGTAGGTTGTGATTGTTCAAAGAAAGGAAGTGGGATTTTGCTCCACTCTCAATTTCTACCATCTTGGTCCAGCTCTCATAATTTATCTGAAATATTGTCATGATTTCTTCTCTACTATTGCTTTTTATTGTAATTCAAAGTCAGGAAATGTGATCAGTTCAGCTTTATGCTTCTTAATCAAGATTGCTTTGATTATTTGGGGTACTTAGTATTTCTATACAAATTTTAGAATTGTTTTGCTATTTCTTTAAAAAATGACAATGGAATTTTAATACAGATTGCATTGAATCTGCTTATTATGTTGATATTTTAACAAAATCATTCATCCCAATTCATAAACATAGAATGTATTTACATTTATTAGTATATTTAAAAATTTTTTCAACAAAGTTTTGTAATTTTTAGAAGTGTTTTACCTCTTTAGTTAAATTCATTTTTAAGTATTTTATTATTTTTGTTGCTAATGTAAATCGGAATTTTTTTAAAAAATTATTTTAGTCCTATGTAAGGGAAGTTCACTTTACATTTAAAGTGAGTCTCTTATAGAGCTCATATCTCTTGATTTAGTCAACAGTCTATTTAGTCACTCTCTGTCTTTTGATTGGGGCTCTAATCCACTTACATTTAAAGTGAGCGCTAATAGGTAAGGACTTACTAGTGCCATTTGGTTTTTGTGTGTGTGTTTTAAAATTCTTTTGATCTCTTTCTCTTGCTGTTTTATTTTGTTGTTTTATTATTCTTGTAGTAGTTTGATTTGACTTTTTCTCTTTATTTTTTGTGTATCTGCTATATATTTTATCTTTCTTTTTTTGTGTTTTTTTGTTTTTTTGTTTGAGATGGAGTCTTGCTCTGTTGCCCAGGCTGGAGTACAGTGGCACAATCTCATCTCACTGCAAACTCTGCCTCCCGGGTTCAAGCAATTCTCCCGCCTCAGTCTCCTGAGTAGCTGGGATTACAGGCACTTGCCATCATGCCTGGCTAATTTTTGTATTTTTGTAGATATGAAGTTTCACTATGTTGGCCAGGCTGGTCTTGAACTCCTGACCTCAAGTGATCCACCCACCTCAGCCTCCCAATATGCTGGGATTACAGGCATAAGCCACTGTGCCCAGCCTCTACTATATATTTTCTTTTTGGTAATCATGAGGCCTGTTTAAATCTTGTATTTATTATCCTCTAATTTAATTTGGTAACAACTTAAGTTCAATTATACACATAAACTTTATACTTTTATACCCACTCCCCCAATTTGCTTTCTTGATGTCAGAGTTTACTTATTTTTACATTGTAAATGTATTATCAAATTTTGGTGGTTATTATTCTTAATAATTTTGTATTTTAATTTTTACTTTAGGATTATGTGCGTGTCGCACACACCACTGCAGTGTTATATTATTCTGTACTTTACTATGTATTTACCTCTGTAGTGAGCTTTATAGTTTCATATGCTCGCATGCTGCAGGCTAGCGCATTCTCAGCTCCATTTAAGGACTCCCTTAAGCATTTCCTGTAAGGCAAGTGTAATGGGAAACAAATAAAAACAAACAAACAAAAAACCTCTTTTTCATTCTTTCTTTGTCTGGGAAAGACTTTTTATCTCCTTCATTTTTAAAGAGTATCTTTGCAGCATATGTATTCTTAGTTGTCCTTTTTTTTTCTTTCAGTACTTGGAATACATCACCTCACTCTCTCTGGGCCTGTAAAGTTTCTGTTGAGGAACTCATTAATAAACTTACTGAGGTTCCCTAGTATGTGACAAGCAGGTCACTTTTTTTTTTTCTGCTTTTAAAATTCTTTCTGACTTTGACCTCTGGCAGTTTAGCTATAATGTGTTTTAGTGTAGTCCACTTTATATTCTACCCTCTGGGGTCCTGTAGGCTTCTTGAGCCTGGATGTCTATTTCCTCACTGGATTTGCAGTATGTAATATTATTATTATTATTATTATTATTATTATTTTATTTTATTTTATTTTATTTTATTTTTTGAGACGGTGTCTAGCTCTGTCACCCAGGCTGGAGTGCAGTGGCGCGATCTCAGCTTACTGGCTCACTGCAAGCTCCGCCTTCCGGGTTCATGCCATTCTCCTGCCTCAGCCTCCTGAGTAGTTGGGACTACAGGCGCCGGCCGCCACCACGCCCGGCTAATTTTTTTTGCATTTTTAGTAGAGATGGGGTTTCACCATGTTAGCCAGGATGGTCTCGATCTCCTGACCTCGTGATCCTCCCGCCTCGGCCTCCCAAAGTGCTGGGATTACAGGCGTGAACCACCACGCCCGGCTATTATTTTTTAAATAAGTTTTATGCTCCTTTCTCTTTCTCTTCTCCTCCTAAGACTCTCAAAATGTGTGCATTAGTTTACTGATGATGTCCTGTAAGTCCTTAGGCTTTCTGAGTTTTTTAAACAGTTTTTACTTCCTTTCCCATCTGAGTGATTTCAAATAGCCTGTCTTTGAGTTAGCTGTTCTTTTATTCTGCTTGATTTAGTTAATATCTGCTGTTGAAGATCCTATTGAATTTTTTGTTCAGTCATTTTATGCTTCAGTGCCACTTTTTGTGTTTGGTCCTTTTTTATGTTTTCTATTTGTTTGTTAACTTCTGACTTTGTTCTTGTATTGTTTTTCTAATTTTTGTTAAATCATTTATCTGTGTTCTCTTGCATTTTTCTAAGCTTCTTTGTAACAATTACTTTAATTTTTTATAAATTGTAGATCTCCATTTTTTAAAATAACTTCTGGAAGTGTATCGTGTCCCTTTGCCAGTGTTATGCATCTGTATTTTTTGTGTTGTTTATATTCTTGCACTGGTGTCTGCACATGTGAATAAGCAGTCACCTCTTCTAGACCTTATGGGCTACTTCAGTAAGGAAAGGCTTTCACCTGAGGGGAGAGGCGTGGGCATGTCTACTGAGAAGGGCGTGCAGAAGCACGTTATGGCACTGGGTCTGGTGGTGTGCAGGGCACCGGGTGGCTC
The DNA here is from genome assembly GCF_000001405.40 of Homo sapiens. Taxonomy (NCBI): domain Eukaryota; kingdom Metazoa; phylum Chordata; class Mammalia; order Primates; family Hominidae; genus Homo; species Homo sapiens. The sequence continues at coordinate 169,062,290 of NC_000006.12, forward strand.
TGCGTCACGCAGTGGCTCTAGCTCCAGAGGGTCAGGTGGCAGCTCAGCGACTCAGGCAGCTGGGATCTATGACACTGGCCATTGCGTGGCCCTCAGTGCCAAAAGCTGTTGGGGAAATCCACGGTGGCTGTGGGGGCTTCAGCATCACGTCTAGGTCTAGTTGTCTAGTTGTGATTGCCTCCAGGAAAGCAAGCCCAAGGGCTGGCGGTGGGAGCTGTATGAGCGTGAGCATGCATGTGATAGTGGTGCAGGGGCTGCTGGTGGGAGGGACATTTGTGGGCATGGACAGTGGCTGTCCTGGGTTTGAAGCCACAGCACCAACCGTCACACTGGCTAGGGCAGCACCAACCGTCACACTGGCTAGGGCAGCTCCAACCGTCACACTGGCTAGGGCAGCACCAACCGTCACACTGGCTAGGGCAGCTCCAACCGTCACACTGGCTAGGGCAGCTCCAACCGTCACACTGGCTAGGGCAGCTCCAACCGTCACACTGGCTAGGGCAGCACCAACCGTCACACTGGCTAGGGCAGCTCCAGCAGTAGGGGAAGGGGAGTGGTGGCTTAGGCATCTGGGGTCTGTAAAGGCAAAAATGTGAGGGCCCTTGGTGGTGAGATCTGTGGGGAGTCTTTGTCAGCTGCAATGGCTGTTGGCTTTCCCAGGGAGAAATTTGCTGGAGTTCCTATGGAGCAGTCCACTGGGGTCCACAGCAGTGAACACTATGGGGTCTTCGGCAGTGAACATGATGGGAGGTCCATGGTGCTTGCGAGGGCTGTTGCAATTCTAGTGGCAAAGGCTACTGGGTCCCCTGCAGAGCGGGCCATGAGGCACTGCCCTGGTACCCACTGCATTGCTGATACTAACAGGCACTTTTCTTCTTTATTCCTAGCTATATTCAGATGTGTCAATGATGAGGATTTCCCCAGTTATCTAGGTGGGTTGAAACAGAAGCAGGTGCTTCAGGCAGTGCCTCAGGAAGCTGGTCACTCACGCTGCTGCCTTTTTGCCTCATGAGGAAACTCACAGGCCAAGGAACTTCCTCCCGGTACTGAGCTGTGCCAGCCTGGGGATGGGGTGATGCAGGCAAAATTACACTGGTCCCCCTACCCTTTCTGTGAAGTTATTCTCTCTCTCCTCTCTCTCTGTCTCTGTCTCTCTGTCTCTCTCTCTCTCTCTCTCTCTCGTTCCACTGTGGTGCTGCAACTTCTTGACTTCTGAACGTTCCCAGGGTTATGTTAGCTTGTGAATAGCTAATTGTTGTTTTCTGTTTGGAGGTGCAAATGATAGGGTCTTCTACTCTGCCATCTTTCTGATGTCAGCTTCTGCTCTTTTTATTGTTAACCTTAATAAAATCAGTTTCTAGTAAATGCTTGTGTTCATTTCTGGAATGATGCATCTGCCTGTTTATGCCACTACACCATACCTGTAAAATTATTCTCTTTAAAACATATTATAATATCAAAAACAGATAAGCCAAAACTTTATTATAATTTTTTGACGTTGTTTTCCATAGCTACCACCTGTCTATTAACTTTTGGTCAAATTAATGGAGCACTCTAGGCTTCAGTTTGTATATTTGTGTAATAAAAGGACTAAACTACAGCACCTCCAAGTCTCATTTCAAGTTTATTCTTCTGCAGTTCTTTGAATCTACTCTTTCTACCCTGGAAAAAAATTATTACTTTTTAAAAATTGATATACAAAAGGGAGTATATTCATAAAGCCTGTACCTTGGGGCCTGGGACACTATGTGAGTCTCCATTTTGCCTTTTAACAACTCAAGGCTTTGCTTGCTGGGCAAGTTTCCACTTCAAGAAGAAAAGAAAATGATAAATGATGGAAAAAATCTAATTTAATTTTCTTTAAATAAATGATTTGCCTGTTGATTCTGTATTCAAGGTATAAAGTTGGGGATAAAGTTTACAATGTTTTATTTTCCTCTAAAATACAACCAAATTTTGAAACTATTTCCTGTTGAAACACATGTGTACTTTTAAAAATAATCGTCACGGCTGGACACCAAAGATTGATAGCGGTGTTCTTAAAGACTCGTTTGAAAGAAAGTGAATGAAGTCAGTCTCCCAGCCCATGGGATTTCCCTAAATGTAGAGCAACCTGGCTAAAGAATATCCTCACCAGATTGTATTGTTTTGCTTCCTGGAAGTTGAAGCACAAGCTACTGTATTGCACGGAGATGTGAGTTTTAGAGTTTTTAGTGTCTGGAAAGGTGGACGGATTTAAATCAGCGGTAAGAATGTCTTGGAGCTCAGGCATTTATCAGGATTAAAGTAATCCAAATGGGTTTGATTTGTGCTTAATAGGCTGGATCCTGGTTTAAACTGCAGATGTTCAAAGGGGAAAAAAAGACTCATTTTTCTTATAGTTTATGTTTCGTTAAATTTATTGAAGAACCAACTGTAAAATAATTCCACCTTCAGTGGAATTCAAGTTCTGGAGCAGTCAATGGACAAAATGTGGTAATCTTGGGGTTTGTTAATTTATACAAAACGGTTGGAAAAAGCTTCCCGATAACACAGCTGGTCTGAGCCTCAGACCTCACTTGTGAGCCCCAGAGCCCCTGTTCATCTCCATTATAGCGGTTCAACATTTTATCTATCATTTTTGCTAGCTCCTCTTTGAAGTTAGGGCCATAATTTACAACAGAAATGGAAAGCTCACAGACACAGAGTGAATAACGTCTCTGAATTTGATTTGGGGCGCTGGCGACACACGCCTTGATGACGGGAACGTTTTGGTAGAATGTGAAGAAGGCAGCGCATTGCGCGTTTCCCAGCTGGGCTGTGCCTCTGATTTGCGGGTGTCGCCTGTGGACCCACAGGCCTCCAGCCTGGCGCTCCCTAGAACTCGTCCTCAGAGCAGCCGCCCGAGGCCGTTTCCACCCAGTCCCCTCTACTCCAGGCCTTCTCACGAGCATCAGACCTGCTCCCGTTCTGTTCCTCCCCCGCCTGCTCCCACCCTTTCTTCCCTTCATTTTTCAGGTATTACGTTCAAATCCGTCTCCGCGGTTTCTAACTCCAGCTTGACATCTGTTTCCCAGAGGATGCTGACAAACAGGATATGAATTCAATAATGTCCATTTTTCTAAGCTAAATTCTCTGTTTTGATGATTATTCCCCTGAATTTTATATAAGGTGATAAACAGTAAAAAACTGTTTACTTTCCAGACACTGTGATTAGATACATTGTATGTCATTAAGGTTTAGCAATTTTTCCATTTCAAACGCTTACATATGATATTACTATAAAATCTTTGGTTACCTTAATTCTTGAAGAAATATTCAGTAGCCTGGAATCACGTATTTACCAATTTGAAGAGCTGTTGAGTAACGTTAACCATAGAAAAGTCGATGTGGGGCCAACATGCACAGAACCTCGGGGTCTCACCAAAGAATTGGAGTGGAGTGAAGACAGTTAGTGAAGAAAGAAAGAAAGAAAGAGAGAAAGAGAGAAAGAGAGAAAGAGAGAAAGAGAGAAAGAGAGAAAGAGAGAGAGAGAGAGAGAGAGAGAAAGAAAGAAAAGAAAGAAAGAAAGAAAGAAAGAGAAAAGAAAGAAAAAGAGAGCCCAAGGTTTAGCGTGAACTTAACTTGGGTTTCATTGTTCAACGTCTGGTAGAAAAATGTTCCAAACATGTATTCCTTTACTGTTTAAAAAGGGGTGCAACTCATTTTAACAAATATAATTTCTATGGCAACGTCTTGATTACCCACCCTAACATTTAAACTCTAAAATTGCCTTATTGTTTAAGACGAAGAATATGAAATGACTCACCTTATTTAATAATATTATTGATTCTGCATGTTGACTTCAAAGAATATTTGATCATGTTTTTGGAAAAGAGAACTCAAGATACTTTGGGACAGAATTTTTATTTCTTTTTTATGCATCTTTATTCTTGGCTGAACTCAGAACCTTAAAAATAATACTTATATGCCTGTGGTTACCCTTTATGCAGTATTTTTTTTAATATAAATCAACTTTAGCCCACTCGTTACCCCCCTCCAAAATTCGTTTCCACTTGACTTTTCCAAGTCATCCTTTCCAAAGTGGCCACTTTCCCCGCTCACACCTTTCTAAATTGTGGTTCCATTATTTAAACTGGGTAATGTTTTCTTAGCTAAAGACTCATTTGTGCAAAATACATTTACCAAAAATAAGTTCTTAAGAAAGCAAAAAGGCTTCAACTCACACTTTTTCCAGGATGTCTATAATTTTTTTAGGGTCTATCAATTTTACAACTAATATATTTTACTCCATAATCTCTTCCAGATATTTTTCATTAAACTTTTACTCACAGTGATTCCATGTCAATTTCTGTTTTCAAAACTTCATGTGAAATTCATAATTCTCTCGCATACAACCCAACACAATGCAGGGTGAATTGCAAAAGCAAATTTCCTTTTGACTTGTTTTGGTTAGTGTTATAGCTTCTCAAATGCTGAAATAACAGTTGAAGTATCTCTCCATTCTGGTATTTTCAGTAAAATGAGCATTTATTAGTCAGGAAGTCTCCTAGATAGTCACATCTTCTGATGCCGATGTAGTAAGAAAATTTTATGTTTGCATTATCTGGATCTAAGATGTGTAATGGAAGAAAAAAATTCGTATTTAAAGCAGTGCTTATTTTATCAGTATTTCCATCATCTCAAAGTTTTGGTTTAATACTAGGCACCTAGAAAACGCTTTAAGATGACCTTTCACATTTTTGTATCTTCCCTGATCACATGGCGTAAAAGGCATAACTGGCACAGGAAGAGAGCAGACGTGGGGCCTGGTCAGTGCTGATTATCAGCAAGTGCAATGTTATTAGGACATGGCCAGTCTAAGACGAAGAAACTGGTTGATATTTATTCAATAACTTTTATTTGGGTATGTGCTGTGTGCGTGGCTCCCTTGCAAGTCCTTGTCTCCTAATATGGAGTTTAAGGCAGTAACATTTCATTTTAAAATGTAGAATGAATTTCTAGTATAAAATTTAACCATGGAATGCCATCAAATATATGCACCCCCCCCCCCCCCCCCACACACACACACACAGGAGTGGTTACGGATCGAATCTCTGCACTGTTCCGGTGTCAGGACAAAGTGGGACACAGCATGAAGCCTGTGCGCTTAATTGCCATCTGCTTCATAAATGAACGAACAAAGGAATCTATGAGCGTGTTAGCAAAAGTATTTTTCCAAGTGATGTTAATGTGGCATCTGTTGCCAACAAATATTTTGCATATGATACAATCTATGCAATCACAATGGGAGGGATCAAGAGGAGCCAATCACAATGGGAGGGATCAAGAGGAGCCAATCACAATGGGAGGGATCAAGAGGAGCCAATCACAATGGGAGGGATCAAGAGGAGCCAATCACAATGGGAGGGATCAAGAGGAGCCAATCACAATGGGTGGGATCAAGAGGAGCCAATCACAATGAGAGGGATAAAGAGGAGCCAATCACAATGGGCGGGATAAAGAGAAGCAGACATGGAGCCCTGCAAACTTGGCCTAAACATTGCTCTCGGTGTTCTAGCATCATAATGTGACTTTTCTTTTTAACCACAGTTTGTTGTTAATTTATAAAGTTACACTAACTTCCACCTCCGATACAGAGCTTCTAAAAGAATCAAAGTATAAAATATATGTGGTTGTAAAAAAGTGCCTTGTAAATTCTAAAGCACTAGAGAGTAAGTCATATTCTCTCTCTCTCTTTTTTTTTTATGACTGCTAGAGGTCTTCGTTGGTACCGAGTTGCTATTGCTCTGAAATCTTTCAATGGAGTATGTTAAAACATACATTAGAATATAGAAATATAAAAACATACATTAGAATATAGAAATACAGAAACAGATTCCTTTGCTCAATTTGGTTCACATATGAGATTTCTGTTCTTTCATTAAAAGCTCATTTCCTACACAAAATTAACATAATTACTTATATTTTTATCCTACAATGATATTCTGAATTGATTTTGCAAAATACTTAAGACCTGTCTTCTACCTTGGTAAGTAAAAAAAAAAAAAGTTTGTATTGTTTCAGCATAATCTGTAGGTATCTACGCAAAACCTACTCACGAGGCTAACTTCAGAAGGCTCATTTTCACCTCCCTATAAATCTGATTTCCTTTGTCCACTGACTCAGGCAGTTCCAACCCCCATTTTATAAGACACTTTCACCAAAGAACCAAAATGTCAGACCAAGTAAACAGCACCACGGATCACTTGCTTGTCATAAACGCAGCCAAAATGGCATTGCTGCTACAATGGCTATTTAAATCTGCTGTTTTTCTTCCCTAGATAAATCTAGAAAAATCACCATGTTCTTTGAGGGAAGCTGAGAGGGAAAACCAAAAAAGTACAAAACCAGATTCAGAAGAGAAAGGAAAGATTATCTTGAGTGAGGTTGTCCTCCAAAGACAACTCTTGGCAGAGGCTGGTGGTACGGGGAGACGTCAAAGCCTCCATGTTCAGGCGTCCAGGGTCCCAGCCTCTAAAACGGCTTCTGCCATCCATGGCCGCCAGACATTATTTTTGACTAAATTCCATACTTTTTTATCTGAATTGGCTTTTGCACATGAGACAGGCAAAGGGTTTAAAAATAGTTACACCATAGTCCATTGACTTCTCATTTTTATCACTTACACGGATAAGTCATTTTTAAAAATCAAGGGTATCTTTTTGATGTGCACCTAGCATTTGCGTGAGGGTGGTGTGTTAACACTGGAAAATAGGGCTAATTCAGACTTCCTTGTTACCGGGCCCCAGTTTTTAAGTGATCTGGAAGTCCTGAGTGGATTGTGTATCCACTGAGCTACTGCCCATTGTCTGGTAGTTCTCAGAGGACCGTGCAGAAACTGATAGGAAGTGAAATACTATTTGTGTTCGCTTGTGTAGGTGAATACATCTCCAGGATGAGGCCACCCATTTTGGCTTCCACTAACCCGGAGGAACCTGGAGCAAGGAAACCAAAGGAAGTATTCAGGAAGCTTCAGATTTGACTGCTGGCATTATAGGCAAGAATTACACACACATGACTTACTGTTCACTATTGGTGAGAACTCGTGTTCTCATTTCGGGCAATGTTTAGAATGAAGCTCCATTAAACATGCTTGCTCCGAGGAATATCCTTAGAACGGCCATGCTTCTTATTGTGATTGTTATGTTATTTTAAGGTAATTCTTGCCTTTTGGCTGGTTGATTGCATTCTTTAGTTTGAGGCTATGCTTCTGACCTCATTACTCCAATGTCCATCTGCGTCAGCGTCACCTTGACAACAAGAGCAGGGGATGCGTCTTGCATGAGTGGGTGGCCAAAGAGACAAACCTCTGGCTTTCTGGGAGCTCCTAGCGTTCTCCTTGAAACCCTTAACACATATGTGTTTTCTCTGCTCTACATTAGATCTCTAGACTTATCCTACAAAGCTGAAACTGTACTGTTTGACCTACAACCTCCCATTTCCCAGGTGTTCATTCCTGCTCCTTACACTGGTAATTTGCCAAGAGAGTAAATTTTAGGTTACCTTACTGTGATGGTTAATACTGAGTGTCAACTTGATTGGATTGAAGGATACAAAGTATTGATCCTGGGTTTGTCTGTGAGGGTGTTGCCAAGGGAGATCCACATTTGAGTCAGTTGTCTGGGAAAGGCAGACCCACCCTTAATCTGAGTGGGCACCATCTAATCAGCTGCCAGTGAATATAAAGCAGGCAGAAAAACTTGAAACGAGAGGCTGGCCTAGCCTCCCAGCCTACATCTTTCTCCTGTGCTGGATGCTTCTTGCCCTTGAACATCAGAATCCAAATTCTTCATTTTTGGAACTTGGCCTGGCTCTCCTTGCTCCTCAGCCTGCAGACCGCCTATTGTGGGACCCTGTGATTGGGTGAGTTAATACTTAATAAACTCCTCTTTTACATATACATCTATTGCATTAGCTCTGTACCTCTAGAGAACCCTGACTGATACACTTACCATGCCCGCACACACACAGCAACTGTGTGAAATGATGTCCGCATTAATTGGCTTGACTGTAGTCCTTGCTTCCCTATGAGTGTGCATGACCAGATCACTGGATCCAAACAGCGTGTCACACACCTTAAATACATGCAATACAGTAAATTAAAACTATGACGTTCCCATGTGTTCTTAGCATGATGAAAAAGAAATGCCAGATTCACAGTGTGTTTTCTGGGGAGAGCAAAGAGGGGAAATTTATGTGCCAAACTGGAGTCCCTTAAAAGAAAATGAATTTCAGATATTTCAGCCTGCTCTCACCAGGAGGGGTTCTCTGCTAATAATTGTGAAGGAACGCGATAGTCAGAGGCACAGAGGGCCTGAGTGCAGCTTTAATAACTTTGGACAGGACCTGGGTCCTGAGCGTGAGTCACGCTGAGGTCGCTGTGAACGGCTGAGCCCTGGGCTGTGAGTCAGCCCCTCGAGGCGCATGATACAGCTTCAGGCTCCACCAACAGTAGGTGCTTAGAGACTCATGGGCTGCTGGGTTATGACCGAATGAATCAGCCTGAGGGAGAAGATGGTTTTACGACAGAAAGTGGGACTGTGGTGCCAATTTTCTGTTTGAGTTTTGTGTGTCTACACAGTTTGACAAAAATGGCATTTTATTTAAGCATTGTGCACATTTCTTAGAGAATCCGAGGTGACCTATCTTGAGAAAAGGAATTCAAGCTGGACCGACCACAGACCTCGTGCTAAGCATTGGAATCATTGCCCTGCCAGATAGCATTTCAACATCTATTTCCATCCTTCTTCACAATATTACTTTTAACTGATGTCAAAATAAACAAGCCTAGGAATATCCAAGCAATTTGTTCTCAGAGCGCCTGGTGTCCAGTTCAGTGCCTGGACTGAGTCAATAGCACTGTGAGTGATAACATTCTTTATACTGTTAACCAAAAAAAAAGATAGGTTCCATGATTTTTTGTGCCCCACGTATTAATACATGGTTGTAGCAATTATTTTCATGCACAAGGACTGTGCACCTACCTGTGTTTTTGATTCTGCATTAAGGAACCATTCATATCAAATGTTATAAACCAGGGAGCTGGGTTTATAGTTAACATACACACATGCACACAAAATAACTGTCAACATTTAAGCAAGTTGCTTACAGATTAAAACTATGTTGACAATAATCGCAAATAGAGTACTATTGACACCTCAGAAGGACTTCTGTTGCCCTCCTCACCCTCCCTCCCTTCCTTCCAGAAGGTGACCCCTAATCTGAGGGCCAACGCTGCAAAGCGGCTCTGTCTGTTTCAAAGCTGAGCACACGTGGTGTCACGTGACACATGGTCTTTTGCGTCTGACCCCTTCTAGTCTGCATGATGTTTGTGGCATTCATCCATGTCCTATGCAGTAGAGAAGATGCCATTCCTGTAAAGTAACTCATTGTAAAAAGAGACACCGTTACTTATTGATACATGCTACTGCTGATAGACATTTGATGTGTTCTCAGTTTGAGGTCATAATGAATAAGACTTCTGTGAACATACTTGATATGGCTTGGCTCTGTGTCCCCACCCAAATCTCATCTCAAATTGTGATCCCCATGTATCGAGGGTGGGACCTGGTAGGAGGTGATTGGATCGTGGGTGCGGTTTCCCCCAGGCTGTTGTGATAGTGAGGAAGTCTCATGAGAGCTGATGGTTTAAAGGTGGCGCTCCTCACTTGGTTCTTGGTTCTCTCTCTCTCCTGCTGCCTTGTGACGAAGGTATTTGCTTCTCCTTCACCTTCCTCCATGATTGTAAGTTTCCTGAGGCCTCCCCAGCCATGCTGAACTGTGAGTCAATTAAACCTCTTTCCTCTATAAATGACCCAGTTTCAGGCAGTTCCTTACAGCAGTGTGAAAATGGATGAATACAACACCGTGTGCTTCCTTGGTGCTCATATGCACGTTTATGATGTCTGATGTCGCGGCAATGAATATGTCTTCACAGGACGCCAGCTGCAACCATCTGCAATCCACTGCTGCCTTAGTGTGAAGGCTGCACTGCCTGGGAGCTGTTCCTCAGCAACATTCACGTGGATAGGAAGGCTTAGCGGAGCCCGTCCTTGGGGAGGCGCTGGGCTTCTCTGACCGCTGGCTTTGGCCTTGGGGCTCTGCAGCAGCAGTGGCAGTCTCTCAGTCTACAAAGAGGTCCAAGATGCATCCTCCCAGCCTCCTTTCTCTCTGTCCTCCTCTGGGGTAGAACTCGAGTCCCAGCCTGGCCACTCTCCCACATTGTTTCCCTTGCACAGGCATTCCTCCTTGTAAAATCCTCACCCAGTTAATGTCAGTGTGGCCTCTGCTCCCCGGAGCCCCGGACCACCCAGGGTCCTGCCCAGATCCTCTTAGATTCCATGCACAGCGTGCGTCTGTGGGTTTGCTGCTTGGGGTCCACACCACAGACCTCATGAGAGTATCCAGAGGCTGTGGAACAGGGTGTCCCATCGGGAGGGAGGAGTGCTTAGGAATCCAAAGCCCCAGATGAGTCTGTGGCCTGGGAGTGACCGGGCAAAAGCCCCTTGCACTCGCCTCAAGGCAGGACATATCCCGAGACGCAGTTTCTACTTCAGTGCCCTTTGACAGATCCGGCTGAGGCTGGGACTTCACCTGAAATCCAAGGTTTGAAGAGAATGGCAGGAGTTTGAAGTTGTTCCTGAGAATTAGGGAGCGAATTTTGACCAGGGAATCACAGCTAGGGAGAGGCCAGAGCTAAGGACCCACTTGGCGCTGTAACTGGGGGCATCCCGAGAGCCGCACTCACCCGAATTGAACCAAACGCATCAGGACCACAGTGTGTCTACATTTCAAAAGTACCTTATTCTTATTGACACAGCAGATTTGTACACAAGAATAAACAATATGAACCAACACTTTATGGTTTTTATTTAAAAGTGTGCCTTTGAGAAGTGATGAAAAAGCAGAATTTTCTGGAGAAAAACTTGGGAATCAGATGATGAAATCACTTTCCAAAATATGACTTTACATTAGAATGTCTGCTAGAGAAGCCTGGAATCTGGATAAGACCAACAACAGGAGGCTGCAGCTCCTACACCAGCCCCACCCTGATGTTCTGGGTGGCCTGGAGCAAGGAATGGGATTCCTGGGTTTCCTGACTCCACATCCTGAGAGGCTGCACCAGCCCCAGAGCAGCCCAGTTGAACGGACGGAGCAGCAGGGCTGGGGTCAAGTGGAATGCTCCCAACCCCTGCTAGGAATGCTGACCATCACCATGGGTCTTCATAAATACCCTGTGGCTATAGAAGTATTTGGGAATTCACCAAGATATCCCAGCTGCCTCTCCTACAGAATTCTTCATCTTGACCCTAGATAATTACTGCATTGCAAATTCAGAAAACTATGTGACCAGCTTCATGCCAGAGAGCCACTCGGGGCTGTGAAAGAGTTTAGCCATGACACACAGTGCATTGCAGGAGAACGGCCTTCTCTGTGTAATGAGACCCCTACGGCTGCAAACCTCGGTGCTTTCATTACAGTTCCATCTTAGCAAAATTATTTCACTCCTTGAAGCCTCAGTTCCCATATGTGTAAAATGGGGAAATAGCTCAACCTCCCAGGAGCACAGGCAGGTATTCCAAAGACATGGACAATTACTAGTGTAAACTGGGATCCATTTCTTGAAAGTAAGCATTTTGATAAGAGAGAAAAATAAAGTATATTTTTAAAGGCCAAAATAGTTTGTTTTGTTTTGTTTTGTTTCTTTGAGATGGAGTCTCACTCTGTCACCCAGGCTGGATGGAGTGCAGTGGCACGATCTCGGCTCACTGCAACCTCCACCTCCCGGGTTCAAGCAATTCTCCTGTCTCAACCTCTCGAGTAGCTGGGACTACAGGTGCACACCACCACCCCCAGCTAATTTTCATATTTTCAGTAGAGACAAGGTTTCACCTTATTGGTCAGGCTGGTATCGAACTCCTGACCTTAGGTGATCCCCCCCGCCTCTGCCTCCCAAGGTGCTGGGATTACAGGTGTGAGCCACTGTGCCCGGCCAAGATTTTTAAAAGTCTATGTGATGATATTGGCAGATCACATAACATACCATTAAGTATAGTTTGCTGAAAAAAAAAAATGCTTTGGAATCTGATACACGTTAGTTGCAATTCCTGTCTGTCACTCATGGACATATACATCTTCATCAAATAAATGTTTATTGCTTTCCTACCAAGCTTTTGCCCCAAATTCTTAATACATACAATTGAATTCCTTTCCTAAAATGGATATCATGATTCCCACTCTGAGGACTAACTGTGATTAGAAATGAATGGCCCTGACCGGAGCGTCTTACAGAATGTTGGCCTCACAGGGACCCCCTGGCTTCTTTTTATCATATCCCTCTAGTCCCCTGGAACTGCTGTAAATAAGCCATGTGGATTTATCATTTCTGCTTGAGGGAAAGTTTGTCTTGGCATATTTGGAAAAAATAAACAAACTAAAGATATTGGGCAGCTTGAGAATAAGCCAGGGGCTGCCCTATGCTACAAGTCTTCAGAAATGAGTCGGGATGATACTTCAACCCCACTTGGATCAAAGACTTGGAAATGAGGAAAGGAAAATCATACCTAAGGTCACTTCCGAAGGTCAGAGGATATCTGAAGGCATGTGAGGATGTGAGGAAGGCTCTGGATTTACTGTTTCCGGCTAACGCTATTCAGAAGTGTTAATGAAATAGTCACTAAAGCTTCTCATGTGCTTCCCATGTGTTTACTTGTGTGTAAGGACCATACAGTTTGATAAGACAGTATTTGTGCACAAAGAAACAATCTAAGAACATACATTTAGCTGCTAAGATGTATGACATAAACTTTGTCTACTTTGACAGCCAGAAAAAAAATGGAAACTCAGTGAGGGCTGAGGCATTCTTGCACAGCGGGAATGAGCGTTGTTTTGGAGGAGCCATGGACACACTGCTTAGTTTTCGTTTTCAGCATGTGGCCAACAGCTCAGGCAAGGAGAAGAGAAGTTGCAGGCTCCCTTCTTGGCTGTGGCAGCTAACGCGGGAGGAGTTGCATTGGGTCGTGGACACGTGGCCTGCTTCTCTTCCACTGAAAAACTGCACAGATGCAGAGAAATTCTGCAAAGCTCATTCGGAAAACATTTCACAACAACGGAATGACACGACCAAGCTGCACACGATCTTTAGTTCTTAATACAAAGATCGGAAAGAAAATAAATCAGAAAGGATATTACATCACATTACATTTTCTGGTGAAGCAGTTTAGCCATGTCTCTTACTGAGGTCTGAACCACCACAGGACATGAACGCAGGGGAGCGACTGAGGAGCGTGGAGGTCAGTTCCTCTGGGGTGTGGAGGACGTGACGGCGTTTACTTGAGGTAAACCTCGCAAGGGGGAGAAGTTTGCTCAAAAAGTCTTTAAATAACAAATGAGGGAGATTCTATTTTATTCCATAAGCAATGGATAGGCAGCCAAGTTTTCTTGAGAAAAAATAGACACAATTTGAGCAATTCTAGCATATGGTTAGAAATTTATGTCTGGCACAAAATTACGTTTGCAAGTTTATAGCCCCTAGCATTAGTTTTTAAGCAACATTACAGCAACTAGCCTGGTAAAAACGAGAACACAGGTAATAAGCCCAAGGTCAGCTCAGGGTGAAGTGGGTCCATCTGCAAGAGACCTTTACCCTTCAATGGAGCAGAAAGTGGGAGGGAGCCGGGGCCTTGGGTGAATTCCCTGAACAGCTGCAATCACCCTGGACTGTTTGCTTCTGAACTTTCTATTCCCCGAAAACACATCTTTTTTGGTGAGGCTGCTGTAATTTGGTTTGGTTAGATGCTGCTGAAGTCATCATTATTGACACAATGTATGCAGTCAATACTTGTGAGAAGTCTGGCTGCAGAAGTAGGAGACAGAGCAACAACTGGAATGTGTCCAGAACCTCCCGGGAAGCACAGGTTATGTGGTCATATTCACTCACAGGCCTGAATCTGCACCAGAAGAAATGATAGGCACCTACTAAGGCCCAAGTCTCAGGGGAGGCCCAGCTGGGCCCGCTTGGACGGATGGAGTCCCGTGAGTCCCAACGTCTTTACAGAACTACACACCAAGCATCCCTGCCCATCAGGACCAGTGTCCTTTCATCATCCACGAGCTCCACAGGAAGCCTTCAGTTCACTGATGTCTATGAAGAACTGTGCTTTCCAGCAGGCTCTGAGGATTCCCAGCTGGGGCTCAGGACTATTGCAGCTCTCAGTTTGTGGTCCATGTGCACTTGGTCTGCATGCTTTCTGGGGAAGCCTGAGCCTCGGCACTCTGAGGAGCTGGTGAGGAATAGTGAGTTCTAGTATGCTTGTCTGAGAAGGACTGTGTCCTACTTGGAGTAGAGCTAGAAATGGATTCCCTATTTATAGTGCCTCAGCCCCTTCCTGCAGGACACCATCAATATGTCCCACGCAGGAGTAGCATTTGGAGAACGAAACACAGGTGACAGGAAAGGATGCACGAGCTGCAGCAGGAATGCAAAGACAGCACGGGGCTCTGGGAGACCCATCGAGGGGGCAGCACTCAGATTCTTTATTAAACGTTGAGTAGAAATTTCCCAAGAGAGGATGAGGAGGAGATTTCAGTGTGTCTGGCGTGCTTAGAATACAGTGAAGGTCAGGTTCATTGAACTGACCAGTTGCACCTGGGAGAGCGGGGATTGCTCAGGGAAGAAAGGGATTGAAGCAATTGAGTCGTGACCCACATACCACACCAGGCCGCTCCAGCTTGTTGCTGGACACGAAGACCCATCATAGAAGGAGTTTAAAAACAGTGCCAGACTTGAGGTGTATTTTAGGACGTTGGAGCAAAGACGGGCAGGGACAGTTGGGCCCATCATTGCTGACGGGACTGACTTCACCTCGATAATACGCACATTCACACTGTCATTCCCTGCACGGGCAGATTATGTTCTACGCTGCATCTGGCTCACAAATGCTGGCAAGGAAGAAGATGGTTTTTATACTTATTAATTTTAAAGCTGACCTGGATGTATGACCTTCAACTGTGTTTTTTTCTAACTTAAAAGGATACACATGTTACATTCATGTCATTTTAGAAATCATTCTTTCATTTACAACTACACCTATATTCAAATTAACAGCTGATTCCAATTTTAAAAATGTTCTCTTGAGGAACCTCTTCACCTTCCTTCCACCCCCCAAAAATCTATGAGTAAATTTGAACATCTTGATACATACAAAATTATACATTGTCTGGATTTTGGGAGAATATTTTAGGATATTGATTTTGTTGCGTTATTCGAGTTTAGACAATAGTTAACATAAGTATTCATATGTAGAGGTCTTTGTGCTTCATTAGAAATATATCCAACTAAACATAACAACAAAAAGCCTTGCGAAACTACATATCTCTTATACTTTTGTGCTGTTTTTCTGTGTGTAACTAAACGTGGGATACAGCAAAAATATTTTCACATTGTTTAAAATTAAGAGTATGTACAATTCCATTTCTTCCATTTAAAGACCCACTAAGTCACTCAGTGTATTTGGAACCCACACCATACGAGGGAAAGCACATCACTTTTAGTGGTTTCTAAAGGCGAATAGAAAAGTGATTCATACAACCAAAGCAAGAAGATTTTGAATGTAGAAGCAAAGAGAAGCAGAAGCAGAAGCAGATGTCTAAGCCAGGGGACACCCACCGCGCTGTGGCCCCAGGGCCCTGCTAGAAGGTGTTTCTCACCCAGAATGGCTCACGGCTGCCTTGGCATCTCCAGTGCTGAGGCTTTTCGTAGGTGACTGCCTCAGAAACAGAAAATGAATGTCTAGTCGTGCCTATTTTTCATAAAAAAAGACCAGCAAAATTACGTTAAATTAACATTTATGAAAATAGCAGCACTGAAGACTCTTCAGTCTCTAATCAGTTAATTGTGGAGTCATGGAGTTGAGCCTTAGCAGCATCTAATTAAATCAAGAGTTGCCAAAATCCTTCAAGTGTCCAGTCCTGTGGGCATGTCCTGAGTTTCTCCAGGAGGACCAGGAGGACCATCCCATCACGACCTAACACTGACTAAGGGAAATTACAAAGTAAATTCATTTTGTCCTGAGCCCATGGTGGGCTCAGGGAGGTGCTTCCTGTCCTCCCAACCCTGGAGAGAGCTGTTACACTGTTCATGATGGGCTCTGAGATGTGAACACTCAACAAGCCCAGCTTCTGGGGCCTGCCACCATCCCACGGGGCCACTTGGTCTGTGGCCTGCTATGGGTCACAAATCACCAATATTCCAGTACCCTCCGCCACACACCCTTTGCAGGCGGGCATGCACCCTCCCACTGTGGGACAACACAACTAGGAGGGAGATACAGGTTGGCTTTCTGGTGAGTTCTACTCCATCCCCTCTACCACACCACACATGCACACTTCCTTCACCTGTGAGTGGGGAGGGGACACTGCATTCTCCCCTAACCTAGAAGCTGGAGGAGTGGGCTTTGTGTGTGGGGAGGGTGCCCCAGGATGGCTAGTGAAGGATGGTGAAGGTTTAGGTCTCAATCTCTGGTTGGGTGCCAACATCATCAGCATTCTGCTGAATGGACCATTCTAGCAGAGAAAGAGCCCTGCTGTGGCATTGCCAGGCAGAGAGGAAGATGGACCTGTCACTCAAATCTGGCTCTGGGCAGGTGCACAAGGCAAATTCCACACACACCACTGGCATCAGCATGGGAGCTGGGAGCGGTAAGTGAGGCTGTGATTGCAATGCTGTTGTGAATCACTAGAACGGGGAATGGACAACTACAATGCGAGGCAGTATCAACGAAGATTCATTGAGCATATGTATTACAAACCCTTGGAAAATAATTTTATATGTTTATAAATAATACGTTAATGAAGGAGATTAAACAGAATCATTTTTTTTAAAATCTCGCTTTACCCAAAGGACGGCAGAAAACAAAAGAAAATCAAATACGGATAAATAGAACAAATAGAAAACAGTAAACAAAATGTTGGATTTTCATTCAATTCCATCAACTATAACCTCGAAGGTGAATACTCTAAACATGTCTGTTAAAAGACAAAGACTTCCAGATTGGATCAAACAGCAAAAGACTCAACTGCAGTCTTTCTGTAAGAAATTCACTTTAAGTATAAAGGCATAAATAAGTTAAAGTGAAAAGCTGCAGAAAGATACACCACACAAACACTAACTAAAAGAGAGTTGGAGCAGCTATATTAATATCAAGGTAGACTTCAGAAAAAGGAACCTACCTGGGACAAAGAGGAATGTTGCATAATAATGAAGCAACCAATTTTTCAAGAAGATAAAACTACCCTAAATATGCAGGCACCTAGCGATACCCCTTTAAAATATGTGAGACTTAAAAACTAATAGAACTTCACAGGTCGGTTTTGCAATTGCAGTTACACAAGCCAGTACTTGTCTCTGAGTTATTGATGGAACAGAAAGACAAAACATCAGCATGGATAGAGACGATATAAATGACCCTATTATACAATCTGACCAACTAACATTCATAGGACACTTTAGAAAAGACTGACCAGAGCTGCTTCAAAATTTCAAGTTCATGGGAGACAAAGAAGGCTGAGGCATCATCACAGCTGGAGACTGATGACGCATAGCTTCCCTCAATATGAGATTCTGTATTGGATCCTGGGGCAGAAAAGGGGCAGTTGTGGAAAACTGAGAAATTAAGAGTTGAGCTTGTGCTTTAGTTAATAGTATGGTACCAATGTTAATTTTTTAGTTTGATGTTTGTACCATGATTATTTGTGATTTTAGCATTAGGGGAAGCAGGATAAACAGTACACAGGAACTCTCTGGGCTACCTTCACAACACTTCTAACACTTCTATGAGTCTAAACTTACTTCAGAATAAGAAGTCTCTAGATAAAGACAATGTATATGCATATACTCATATATGTATGCAATCATATAAATATGTACATATATACATACCTACGTATGAATATATTTGTGAAATGTAAAAGGTAGTGATATACTACAATGTTTTAAAATGGACTGAATAACGGGGATATGACTGTTTTTCCAGTCGAAAGTATTTCCCAATTACCGACTGGTGACTAAAATGTTCTTATTTTAGTTATCAGAAGATAGAGACTCAACAGAGCCTTGTTACTAGCTCTATTAATAAGAACAAAGCCAAATTAAGGCATTCCCATCTTATAGAACATCAGAATGAATATAAATTCCTTCTCTGAAGCCATAGAATCATGTGATATATTGCAACCTCTCTAGAAGCCAAATAAACACACAATAAAATAATAATAAGACTCTATAGACGACCATTGGATGATACACATCAAATCACCCAAATCCAACACTAAATGGGGCTGGAAGTGAACATTAACAGATCCTTCTTGAAAGGCTATTTACATACCATGAACCTTTATGTAGTCATGTAATTTGGCCTAATATTCCTACTTTTAAAAATCTATAATAAGGAAATAATTTAAAAATTCATCAAAAATTTATGTAAATGGTGTTTATTACAATGCTATGTGTAACACTAAAGATATTTTAATTGCCCTATGTCAACGGTTGAATTGTGTTCCCCAGAAATTCATATGTTAAAGTGCTAATCCCCACTGCCTTAGGACGTATATTACAGTTAGGGTTTTTATAGAGGTAATCAAATCAACACAAAGTCATTAGAGGGGCTCTAATCTAGCATGACTAATGTCCTTATGAAAAAGGGAAATTTGGACACAGAGATGGTTGGGGAGAATGCCACATGCAATTGAAGGAGAGATGGGGGTGATGTTTCTAACAGCCATGGACACCAAAGATTACCGGCAAACCCTGAGACTCAAGCAGGGGCCTGGGGCAGATCCCCTCGTGGTCCTCAGAAAGAGCCCTGCTGACACCTTGATCTTGAACTGCAAGCTCTAGACCTGTGAGACAATACATTTTAATTTTAAGCCACAAAGTTTGTGGTACTTTGTTTTGGTAGCCTTAGCAAACTGAAACAACATAATCATCAAAAAAAGAATGATTGACACATTCTAACACACGCAGACACTAACACACACGCAATATAACAACATAATTATCAAAAGAATGATTGACACATTCCAACCCACACAGAAACTCTCCACACACATGCAATAAAACAACATAATCATCAAAAGAATGATTGACACATTCCAACACACACAGAAACTCACACACATGCAATATAACAACATAATCATCAAAAAAAGAATGATTGACACATTCTAACACACACAGACACTAACACACATGCAATATAACATAATTATCAAAAGAATGATTGACACATTCCAACCCACACAGAAACTCACACGCACATGTAATAAAACAACATAATCATCAAAAGAACGATTGACACATTCCAACACACATAGAAACTGACACACGCGTTCAATAAAACAATATAATTATTAAAAGAATGACTGACACATTCCAACACACACAGAAACTGACACACACGTGCAATAACGTCTTGCTACAGTTAAAAATCACAAATTCGAAGAATATTTAATGCCATCATAAAATTCTCACCTTGTAGTGATGAGTAAAATCAGGAGGAAGTTGATCAAACATTCATGTTTTTGTAGTGGCATTAATGCCTTTTAAAGTTAATTTAAAAACTAAGTCATGTATCTGGAAAATGTGGGTAATGCAAGTCAACAAACTCTTTAAATACTGAAGGAAAAAAATACCTTAAATTATATTGGGAAATTGGTATAATTTGAGTGTCATTTTTCATAATCCTTACATATATTAAAAATTCCCACCTAGCCAAGATCCACCAACCAAACCAACCAACCAAAAATAAGACACAAAATCCCTGAAGCCAGACTTTATTTTCTTCACTCAGTTTAAAGGTTTCTCCATCTCATCCCTTCTGGGAGCCCAGAGACAGAGCACAACTTGGCGCCCACTCATCCATTCGTTTAGTCACTCATTCGTTTATTTTAAAAGTCAAAGTATTTCTCATGAAATAATCTGAATTTTGAGTCTCTCTTGGAAAACAAGAAGCAGCAGCCCTGAACCGGGCTCCCTACAGGGCACTGACCGCTGTGTCATCAAGATCCCAACAGCCTTGCTGGGCAGCTGCAGCTCTTACTGCAAACCTGGCAGTGGAAGGTACTTGAGTTTCTTCCTCCTGACCAGTGGGTCCAATCCTGCCCCTGAGTGTTTGTGAAGATTCTTTAATCTATGTGAACACGAAGCAAATCTGTGCAGTGAATACATAAAAGTACAATCATCATCACGTGGAATCCGGAAGCTTGTGTAACATCGGGAGAACACAGCCCTCACATTTATGAAAGCCTGGAACCATGGAACCAATGATTATCTGCTAACTTTATCAATGCAGAAGCAAAACAAAATCTGTAACCCTGTCCCCCACTCCACACCTACATTTCAAGACAGGGGAGACTGTGCCTGGTGACAGCAGGTGCCCTTGCCTCTGCCTTCACAGCCTCTGCTCCTGTCTCCCTCACGCTCAGTTTCTGGGGGCCTCTGCTCAGCACCTCTGAGGACACAGGGCTCAGACCTTGGCTGTTCTGTGCTGGAGTCCACAATGCACCCCAGGTCAATGCTGCTCATCACCACCCAGCTGCCTGATGCGGTCCTGGTGTCCACCCAAGCTGAAGGAAGCTGGTAACTCCTATCCTACCTGTGCCTGGAAGGCCAAGACCCAGGAACACTTGGAGAAACATCAGCCATGACCATGGCCCAGCATCTCTGAGGGAGGCAGCAGCTAAGGACAGTATGTGCCAGTCCCTCAATCTGATGCCAACAGAGTCTGTGAGCCGGACACAGGGGCCAGAGCCTCTCTGCAGCCCCACACAGTGGTGGAACAGAGAGACAGGAAGACCCAAGAGGTACAGTAGGCAGTGTTCCGTGGGAACCCTCATAGCCTGAGGCACACGATTCTTGATAAGGCCCTGGCCCTCCTCCCTAGGAAGCCCTTTCCTGCCAGGGTGGGCTCTTGCTGTCCCTGGGCTGCCCGGCAGGGCCTTCTTCCCCATCCTCCATGGTCACCTCTGAAGTGTGACCTGGGATGAGCCTCCCCTGGGCCCACACAGCCCACGGTGAGCTCCTTCCCTAGAAAAGTCTGGCAGTGCAAGGACACGTTCAGATAAAATAAGTCAGAGATTAAAATCCAGGCACATGTTTTTATCTTGCTGTGTTGTTTTGGGGTGTGTATTTCTCTTAAAAACTTCGTAAATCTCTCATTTATTTGATTCTAGACAGATCCATGTACCAACTGCCACATCCACACTCCTTTTGCAGACACACCTCTTAGATTTGGTATATTTCTGTGTGTTCTTCTCCAGCAACTCTTTCTCTGTGTTAGGCCTCAGGCTTCAGTGGGAGAGCCACACCCCCGTCTCCCTTTTCAAAGACCATTTTTGTGCAACATACAGGCCTCACTGGAACTGAAACCTGGGCTGTGCCTTAGCTCTGAAGCTTCATAATTCATTCAGAAGTTTTCACACCAGGAGTGGCGACTGGGTCTGGATTTGTTCTTTGCATCAGGGTTGGTTTTAATTAGGCTCTCTCTCTCCAAGGCCCTCTTGTTTGTTGTCTTTTTCCTGCTTTTTTTCTTTATTTAACTGTTATAATTTGAGCATGAGAAGCAGTTGACTCTTCCAACCCTGCAAGTCCCAGGGTCTGCACACTCCTGAGATCTCTGGATTTCCCCGCGCAAACTGATCACTTGTCTCATTTTACCTTTTTGTTTGTTTTGTTGGACCGTGTCAAATACAGCTAATAGGTAACCAAAGCATGCTACAGACAGCCTGTCTCCTGCAGCCTCTCCTAGAGTGACTATTACAAGGTACATCATCTTCCTTTCATTTCGTCACTGGTGCTGGTGTTGCCAAATGCCTCACCACCATGTAACGGGGCTGCTACCTCCGCATTTCCAATACCAGCTTTTGTGGGAAAGAGTTTCTGGGATGCCAGATGAGTTGGTCGCCCCTGTGTGAGACACCCATGGGGAGCCATGGGCGGCCTCTGAGGAGAAAAGTCTCCTTGTTGCCTTCATGTCTTTATGCCCGAGGGCGGAACAGCTCAGCAGCATGCCACAGGTTGCTCGGGGACATAACCCTCCCTTGAAGCTGTGGAGTATAATCAAACATCTTGGCTTCTCCTGAAACCCGCTCCCCGCCATTTCAGTCCCGATAGGTTAAAGATCTTAAGTAGTTTAGACACACGCCTTTGCTCAAGGAAATTCACAGAAACCGCCACTGCTGTACATCTTATTGAAGGACTCACGAGTTCTTCTTCACCGATTAATCCTTTTCCTCATCCCTTCCTACCCCTCCCATCTGCCCTAAGAACAAAGAGCTTGTAAACCAATAAATTGGGTGGAGGCCGAGAGCTCGGGGCCGTCAGCAAGCCTCCAGCTCCGGTCCCCTGGACCCGCCTTTTAGACTCTTATTCTGTCTCTTTCTAACTCCTTTGTCTCCGCTGGACTCGGGGTACCCGCCGGGTGATGTGGGGCTGGTTTCCCCAACAGCTTTCTCACTGCTCACTGCCTGTATCCTAATCTAGTGCCTGATACTTTCAGGCAGCAGCCCACATCTAGGAACCGATTTTTGTATTGGCAGCATGGACTAAGGTTACTATGTGTTAAGTAACAATTCCCACAAAACATACTACGTTCAAACTATGAAAGGTTATTTTTCACTCAGTCTACACAGTGTATTTCAGGTCAGCAGGGGGCTGTGCTCATCAGGGAAGCAAAAATACCTGGTCAACAGGGAAGCCATCGTTTTGAATTTTGCTACCCACCATGTTGGCAGAAAGAGAGTTCTTGACAATTTCACTCCTGCGATTAAATGCTCCGACTAGAAATGATACACATCGCTGGCCAGACCTAGGCACATGGCTCCACCCAACCACAGGTGGTCAGCTGATGCAATGTTCCTGGGAGACAGACATTTAAAGATATTTAGAGAAGAGCCTTGATATATACTCTCCTTCCCAAACACCAACACCCCTGACTCCAAAATGACAGCACTGTTAGCTTTTTCACTGAATTCATACCCTGAACTGGGTTTCACAAATGATGACTTTTATAACCAGTAGAAATAGTTAAATAAAAAATTCACTTAAGCTCCCAGCAAACAAAACGTGCAAATGTATTTTACACTCAGCAATATACTAATGAATCTCCCTGTCTGCACTTGACTTAGGATAGCACAGGGCACACGATTCAGGAAACGTTTTTCAGCTAACAATCAATATTGGAATCCAGCACCATTTCATACGCACAGGAAGACATTACTCTACAAACAGGAAATGAACACAAAGACTTGAGCTCCGGAGTGCCAGACTCCATCTTGCCAATTATGTATTTCCCCAAATTCTCAAGTCCTTTAGTACAAGAAGTCCACTTAATTTCTTTCTCTAAATATGCTTTACAGTGGCCTGCAGTAATGTGTGAGCCATATGCCTCTCCTAAGCACCTTCTCTTGTGAGACTGCCTCTCCTCAAAGCTGTGCCGGGAGCCAGGGACCGTAGTGAGAGCCACACAACATTTGCTCATGAGCAGGTTTTTTGACCATTTTCATAGATATCTCTGAATGTTTCAATTTGAATGATGTCCCTAATCATTTTTAAACGTTGTTAACATTTGCAAATCTACAGCTATAGCTACGGAATGACTATGTTCTAGTATTTGTCAGTTCTATAAGAAAGGCTGAAAATTATGAGCTCTATAACGATAACTACATCAGACAATTTACAAATGTGTTTAAATACACACTTCGTACTGAAATCATGGTGTGTATGAAAACGACTACTTTATTAGAAGGTACTATCAACATAATTTCGGAGTTTTCCAGATAGCTCAGGGTACACTAGTGTCAGAGCTGTTTGAACCAGAGCAACTCCATCTTGAATACGCCTGAGTGAAACAAGGCTGAGACCTGCTGGGCTGCATTCCCAGACGGTTAAGGCGTTCTGAGTCACAGGATAAGATACGAAGTTGGTACAAGACACAGGTCATAAAGACCTTGCTGGTAAAACAGGTTGCAGTAAAGAAGCTGGCTAAAACCCACCAAAACCAAGATGGTGACGTGAGTGACTCTGGTCGTCCTCACGGCTACACTCCCACCAGCACCATGACAGTTTACAAGTACCATGGCAACACCAGGAAGTTACCCTATATGTCTGAAAAGAGGAGGCATGAATAATTCACCCCTTGTTTAGCATATAATCAAGAAATAACCATAAAAATGGGTAACCAGCCGCCCTCAGGGCTGCTCTGTGTATGGAGTAGCTACTCTTTTATTCCTTTCCTTTCCTCATAAACTTGCTTTCACTTTGCTGTATGGACTCACCTCAAATTCTTTCTTGCACGAGATCCAAGAACCCTCTCTTGGAGTATGGATTGGGACCCCTTTCCAGTAACACTAGTACCTGCTTACCATAATGAAACACTACCAGTTGAGATGAGAAATGCATTTTTTTTTTTCGAGACAAAGTCTTACTCTGTCACCTGGGCCAGAGTGCAGTGGTGCCATCTCAGGTCACTGCAACGTCCGCCTCCTGGATTCAAGCAATTCTCCTGACTCAGCCTCCGAGTAGCTGGGACTATAGGTGCATGCTGCCATGCCTGGCTAATTTTTTTTTTTTTTTTTTTTTTGTATTTTAGTAGATACAGGGTTTCACTGTGTTGCCCAGGCTGGTCTCGAACTCCTGAACTCAGGCAATCCTCCTGCCTCGGCCTCCCAAAGTGCTAGGATTATAGGTGTGAGCCACCGTGCCCGGCCGCATATCTTAAAACCTAAAGAATTAGAAACAGAGAACCCATTTTAAAATGAGTCACTAAAGTCTGCTTATGTGTCAACAATATGTAAGTTACTTTTTTTTTTTTTTGAGACAGAGTCTTGCTCTGTCACTCAGGCTGGAGTGCAGTGGCGCGATCTCGGCTCACTGCAACCTCCGCCTCCCAGGTTCAAGCAATGCTCCTGCCCCAGCCTCCCAAGTAGCTGGAATTATAGGTGCCTGCCATCATGCCCGGCTAGCTTTTTGTATTTTTAGTAGAGGTGGGGTTTCACTGTGTCGGCCAGGCTGGTCTCGAACTCCTGACCTCAAGTGATCCATCTGCCTCGGCCTCCCAAAGTGCTGAGATTACAGGCGTGAGCCACCACACCTGGCCTGTAAGTTACTTTTAAACACACTGAAACAAAGTGTGTAGCTCCAAGAAACTACAAAGAGGGAAAACAGTTTCCATTCAGTGCCTTGCAGGATTTGTAAGAGGCTTTCCATGTTGGCTTGTGAGCAGCAGGAGTGAAAGAAGCTGGGATGGAGGAATGCACACTGGGCAGGGAGAGATGGAAAGGAAAAATACCAGCTGTCTCTGATTGCTGACAGCAAAGAAAAGACAGGGAACAACTGCAAAACCAATGCTTGTTGGTAGGTTTTCAAATCACTCCCAAACTCCCCTCTTTCACTCCTCTACCCGCTCCCACCCCCCGCAATACCTCAGAAAAAGTAACCTTTCCTTAAGTACAAAAACAAACAAAGGAAAGAAAGCTTATGGGAGTTGGGAAAACATAAAGAATGTAAATGAGCCTCCACATCTTTCCCAATGAATGTGGAGCAGGAATTCCCACTGGAATGTTGGCATTCCATATTTTTCCAACCCAGTATTTTTGGTGGAATTGCTGTTCAGACATAAACATTTACTCTCCTTCTCCGATTCCACAAGTCAGGGGCTCATTTCTATATAAAAGAGTGACAACAGAGAGGACATTCATTTAAATCTACTGTAAATTCCAGGCCCTCAAATAATTTGTTAAAAATCCGTTTAAAAAGATAAATAGTAATTTTGCTCCTGAAAGTGTTATGGGAAATTTTTATATTTTGTCTTTAATGAATCAACAGAAAGAAATGAGTTTTTTTTTTTTCAAGAATAGCTGTTCTTTGACATTTAATTTTCTCAGCATTGCAGCCTTCTGAAAATTGTGTATAGCAAATAAGATACGAAATGTGCATACCCTCAGCATTAAAATTATTTCCTAGAGTAATTTTAAGTCTTGCAACAAAAATAAATTCTTGACATTGCTCATTTAAGGAGTGGAACTGTTAGGAGTTATAACACTATACACAAATCTAATCTGCCTATCATAAAACTAATTATCATTTAAATAAAACAATAAATTTGAAGATGAGTCAATGGCAGGAGACCAGGCATGTCCTCAGACTTAGCCTTGACCAAGGTAAAACAAATCTCTTTTGCCCTGAATCCAAGTGATGAGATGTAGGCTGTGCAGTGTCAAGACACAAACATGCAAAACGGGTCTAGAATAGGATAACCCTTAGAATTAGGTTATGTCAGATAATGAGCAAATGATGATAATTTGGCAGAGTATCAGGCAAAGATACATACACAGGAATAATTTATAACAGTTTTAAGAATGTTTATACCACTACACTTTTTTCCAAATAATCCACTATCAATTGCAAAGATATTTAAGATAAGCAAGAATCAGGTCCCTGAATAATTCTTAAAAAATAATCTAGTCCAGTTGACCAAGCACACACTTCATCCTTTTGGTCAGTTGCTGTTGAGATTTTGCGGTATCCATGGTGGGGTAGGAGCTCCTGGCCTCCTCCCCTGTGACCTGTGACCTGTGAGGGTGATAGGCCAGCAGTCAACCTCACTGAGCTGAACGTTGCTTTTCTTAAGCTTCCAAATGCCAGGACAGGCCAGCCCCTCTGAAACAACCCAGAATGAAACACCCTCTCTCCCATGTTCCATGCTTTTCATATCTGGGTGTCCATCACACTGACCCCTTCAATCCTTCCTCTTGGAAGCTTCACATCCCTATTTCCACCAAATCTGCTTAGAGGACTAATTCAAGAGTCTTCATCATATATGGATGAGCTTTCTTAAAACGTGCTTCAGTTTGTCAATACATTTTATAAGTCATCGATTACTTAATACAATAATGAAGACATGAAAAATAGTGGAGCACAGCAACTTACCTTTAGGTCTCTAGTGTCTAACTCAGTGCTCAGCTCACAGAATGTGGTCAGATAAGGCACAGAATGAAGCCAGTTTGTCTCCTCAGAGTAGCATTTAATTTAGGGGTGGCCACAGAACTCCTTTGAATTACACTGAGCTGGCAAACAACTCAAGGCCTTATTCTTTTCCCATTTTGCCTATTATATGGGAAAGCTCTCCTTGACCCCGTGTGTATATTTGCTTTTACAGGGTAGAAGTGCAGTTATTTGTAGTTTATTTTCCGTATATTTCCACATTTTTCATTTTCAACAAGAAGCATTTAAGATATGTATAATGAAATATTAAACACTATATTTTCATTATCATTAATTGATATGGTTTGGTTCTGTGTCCCTACCCAACTCCCACCTTGAATTGTAATAATCCTAACTTGTCAAGGGCAGGACCAGGTGGAGATAACTGAAGCATGGGGGCAGTTTCCCCCATGCTGGTCTCTTGATAATGAGTGAGTCTCATGAGATCTGATGGTTTTATAAGCATCTGGCATTTCTCCTGCTTATGCTCATTCTCTCTCCTGCTGCCCTGTGGAGAGGTGACTTCTGCCATGATTGTAAGTTTCCTGAGGCCTCCTCAGCCATGCAGAACTATGAGTCAATTAAACCTCTTTTCTTCATAAATTACCCAGTATAGGGTATTTCTTCATAGCAGGGTGAGAATGGACTAATGCAGTAAATTGGTAGTGCAGAGAGTGGGGTGCTGCTATAAAGATATCCAAAAATGTGGAAGCAACTTTGGAACTGGGTAACAGGCAGAGGTTGGAACAGTGTGGAGGGCTCAGAAGAAGACAGAAAGATGTGGGGAAATTTGAAATTTCATAGAGACTTGTTAAATGGCTTTGACCAAAATGCTGATAGTGATATGGACAATGAAATGCAGGCTGAGGTGGTCTCAGATGGAGATGAGGAACTTGTTGGGAACTGGAATAAAGGTGACTGCTACTATGCTTTAGCAAAGAGATTGGTGGCATTTTGACTTTGCCCTAGAGATCTGTGGAACTTTGAACTTGAGAGAGATAATTTAGGGTATCTGGTGGAAGAAGTTTCTAAGCAGCAAAGTGTTCAAGAGGTCATTTGGGTGCTCTTAAAAGCATTCAGTTTTATGCATTCACAAAGATATGGTTTGGATTGGGATTTATGTTTAAAAGGGAAGCAGAGCATAAACGTTCAGAAAATGTGTAGCCTAACAATGTTATAGAAAAATAAAACCCATTTTCTGAGGAGAAATCCAAGCCAGCTGCAGAAATTTACATAAGTAATGAGAAGCCAAATGTTAATCACCAAGACAATGGGGAAAATGTCTCCAGGGCATGTCAGAGACTTTCACAGCAGCTCTTCCCATCACAGGCCCAGAGGCCTAGGAGGAAAAAATGGTGTCATATGCCAGGCCCAGGGCCTTGCTGCTTTGTGCAGTCTCAGGACTTGGTGCACTGCATTCCAGCCATGGCTCAAAGGGGCTGAGGTACACCTCAAGCCATTGCTTCAGAGGGTACAAGCTCCAAGCCTTGGCAGCCTCCACGTGGTGTTGAGTCTGTGGGTACACACAAGTCAAGAATTAAGGTTTGGGGACCTCCACCTAGATTTCAGAGGAAGTATGGAAATGCCTGGATGTCCAGGCATAAGTTTGGTGCAGGGTTGGAGCCCTAATGAAAAACCTCTGCCAGGGCAAAGTGGAAAGGAAGTGTGGGGTTGGAGCCCCACACAGAGTCCCCACTGGGGCACTGCTTAGTAGAGCTGTGAGAAGAGGGCCACCATCCTCCAGACCCACGAATGGTAGATCCACAAACAGCTTGTACCATGTGCCTGGAAAACCACAGGCACTCAATGCCAACCCGTTAAGGAGTGGCCCAAGGCCATGGGAGCCCACCTCTTGCATCAGCATGCCCCAGATGTAAGACATGGAGTCAAAGGAGATCATTTTGTAGCTTTAAGATTTAATGACTCCCCCACTGGATTTCAGACTTGCATGGGGCCTGTAGCCCCTTGGTTTGGGCCAATTCCTTCCATTTGGAATGAGTGTATTTACCCAATGCCTGTACCCCCATTCTATCTAGAAAATAACTACCTTGCTTTTGATTTTACTGGCTCAAAAGTGGAAGGAACTTGCCTTGTCTCAGATGAGACTTTGGACTGTGGACTTTTGAGTTAATGTTGAAATGAGTTAAGACTTTGGAGGACTGTTGGGAAGGCATGACTGGTTTTGAAATGTGAAAAGACATGTGATTTGGGAGGAGCCATCGGTGGAAGAATATGGTTTGGCTGTGTCCCCACCCAAAACTCACCTTGAATTATAATACTTGTTAATAATAATATTGTCAATAATATACTTGTCAATGATAACTCACTTGTCAAGGGTGGGACCAGATGGAGGTAATTGAATCATAGGGGCAGTTTCCCCCATGCTGATCTCTTGATAATGAGTGAGTCTCACCAGATATGATGGTTTTATAAGCATCTGGCATTTCCCCTGCCTGCACTCATTCTCTCTCCTAAAGCCCTGTGAAAAGGTCCCTTCTGCCATGATTGTAAGTTTCTTGAGACCTCTCCAGCCATGCAGAACTGAGTCAATTAAACCTCTTTTCACTATAAATTACCCAGTCTCAGGTATTTCTTCATAGCAGCATGAAACTGGACTAATCCATTCATACAAGAGATGTAGCATAAATTTGTCTTCTCTGTTCACTCTCCTCCCACATCACCCACAACTCCATGCCACCCTATACCCCCCAGAGCTGGAAACAGGACATCCCTGTGGCATGAATTCAAAATTGAAGAAGGTTTTGGTTTAGAGAAATAAATGGAAATAAACAAATCAATGAGGTTATAATCATGGTATACAGGAGAGATATTTATGAGTCGTAAGACTGACACAGGTTTTAAAATAAACTCGGGAACTCAGTGAGGATGCAGGGAAGGTGAGAGGGGAAAGATTAGCAGGAGGAGGAGGAGCTGGAAAGATGAGCAGTCAGAGGGAAAGGCCTTCATGTGCTACCCTGAGCATTCCATGCTGTATGTTAAGAGATACAGGGAGCACTGGAAGTTTTCAAGCTGTGGGGTCAAGATCAGATGTGAGCTGCTGACAGACATCCTTGGTAGGGAGGGGAGGTCGGATCTTCTGGTTCACTCTGGTAGGAACTGGACTTTGTTTTAGTAGGCACTTGTGGCTATGCTATCAATGCAAATATTGGCTTGTTTGTGTGTAGAGTTTGGAAGTCTTCCAACTGTGTGTCTCATATGGTTTCATCCCGGTTCCACACACCACAGTTCACTAGTTTTAGAGATGGGACTCCTCCCACACTCAGCTCAGGGTACTCATCTCATCTTAGGCTGGATTGGCGCTGATTGATTTCACTCCCAGTATCCACTTCCCTTTTCACACAGCTCACAAGGCCTGAGGCTCCCACTCTCAGTTATTAATTGATATTTCTAAGCTTCAGTTTCACCTTCATAAAACAGAGGAGATCCTAATGATGCCTACGTGAGATGTGATGGTAAATAAATAAAACAGACTAGAAAACTTGCCTTAAATAAGGACACACTCTTCCTTGGGGCCTGTCTCCTCTACTGCTATTTTTCTGAAAGAACTCAGGGTAAAATTTGCTTCTACAATTTACGGAAGCACACGCAGGAATTCCTAGAGAATATAAGCATAATTCATTATAGAAAAAGCTTGGACTCATCAAATTAACAATAGATTTGAAGCCTCAGGATGATATTTCTGATAAAATTCCAAGAGAGTTGAAAGTTTAAATATTTCCAACATATTAAAAAAAAATCCTGCTCCCTTTTATATTTTCCAAAGTCTTTTTCTTTCAACTCTTCCAAAATACTAGCTGAAGGGCAAAATCAAACAAAGAAAATGTGTTTCTATTCAAGAAATGTTAAAATAAATATGTAATGATTTCTTGGTCAAAGTTTTCCTTTCCCAAGATAAAAATAATTTGAAGTCACATATGATAACTATTACCATGCCCTTCCAGATTGTGAAGCACAAGATTCCTGCAACAGTTTACAAGCTGACAAGTGAGGTCGTGGAGTGCTCAGAGTCCAGAAGACCGGGAAGGCAACCAGGAGTTGCTGTGGAAGACCTGAGCTTCACTGTGGATGGGGAAGCTTGCACTCGCCTCAGAACTGCCCACCTGCCATATTTCTCAGTGTAAAGTGTCAATGGCACTGCCCACCTGCCGTATTTCTCAGTGTGAAACGTCAGTGGCTCACCTCCACCGAGCTTTCCTTTCAGCCGAGCTTCTTCCCGCTTCACCTCTGAGCCCCCGTGATGGGGCTTCCGCTGTGACTGCAGATTCCAGTGATGACTGTGGTTCCATGTTCTAATAGGCCTGGGTTTTACTGTGCTGTTTATGCACTCGTTCTCCATCTGCCCTTCACAACAACACATAGACTCCATATTTCTCCCCAGGTGAATACCCTTTGCTGTTGAAGATACCTGGACATCATAATTTGTGTTCACGCATGAAGTCTGTGTTGTTACATGCCTACTGTGCTGCAGGAATTTTGTGTATAACATGGACAAGGTCGATGAAGTCATTGCTTTCTAACAGAGGAGACCATGCAAGAAACACAAAAGTGCGTTGTGGAGAAGCACAGAACACACCCCCTAAGCACCCGCCCAGTTGAGGGGGTGGGAAGTGCTCCCCAGGGAGGGGCTGCTGGCTCCAGTCCCGCAGGGTAAAGTACCGGGAAGGGCGAAAGAGGCAGCGTTTATTCAGGTCTGGAGGTGGAAGAGGATTCTTGTCGGAAGGACACAGTGTAAACCAGTGTATATTTGATTGAGGTCTCTAGGTAGTTCCTGAGATCATACAGATAAAACATGAGTGGTTCTAAGAATGATCTATAAAAGTTATCTATATGCATAAAGTGAATGATAAAATCTTGCCCTCTTATGAGCAGCATAATGAGTTTACCCCCCAAAAAAACTATGAAGTACACGTTTCACAGTTCTTAATTCCCCACACTGCCCAAGGTCTCTCTCCCCTCTCCCCGG
Source organism: Homo sapiens (assembly GCF_000001405.40). NCBI lineage: Eukaryota > Metazoa > Chordata > Mammalia > Primates > Hominidae > Homo > Homo sapiens. The sequence continues at coordinate 169,094,329 of NC_000006.12, forward strand.
TCAGCAGGCTGTCCGTCCTGCTCTGCAGGCGTGAGGGTGCGTGCCCCTGCAGGCCTCTTCCCGGCCTCCATCTGGGCTATGGTGGCTCCTCCAGTCCCTGCCTGCCTTGCAATGCCCAGGCTCCTCATCTTTCCCACGCCTCCATCCCTCTGGGTCTGCCTTGGAAGCACTTACTGGCTCTACCTGGCAGTAGCAGCCACTCCACTAGAGTTGCTGGTGACCTTTTCTGGGCCTATTCCAGTACTGTTTTTTACTTTCTTCATGGAACTTTTCACCATCTGAGATTATTCACAATAATTCCCAGAGAACACAGCACATGTCTGTCTTGCTCAGCCCTGGATCCCCACCCACTCCGGCTCTTGAGACTTGGTAAGAGAATCCGCACCTGAAGAGACTGGGAATGAATGGAAATTTTCCTCCCAAGAGAAGGGCTTTGCATCCTCCAGGGCCAACTGGATAGCCGTGGAAATTGGCTGTGCAGTGGGCTTCTTCTCGCAGCTCTGCAGTCTTCTGGGGCTGTCAGCCACGATCACCTGCGTATGCCTGATGATTGCCACTCACAGGGAGAGTTAAAGCAAACCACGTTAGGTGGCCAAATATGTGCTGTAAAATGGTGCAAATGATAGCTTTTTGGCCTTGGAATATGTACAGTGGAAACATAAAACAAAACTAAAACCTCTGCTCAACACATTTTTAAAATTTTGTTTGGAAAAAAAAATGCTTTTTCCTGTAATCTTTCTTAACCATCAGTAGAGCTGTCATCCTCAGACAACACGCTTCACAAACAGCAGCCAAGATGTGGGTTGTGAACGACCATCAAGGTGCAGGAGAGGAAGAAGAAAATCATCATTCAGAAGACTTGGTGGTTGTCTGGATGCAGCGTTCCCAGCTCCCATCCACCAGAAGTTGCTCCTGGTCAAGTTGAGTCAGCGGAAGACAAAACAGCCTCCTTCTGAGGAGCGGCGTGGTTAAGGACAGACAGCAGGCTCTGCAGGCGTGGGAGGTGGCCAGATACAGATGCAGTGCCGAGCCAGACAGAGAGCTCAGCGAGGAAGCCAGGAGAAATCAAAAGACCAAGGAGAGAAGGGCACAGGCCTTGCCGTCACTGACGGCATCTTCACGTGGACAAGAGTGGAGCTCTGCTGAGGGTGGCCCTTCACTCTGCCAGGCATGAAGACCCTCAGCGCCCCCTTTAACATCCGTGTCCACTTCCACACACATAGTCACCACTCTGCATTAGTTTGTTCTTGCATTGCTGTAAAGACATGCCTGAGACTGGGTAATTTATAAAGAAAAATGTTTAATCAGTTCACGGTTCTGCAGGCTGTACAGGAAGCATGGCGGCTTCTGCTTCTGGGGAGGCCTCAGGAAATGTCCAGTCATGGTGGAAGGCGAAGCCAGAGTGAGCATCTTGCATGGCAGGAGCAGGAGCAGAAGCAAGCGAGCAAGCAAGCAAGAGAGAGAGAGAGGAGGAACTGCACACTCTTAACCACCAGATCTCAAGAGAACTCACTGTTGTGGGACGAGCACCAAGAGGATGGCACAAAACCATTCATGAGACACCACCCCCACGATCCAACCAGCTTCCACCAGGCCCCACCTCCTGCACTGGGGATTACAGCTCAACAGGAGATTTGGGTGGGGACACAGAGCCGAACTATATAACACCCGGATAACACTCACCCTGTCATGTTTGTAACAGATGTATTGAGGTACAATTTTATAGATTTTAAGCATACAATTGGATGTTTTAACAATCGCCGGCATCAAGGTAATGAACGGACTGCCTCCCCTCAACACTCATTTCTGCCCCTTGGCCCTCCACCATCCCTCCTCCCTCCTCACCCCCCAGGGGAGCATGAATTTGTTTCTGTCCCTGTGGAGTAGTTCACATTTTGTGTAAACAGAATCTCACAGAAGGTACTCTTTTTAGTCTGGCTTCCTTTACTCTGAATAACTATGTTACGGTTCATCTGTGTTGTACCATGTATCAAGAGGCCATTTCTTTTAACTACTGATCAACGTTCCGCCACAGGGTCATATAGCACGTGTCCATCCATCTGATGATGGAGATGAGGGTTGCTTCTGGTTTTTGACAGTCAGATGCAAATGCTCCAAAGAGTTGTGTGCAAGTCTCTGCACAGCTGCCTGCCGGCACTCCTCCTGGGTGAGGATCCAGGGTGGGCTGGATGGACGCAGGACAGGTTGCATGATTTAGTATTTAAGAAACTTCCAAACTTGTTTCCAAAGTGAAGCTATTTTACGTTTCCACTGCAGAGTATGTAATCCAGTTCTTCCACGCCCTTTCCCAGCTGTGGAGGGGCCAGGCTGTTGGTTTTAGCCATTCCACAGGGGAGTGGTGGAGCCCCACAGTGGTGTTCAGTTGCATTGTCTTGGTAACTGATGATACTGGATGTCACGCAGGTGCTTATTTGACATTGATATACCTTATTTAGTGAAGTGTCTACTAAAATATTTTGCCCACTTTTTTATTGTTTTTTTCTGATTAGTGAGTTTTTAGTGTTCTATATATTCCAGATACAAACCTTGTCAAGTACATGGCTTTTAAATATTTTATCTTAACATTCATTCTCTTGATAATTTATTTCAAAAACAGACGTTTTAATTTTGATAAAGTTGATTTTTTTGTGACATCTAAAATAATTTTAATCCAAAATAATAAAGTTTTTCTCCCATGTTTTCTCAAGGATATTTATTGTTGTAGTTTTAACATTTAGTTCTGACCCAAAATAACTATATTTCCCCCAATTAATAATTGTTTGAAGCATTTTTAGCTATAATGTTTGCTATTTTAAAAATTACAAGCATAAAAAATTAAAATAATTTGAGATTTGAAATTAGCTTTATGGAAATATAAAATACTGCTGTGCTCACAATAAGCCTATCTCTTATAACCTTTCTGTTTCTGGGATTTTAATTGTAGGGTAATCCACTTACATTCCCAGAACTCAATCCTGACATTCTTCTTCCTTCCTGGGGAAGCCTCTTATTTTCACCCATTCTTCCCCTTGTCTGCGTCAGTATTATTAGTGCACATTTGTTCAATCTGTCTTCTCTGCCTCCAGGGCCCTGTGTTATTCTCTCTTACAGCATTCACAATCCGGAACAATGTGAGGGTACTGACTCAACTAATAGAGCACGAATAACAACCACTCAGCATGTGAGCTGACCGTAGCTGACCCCTGTGGTCACGCTGCTGACTACCAGCTCGATTCCGGGGCTTCTTATGAATCTGTATATTAAGAATCTGTATACTGAGATAAAGGGATTACGGTGCTGGATTGCTCTTGGGGATTTCTGCTGAAGAGTCACAGTCCAGAGAGAGAGGGTCCGTGTGATCCCTCTCTGCTCACCATTTAGCTTCTAGAAGCTTCCTACCTCCAAAAAATGATCTGAGGGAGGGGCCTCCAGGGACAGAAGTGAGAGTAGTGGCCCAGATTTCCTAACTCACCAAGAGTGGAAGCACACAGAAGCACCATGGGAAAGAGGAAAGACTCAGTGAGGACGGCCAAAAATGTTCAGAGTGATGGGGAAAATCGACACCCTGTCCTCCTAACACAGAGCATCCTGAGTCCCCGCTGACTCACAGGCATGAACTAGAACCAAGCAGGGAAGTGGAGGCAGGAGGCTTTCCAGGAGGGGAAACAGGTGTGAGCGAGGCACAAGAGGGGTGCTGGGTGTGGCCTCCCTGGACATGTGCTCACCTCTGATCACTGGGCTCTGGACCTGTTTTGGCAACTAAAATGGTATCCACCTCAGCCTGCACCATTCCATAGCCAGCCTTCCAGAGTTTGCATGCTCTTCCAAAGGAATGAATTTTCTACAAAAAAAATAACCAGCTCCCATGGAGAGGTGTTGGTTAAAAGTGTTGTTGGGGGAAGACCAAAAAAATTCACACAGGGAAATAGCTGGAAGGTTTTTATGGAAAGCTAAGTTGGACTCAGATAGTGGAACATTGGTCACCTGTGATGTTTAAGAATTAAGCTGAGCTGTCCGAGTAGACATTTCAGAAATGCAGCTGGAGCTACCCAGTAAAAATCTTAAAGAAGCTTTGGATTCCTACACTGTCTCTACAAATCTATAGCAAATTCTTTAGGTGCTTTCCATGCATGTGTTGTAAGCTTTAAGGAATTTTATGGACTTCAAACATCTTTTATTCATTTTTTAATATCTTGGTGTTAAATACTAATTATATTTTCTCTGGCAAGATCTTACACCGTGTAGAGCAATATTAATTCACACAGAGAAGCCTTGTGATGGTTAATATTAAGTGACAACTTGATTGGATTGAAGGACGCAAAGTATTGTTCCTGGGTGTGTCTGTGAGGGTGTTGCCAAAGGACATTAACATTTGAGTCAGTGGACTGGGAGAGGCAGACCCACCCTCACTCTGGGTGGGCACCATCCCCTCAGCTGCCAGTGCTGCTGAACAATGCAGGCAAAAGAAGGTGGAGGAGCAGACTTGCTGAGTGTTCCAACCCTCATCTTTCTCCTGTGCTGGATGCTTCCTGCCCTCCAATACTGGACTCCAGGTCCTTCAGGTTTTCGACTCAGACTTACACGAGTGGTTTGCCAGGGGCTCTCAGGCCTTTGGCCATAGACTGAAGGCTGCACTGTTGGCTTCCCTACTTTTGAGGTTTTGGGAATCAGACTGGCTTCCTCTCTCCTCAGCTTGCAGATGACCTATTGTGGGACTTCACCTTGTGATTGTGTGAGTCAATACTTCTTCCTAAGCCCCCCTTTATGTAAACATCTATCCTATTAGTTCTGTCTTTCTAGAGAACCCTGATAATACAGATTTTTGTACCAGGAGTGGTTCTAGAGGAACTGAATTTTAAGAATGAATTTATTTAGTTGGTTTGGGGGTTTCTGAAGTTGGCTGCTTAATCTGATTAGACCCAAAAATGCTAAGGACTTTACTTCTAATAAAATGGAGAACACTGATAGTCCTTGGCATGAACTGTTTAGAAAGTTATACAAAATAAATGCGTCTGATACTCCTGATTCACTGCTCTTGAGAGGCAAGGAGTTTGGTGACTCTATACATAATACCTTCAAACATATGTGGAGAACCAAGGAAGATAATGAAGTTGGTTAATTGCTTCTAAGTTCACTGGTCAAAGTGATGGAAAAAAAAAAAAAAAAAAACAGATGATATCAGGGATTCTAACTCCAGGCTCCAAAAGCACATACCGAGCCTCAGATCTTCTAAGATTGTCCTGAGTGGAGAGTCTTATCTCCTGTAGACAAGGGGCAGAAATTGTGGAAACTCAGACACAAGCTCTTACCATACCAATGGCTGACCTGCAATGAAAGGTAAACGCTCAGCCTCGCCGGGTGTCTGTTGTTAAAGTGAGGGCAGTGATTGGAAAAGAATGGGACCCTGCAACTTGAAACTGGGATGTGTGGGAGGACCCTGATGAGCTGGAGACACTGAGCTTCTAAATTCTGATGACCCTTTTTTTGACAGAGGAAACAGCCTCTCCACCCCCAGTGGTGGCAACATCCCCTCCCCCACACATGCTGCCATCAGCCTTTCCACCTTTGTTTGGGGAGATTAACCCTGTGTTGCCTGAGGCAACAGTGAGGGCCTCCCTTGAGGCAGTTGCCAGGCAAGACAACGCTTATTCTTCTCAGGACCAACACCCAACACCCCTGTTTGCTTCTATAACTATAGACTAAAGTCAACCTATGACTCAGCTAAAGTCCTGTGAGGCTCTAGAGGTGAGATTCAGAGTGTCACCCACAAGGAGGTGCAGTACACTCTGAAAGAACTGCTTGAGTTTTCTGATTTATATAAGCAGGAATCTGGAAAACAGACATGGGAATGGATATTAAGGGTGTGGAATGATGGGAGAAGGAACATAAAGTTGGATCAAACTGAATTTATTGATATGAGCCCACTAAGCAGGGATTCTGCATTTAATGTTGCAGTTCAGGGAATTAAAAAAAGGTTCTAATAGTTTATTTGCTTGGTTAGCTGAAATATGGATCAAAAAATGGCCCACTGTGAGCAAGATGGAAATGCCTGATCTCCCTTGGTTTAATGTAGAGAAAGAGATTCAAAGGCTTAGCGAGATTGGGATGGTGGAGTGGATTAGTCACTTTAGACCTACCTTATCTCAACTGGGAGCATCCAGAAGACATACCCTTCACCAATACGTTGCAAAACAGATTTGTGAGGATCACCTGCATCCTTGAAGATCTGTGATTGCTCTTCTGTCTATGCTGGATCTTACAGTGGGAACCACAGTCACTCAATTAGAAAACTTAAACACAGTGTGAATAATTGGATCCCAAGATGGCAGGGGCCAAGTGGTGGCACTCAACCATCAAAGGCAAGGTGGGTGTAGCTACTATAATGGACAGCAGAGACAAAGCAGCAATCAGAATAGTCTAATTCATGTAGAACTCTGGCATTGACTAATTAATCACAGTATTCTTAGAAGTAAAATTGATAGGAAGCCTTAATTCCTACTTAATTTGTATAAGCAGAAAACTTCCAGGTTGAGTAAACAAAAGACTAATTTGAATTATAAAAATAGAGAATCATGGCCCCTCAATCTATTTCCAGACTTGAACCAGTTTTCAGACCCAGAACCTTTTGAATGAAGGAGAGGCCAGGTCCCCTTGAGGAAGGACCCTGCTACACTACTGACAATTTATACTGTTAATTTTTCTCCCATCGTACCTTGGTCTTTTATCAGGGTAACTATGCACTGGGGAAAGAGAAATGATCAGACCTCTCAGGGACTACTGGACCCTGGCTCTGAGCTGATGTTGATTCCAGGGGATCCAAAATGTCATTGTGGTTTGCCAGTTAAAAGTACAGGCTTATGGAGGTCAGGTAATTAATGGAGTTTTAGCTCAGCTCTGACTTACAGTGGGTCCAGTGAGTTCCCAGACTCATCCTGTGGTCATTTCCCGAGTGCCAGAATGCATAATTGGCATAGATATACTTAGCAGCTGACAGAATCCCCACATTGGCTCCCTGACTGGTAGAGTGAGGGCTATTATGGTGAGAAAGGCCAAACGAAGCCATTAGAGTCATTAGAGCTGCCTCTACCTAGAAAAATAGTAAATCAAAAACAATATCATATCCCTGGAGGGATTGCAAAGATTAGCGCCACCATCAAGGACTTGAAAGACACAGAGGTGGTGATTCCCACCATGTCCCCGTTGAACTCTCCCATTTGGCCTGTGCAGAAGACAGACAGATCTTGGAGAATGATAGTGGATGATCGCAAGCTTATCCAAGTGGTGACTCCAAGTGCAGCTGCTGTACCACATGTAGTTTCATTGCTGGAACAAATTAACACATCTCCTGTACCTGGTATTTAGTCATTACTTTGGCAAATGCTTATTTCTCCATTCCTGTCCATAAGGCCCACCAGAAGCCATTTGCCTTCAGCAGGTAAGGCCAGCAATATACCTTCACTGTCCTACCTCATGGGTATATCAACTCTCCAACTTTGTGTCATAATCTTGTTTGCAGGGCTCGTGATCACTTTTCTCTTCCACAGGATATCACACTGGTCCGTTACATTGATGACATTATGCTGACTGGACCCAGTGAGCAAGAAGTAGCAAACACACTGGACTTATGTACTGATCCATGGACTATAGCCAATGGTTTGGCTGGATGGTCAGGGACTTGGAAGAAGCATGATTGAAAAATTGGTGACAAAGAAATTTAGGGAAAAGGTATTTGGATGGATCTCTCTGAGTGATCAAAAACTGGGAAGATATTTGGATCCCATGTGAGTGCTCATCAATGGGTGACCTCAGCAGAGGAGGATTTTAATAATGAAATGGATAGGATGACTAATACAAATGTCATGTAAAATTAAAATTAGCATTAAGTGCAAAGAGGGCAGCAAAACACATCCAGACTGTTCCTCTTCCATCAGCTGACACAAACTTCAGAAATACCAGCTGTGGCTGGGTGTGGTGGCTCACATCTGTAATCCCAACCTTTTGGGAGGCTGAGGCAGGCAGATCACTTAAGGTCAGGAGTTTGAGACCAGCCTGGCCAACATGATGAAATGCTGTCTCTACTAAAAATACAAAAATTAGCCAGGTGTGGTGGCGGGCACCTGTAATCCTAGCTACTCAGAAGGCTGATGCAGGAGAATCATTTGCACCCAAAGGGCAGAGGTTGCACTGAGCCAAGATCATGCCACTGCACTATAGCCTGAGTGACAGAGCAAGACTCCATCTCAAAAAAAAAAAAAGAAATACCAGCTGTGAATAAACATGTATTTACATATTGGTTTTTTTGTTTGTTTATAATACTTAAAATATATAAACACCTTTCCCTTCTGAGAAGAAAAGATGAAAGCCTATATTTTTCACATTATACACATGTACATACAAATACAAATATATATGTGTTTTTTAGAATTTTGGAGGCACATCATGGGATTTGGTGTAGTCTAGTTTGGTCAATTGTGATAAGATAAGCATCTTGGGCTGGATAACACCAGACACCTTTCCTGTGTCCCTTTTATTATCTGAGTTGGCATAATAAGGTAAAGATATTAGGATTTTAAGGAGACTGTGAAAGACTATTTTATAAAATCATGGTAGAAGTTTCTCTCACTGGAGTAAACTTGGGAACTGTGACAATTTGACAATGAGCCCCTGGAACATGAAGGGAGATTTGTCCTTCAAATCTTATAAGAACAGTGATGGTGCATAAAGGCGATGATCCCAGACTTTTAACAAGAGGACAAGAAAAACGTGCCCCTAGTCACCATGGAGTGTGAGGAAAGTCTCAGAGAGGAGATATCTGGAGAAGGCTCCCCTTAATCTATGTGCAAGTTCTGGGCTCACTGCAAAGCTATGCATGCCTGGGTCTGACCCAAAGCAGCCCAGCGAAGGCTGTTAGAACCAAATGACAGGATTGAATGCTCCAGGGCCCAGCTGGCCCAGCATGGTGCACACTTCAGGAGGACCTGAATAGAATAGCTAAGGCTTTGAAAATGTAACTCACTTTGGAAACACAAGCAACAGAAGGTGGATTGGGTGTATAATCTGAACCTAATTCATAGATTGCCTGCAAAAGTTAGAAAACAAATGTACTTAAAATTTTCCAGAAACTTTTAATAGTCACCACAGTTTCTTACCAAATATTGTAAATCCCCAAAATATAATCAGAGTTTCTTATCATAAAAATGACCAGGATAATTTCAATAATTTAACAGAAAAGACAATGAGCAGACACTAGCTCAGAGATAACCTGGATGGAATTGTCCAAAAAAGACTTGTAAAGCAGCTATTTTTACCATGTTTTATTAAGTAAGAGTGAACACTATTGAAATCAATATAATGTAGACATGCTTGCCAGAGGTAGAAATTATTAAAAAGAACCAAAATAATTAGAATAAAAAATACAATAAGTATAGTAATTTATTAAATGGGCTTTTTTGCAGAATGAAGATAGCAAAGAAAAAAGTTTGTGAAAGTTAAGATAGGCAATAGAAAATATCCAACTTAAATAGCAAACAGAAAGAAAATACTAGACAAGTGCATAAATGGCATTTCATGGACCCATGAAATAATATCAAATATCTAATGTTCATGTTATTGAAGTCTGACAAGGAAATAAAAAAAGAAATTTTTCCAGAAAAAAACTTGAAGAAGTAATGGCTGAAAAGTTTCAAATTTGACAGATAACATAAATTTAAAGATTCAAGAGATCAGTGAACTCAGATAATGGGAGAAAATCTGCCTGGTAATGGGAGTATATAGAGAATATATAAAGAACTCTTTAATAATAAAAAGACAAATAATAATTAAAATAGGCAAGTGATCTGAATAGACCAAGAAAGATATACATGTGAACAATAAGCATATGAAAAGGTGCTCAATGTCATTAGCCATCAAGGAAATGCAAATCAAAATCACAAAAAGATACTAATTCACCCCTATCCCCATTAAATAAGAACAGATATTGATGAGAATTTGGAGATAATGGAACTCTCACGCATCGCTGGCAGGAATGTAAAACAGTGAATCAACTTTGAAAAGAAATAAGAAGTTCATCAAAAGGTTAAGCGTAAAATTGCCTATGACCCATACATTTCACATCTAAGTTTGTGCCTAAAAAAATACACAAAAAAAATGTATACAAATGTTCTTAGCGTCATTATTCACAACAGCCAAATGAGGTGGAAATAACCACAAGTGACCATCACTGGAAAATCAGAATGAGATATATCCATAAATTGCAGTATTATTTGCCAAATAAAAGTAATAAAATACTGATAAATGCTATAGCACGGATGAACACATTATGCTATAAAGAACTGCCAGAAACTGGGTAATTTATGAAGGAAAGAGGTTTAATTGACTCAAAGTTCGGCATGGCTGGGGAGGCCTCAGGAAACTTATAATCATGGTGGAGGGAAAAGGGAAGCAAGGCACCTTCTTCACAGGCAGCAGGAAGGAGAATGACTGAAGGAGGAACTTGCCAAATGCTTATAAAACCATGAGATCTGGTGAGAACTCATTCACTATCATGAGAATGGTATGGGGAAAATCGCCCATGATCCAATTACCTCCACCTGGTCTCTCACCTGGTCTCTCCTTCACACATGAGGATTATGGGGATTACAGTTCAAGATGAGATTTTGGGTGAGGACACAGGCAAACTATATCACTAAGTGAAATAAATGAGTCACAAAAGGACACAGATTATATGATTCCATTTATATACAATGTTCAGTGCAGGCACATTTATAGATACAGAAAATAGATTAGTGGTTACCTAGGGCTAGGGGTTTGGGGGAAAGAAGTGATTTTAATGGGTATGGAATTTCATTTTGAAGTTATGAAAATGGCCTACAATTGACTGGGCAATATTCTGTGAATATACTAAGAACCATTGCATTGCATACTTTTAATGAGTGAACTGTAAAGCATGTCAATTACATAATAATAAAGCTGATATACACACATACACACAATCACTGATAGAACATCAATGAGCTATATACAGGAGAGGTGCTGGGAATATGACTTTATGCATGTCAAAATGCACAGAACTGTGTGCCAAAAACTTAATTTTGCCTCATACAAAAAATAAATTCCAAAAAACTAAATAGTGCACAGAAGAATATTTTAGGTAAGTGGACAATTGATAATTCACATAAGCAGAAGGCAACATAAAGTACAAATTTACCAATGTATGAAGTTGTACCTGATAAATCACTGTCAGTACATGTTTCAGAATAGTTTTACAATTTCATTACCTACTTTACTGAGACATTTCTGAAACATTCAAATCTATTTTATTGAGTATTCTTAGAGTGATGAAGAGATTTTTCTTAGAACCATCCTTTTCAGCTCATGCATTTCTCTACTGCATCTTGAGTTACAGTGTCTGCCAACAGAAAGGGCTAACTTTTCTGTGTTTTACCCAATGAAAAACAACAAAAATAAGAAATCAGTGAGACTCAGTTACCCAAAACCCATGAGCCAAAATTCAACTGGATTATTTGGTGCATATTTTGTATCACACCACTGATATGTAAACCTCTGCCCCATCCTTGGCATTTCAAAAGAAATTAAGAGGGAAATTTCCTGACTTTCCTTTAACTAAGACTTTTAAACGTTAGTGTCCTGTGTTTGTTTTTATTGTGTTTTGCTTTGCTTTTGTTTTCACTTTACATAAATATTGTCTTTGTTTTAGTTTTTAAATCAAGACTACCTGATTAACAGGAAGGCGTTTAAAAACTGTTCTTAATGCCAGCTTCATGCTATCTTATCTCTATATTATACAAAACTATGACCAAGCTAGACTAAGAAAAAGCTAATTATGTATAGGTAATTTTTGATCCTGCCTTTTCTGATAAGTTCTGGAAACTTCTTAGTATAGATTAAGAGTATTTTTTTACTTAGACAATAAATAAGCCACCACAATTCACAGTACCAGCTTGAAGATGTGATTTGTTATTTAGCGTAAATTGAATTAAGATCAAATAAGCCTCTGCCCTGCGGATGCCTCTGATGTGACTAATTTAGGAATGCAGATAAGTGCACCCAGTCTCAGATTCTGGGAGGGCTCAGTAAGTTGATTGTTCAATATGATTCTTTGTATTTTTGAGTCTGAATGCCAAATTACTGACAAATTCTTTACATTTAAGATTCATTTTATTCTCACCTGTCCAAACTCTCCTGAAAGTTGCTTGACTTCTCTTCAATCCAAACACTTAAACCAACAATTGAAAGATAGGCGTTGGCATGAAGACACTTTCATCTTTATGCTGGGCACTTAGTGGACCCTTCCAATCTGGCAAATTATGATTCAATTCTGGAAATTCTTCTTAGGGTATCTGGCAGAAGAAATTTTTCTTAAATGACTGATTTCATGATTTTCTCTACCCTCCCCTCTTTTCTTTCTTCTGTCCTTTTGGAAGGTCTGGTATTCAGATATTAAAACACCCTCACCCTGGTTCTTGAATACGCCCTTGGTTTCATCCTATTTTTCATGTCCCTGTCTTTATACATTAATTTCCACGTGCTCTTCTGTTTTTCTGCACATACTCGTTTTCGCAGTAACCGGTTCCTGTGCTGTATATATACACACACATACATACATACATACACATACATATATAGTCTTTCCTTATCACTTATTTGAAGTAGGATTTTATAATGAAAATGCTTTCTTCTCCCTGGATGCTCTCTGCCTCCTCCAAGCTGTGTGTGTTTACTTTGCTGTGTGTTCCTAGCAAGAGCTGCTGCTCATAGATACCAGGCTCTCTGCTCCTCCTGTCTAAGTCAGGGGCAAAAACTGGGGTGTGAAAGCAGATCCAGGAGAGGGGAAGGGGGCTGCAGGCCTAGCTAGGTCTCAGCTCTGTGAACTTCCCATCCTCAGGGTTTGACATTCTGCCTTCAGAGTGGGTTGGAACAAATTAGGAACCCAGGATCTGTTTTTGATGGATCCATTTCTCAAGTCTAGAACCAGATGGTTTAGGCACTTAATTGGGAAGAAAAAGAGAAGGAAGGAGGGAAGAAAGAAGGGGGAGAAAAAAAGGAAGGAAGGAAGGAAGGAAGGAAGGAAGGAAGGAAGGAAGGAAGGAAGGAAGGAAAGAAGGGAGGAAGGAAAGAAGGAAGGGCAAGGATTCAAAAGTCCACTGGGGTCTCTGAGCCATGGTTATAGTCATTGACTTGACTTCTGGAGGGTGTTCTGCTGGGCTGTCTTATCTGTCACTTAAGCAACTTCATGCCTTTGCTTTTGGCTTGAGGGAAAGGTGATCAGATGCCCAAAGAAAACTCTTCCAACCCTTTGCCTGGGTGTTGACACTTGTTTTTTATTGATTCAGCAACAAAATGAATGACGAAAGGTGTTTTAACACTAAGTGTTTAAACTTTTATTTAATCCTTTTCTTTTTTTCAATTTGGCACCACATCCTGAACAACACCTGCTATGTCAGTGCAGAGTTGCTCTATTTTGCCTTTCAGAGAAGAATTGCCTTTCTTTATGCTGGTGGTGAGGAGGCTGATGATCGATCCTGGGCCCGTCTTCTCAACAAGCCTTTGAATTTTCACATTTCCCACAGCACACTTTTCTCACACACTCCAGTGTCTCCTCCTAAAGAGCCATGGGTCCTGGGAATTAGGCTACTCCATGGAACTAGGTCCCTCTATGGAATTAGGCTTCTTCGGGGAACTAGGCTCCTTCAGGGAACTAGGCCCCTCCATGGAATTAGGTCCATGGCATTAGGCCCTTCCATGAAACTAGGTCCTCCATGGAATAGGATCTCCATGGAATTAAGTTCCTCCATGGAATTAGGCCCCTCCACAGAACTAGGTCATCCATGGAACTAGGCCCCTCTATGGAACTAGGCCTTGATACGGTTTGGCTGTGTCCCCACCCAAATCTCATCTTGAATTCCCACATGTTGTGGGAGGCACACATTGGGATGTAATTGAATCATGGGGGTGGGTCTTTCCTGTGCTGTTCTTGTGATAGTGAATAAGTCTCAGGAGATCTGATGATTATATAAGGGGGAGTTTCCCTGCACAAGCTCTCTTCTTTTGTCTGCCGCCATGTGAGACATGCCTTTCACCTTCTGCCATGATTGTGAGCCTCCCCAGTGACGTGGAACTGTAAGTCCGTTAAAACTCTTTCTTTTGTAAATTGGCCAGTCTTTGGTGTGTCTTTATAATCAGTGTGAAAACGGACTAATACAGTAAATTGGTACCAGTATTGTGGGGCATTACTGAAAAGATACCCAAAAACCTGGAAGTGACTGTGGAACTGGGTAACAGGCAGAGGCTGGAACAGTTAGGAGAGCTCAGAAGAAGATAGAAAAATGTGGGAAAGTTTGGAAATTTCTAGAGACTTGTTGAATGACTTTGACCAAAATGCTGATAATGATATGGACAATGAAATGCAGGCTGAGGTGGACTCAGATGCCGATGAGCAACTTGTTAGGAAATGGAGCAAAGGTGACTCTTGTTATGTTTTACCAAAGAGACTGGCAGCATTTTGCCCCCACCCTCCATGGAATGAGGCCCCTCTATGGAACTGGGCCCACCCATGGAACTAGGCCCCTCTATGGAATTGGGCCCCTCCATGGAATTAGGTCCCTCTGGGGAACTAGGCCCCTCTATGGAACTAAGCTCCTCTATGGAACTAGGCCCCTCCGGGGAACTAGACTCCTTTACGGAATTAGTCCCCTTCATGCCTTCCCCCACTGCCAGCTCAGGATCGCATCTTCTCAGACCCGCTGAGTTGGTTATAATTCACAAATCTGCTTTTCAGCTTGCATAACACATTGTTGCTGCTATTTCTTCTCCATTCTTGCTGTCCTTGTTGGTTTCTGTCTCTTCACATGCTCTCCGAGGGGATCAGAGAAACACACATTGTGTTCAGCATGAGGCCCATAACCAGATGTCTCCTGCCTCCCCTACTTCAGGATGAGACCCTTCTCCCATGCTCATCCAGGCAGATAGGGGTCTTCCTGGTTCTCTTCTTTGTTCTCATCCCCACAGCTAATCTCACCCCAGGTCTCACCTTCCTGTTGGGACCCTCATGTCCCTCACCTCCACTCAGCTCTAGGGCCAGGCCCTGCCACTACTTATTAGACCATTGCTCTGTTTTCCTTTCTTCATTCTGGTCCTCTCGGATCCATCTTCCTAAAATACCAGTGGAATCACATCACACTCTTGTTTAACCCCCAATGACTCCATGTGGCCCTAAGGATGGAGAGCATGTGCGTGGTTTAGTCCCAAGGACATATGAGGCTTAGCAAAGACAAATCTTGTTTCAGTTAATACAAAGCCAAGT
Source organism: Homo sapiens (assembly GCF_000001405.40). NCBI lineage: Eukaryota > Metazoa > Chordata > Mammalia > Primates > Hominidae > Homo > Homo sapiens. The sequence continues at coordinate 169,109,651 of NC_000006.12, forward strand.
GGGAATTCAACCTTGAAACATGCTGTGTTTTGTCAACTGTTCTACAGAGTCAGTGGGGAGCAAATAAATTACAGAAAGAGCACAGAAAGGGAAGAAAGATGCAGAAGAATCTTCCTGGCCTGCTGACAAACCTAAATCTGACCCTGACCCCTGGCAGATCATCTGGGTGAAGATACAGTATCTCCGTCTGTTTCCAACCCAAGTAGGACAGTGCAGTGATCCTGTCATTTACATAATCTTCTCTGTCCCCAAAGCAACCCCTCTGCCTGTGGAATTCATTTACAGCCTGCTCTCTATGCAATAAAGTTTCAGGAACTTACAGACTTCAATAGCTGTATTTCAGTTTAGACAAGTAAGGCGTGTGAAAGGAAGAGGAGCTGGAAGGAAGGATAGAAAAGCAAACCTTTGTGAATCATTTATAATAAGACCTGAGAGCCCTTGTTTGCTTTCACAGTTGAGTGGTCCTTTCTGGAATACCAAGGACACTGCGATGGAGCATCTCCTTGGTGGAAGGGGAGGTATCTCCCACATCAGGGAGTGTGCTCCTCCTTCTTCCTCCCCACCTCACCTGGGCTAGGAATGGGAGAGAAGCGAGTCAGCCTCCATGCAGTTTCAAGCACAGCATTCTCCAGAAAATGCTCTCAACGATGATCCCGTCACCCATGCCTCAGTGCATGAGTCCTGGTGCAGTCCTAGCTGAGCTCCCTGGTCCGTTTGTGAAGCTTTTCAAGACCTCTGTAGTCCAGAGTCACCACTTCTTAAAACCACAGCATTACTGCTGCTGTGTGTGGGTAAAAAGTTTAACATCTTCCTGGGAAAGAATGGCACAGAGGTGGTGGAGCTTTTACCAATTCCCATGATGGAAAAACTCCCAGGCTGACTTTGTGCTGCCGATGGTATAATAACCATGTCAGAAAACTAAGGACAAATTTGTCTATCAGCCCTCTTCACTGCAGATCGAGATTGTTTATGTATATATGGATGTATATATGGAGACATGTATTTTAAGGAATTTGGTTTGTTGTCAGTGGAAGGTATCTGAGTTACCAGCAGTAAATCCATACAGGTTTGCAGCAACCTCAATTCTTGCCTCCTCAGAAGAAAGAATTCAACTGAGGGGCATAAGGCAGACAAAGAGACTGAGGCAAGTTTCAGAGCAGGAGTGGAAGTTTGTTTAAAACAGCTTTAGAACAGGAAATAAAGGAATATATAGTTGGAAGAGTCTCAAGTGGGCACTGAGGTCAAGTGCTATGTTTAACTTTGATCCTGGAACTTTCTAGGCTGGCCCCTTCCCATGATTCTTCCCTTAGGGTGGGCTGCTCACATGCACACTGCCCCCCTTACCCTTGGGAGGTGAGCACATGCAGTGTGTTTAGTAAGTTGTACTTGTGCCCATCTTTCTTCCCTTCTCCAGTGCCCCTGGAAGGTCACACTCCATCATTTTGTCTCTTAATGTGTCTCCCTGGCATCTGCATTCAATTACCACGTTAGTGTAACAGGTGTGGACCATCAGGAGATGGCCTCTCCCTGCCAGCTGACTGCAAATTCATCACTTTAGAGAGGCAATGTGGTAATTGTCGAGCCATCACCTGACATTACTATTGGGTTGGGGAAGAGCCCTCCCCTGCCCCGCTTATGCCTGTCTCACTACCTGCAATAGCTCAGGTGATTGTTGGGTCATGGAAACTGGCAAGTCTGAAATCCAGAGTTGGCCAAGAAGCTGGACATTCTGCTACGAGTTGATGTTGCGGTCCTGAGTAAATCATCTGCAGGTTGGGCCAGCAGGCAGCCTTTCTCTGCCACAGTCTGGAGGCAGAATCTCTTCTTCCCCGGGGGGACCCTGGCCTTTTCTCTCTAGGTCCTTGCTGCATAAGGTCCACCCATGCTGTGGAGAGTCATCTGCTTTCCTTAAAGTCAACTGATTTCATTGTTAATCTCACCTAAAAAACATCTTCACAGAAATATCTAGCTAGTGTTTGACCAAACAGCTGGGCCCGAGTGACACAGAAAAATCACTCAACCATCAAAATCACTAAAATGTCAACAAATGCCTGGAGGCTTATAGCAACAAGAGGAGTAGGCATCTGTGTAAGCCAAAAATAAAATTCTAAGAACACCCAACCAGCTGAATGGACTTCTTCTCTTGGCCAAGGGCATTTGAAAATAAACTGAAACACTAATTCAGGCCATGATGGGAATGAGTGGACAGAAATGCCTCACTATACTCTCCTTCCTTTGGAACTTGGGCACGGCCGACCAGCATTAACATTAAAACAGAGATCTTAAGACTGACAAAACAGATTCTTTGTAGCAATAAGACACCAACATGATAGTAGGACCTGAAATACATAAAATTATTTTTCCCAAAAATATATTGCTTTGACATATTTTAAAATGGCCCTGAAAAGCTGTCTCTTTAAGTCTAAGAAACATTTACAATCTACTTTCTCTGAAGCCCGCTACCTGGAGGCTTCATCTGCATAATAAGAACCTTGGTCTCCACAATTCCTTATCTTAACCAGACACTCCCTTCCATTGATTCCAGGGCTTTAGATAGACTCTTAGCCAATTGCCAATCAGAAAATCTTTGAATCTGGAAGCCCCAAGTTCTAGTTGTCCCCTAAAATGTATAAAATGAAGCTGTAGCCCAACCATGTTCTCAGGATCTCCTGAGGGCTGTGTCATGGGCCATGGTCACTCATATTTGGCTCAGAATAAATCTCTTCACATATTTTACAGTTTGACTCTTTTCATTGGCAATAATTAGTGCCCAACATGGGGCCTCAGAGAAGACTCAGGACCCTTGAAGGAGTTGCCTGAAACCAGAGCTATGGTGCATGTTGAAAGCTCCTGCCAACCTCCCCAGTTTCAGCTTCTCCCTGGCTGCAACTGTTGTTAAGTCCTCCTGAGTCCCAGATATCCTGTTTTGGTTGATGGTCCTTGGTTTATTCTGAGCCTTTGTTTTTTCTACTAGGAAGTTGCTTAAGATCCTAATTTTGGTTTGCAAGTGCATTCTAAAGGGCTTTCTCCATTGCCTTTTCTCCCAAATTAATCTCTATTGGCTTATCTGTGTATTTGCATGAGGAAGTGAACTGTCATTTTCATACATAAAAGAGCCTGAGCTCCTCAGCTTCAAAGAGAAAGGGCATTTTACTTCTCAAGCTGAAAGGCACCCCTGGGTGACCAGGGCTGAGTGGAAATGTCTGGGGGGATGACCCCCGCCATGACACGCAGCAACCCTACAGGAAATCCCCCAACAAAACTAGTTTTAAAAGACTCGTCTAGGAAATGCATATAAGAGCTGATCACTCAGTTTTGAGCCCTCTCTGAAGCAATAGCCCTCCAGAAAGAGAAACTGAGACACGTAAGAGGGCAGAAACGACTCAGTGGTGAAACACTGTGGCATCCCACTGACAAGCAGCACGCATCAATCCACCACATTAAACCCTGGGTCACAGCACAGTTCCTCCTTTTAAGAAAAAAAAAAGGTGGGAAACAAATCACCTAAGAATGAGGAAAGACAAGAAAAACGACCCCTTTTTAGGCACCCCGTTGGTTCTACGGAGCCTCTATTTGCAAGTGTTTGTGCCAATGAAAGAGTTCAAGGGCATGCCAGGTTTTCTAGCACTCCCGCTGGTTACACATTAGGTCTGTTCTTGTTCACATTTAAAACTAATGGGAAATCACATCAAGGAAAATTCAGAGCACAAAGGCTGACCTTCAGCTATAAAGTTCCTAAGTTCTCTATTTTCATTTCTGCATGCTGTAAGTCTACTATTACTTTTCTACTGGTGTTGAGATAAAAACCACTCTTTGGATCCAACTTTTTAAAAATTTTCTTGTGAACCAGAGAGGTTGTATTGATACCTCTCAGCTGAAGTTTGGAAGCAAAAGCTATAGAATCTTTGTATGGGTGTTTGATGTGTTGCAGACACAAGGCACCAAGTTGACCTAAGTGAAGGAGTACCCATAAATTAAGTAAACAATCCCAGTTGTTTTTCAAGTTCACATGACTTAAATAAAACCTTTAATAAATAAGCTGGCTTTAGAATTTTTAGTAGAATAATACTACAGATTTTTAAAGAATTGTTGGCATAATTTTTTGTTTGGTTCTATTGATCAAGCAGTTTCATATTTATCTCAGCCAGATATTATAAGGGGTCCAAAGTTTGGCAGAAGGGTTCCAAAACTATAAACCTAGCCAAAACCAGAATAATCTCTATGTAAATTTGATAAATAAGACATGCAACATTGTTAGCGTAATGAAAACAGCTAAATCCTGAGTGTTTGATAAAATATTCTTATATTTAACCTTAAGAATCTTAGGTAAACACCTGAAATTCACAGCCTATAAAAATTATTAGCAGAGAAATTACTTTAAATGATGACGATCACAGTTTTTATAAATAATCTAGGTAAACTATTTTAAAAAATGAAAATAAATTAATTAGGTAAATGCTTAGGAATAAATGCTTATAAATAAGCTGGAAATATAATTTAGAATCTAAAGATTAAATTTCAGATATTCATTAAATGTCTGGGTAATTTCCAATTTAAAAATTATAGAAAAAAATTTTCTAAAAAATGAAGTTTTGTCTGATTCCAAGGTTGTTTAAAGATTATTTATGAATCAAGGTAAAAGGAATCAGGAAATAAGAGCTGTAAAGAAAGTTACAGAAATAAAGAGGTATTTTTGGTTAGAAAAATTAAAATAAAAATAATTTTGTATGAAAAAGAATTTTGTATCATAAATTTTTGCCCTAAAATAAAATGACTTGTGTAAGAAAGAGGGATATTTAGAACAAACCAGAAAATCCAAGCCTTTCAGGAACGATCTGTGTAAGTCTTACTAAGGTTCATATAAAAAAAATTATAAAAAATATTATGTGATTAAGTTGGCCATAATTAAAATGAAATTACAATACTCTTTCTAGAAATGAACTTTGATATTAAAAATACGTAAATACAGGCCAGGAGCAGTGGCTAACACCTGTAATCCCAGCACTTTGGGAGGCCGAGGTGAGCGGATCACCTGAGATCAGGAGTTCAAGATCAGCTTGGCCAACATGGTGAAACCCTGTCTCTACTAAAAATACAAAAATTAGTCAGGCGTGGTGGTGCGTGTCTGTAAACCCAGCTACTCGGGAAGCTAAGGCAAGATAATCCTCTGGGAGGCAGAGGTTGCAATGTGCCGAGATTGCGCCATTGCACTCCAGCCTGGGCAACAGGTTGAGACTGCCTCAAAAACAAACAACAACAAAAAAACCACCTGAATACAAAACTAAATAATTAGTTAGAACAAGAATTTCTTTAAATATTGATTGATGTAATGAAATTGCAAGCTTTTAATTTTTAAATTCTATAACGTTTTTTGAAATTCTTCAAGTTCAACCTCTGCCATGTCCTGCTGCTTCAGCTCTTTCTTTTGAGAAGGCCTGGGATGGCAACTCTCTCTTTCAACATTTGTTGGCTCCTGTAACATCGTTTATTAATAGTCTAAAGTAAGGGAGATAATTTTTGAAAACAGGCAAATGAAAAATCTTACAAGATCTGCCTCTGTTTGTCTGTTACTTCTGTATGTTTATATGTGTCATGTGAAAGTGACATTTCATTGCCAAACTATACGAAAGAGTTCTAATCAAATAGCTTAAAGAAAAGTCACCACTTAGATGAATAGCAGCTACTTCAGGTGCGTTTTAATTCACATGACTTTAGTAATCTTTGGTAAGATTAATTTGGTAAATTTAATCTCACAACTCTCTCCAGTAATTTAAAATCTTGAAGTCATGTTATGTTAAATTAAATAATGCCAGGTTTTTCGCTGGGAGTGTGGGTTACTAAGAGTTAGAATAGTAGAACAGTAAAGTGTGTTGTTGATGAGGTTTATAAAAACATGAAGTTGTGGTTTTGGTAAAGAAAATGTAATTTTTCTAGTTTAGAGGCTGTTTAAGGGTCAGTTTAAAGTAAAGGAAATGTTGTATAGATAAAACTATATAGATAAAGAGAAAAGATACAAGGGTGGGGAATGAGAAACCTTTTACTCTTGGGTGTCCGTGTAGTGAACCGTCCTATGCAGCTGAGCTGGGCTGCACTCAGTTACGAAAGGGGAAAGTTACCAGGGGAATTGACAGATGGCTCACACTCCCAGGGAGTCAGTTCACTGAATACATGAAAAATGCAAACTAATAAAAAAAAAGCAAAACATTTAATTCCTAGGTCATTGTTATCTCTAATAGCTGAAATGAAAATGAAAGAGAGTGCTGGATTGAGCCTTAAGGCTGGTCCAAGCTCAGATGTGGGTCTGTTTCAGCTCAGGCCACTAAGCTCAAAGCTACCCACAAAAAAAAAAAATTAAACCAGGGCAACACAAAGTACTTCTGAGTCCTGTAATTACCAAAAAGATAGTCAATGTGGGGGAAGGGGAAACTAACTAACTATTAAGACCAGAGGTTATAATATAAAGAAATTGTTCCACCTTGTAGATTGGTGTCATCAGATTCCTGAGAAATCTTTACTAAAATGAATTGTAAAAATAACTACCTGAAGAACAGTATCTTCTATTTTAAATGCTACTGAATGAAAGAGCATGTTTTTGTTGATGAAGAACTCACACCTCGCTATTAAACATTTGCTGATGAATATATGTGATCCAAACTCAGAGGAGGCTATTCCTGAGGGAATGCCCAGCCTGGTCTTATTGTGGACATGTGTGAGATGAACACTGGTGTGAGAGATGGTCACTCTCCACCAGAACTGTCCTCATGCGTGCTGCATTGCAGAGAAGGTACACATGACAGTTGGCCTCAGAGTGGTGGGTGGGCCTGCCTTTTGGACCCCAGAGCAACAGCTGGTGCAACTCAGCTCCTGTGCCCCATGGGCTCAGCTGCCAGCCACCCTTCCTGGGCTACGTTTTTTTTTTTTAACTAGAAACCCCTCATTCAAGCATGCATAAAAAATTGTCTAATACTGAAATACTAGAAACTAATTCAAAAACATTTAAACTCTGCCTGCACCAACAGTAGACATTCACTTGCTATGTAAACTTGGGTCAGTTTTCTTTTCTTTCTTTTTTTTTTTTTTTTGAGACGGAATCTCGCTCTGTCACCCAGGGTGGAGTGCAGTGGCACGATCTTGGCTCACTGCAACCTCCGCCTCCTGGGTGATTCTCTTGCCTCAGCCGCCTGAGTAGCTGGGACTACAGGTGCGTGCGACCACACCTGGCTAATTTTTTGTATTTTTAGTAGAGATGGGGGTTTCACCATGTTAGCCAGGATAGTCTCGATCTCCTGACCTTGTGATCCAACTGCCTTGGCCTCCCAAAGTGCTGGGATTACAGGTGTGAGCTACTGCGCCCAGACAATTTGAGGCAGTTTTCTAATCTCTACTAGTCTTAGATTCCTCATTTATAAAATTAAAATAATAATGTAAAATATTGTGTGCATGCATAGTGTTACACCCAATAACTAGAAAAATACTGATAGGCACAGGATGCAGAGAAATTCTAGGCAGAAAAGGACAGGGTCTCTGGCAATGGTCCCACCTTCCAGCCTGGAACTGCTGCCCAAAGAGAGAACTTTACATCTCTGTTTTTCCCACTCAAATGATGCCTTTTTAAAAACCATCCATGGCCTGCCTCTACCCCACATCCTGTGCCCCTGACCTGACTGGCAGAGGGCAGAGAGAAGGAGGGAAGAGAAAAAGCAGCCAGACATCGAAGAGCAGCAGCTTGACTTTTGAGGGATGGCTTGACAGCAGGACTTCAGAGAAGAGTCTGCCTGGAGATGGCCAGACTCCAGGGGAAGATCACCTTCCTGCCCCATCCCCCTTTCAGCTCCCCTTCCCACTGCAAGCTGCTTTCATCAGCAATAAAATCCTCTGCATTCACCACCATTCGATTTGTTCGTGCAACCTCATTCCTCCTGGACATCAGACAAGGACTTGGGTGTGGGTGCAAAAGGCTGTCACACTGATCTTCTACTGAGCTGTTAACACTTAAGCCATCTGCAGACAGCAAAGATAAAACAGCACACTGTAACGTATGCCCTTTTAGGCTTCAAGGTTCGTGGGTACATACCCCCTAGATGTTACCACCAGGGTGCATGGAGTTTTGGTCCTGTCAGTGTCCAAAAGTGCTTGCTGCAGCTTTTGCACCTGCTCACCTGCACGCTCCCTCTCCCACAGGGGGTTGAGAGCTGTAGGCCAAGTAAATGAGGCACCCCTGTCTCGAGGCCCGTGAAGTGGTCGAGGAAAATTTTGCATTTCATCTGGGGGCTTTCCCAGGGTACGTTGCAAGGGTGAGTAAATGCAGATTTGCCCTATCTGTTTCTTTCTGTCTTCAGACTTTCCTCTGAACTAAGCACTTGAAGGGGACAGGAAGCAACTGTACCCTCTCTCTGTTTCTTTCAGGTGAAAGGAATGTTGGCTCTGTTTCCCCTCATGAAAGTGGAGCCATTGCATGGGACTGGAATAAAGTTCTGGGGCAACTGAAGGCATCTGGCCAATGCCACTCCTTGGTGCTGCCAGAAGGCCACATGACTGAACCTGGTCCCCAACCACCTGTTAAGGTTCAGCCAAGACCCCCAGACTTTTCTATGGTATCTTTCCTTCCTTCTTTCATGGTTTGAAATGGCTCCTATCTCTTCTTTTATAGTGTTAAGGGTTTTGCTGCAAACTGCTGACATGTTACTAAGTACAGTGAGAGACTGGCCCAGCCATCAGGTAGCAATTCAGATCAATATGATTTCCGTCTGTTTTTAGCAGTTCCATCCCCACTCCACCCCCACAGTTGCAGGTACATGCTGTGCACAGTGGCTCCCCTCCCGGCTGGAGGGCCTGGGCATGTCCACTGCATGCATGTGTCGTGCCCAGTGGCCAAGCCAGGTGAGAGTGGGAGTGAGCTATGCATGACACCCGGGCCCCAGGGCAGCCTCAGGGGCCAGGGACCCTGTACAGCCAGCTGGCCAGTGCTTCCTGCTCGCCATCCCCTCCTGCCATACACCCACAGAGCCTTTCTTCCCCTGGCCAAGGAGTTCAGCTTGGTCCAAACTGGGGGAGAGATGCAGTGATTAAAGGAACCCGTTTGCAGAAAGCAAGAGTTCCCCCCTCTTAAACCTCTTTTTTCTTTCCTTTTCAATGCGAGAGGGTTCTTCTCCTACCTCAACACTCTGCTTATAACAGGGAGGCAACAAAGGAGTGACACCACCGACTATGAACTGCAAGTTTGGCAAAACCAGTGTGAGAATTAATCTAAATGGACCCACGCATCCCCTGAGACACCTTTTTGGCCCAAATTTGATTCCAAGCTTCTAGTTGAAGCCCTAGAAGGAAAACCAGATTGGAGAAATCCAAGGCAAGGTAACAGGCACAGTATAAATGGGCAGGACTATTTCCTGATGATTAAGCCCCTGCTTCATGGGAGGAGGCCATGCTCCATGGCATAGATGGGGCCCAGGTAACCCAAAGGTTGCTGACAGTAGGAGGGATGAAGGCATAGGTGAGTGTAGACAACTCCTACTCTCTAGGCCCTCCCTGCCTAATGGGTGCTGGCCGCAATGGCACCCACGGATGGTGTCCATCTAAGGTCACTGAGTCTTGGGGATAAAAAAAAAAAAACAGAAGAGAAAAGGGGGATGTCCACATTCTCTCTCCCTCACACCCCAAGTTTTTGCTGAAAGGAGCAAAGGAAACGAGGGACACCTATCTCCCTATCTTTGAGAATGGGCAACCAGCTATCTTCATCACCCCCCGTCTATACTCCCTGGAGTGGATCCTCAATCACTGAGACTGCTTTGACCCTCAGACTCTGGAGGAAAAATTCCTCATAGCCTTCTGCACATAGATTTGGCTGAATTATGATCTGTGGGAAGGGCTAGCTTGGCCTCAGGAAGGAAGCATTCATTTCAATACCAACCTACAGTTAGACCTTTTCTGTAAACCTGAGGATGACAAGTGGTCTGAGGCCCCATACGTGCAGGCTTTCTATACCTTGCAGGGTAATCCAGACCTTTGCTGACAGTTTAGGACTGACCCAGCCCTTCTGTTTGCCATCTCAGGAGAGGCTGCAAGGGGCAATCCCAGGGAACTAAAGAAATTAACCCTAGAGGCCCCTCCAGCAGAGGAGCCAGCTCCCTCTGGCCCTGTTCTTCTGGTCCACCCCATCCTCCCTATCCAGCTTCTCTCTCTCAATTGCCCCCACCTAGAAATCCTCACCCTAGATAAGCCCCAGTCTCACTCTTGCCCTTCCAACAGATGCCTGGCGAGTTTGGCCCCAGTAAGTTCCAGGTCCCCTCTCTCTACAGGACTGAAGGCAAATGAAGGGGGATCTGGCAAGTTTTAAGATGACCCTGACAGATATATAGAGGCTTTCCAGAATTTAACCTCAGTATTTGAACACTTCTGGAAAGACATTATGTTACTTTTGAATCAAACCCTGACTAACAGTGGAGAAGCAGACTGCTCTGCAAGTGGTAAAGGAATTTGGGGAAGAGCTTTGTATCACATGTAGTGCCAGGGAAGGAGTCAAACTTTATCCAAATGGAAGAGAAGCAGTACCAGTGGATGACCCTAAATGGCATCCCAAAGGCCTGATGGGAGAATGGAAGAGGAGATACTTTCAAGTGTGTATAATGGAGGGCTTACATAGTACTAGGACCAAGCCTCTCAATTATAGCAACCTATCTATGAGAGACAAGATATTTGACGAGAATCCCACTACCTTCCTGGGAAAGGCTAAGAGAGGCCTTGGTAAAGTACCTCTCTATCTACTGATTCAGTTGAGAGGCAACTAATCCTAAAAGATAAATTTATTATTTAGGCGGCCCCTGATATTAGGAGAAAGCTGTGAAACAGGCCCTTGGACCAGATAGTACTTTAGAAAACCTCCTGAAAGTGGCCACCTCAGTCTTTTATAATAGAGATAGGGAGGCCCAGGAGAGAGAGAGAGGAAACACAGGAAAGAGGCAGAGGACTTAATGGTCACCATGCAAGCCCACAAACCCCAGAACTCCCAAGGTGCACCTGTTAACTGCTACAGATGTGGTAAGCTGGGGCATTTTAAGGATTGCCTAGGCAGCATGAGGAAGCCACTCCAACCCTGTCCAATCTGCAATGGGGACCACTGGAAGGTTGACTGTCCCCAGGGACACTGGTCACTGGATCCAGAACCAATCTCCCAAATGGTCCAGCAGCAGAACTGATGGGTCCTGGGGCTCCTCTCCCCAGCTCCAGTGGTCCAGACCACCATTACCATCCAGGAGCCCTAGGTAATTCTGGAATTCGAAGAGAGGAAAGTGGACTTCCTTTTGGACACTGGGGCTGGTCTCTTGGTTCTCCTCTCCAATCCAGACCCCCTCTCCTCCATTAGCACAACCATGAGGGGTGTCTCAGGAAAGCCTTTAACCCATTTTTTTTCCAAGCTCTTAGTTGTAGTTGGGGAGATCTCTTGTTCACCCGTGACTTTCTAATTGCCTGAAAGCCCAACTCCTCTGTTGAGCAGGGATATTCTGGCCCATATTGGGACCACCATTCTGATGGCCCAGGACAAACTCTTTGTCTCCCCCTAGAGGAAACCAATACTAACCCAGAAGTTTGAGCAATTCAAGGGAAGATTGGCCAAGCCACAACCACCATACCTGTGTGGGCCCACCTTAAAGATCCCTCCTCCAATCATAACCAGAAACAATATCCCCTGAAATCAGAAGTTAGGAAAGGACTCGAAGCCGTCATTGATAACTTAAGTTTGCAGGGCCTCCTCAAACCCTGCAACATCCCTTGTAATATCCCCATACTGGGGGTACAAAAACCCAGCAGGGAATGGAGGCTACTTTGGGACCTCTGCCTCATTTCACCTGGTGGTTCCCAATGCATATACTCTGCTAGCTCAAATACCTGAGGGAACTAAATGGTTCAGAGTCATGGATCTAAAGGATGCCTTCTTCTGCATACCATTACACCCCAACTCTCAGTATTTATTTGCATTTGAGGATCCCTCTAACCAAATCACCCAGTTAACCTGGACAGTGTTACCTCAGGGATTCTGAGATGGCCCCCACTTGTTTGGACAGACACTGTCAAGGGACCTCTCTGAGTTCCTTTATCCTCAGGTTAAACTTTTATAATATGTAGATGACATTCTCCTCTGTGCTCTGAGGAAATCTCTCAGGAGGGCAGTAAGGCTCTTTTTAATTTTTGGCTAACAGAGGATATAAGGTTTAAAAAAATCTAAAGCTCAGTTCTGCCAGCTTCAGTGAAGTACCTAGGCCTGGTCTTGTCAGAGGGAACCAAAGCATTCAGTGAAAAAAGGATTAAGGCCATCTCTTCCTTTCCCCTCGCCACAACCTTCAAGCAACTAAGGGGATTCTTAGGCATTACAGCATTTTGCAGACTATGGATACCTGGGTATGGTGAAATAGCTCAGCCCTTATACCACCTAATAAAGGAGACTCAGACAGCTAAAACTCACTGTCTAATTTGGGAACCAGAGGCTAGAAAGGCCTTTGACCAACTAAAACAAGCCTTGCTTAAGGGAGCCCTTGGTCTCCCCATAGGGAAGATGTTCAATCTTTAGTGTTAGAAAGAAAAGGAATGGCACTGGGAGTTCTAACACGGGCCCACAGTCCAGCCCAGCAGCCTGTAGGCTACCTAAGTAAGGAGCTTGATTTGGTAGCTAAAAGATGGCCAGCCTGCCTCTGGGTGGTTTCAGCTGTAGCCTTGCTGGTATCAGCGGCTACTAAGTTAACCATGGGATATAACTTCACTGCTTACATTCCACATAATGTGGCAGGACTGCTGTCTTCTAAGAAGAGTCTCTGGCTAATGGACAACGATCTCCTCAGATATCAAGCTCTGCTATTAGAGGAATCTGCAGTCCAATTAAGAACCTGTCCCTTCCTAAATCCAGCCGACTTCCTCCCTCCCTTGAGGGAGAATCTCAAGGAAACTCCCTTAGAGAACCCAGACTGGATTCTCTTTAGGGACAGAAGTTGTTTTGTAGAACAAGGGACATATAAAGTAGGGTATGCAATAGTTACCCTGAGTGATACTGCTGAGAGCACACCTCTCTCCTCCGGCACAAGTGCTCAATTAGCCGAACTAATTGCCCTCATCGAGGGGCTTGCATTAAGCAAAGGGAAAGAAGTTAACATTTATACTGATTCTAAGTACAATTTCCTAATCCTCCATGCCCATGCCACTATCTGGAAAGAGAGAAACTTCCTCACAGCTAATGGGTCTCCCATTAAATGCCATTAGAAAATTAATAGACTATTATCCTTGGTTTTCCTCCCATGGGAAGTGACAGTAATACATTGTAAAGGCCACTGAAAAAGAATGGATGAAGTGGCTGAGGGAAATAGGTTGACAGACCAAGCAGCTAAATCAGCAGCAAGGGGGCCCCAGGTCTCTGACCCACTTGAAGGTCCACTCATCTGAGAGGGCCCAATCAGGGAAATAAAACCTCAATAGTCTGCTGCAGAAATAGAATGGGCCACCTCTCATGGATACACCGTTTAGTCTTCCAGGTGGCTACAATTGAAGGACAGCAAGTCTCATCTACTAGCTGCCAACCAACGGAAAGTTCTTAAAAGCCTTCCTCAGGCCTTCCACTAGGTAAGAAAAAAACCTAAATTGGTCCAGAGATTGTTCTCAGGTAAAAACCTGATACAAATGGTTAAACAAGCTGTTAATGCTTGTGAGGCTTGCCTTAAAAATAATCCTCTCAAGTGATGGCTTCTTCCCCCAGGAACCCAAAAGATAGGAGGCTACCCAGTGGAAGACTGGCAGATGGATTTCACCCACATGTCAAAGGCAAGGGGCATCCAATATCTCTCAGTATGGATAGATACCTTCACTAACTGGGTAGAAGCATTTCCATGTTGAACAGAGAAAGCCTCTGAGGTGATAAAAGTACTAATCAATAACATAATTCCTCATTTTAGACTTTCTAAGTACCTCCAGAGTAATAATGGCCCCTTGTTCAAGGTGGCTGTCACCCAGGGGGTCTCAAAGGCACTAGGCATACAGTACCATTTTCATTGTGCTTGGAGACCACAATTCTCAGGAAAGGTGAAAAAGACAAATGGTATTATCAAAAGGCACACCAGGAAACTGTCTCAGGAGACTTATGTCCACTGGACTACCCTTCTCTACATAGCCCTACTATGTATTAGAAACACCCCTTCAAAGCTGGGTGTAAGTGTCTTTGAAATGATGTATGGACAGCCTTTTCTCAGCAATGATTTCTTGCTAGACCAAGAAACTTCTGATTTTATTAAACACATTACTTTTTTAGCTCATTTCCAACAGGAACTAAAATATCTGTCAGAGGCCCAATCCCATGAACCAGAGCCACTTCTATTCAACCCAGGAGACCTGGTGCTGCTAAAGGTACTACCTTCCCTTTAATCTTCTCTAAGCTCAGATTGGAAGGAACCTTACACTACTTCTTTCTACTCCTACTACAGTGAGGGTCACTGGAATAGACTCTTGGATTCATTATACCCAAGTAAAGGCCTGGGAGGCCAATGGAGTTACCTCCATCGACCCAGAAGAGCACCCAAAGTACCAGTGTGAAGAGATTGGTGATCTCAAGCTAAAAACCACAAAAGATTAGTGTTCACAATTCATCTTCCATGGATATCCTCTGTAGTCTTGCCAATGTTTGCTGTTTTTACCTTTGTTCTGCTCTATATCATGGGGTACACTGCTGTTTTCAGAATGTTTACCACATTTCACTTGTTATTTCTGTAATCTTCGACACTAAATTCTTTCCTTTTAACCCCTTTTTGTATAATACATATATTTGATCCTGCATACTTAACCTTGTAGAACTTGTTTCTTCTTGCCTAGAGTCCATCAAACTCCAAACTGTCAGGCAACCAAAGCTTTAGATGATTTTTGCCAGGGACCCTTAGGTAGACCTCTGGGAGGAATCTGACTGCCATTCTCCCCAAAACAATGCCCACTGTCAGCAGAAAGTAGCTAAGACTGCTCATCATCTATATTCTAATTGCAGTTTGATGTGACTCTTCGGTGTGGGGGTAGGGGGACGATAGGAACAGAAAGCAGAGAAATTCTAGGCAGAAAAGGGTGGGGTCCCTGGCCATGGCCCCACCCTCAATCTTGTTACTGTGGCCCAGTGAGAACATTACATCCCTGTTTTCCTGCTCAAATTGTGCCTTTTCCAAAATCATCCATGGCCCACCCCACTCCCCATTCTGTACCCATTAAAACTCCTGACCTGACTGGCAGAGGGCAGAGAGAAGGAGAGAAGAAAAGAAGAAGCCATACATCAGAGAGAAGCAGCTTGATTTCGGAGGGATGGCTTGATGGTAGGACTTTAGAGAAGAGTCTAGCTAGAGACAGCCGAACTCCAGGGGAACATCACCCTCCCACCCCATCCCCCTTCCAGTCTAGCTAGAGACGGCCGAACTCCAGGGGAACGTCACCCTCCCACCCCATCCCCCTTCCAGTCTAGCTAGAGACGGCCAAACTCCAGGGGAACGTCACCCTCCCACCCCATCCCCCTTCCAGCTTTCTTTCCCACTGAGAGCCAGTCTCATCAGCAATAAAATCCTCCGCATTCATCACCACTCAATTTGTTTCTGCGACCTCAATCCTCCTGGACACTGAAAAAGGACTCAGGTATGGGTTCAAAAGGCAGTCACACTGACCCTATGCTGAGCTATTAACACTTAAGCCATCCATAGATGGCAAAGCTAAAAGAGTGCATTGTAACACACACCCTCTAGGGCTTCAGGGATTGTGGGTACCCCCCCAGACACTGCTGCAGGGCCACACGAAGTTTTGCTCCCACTGGCATCCAAAAGTGCTCGCTCTGGCTCCTGCACCCATTCACCTGTGTGCACACCCTCTGATATGATTTGGCTCCGTGTCCTTACCCAAATCTCGTCGTGTAACTCCCATAATTCTCTTGTGTTGTGGGAGGGACCGGGTGAGAGACGACTGAATCATAGGGGCAGGTCTTTCCTCTGATGTTCTTGCCATAGTGAATGGGTCTCATGAGATCTGATACCTTTAAAAACAAGAGTTTCTCTGCACAAACTCTCTTTTTTGCCTGCCACCATCCACGTAAGATGTGACTTGCTCCTCCTTGCCTTCTGCCAGGATGTGAGGCCTCCCCAAGCCATGTGGAACTGTAAGTCCGATTAAACCTCCTTCTTTTGTAAATTGCCCGGTCTTGGGTATGTCTTTACCTGCAGTGTGAAAATGGACCAAAACACCCTCCCTCGAGCAGTTGAGAACTGCAGGATAAGTGAGGCACTTCAACCTCAAGGCTCATGCAGCCTAAGTGAGGCAATTCAACCTCAAGGCCCATGCAGGCTAAGTGAGGCACCTCAATCTCAAGGCCCATGCAGGCTAAGTGAGGCACCTCAATCTCAAGGCTTATGCAGGCTAAGTGAGGCACCTCAATCTCGAGGCTCATGCAGGCTAACTGAGGCACCTCAATCTCAAGGCCCATGCAGCCTAAGTGAGGAACCTCAGCCTCAAGGCTCATGCAGGCTAAGTGAGGCACCTCAACCTCTAGGCCCATGCAGCCTAAGTGAGGCACCTCAATCTCAAGGCCCATGCAGGCTAAGTGAGGCACCTCAATCTCGAGGCTCATGCAGGCTAACTGAGGCACCTCAATCTCAAGGCCCATGCAACCTAAGTGAGGAACCTCAGCCTCAAGGCTCATGCAGGCTAAGTGAGGCACCTCAATCTCAAGGCCCATGCAGGCTAAGTGAGGCACCTCAATCTCAAGGCCCATGCAGGCTAAGTGAGGCACCTCAATCTCAAGGCCCATGCAGGCTAAGTGAGGCACCTCAATCTCAAGGCCCATGCAGGCTAAGTGAGGCACCTCAATCTCAAGGCCCATGCAGCCTAAGTGAGGCACCTCAATCTCAAGGCTCATGCAGGCTAAGTGAGGCACCTCAATCTCTAGGCTCATGCAGGCTAAGTGAGGCACCTCAACCTCAAGGCTCATGCAGGCTAAGTGAGGCACCTCAATGTCAAGGCTCATGCAGCCTAAGTGAGGCACTTCAACCTCAAGGCTCATGCAGGCTAAGTGAGGCACCTCAAACTCACGGCTCATGTAGCCTAAGTGAGGCACCTCAATGTCAAGGCTCATGCAGGCTAAGTGAAGCATCTCAATCTCAAGGCCCATGCAGGCTAAGTGAGGCACCTCAATCTCAAGGCTCATGCAGGCTAAGTGAGGCACTTCAACCTCAAGGCTCATGCAGCCTAAGTGAGGCACCTCAATGTCAAGGCTCATGCAGGCTAAGTGAAGCATCTCAATCTCAAGGCCCATGCAGGCTAAGTGAGGCACCTCAATCTCAAGGCTCATGCAGGCTAAGTGAGGCACTTCAACCTCAAGGCTCATGCAGCCTAAGTGAGGCACCTCAACCTCAAGGCCCATGCAGGCTAAGTGAGGCACCTCAATCTCAAGGCTCATGCAGGCTAAGTGGGGCACCTCAACCTCAAGGCCCATGCAGCCTAAGTGAGGCACCTCAATCTCAAGGCTTATGCAGGCTAAATGAGGCACCTCAATCTCGAGGCTCATGCAGGCTAACTGAGGCACCTCAATCTCAAGGCCCATGCAGCCTAAGTGAGGAACCTCAGCCTCAAGGCTCATGCAGGCTAAGTGAGGCACCTCAACCTCTAGGCCCATGCAGCCTAAGTGAGGCACCTCAATCTCAAGGCTCATGCAGGCTAAGTGAGGCACCTCAATCTCAAGGCTCATGCAGGCTAAGTGAAGCATCTCAATCTCAAGGCCCATGCAGGCTGAGTGAGGCACCTCAATCTCAAGGCTCATACAGGCTCAGTGAGGCACCTCAATCTCAAGGCCCATGCAGGCTAAGTGAAGCACCTCAATCTCAAGGCTCATGCAGGCTAAGTGAGGCACCTCAATCTCAAGGCCCATGCAGGCTAAGTGAGGCACCTCAATCTCAAGGCTCATGCAGGCTAAGTGAGGCACCTCAATCTCAAGGCTCATGCAGGCTAAGTGAGGCACCTCAATCTCAAGGCTCATGCAGGCTAAGTGAGGCACCTCAATCTCAAGGCTCATGCAGGCTAAGTGAGGCACCTCAATCTCAAGGCCCATGCAGGCTAAGTGAGGCACCTCAATCTCAAGGCCCATGCAGCCTAAGTGAGGCACCTCAATGTCAAGGCCCATGCAGCCTAAGTGAGGCACCTCAATCTCAAGGCTCATGCAGGCTAAGTGAGGCACCTCAACCTCTAGGCTCATGCAGGCTAAGTGAGGCACCTCAACCTCAAGGCCCATGCAGGCTAAGTGAGGCACCTCAACCTCAAGGCTCATGCAGGCTAAGTGAGGCACCTCAACCTCAAGGCTCATGCAGGCTAAGTGAGGCACCTCAATGTCAAGGCTCATGCAGCCTAAGTGAGGCACTGCAACCTCAAGGCTCATGCAGGCTAAGTGAGGCACCTCAACCTCACGGCTCATGTAGCCTAAGTGAGGCACCTCAATGTCAAGGCTCATGCGGGCTAAGTGAAGCATCTCAATCTCAAGGCCCATGCAGGCTAAGTGAGGCACCTCAACCTCAAGGCTCATGCAGGCTAAGTGAGGCACCTCAACCTCAAGGCTCATGCAGCCTAAGTGAGGCACTTCAACCTCAAGGCCCATGCGGGCTAAGTGAGGCACCTCAACCTCAAGGCCCATGCAGGCTAAGTGAGGCACCTCAACCTCACGGCTCATGTAGCCTAAGTGAGGCACCTCAATGTCAAGGCTCATGCAGGCTAAGTGAAGCATCTCAATCTCAAGGCCCATGCAGGCTAAGTGAGGCACCTCAATCTCAAGGCCCATGCAGGCTAAGTGAGGCACCTCAATCTCAAGGCCCATGCAGGCTAAGTGAGGCACCTCAATCTCAAGGCTCATGCAGGCTAAGTGAGGCACCTCAATCTCAAGGCTCATGCAGGCTAAGTGAGGCACCTCAATCTCAAGGCCCATGCAGGGTAAGTGAGGCACCTCAATCTCAAGGCCCATGCAGCCTAAGTGAGGCACCTCAATGTCAAGGCCCATGCAGCCTAAGTGAGGCACCTCAACCTGAAGGCTCATGCAGGCTAAGTGAGGCACCTCAACCTCAAGGCCCATGCAGGCTAAGTGAGGCACCTCAACCTCAAGGCTCATGCAGGCTAAGTGAGGCACCTCAACCTCAAGGCTCATGCAGGCTAAGTGAGGCACCTCAACCTCAAGGCTCATGCAGGCTAAATGAGGCACCTCAATGTCAAGGCTCATGCAGCCTAAGTGAGGCACTGCAACCTCAAGGCTCATGCAGGCTAAGTGAGGCACCTCAACCTCACGGCTCATGTAGCCTAAGTGAGGCACCTCAATGTCAAGGCTCATGCAGGCTAAGTGAAGCATCTCAATCTCAAGGCCCATGCAGGCTAAGTGAGGCACCTCAACCTCAAGGCTCATGCAGGCTAAGTGAGGCACCTCAACCTCAAGGCTCATGCAGCCTAAGTGAGGCACTTCAACCTCAAGGCCCATGCGGGCTAAGTGAGGCACCTCAACCTCAAGGCCCATGCAGGCTAAGTGAGGCACCTCAACCTCAAGGCTCATGCAGGCTAAGTGAGGCACCTCAATGTCAAGGCTCATGCAGCCTAAGTGAGGCACTTCAACCTCAAGGCTCATGCAGGCTAAGTGAGGCACCTCAACCTCACGGCTCATGTAGCCTAAGTGAGGCACCTCAATGTCAAGGCTCATGCAGGCTAAGTGAAGCATCTCAATCTCAAGGCCCATGCAGGCTAAGTGAGGCACCTCAATCTCAAGGCCCATGCAGGCTAAGTGAGGCACCTCAATCTCAAGGCCCATGCAGGCTAAGTGAGGCACCTCAATCTCAAGGCTCATGCAGGCTAAGTGAGGCACCTCAATCTCAAGGCCCATGAAGGGGTCAAGTGAAATTTCCCATTTCAATATGACACAATATTATATTGTGATTTGATTTGCATATAACTATATTTCCCCTATTAAATTATAAGCAATTTGAATATGAGTGCATAATTGATGCCCAGTAAATATTTGCTGTTTGATTTAAAATATATTTGTTAAATATATAGGTTAAGTGCAATATCATGTTCTTATAGAGGGAGAACACTTGGTTTCTCTTGTTTTTCTTTTCTGTTAACTTGAATCTAAGGAGAAAACTAATGCATATTAATCTAATTTCTTAATACATATGCAGTCAGAAGAGAAACAAGTCTCTCTCAGCATAGTTATTTTTTTCTAATTCTCAGAATATGTCAACAGCTTCTATTGCTCAAACAAAATACAAACCTTTAAAAAGAAGTTGGTTCCCAGAGTGGCAATTTCTTCTGAAATTATTAGCTAGCTCTAACAGCACATTTTCTGACTTACATTTAGAGAGTGTATTAGTCAGGGTTCTCTTGAGAAACAGACAATAGGAGATACACATGCACACATGGACAAATAGATTGATTATAAGACATTGGCTAACATGATTACTGAAGCCGAGAATTCCCACAATCTTCTGTCTGCAAGTTGGAGACCCAGGGAAGTCAATGGTCAAGTTCAAAGGCCTAGAGCCAGAGAACCAATAGTGTAGATTCCAGTCCAAGTCTGAAGGCCTGAGAGCCAGGAACACCCAGAGAAGATGGATGTTCCAGCTCAAGCAGCCAGGCAGAGAATACAGCACTCTTCCACTTTCAATTCTATTCAGGCCCTCAGGGAAATGAATATGCCCACCCAAATTAGGGAGGGCCATCTGCCTCACCCAGTCCTCTACTCAAACGCCAGTGTCTTCCTGAAACACCCTCGTGAGAACACTCAGGATAATGTTTAACCAAATACCTGGGCATCCCATGGTTCACTCAAGTTGACACATAAAATTAACCATCATAGAGTTATTTTTAGTGACATATCTTAACAGTAAGGAGAATATATTCAATATAAAGAATCCAAGATAAATGGCAGAAAATGTAATCTATATTCCCAAAATAGACCAAACGTGACAAAACACTAGAAGTTCTTCTTAGTGAGAAAGCAATTTCTATGCTTTTATATACATATATTTAAAAATTCTGGCAGAGTAAGATGATGGAATAGAAACCTACACCATTCATTCCCCCTGCCGGAACACCATAGAACACCATATTTTTTTTGTTGTTGTTGTTGTTTTGTTTTTGTTTTTGTTTTGGACAGAGTCTTGTTCTGTTGCCCAGGCTGGAGTGCAGTGGTGTGATCTAAGATCACTTCAGCCTCTACCTCCTGGGTTAAGTGATTCTTGTGCCTCAGCCACCCAAGTAGCTGGGATTGCAGGCATGAGGCACCACATTGAGTTAATTTTTGTATTTTTAGTAGACGTGGGTTTTTGCCATGTTGGCCAGGCTGGTCTTGAACTCCTGGCCTCAAGTGATCTGCTAATCTCAGCCTCCCAAAGTGCTGGGATTACAGGCATGGGCCACAACACCCGGCCTTGGAACACCATATTTTAACAATTATCTGCACGCAGAAAAGCTCCATCACGAGAACCAAATATCAGGTGAGGAATCACAGTATCTGGTTTTAACTTCATATCACTGAAAAAGGCATGAAGGAGGGCAGGAGAGACAATCTTGAGGACTGCTGTCACCCTTCCCCCAGCCCCTGGGCAGCACCCATGTGGCACAGAGTTTAGGCACTCTGTGGAGGGAAAGCACAGCGACTGGAAAACTTTACATTGAACTCAGTGCTGCCCAGTCACAGCAGAGAATGGTGGGCTCAGCAGCACCGACGCATGGAGGAAGCATTTGGAGCAGCCCTAGCCAGAGGAAAATTGCCCATGCCAGCAGTGAGAACTTGAATTTCTTGGCAAGCTTTTCCACTGTGGGCTGAAGTGCTCTGGGGTTCTAAATAAACTTGAAAGGTAGTCTAGGATACAAGGACTACAATTCCTAGGACTGCAATTCTAAGGCTGGGCTTAGAGCCAGTGGACTAGGGTGACAGATGACCTAGGGTGGCTAAGGGAGTGCTTGCACCACCCCTCCCCCAAACCCAGGCAGCACAGCTCATAGCAATGACAATGACTCCTTCCTTCTGCTTAAGGAGGGGAGAGTGAAGACTAAAGAGGACTTTGTCTTGCACCTTGGATACCAGTTCAACCACAGTAAGATAGGGCACGGGGCAAAGTCATGAGACCTCCCTTCCAGACCCTATCTCCTGGACATTTCTAGATGCACTTTGGGCCAAAAAAGAACCCACTGCCTTGAGGAGAAGGACCCAGTCCTGGCAAGATTTATTATCTGCTAAAAAGCCTTGGTGCCTGAATAACCAGCAGCAATACCCAGGGAGTACACTGTGAGCCTTAGGCTCTGAGACGTGCTGGCTTAACTAGTGGCCCAGAGCACTCCCAGCTGGGGAGGCTATGCTGAAAGATTCCTTCAGTTCGAGAAAAGCAGAGTGAAAATCGAAGGGGACTTCATTTTGCACCTTAGGTATCAGCTTGAACACAGTAGGTTAGAGTAACAAACAGACTCTTGGGGTCCCTGAGTCCAGGCCTAGGCTTTCAGGCAGGATTTCTGGACCTACCATGAGTGAGAGGGAAGCCCACTGCCCTGAAGCGTGAATCCCAGGCCTGGAAACATTCACCACAATCTGGTGGAAGAGCCTTTGGGCTTTAAGTGAACATCAGTGGTGGCCTTGCAGAACCCCTGTGGACCAGTGGTGGTGGCGGCCACAGGGAAAGGTTCTTCTGCCTATGGAATGGGGAGGAAAAGCAGGAAAGACTTTGTATTGTAGTATGAGAGCCAGCTTAGCCACAGTAGAATAGGATATATGGTAAACTGCTACGGTTTTTTACTCTAATCCTTGGCTCCCAGGCAGCATCTCTGGACATGCCCAGGGCCTGGGAGAACTCACTACCCTGAAGGGAATGGCCTTGGGCAAGAGCCAGTGATATGCAAGCTTCAGGTTTCAGCCAGCACAGTACCAGTGGTGGTGGTCACAGGGGTGCTTATGTCACTCCACCCCCAGTTCCAGGCGGCTCAACAGAGAGAGAGAGAAACTTCATTTGTTTGGGGAAAGGTAAGGGAAAAGAATAAGAATCTCTGCCAGGTAATCCAGAGAATTCTTCTGGATCTTATCCAAGACCACCAAGGAAGTACCTCTATGAGTCTACAAAAACCACAGCATTATTGGGCTTGGGGCCCAGGTCCCTTCAAATCCCTGGAAATCCTTCCCAAGAAGGACAGATACAAATAAGCCCAAACTGTGAAGACTACAATAAATACCTAACTCTTCAATGCCCAGACACTGACGAACATCTACAAGCATCAACACCATCCAGGAAAACATGACTTCATCAAATGGACTAAATAAGGCACCAGGGACCAATCCTAGAGAAACGGATATATATGACCTTTCAGACAGAGAATTCAAAATAGCTCTTTTGAGGAAACTCAAAGAAATTCAAGGTAACACAGAAAATAAATTCATAATTTTATCAGTTAAATTTAACAAGGAAATTGAAATAATTAAAAAGAATCAAGCAGAAATTCTAGAGTTGAAAAGTGCAACTGAAAAGTGCTGAAGAATGGATCAGAGTCTCTTAATAGCAGAATTGATCAATTAGTGAGCTTGAAGACACGTTATTTGAGAAGACACACAGAGGAGAAAAAATAAAAAAATAAAAAACAATAAAGCGTGCCTACAAGATCTAGGAAAAAACCTCCAAAGGGCAAATCTAAGAGTTATCAGGCTTAAAGAGGAGGCAGAGAAAGACATAGGGGCAGAAAGTTTATTCAAAGGGATAATATCAGAGAGAACCTCCCAAACCTACAGAAAGATTAACGTTCAAGTACGAGAAGGTTATAGAACACCAAGCAGATTTAACTCAAAGAAGACTGTCTCAGGGTATTTAATAATCAGACTCCCAAAGGGCAAGGATAAATAAAGGATTTTAAAAGCAGCAAGAGAAAGAGAAACAAATAACATATAATGGAGCTCTAATACATCTGGCAGAAGACTTTTCAGTGGAATCTTTACAGGCCAGGAGAGAGCAGCATGACATATTTAAAGTGCTGAAGGAAAAAAAACTTTTAGTCTAGAATAGTATACCTGGCAAAAATATCCTTCAAGCATGAGAGAGAAATAAAGACCTTTCCAAGCAAAAGCTGAGGGATTTCATCAACACCAAACCAGTCCTACAAGAAATCCTAAAGAGAGTTATTTAATCTGAAAAAAGGATGTTAATGAGCAAGAAGAAATTATCTGAAAGTACAAAACTCACCACCAATACTAAGCACACAAAAAACACAAAATAATATAACACTGTAATGGTGTGTAAACTACTCGTCTTAAGTAGAAAGACTAAATGATGAATCAATCAAAAATAAAAACTATGACAACTTTTCAAGACACAGATAATACAGTAAGACATAAAGAGAAACAACAAAAAGTTAAAAAGGAGGGGGTCAAAGTTAAAATGTAGAGTTATTAGTTTTCTTTTTGTATGTTTGTATATGCAATGAGTGGTATGTTTTCATCAGTTTAAAAGAATTGGTTATAAGATAGTATTTGCAAGTCTTCTGGTAACCTCAAATCAAAAAACATACAA
This sequence comes from Homo sapiens, assembly GCF_000001405.40. Taxonomy (NCBI): domain Eukaryota; kingdom Metazoa; phylum Chordata; class Mammalia; order Primates; family Hominidae; genus Homo; species Homo sapiens. The sequence continues at coordinate 169,134,214 of NC_000006.12, forward strand.
TGGATACACAAAATTTTTTTAAAAAACAAGAAATTAAAGCATGCCACCAGGGAAAATCACCTACACTAAAAGGAAGGCAGACAGGAAAGAAGAAAGAGAAGATTGCAAAGCAACCAGAAAACAAATAATAAAATGGCAGGAGTAAGTCCCTAATTATCAATAATAACCTTAAATGTAAATGGACTAAACTCTCTAATCAAAAGACACAGAGTGGCTGAATGGATGAAAAAAAAAAAAAAACCAAACCCAATGACCTGTTGCCTACAAGAAACACACTTCACCTGAAAAGATAAACCTTGACTGAGAATAAAGCATAGGAAAATGTTATTCCATGCAAATGGAAACCAAGAAAGAATATGAGTAGCTATACTTAAATCAGAAAAAAATAGATTTCAAGACAAAAATCATAAGAAGAGACAAAAAATGTTATTATATAATGATAAAGAGGTCAATTCATCATGAAGATATAATGATTATAAATATATATGTACCCAACACTGGAGCACCCAGATATATACAGCAAATATTATTATAACTAAAGACAGAGATAGACCCCAATAATAGTTGGAGACTTCAACACCCCACTTTAGCATTGGACACATCTCCCAGATAGAAAATCAACAAAGAAACATCAGACTTAATCTGCACTATAGGAAAAATTGACTTATATACTTACAGAGCTTTTCCTACATTGGCTTCAGAATACACATTCTTCTCCTCAGCACATGGATCATTCTCAAGGGTAGATCATATATTAGGTGACAAAACAAGTCTTAAAACATTTTTAACAACTGAAATAATATCAAACTCCTTTTCTGACCACAATGGAATAAAACTAGAAAATAATAAGAGGAGGAATTTTGGAAACTATACAAATACATGGAAATTAAGTAATATGCTCGAATGACCAGTGGGTCAATGAAGAAATTTAGAAGGAAATTGAAAAATTTCTTGAGACAAATAATAATGAAAACACAACATACCAAAACCTGTGGGATATAGTGAAAACAGCACTAAAAGGGAAATTTATAGCTGTAAGTGCCTACATCATTAAAGAAGAAAAGCTTCAAATAAATAACCTAATGATGCATCTTAAAGAACTACAAAAGCGGCCGGGCGTGCTGGCTCATGCCTGTAATCCCAGAACTTTGGGAGGCAAAGGCAGGTGGATCATGAGGTCAGGAGATCAAGACCATCCTAGCTAACATGGTGAAACCCTCCATCTCTATTAAAAATACAAAAAAAGTAGCCAGGTGTGGTGGTAGGCGCCTGTAGTCCCAGCTACTCTGGAGGCTGAGGCAGGAGAATGGCGTGAACACGGGAGGCGGAGCTTGCAGCAGTGAGCCGAGATCGTGCCTCTGCACTCCAGCCTGGGCAACAGAGTGAGACTCCATCTCAAAAAAAAAGAACTACAAAAGCAAAAGCAAACTGAACCCAAAATTAGGAGAAAAGAAATAAGGATTGAAGAAGAATAAATAATTTGAAATGAAGAAAAAAAACACAAAACATCAATGAAACAAAAAATTGGTTTTTTTAGAAGATAAAATTATGGACAAACCATTAGCCAGACCAAAAAGAGAGAGAGAAGACCCAAATAAACAAAACCAGAGACAAAAAAAGGAGACATTACAACTGATACCACAGAAATTCAAAGGATCATTAGTGGCCACTATGAATGATTATTTGCCAATAAATTGGAAAATCTAGAAGAAATGGATAAATTCTTAGACATATACAACCTAAGATTGAGCTATAAAGAAATCCAAAACAGACCAATAACAAGTAGGGAGATTGAAGCCATAATAAAAAGTCTCTCAATAAGGAAATGCCAAGGACTTGATGACTTCACTGTTACATTCTACCAAACATGTAAAGAACTAATACCAGTCCTACTCAAACTGTTCCAAGAAATAAAGGAGGGGATACTTCCAAATTCATTCCATGAGGCCAGTATTTTACCTGATACCAAAACCAGACAAAGACACATCCTAAAAAGAAAACTACAGTCCAATATTTCTGATAAATATTGATGCCAAAATTCTCAACAAAATACTAGCAAACAAAATTCAACACTGTGTTAAGAAAGATCATTGATCATGATCAAGTAGGATTTATCCCAGGGATGCAAGGATGGTTTAACATATTCCAATCAATCAATGTGGTACATCATATTGACAGAATAAAAGACAAAAACCGTATGATCATTTCAATCGATGCTGCAAATGTATCTGATAAAGTTCAACATCTCGTCATGATAAAAACCCTCAAAAAAGTGGATATAGAAGGAAAATATCTCAACATAATAAAAGACATATATGACAGACTCACAGCTAGTATCATACTAAATGGGGAAAAACTGAAAGCCTTTCCTCTCAGATCTGGAAAATGACAAGGATATATACCTTCACCACAGTTATTCAACATTGCTCTGGATTTCCTAGCTAGAGCAATCAAATAAGAGAAAGAAATAAAGGGCATCCAAATTGGAAAGGTGGAAGTCAAATTATCTTTGTTTGCAGATTATATGATCTTATATTTGGAAAAACCTAAAGACTCCACCTAAAAAACTATTAGAACTGATAAATTCTGTAAAGTTGAAGGATATAAAATCAATATACAAAAATCAGTGGCATACCTATATGCCAACAGTGAACAATCTGAAAAAGAATAAGAAAGTAATCTCATTTATGATAGCCACAAATAAAATTAAATGCCTAGGAATTAATCAAAAAAGTGAAAGATCTCTACAATGAAAATTATAAAACACTGATGAAATAAATTGAAGAGGACAGATAGAAAATGGAAAAATATTTTATGTCCATGGATTGGAAGACTCAACATTGTTAAAATGTTCATATTATCCAAAGCAATCTACAGATTCAATGCCATCCCTATGAATATACCAATGACATTCTTCACAGTCCTAAAATTCACATGGAATCGCAAAAGACCCAGAATAGACAAAGCTATCCTGAGCAAAAAGAATAAAACTAGAGGAATCACATTACCTGACTTCAAATTATACTACAGAGGTATAGTAACCAAAACAGCAAAGTACTGGCATGAAAACAGACACATAGACCAATGGAACAGAATAGAGAACCCAGAAACACGTCCGCACACCTACAGTGAACTCATTTTTTGACAAAGGTGCCAAAATCATACATGGGGAAAAAGGCAGTCTTTTCAATAAATGGTGCAGAAAGGACTTGATATCTGTATGCAGAAGAATGAAACTAGATCCTTATCCCTCATCATATATAAAAATCAAATAAAAAATGGATTAAAGACTTAAAACCAAGACCTCAGACTATGAAACTACTACAAAAAACATTGAGGAAGCTCACTGGGACATTGGCCTTGGCAAAATTTTCTTGAATGATACCCCACAAGCACAGGCAACCAAGCAAAAATGGACAAATGGGATCACATCAGGTAAAAAAGCTTCTGCACAGCAAAGGCAACAATCAACAAAGTGAAGAGACAACCCACAGAGTGGGAGAAAATATTTACAAACTACCCACCTGTCATGGGATTAATAACCGGAGTATGCAAGGAACTTAATCAACTCTATAGGGAAAAAAAAAACTAATAAACTGATTTAAAAATGGGCAAAATATTTGAATAGACATTTTTGGAAACAAGATATACAAATGGCAAACAGGTATATGAAAAGGTACTCAATATCATTGACCATTAGATAAATGCAGATTAAAACTACAATAAGTCGTCATCTCACCCCAGATAAAATGGCTTTTATCCAAAACTCAGCAATAACAAATGCTGATGAGGATGTGGAGAAAAAGGAACCCTCATACGCTGTTGGTGGGAATGTAAATTAGTACAACCACTATGGAGAACAGTTTAGAGGTTCCTCAAAAACTAAAAATAGAGGCTACCTTATGATCCAGCAATCCCACTGATGCGTATATACTCAAAAGAAAAGAAATCAGTATATCAAAGACACAACTGACCTCCATGTTTGTTGCAGCACTGTTTTCAATAGCTAAGATTTGGAAGCAACCTAAGTGTTTATTATCAGATGAATGGATAAAGAAAATGTGGTACATATACACAATGGAGTACTATTCAGCCATAAAGAAAAATGAGATTCTGTCATTTGCAACAACATGGATGGAAATGAAGGTCATTATATTAAGTGAAATAAGACAGGCACAGAAACATAAACATCACATGCTCTCACTTATTTGTGGAATCTAAAAATCAAAACAATTGAACTCATAGAGATAGAGAGTAGAAAAAATGGTTACCACAGTCTTGGAAGGGTAGTGGTGTGCGGGGTGAGGGAGGTAGGAGGGGATGGTTAATGGGTACAAAAAACATAGAAAAAAGGAATAAGACCTAGTACTTGTAGGCATAACAGGAGGACTATAGTCAATAATCATTTAATTTAATCGCAAATTTTAAAGTAACTAAAAGAGTATAATTGGATTGTTTGTAACAATTCTTGAGGGGAGGGATATCTAATTTTCTATGATATGATTATGAAGCATTGCATGCCTGTACCAAAATATTTAATTCAGCATATATATATATATATATGTTTGCAGATTATATGATCTTATATTTGGAAAAACCTAAAGACTCCACCTAAAAAACTATTAGAACTGATAAATTCTGTAAAGTTGCAGGATATAAAATCAACATACAACATCAGTAGTTACACTATATAGTTACACTATGTATATATATGTAGTGTAACAGCCAAATAATAAAATGAAATAAGCAGCCAAAATAAATAAACAAAATAAAAGAAAAAAACATTCCATTTTTGGAAGAAAATGTTTGCTTTTCTGGAAAATCTCCTTGGAAAATGGAAAAAAAATACAACAATGCAGACAGCATACTATTTGTTGTTATGAAAAAAATTCTTATTGGGAGATCTCGCTTATACCCTCTCAGTACTTCCTGGTGGCTCAGAGGCAGGACCGCTCAGCCTGATGTCAGTGAGGGGTGCAGGGCAAAGGTTAGATCACACATTGGATCCCAGGCTGAGTCTGGAAATAACATGCCTGAAGGAGGGTGGGTTCGCTGGGGAGGAGGACAGAGGCGAGGCTGACGCGTGGAGGCAAGGCCAGAGTTTTTCATGAGCATTTTCTTGGAAGCTGCCAGCGGGCATCTTTGGGGCTCACCGTGGTGAATCCAGCACCCTTCGCTGGGTCAGCCTCTCTCCGTGCCCCGGCCCTCCAGATGCCCAGTGCTCCGCGTCCCCCACAAGTGAGGCCGAGGAGGTCGGCGCCAGGGGAACCAGGGCCGGTGCTGAGCAGCTCCGGTGGAGGCCGTCAGTGGACTTGAGTTTTAAAAAGGCTCCTGCGGCGTGGTCCTGGCCAGCTTCTCTGCTGCTCCGTGGAAAGGCCTCCGGGACAGTGGCCTGAGCTTGGCCTTGCAGGGCTGGGAGCCGGCAACCCGCCCTGGGCACGGACACGCCCTTCATCCCTGACCGCCAGGCTCCAGCCCTGCTGGGGACACTCAAGGCAGGACGCCGGGTCCCCCCGCATGGCCTTTCCGCGGAGCTCTCCGCCGCCGAGGACGCCCAGGCCTGCTTTTCCTGCCACCTCTCCTAGGCCGCGAGCCCGGGCCCCTGGAACTCAGCCACCGAGTCACCTCCGGCACCGGACTCAGCTCTGCGCCCCCGGCCCGCGCTCACCGCGGAGGGGGAAGGAACCACTATGGAGGCTGCACTCCAACGTCCTCCCGAATTCCGCAGCTTCTGGGCTTGTCTTGGTCTAGAATCCTCAGAAAACCATGACTCAAGGCCAAATCCAGCCTGCCGAGTGTTTCTAGATAAAGTTTCATTGGAACGGAGCTGCTTTCCCATTGCGGCGAAGCCAAACCCGTGGTGAACGCACCTGACCTCTCTATCTTCCGAAAGCTTTGCTGATCCCGGCCCGGGCCTCCGGAGCCCCAGGTTCCATTCTGATTTCCTCAGCTCCCGGCTTCTTGCATTCAGTAGCAATAATACCAGGTACACGCATGTACTCTGTAGTGGACGCCTTATTTGCCACTCGCCAAAACCCAGTTTCTCAGGAATGGGAGGGTCTTATCCCCATTTTACAGGAGAGAAAGCTGAGGCACAGGAATCTTAAGTTACTTTCTCAAGTTCATCCGTGAGAGGCAGAGCCATGCTCTGAGCCCCTGGCTGTGTGTCCACGTGCGTTTGCAGGTGTGTGCTCGTATGTGGTGTGTGTATGTGTGCTCTTACCTTGCCATTTGAGAAGATTTAAATCCCCGCCTTAGCATCTACAATCACTCCTTTAAAAAAAAGAAAAAAGAAAAAGAAAAATAGAAAAAAAAAAGAAGATTATTAGCCCAGCATAATAAGTTGTACAGAAGTCAAGGCTCCTGTGCGCCTGCTGGGGTGGCTCAGGCAGCCGTGGGGACCTCCTGTGGGCTTGCCCCCAGGACGGGACAATTCACATTCACATCTTCCTGGGCAGTCCGTGTTCTCAGCGGCTCCACAGGGCTGTGCTTAGTATCAGAAGATTAAAGTCAAACCCGAATGCTGAAAAAGCTCGATCCTTACATAGGTAAGGATGACTGCTGATCTCATATTCCTTGTTCTAAACGTTCACGCAGCGTACTAGCTGATAAGATCGCACACGATTTTGGCTTTAGTTGATGCTGGCTTCAAGGAAAGACTAAGCAACTTGTTTGCAAACTTTGAAATGACGTTTGGAAATCTACGTGCCTGATATACATGCTCCCTAAATTAAGGGTGAATCTGTGTGTCCTTTGGTTTGGGCTCACATTGTCATCACTTTCTCTAAGGGTGAATCTGATCATGTAACCAGTCCCAAGGACTCTCTGTACATCCCTCTCCTCCATCAGTTTGTCCAGCCCTGAGGGGCCATGATTCTGTTATTCAATTAACATTAGCATCAGATTCCAGGCTGGCTGGGGAGAAAAAAGTAGACAAAAGGGCATTATATGGGAGCTCTGGATCACTTACTACCATGGGCGAGAGGTGGGAAGAATATTTCCTGGCATAAGGATTGCACAGTGGGATGATTCACAAATGGGGAAATGGCTCCAGGAACAGATGGATGGACGGTTGGCCATTGCGGTCCTGTGTGCTTGGATGGCACTAGAACGCCCATTTAGGTTAGGGATTCATTTTCTCGCCATCCCTGAAAAATCCACACCACTTCAGGTTTCGTTAAAGAGCTTTGTCACAGGACACCATCCCGTCGGACTCCTGTGCCACGGAAAGCGTGCCAGCCTTCCATGGCGTCTCCTGTATGCTGAAGAGAGATGCCCTCCATGGAGTTATGATAAGAAGAGAATGCTGGAGAGGAATCAGGGCTTTCCAGGCAACCTCTATGGTAGTTCTGGTGTTTTTCACTTTTGAAATACTGCTAATGTTGACCCAATCTCGGGTTACATAAAAAAATAATAATAATAATAAAGTAAACTTGCATGCTTTTCAGCTGAGCTCTTCCTTCTCTATGAAGAATTAACATGACAACTCACATCTGCTCTTGGGATCGGCTGTTGATGGTCCTCTGTGTAATTCGCAAAGACACTCCAACAGGATGAGCAAAGTCACAGCTGCTAAAGTGGGGACTGGTCAGAGCCAATTAGGTCGTCCACTCACCCTGCTTCAGGACAGGATTGTTTACTTTCAGAAGTTGGTCCAAACTCAAGAGTCATGATAGACGCAAGTTGTTCCTGACAAGCAGAGCCTCCCTCCCCGGCGCACAGGGCCTCTTCCTCGTCCACAGTGTGAGCCGGCTGAGGTGGTGGTGTCACGGGGTTGGAGGGTCACCAGCAGCATTGGCATATGTGTGGGCCTGAGCACAGATCATGCTGGAACACGCACAGGGAGCCTTTGCTCAGAAACCAGTTAGCAGCGCAACTCAACACATTTGACAAAGGTCTGCTTCTCTCTCTGCCCCGGCCCTGAATTGCCAACTAAGGCCTTTGCCAGGAGGGCATATCCCCAGCGCCACTGTTTCCCCAGCAACGGGGATGGCTGCATTCATGTATTCCCCCTCAAGGGATCACTGTAGTTTCCCCAGCAATGGGGATGGCTGCATTCATGTTTTTCCCCCTCAAGGGATCACTGTAGTTTCCCCAGCAATGGGGATGGCTGCATTCATGTTTTTCCCCCTCAAGGATCACTGTAGCAATTATGTGTCATGCATTTGCAGAAGCACTGAGAATAAGCAAGTAAAAAGGAAGTTCCTGAAGTGAACTAAACTAGAGCATGCCAAGCGCTATAATTAGATCTGTTCTGGAGGCCGTGGTGCAGAGGAGGGCAGCAGCCCTAATTCGGACAGATGCTGCTCATGGAAGCCCGAGCAAGTCGGTCATGGCTCCCTAGACAGGACATCGCTTATGGCAAATCTCGCTCCTCCATTCCCTCATCCGATGGCTTAGAATGCCAGCAGTTCCTCCCGTTCCTCATCCCCTCGGTACTCCTACCCCCACCAAAGCACGCACCTGCTTCTCAGAGTCCTTGAGGAGGGCCACCTGTCCCAGCAACAAAGGGTCCATGTTCCACAGGAAGCTGAAGCCTAAACCAGGATGAGTGTTGATCCCAGCAGAGATGACGATGCTTCTACCCAAAGGTCAGTTATCATCACATGTATAAACCCACAACAGAAGCAGGTAAGGCAGTAAATATGGACTAAATGCAGTTAATTCACTAATTCTTTCATATAATTGTGTGGTTCTCATCCCTCTTTTCCCAGTCCAACAAGCAGTATTTTTTTCTCACTCTAAGGCTTCCAAAGATATCAACTAAGCTAATTACAAAACGATTTTTAAAAATAGGTATACATCTTTAATAAAGTACATATATTCCTGAAATGCTTCTCTTGAAATAAATGTCTATAGGTGAAATGGGAGTCTCCTGATCCCCCTCAAATAACGTGTAATGGGGGTGTGGCTCACCTGTTCCATCGCCGCCACCATCCAAACCCCTGACCGGAGTGGGAGCATGCAGACAGGCAGGTGCAAGCAGGGACAATTGCTTTGGGCTCCAGCCCTGCAGTAGTGTCTAGGGGTGGGTGCCTGCAGTCCCAGTGTTACCATGTTCTTTTAGCTTTGCCATCCACAGATGGCTTAAGTGTTAACCAGCTCAGTGGACCCTCTGCCTTTTGCAAGGGCCAAGGGCCAGTGTGACAGCTTTCTGTATCCTGAGCTCTTGCGCAGCATCCTGGAAGAATCGGGTCACACACAGATTTGAAGGATGAATGCAGGGTTTTGCTGAGTGGTGGACGTGGCTCTCGGTGGGATGGATGGGGAGCTGGAAGGGAGGATGGAGTGGGAAGGCGATCTTCCCCTGGAGTCTGGCTGTCCAGCAGCCGAAGTCCTCTCCAACCACACCCAGCCGAACTCCTCTCATCATTCAGACACTCCTCCTCTTCTCTCTTTCTCTGCTGCCTTGTTCTGCTGTCTATCTGCTTGTCTCCTCACCTGCTCATCTGCTTCTGGAGCCTGGGGTTCAGGGTTTATATGGGTACAGAATTGGGGGGAGGTGTGGTGGGCCAAAGGCAACTTTTTCGGCTCAAAAACAGAAAAGCCTTTTCCCACTTAGGGCCATGGGTCTCCAGGCTTGAGGGTGGGGCCTTTGCTGGGGGAACTGCCTTCTTCTACGCCATATTTTCTTGTCTCCTGTCTATAACAGGTGAAGCAGCTTCTCTGTTGAATTACATTTTAGTTTAGGAAAATACTTTTGCAACTATTTCTGCTGTGAACTGTGGAGAGAAAAGAGAAGCTATCAAGCATAAATAGTTTTCTTCTTCTTAGTGGAGCTCAGAAATGTATGGGGAAAGAGTTGTTTACATTTTCATAAGAATTTCCTTTATTCAAATTTTAAGAACACACAGTGAATTTATTTTTTTATTATATTGATATTGTTGTATAATGAAAACTAATTTCACAACCTTTTACAATAGTTTACATTGTTTACATTTTATTTAATTCACATTTTGAAAAAGTAGAATCCAGTTAGCTGATATGAGCAAACACACTTCAGTTGGCAGATGTCTCCTTCACAATGAAATAAACCTTCAAGAGAGGACAGGAGGTACAGAAGACGCCCAGGGGTACCCTACAGTGAGGGCTGCCAGGAGAAAATATCCCTATTTTCCAAGATGCTTTGATTCTTTTAATACAGGTGACTTCGATTTTGTCTTAATTTCTTCTTACCTCTTTGGGATTAAAACACCTTAAGCAGAGTAAATGACAGAGCTGCACACATCTGCTGTTCCTGATTTATCTCAGTGCAGTGGGTACCTCCACATGGTTGAGATGCAGAATTCTTTACCAAGAGGTCATGCTGTCAAAGACAACATATGTTGTGCAGCTCTGCAAATAATTCTTCCAGCATTTGCTATTCACCAGGCAGAGGAGGCCAGTGATCTAGAAAGCATTTCCTACTAACTTCCTCAGCCTCATCCCTGCTCACCCATGCCCATAAGCCCAGCCTTCCCTTCTCTATGGGTCCAGGTATTCAGGAAGGAACAGAAAGTTGGCTTCCGGAATTGCTTTTTATTAAAATATCAGTTTAGAGTTATTTTCTTTGTTTTAAATAGAAAATACGAAAGACAAATCTTGTGATTGCCTGTCAAGAGAGCTTATCCAAGGCACAAGCTGACCATAGGGCAGTATTTAAACTTCTGCATCTCACTCAGCCGCCTTCTGCCCCTTTGCAAAGCAGCTCGAATGCAGGCGTGCGCTTGCTGTCTCTGCCTGGGCTGCTCCTGTGGGGCTGGGTGCACCCGCTCCAGCAGTTCAGGTCTTCACTGGATAGGAGTCTCTATCCACAGTAACATGCCCTTCTCTGTGACTCTCTAGTTTTCTGTCTTTTCACCCATAGCCTCTGATATATAATATATTACTATGCATCTTTCCGCTTGAAAGTAAACTCAATAATAACAAGGAACTTGACTGTTTTGTTCACTGCTGTATCTCCATTCTCTGGAATAAACATACATTAATTTAAAACATAAATTAATAAATGATTTATTAATAGGTTAATGAATACACTGTAATACACATGGAATACACATGGCTGAGACTCTGCAGCCATAGACTCGTGATGATGTTGTGCTGAATAAGCTCTTCTGGACACTCTTGCTAAGCCCATAACTAAATAGTCAGCAACTAAAAAACTTATCCCATTTTAAGTGATATGTAAAATCACAGAACATAAAAAAGAAATGAATCTTAAGCTACCTCCATCGGAGTCAGGGTCACAAATTCCTATTTTATGGGGATTATGGTCTCTGAAATATTTCAGAATTACAGAAACAATCAAAAAATGCCTTCCAGACATGAATCTGAATGGTAGATTCTCCATCAACACAGACATTCTGTTTTGGTATCAGTGACTCCCAGGCTGGATCAGCAACCATCTCCCACATGCCTGGAATAACTGCTGGCTGCGTCCGTCACAGGCTGGTGGTGGTTATTTGGAGAGATGTTTACATGTCTCAAACCTCCACACAGGCAAGAGATAAATTCTCCGAAGAATTAAAACATACATTCTGAATTGGACTCAAGAGAAAAATCCTGTGGATTCTTAACCCCAGGCAAAATGCAGACCATATAATGAATACAATGTGTTTTCGGGGGGCGGGGAGGGGCGGGGAGAAACATCACCACCACCAGCAATGCACTTTTTCAAGGTCTTTGGCAGAAACTGATATATAAACAGATTTTTTAAAGCAACTAACCTCAGAATTGTTTATTTCATTCTCTTTAAAAAGAAAGGATCATCTATTTTATCAAAGCACAGTGGAACAATTTCCTTCTTTCAGAAATGAAATAACAAAGATGCATTATTCCCTGCGGTGGGAGCAAGTGTCTTTCCTCATTTCCCCATCAGCCGCCATCTGCACACGTGGCTCCAGCAACGGCCTGTGCTTCATGGCTGGGAGTCAGCACAGCACATGGTAAAATTCATCACAAGTTTCTCTTTGGATGCAATCCAGAAAGAAAAGGATTTCAGATTTAGAGAAAAGGAATGGGTGGTCAAGGGATTCTAAAATTCAGTCTTCAAAACAAGCTGGAGCCTTGCGTGCCTTCACCGTCCACAGAAACACAACAGTTATTAAATGCAGCATCCGTGTGTTCCTTTCCACGCCAACTGCATATGGCAGCAGGTTCTGCCTTGTGTCTGTGGCTGCTCTGGAGGCGGTGTCTCAGTGGTCAGAGACGCCTATGCTTTACCCACAAACAGACTCCCTGATGTGGTTTGGCTGTGTCCCCATTCAAATCTCAACTTGAATTGTATCTCCCAGAATTCCCACATGTTTTGGGAGAGACCAAGGCAGAGGTAATTGAATCATGGGGCTGGTCTTTCCTGTGCTGTTCTCATGATATAAGTAAGTCTCACGATATCTGATGGGTTTATCAGGGGTTTCTGCTTTTGCTTCTGCATCATTTTCTCTTGCTGCCACCATGTAAGAAGTGCCTTTCACCTCCCATCGTGATTCAGAGGCCTCCCCAGCTGTGTGGAGCTGTAAGTCCAATTAAACCTCTTTTTCTTCCCAGTCTCAAGTATGTCTTTATCAGCTGCAGGAAAGTGAACTAACACCCCTCCCCCTTCTTGGTGTCCACACACACTCAGGGCTCATGCTCTGGATTCTCTGCATTCTCAAGTTTGAAGCTCTGTTCCTACCCCTTGTCCTTTCCCCTCTCCATAGCCTCCAGAAAGTCCATGGCAAAGCCTGACACTTTCTATCATTTCTCTCAAAACCAGCCCAGTCTTTCCAAGCTCATTTCATCCCCCACCCAGCTCAGGTAATGAGGCCCACCAAGGTAGAGGCTGAGAGCCAGAGGGATGTGGAAACCGAAAGTAAAATTCTAAGCCTCAACCATCCAAATGGACCCCTCCTCTCGGCCAAGGCCATTGGGAAGATAACTTGAAAAACTAGTTCAGGCCATGATGGGAAGAGAGAGTCAGATGTGCCTTATCATACCCTCCTCTCTTTTGGAATTACTGATAGAACAAACTCTTTAAGTCTCATAAGAAACATTTACAGTCTATTCTCTCTGAAGCCTGCTACCTGGAAGCTTCAACTTCTTGATAAAACCTTGGTTTCCACAACCCCTTATCTTAACCCAGACATTCTTTTATATTAATTCCAGGTTTAGACAATAACTCTTTCGACCAATTGCCAATCAGAAAACCTTTGAATCGCCTATAACCTGGAAGCCCGTGCTTCCAGTTATCCTGCCTTTCCCAACCAAACCAATGTACATTTCACATGTATTGATGCCTTATGCCTCCCTAAAAATGTATAAAACCAACTTGTGGCCTGACCACTTAGGACGCAACGGAGTATCTGAAGCTGTGATGTCGACAAATGCACATACAGACAAGCAGTCAAAGAGGCGGATGGTCCAAGAGTCAATACATGTAAGACACCATCCTTCCCAAGCTAACCTTGCATAGTATTTGCAGTTTAGAAGGTATTAATATTAGAGCAGTTCCTAACTGAAGGCCCACAGAAGATGAAGTCAGAATGGAAGACTGAGGCAAAGGAGGGTGGGCCATTGCAGGAACTTCGCACTAGACAACATAAAGGATTCTCCTGCTGACTCATCTAACAAATGTTCACTGAGTACGTACTAAAAACTGAGTACCTGCTCACTCTGATGATAGTTTCTTTTGCTGTTACAGAATGGGAGAAAATCTTTGCAATCTACCCATCTGACAAAAGGCTAATATCCAGAATCTACAAAGAACTTAAACAAATTTGCATGAAAAAAACAACCCCATCAAAAAGTGGGCAAAGGATATGAACAGACACTTCTCAAAAGAATACATTTATGCAACCAAAAGGCATATGAAAAAATGCTCATCATCACTGGTCATCAGAGAAATGCAAATCAAAACCACAATGAGATACCATCTCAAGCGATCATTAAATGATCATTAAAAAGTCAGGATTTTAATGGCGATCATTAAAAAGTCAGGAAACAATACATGCTGGAGAGGATATGGAGAAATAGGAACACTTTTATGCTGTTGGTGGGAGTGTAAACTAGTTCAACCATTATGGAAGACAGTGTGGTGATTCCTCAAGGATCTGGAACTAGAAAAACCATTTGACCCAGTGATCCCTTTACTGGGTATATACCCAAAGGATTATAAAACATACTACTATAAAGACACATGCACACGTATGTTTATTGCACTATTCACAATAGCAAAGACTTGGAACCAACCCAAATGTCCATCAATGATAGACTGGATTAAGAAAATGTGGCACATATACACCATGGAATACCATGCAGCCATAAAAAAGGATGAGTTCATGTCCTTTACAGGGACATGGATGAAGCTGGAAACCATCATTCTGAGCAGACTTCTGAGGCTGTGTCATGTGTGTGTCTGTAACCTTGGCAAAATAAATTTTCTAAATTGACTGAGATCTGTCTCAAATATTTTGTGTTCGCAAGACAATGAGAAATAAGTCTCTGTTGTTTATAAGCCACCCAATCTATTGCCCTTTAACGGCTGAATGAACTGGGACACTGGGTTTGCTTATTAGGTCAATTTTGTCAATCTAGTTTTTCATCTCTTCTATGTTATCACTGATGTTTAGTTGGTCTGTTTTACCTTTCTGTTACTAAAGTATATTGGATTATTCCAACATGGTTGTGGGCTTATCTATTTCTCCTTCGGTTTTTTCCCATTTTTGTTTTATATATCTTGAGGTTATTTTTTAGGTGCACTAATATTTTATTAGATTAAAATCTAAATTTTATTTAGATTAAGAATTGGTATATCTTCTGTGTATGGCTCTTTGTTTTCATTACAAAAACTTCCTTACTTACTAATGCTAGAAATTTTCTGCCTTTGATGATACATTTCCCTGCTTTTTCTGTGTCCTTTTACATAAAGTATGTCTCCTGTAAAGAGCGTGTAGTTACATTTTGTTATTTTAATCCAATTCAGCAATATTATTGGTTAACTGGCACACTAAGTTCATCCATATTTTCATACCATTACAATATATTTGGATGTGAGTCTACTCTTTTATATTTCATTTTTAATGTGTGAAATCTGGTCTTAATTCATTTTTCTTATTTCTTTAATTATTTTTGCATTAATCAAGTGTTTCTATTCTAATTATGTTTTCACTCTTCTCTTAATGGCATTTTAAAGATTAACACACCCATTCCTGATTTATTTCTCGCTGATGTTATTACTGCTCCCACTTCCAAATGATGAAGGACCTTAGAACACTAGCATGATCAGTCCTCTTTGCTCTTTGTGCTTTTTGGAAGTCAGCTGTGCTAACCACCTACCACAAACACCTCTTGTTTCTGCTGTTTGAAATGTGTTTCCATTGCATTTGATCTTTTTGTTTTATTTTATTATTTTTTTAAAGATGGGGATCTCAGTATGTTACCAGGGCTGGTCTTGAACTTCTGGCCTCAAGTGATCCTCCAGCCTCAACCTCCTGAGTAGCTTGGATTATAGGTGCACAACACCACACCCAGCTCTATTTGATCTTAACATCATCAAAACTGTATTATTCCCATTTGATAGAATCCACATTTTTTTTTTTAACTCTATGCTTGCTCTGTTTCCTATTTGGTATTTCTGTGGGATCATTTGCCTTCTTCCTACAGACTTTCTGGTCATCCTCGTAGTGCAGCTGTGTTGCTAAAAGTTTTCTAAGTATTTGTTTACCTAAAAATTATGATTTTTGTTTTTGAAGAATATTTTTAGTGTTAGTTATTTCTTTCAGCATTTTAAATATCACATTCCAGTGTCTCCAAACACCCATTCTTCTTAAATGTCAGTTACCATTCTTATTATTGCTCACATAGTCTTTCAGTTTTCCTCTGGTAGAAAGATTTTTTTTGTCTTTAGCTTTCAAAAGCTTTACATTAATGTGAGTAGGTGTGACTTATTTATCTATCTGCCTACATGTCTTGGATCTTTGGAATGATGGATTTAGCAGTTTTAGAAACTACTTGGCCAATAGTTCTAGTAGTTTTTGTCACATTTTTTTCTCTCCTCTCTTTTTGGGTCTGCAGTCAATACTGTTTAGACTTTTTCTCCATTTCTCCTAGTTTATTTTTGTATACATTCCAATCTTTTTTTTTTAACTCTGTGTTTCCTTCCAGATATTTTCTTCTTGCCTGTTTTCCAATTCATCAATACTCTTTTCAACTCCATCTCATTGCTATTAAATCCATTTATTGGTTTCAGTTCTTGATTTCAGTTAATTTTCAGTTCTATAATATTAATTAATGGGTTTCAGTTCTCTCATGTAATTCCCCATAATATCACCAGTTTTCTTATGCATATTTTGATTATTTTAATGTCATTTTCTGATAACTCTTTTATCTAGATTACCAGTGAGTTTGTTGCTCTTGTCCATTTTTTGTTTTTTTCCCCTCATTTACTATAATTTAAATTTGTTTTCTACTATGGCTGGTAACTTTTGTTTGAATATTGACACTATCTTATGAAAAATTATAGAAGCTTTGGAGAATATTATCTTGCTCCAGAGAAAAACTAATTTTCTATGCAGTTTTGAGTAGTCACAAATTACCTTTATTATATCAGAGATTAAACTGTTTTAAGGCTGTGGGGCCAATTTCCCCACAGTTCTAGATGCTTTGTTAGCATGAATAATAGAAATCCCTTCTGCTTTGCCCTTTTTGATGATTGGTACAATTTGTATTTTCTTTTACTCCTAGGAAATAGTCATTCAGGGATCTCAGGTGAAAGTATAAAATTGACTAGATTTACTTTGGCTATTACTAGTATCCCTTTTGATGGAAATTAAACTTCAATATTTTCCATTCCACACCTTAAGAATATGGAAATCTCTCCTTAGATTTACAGAGTTTCAGATACCAGTTCTTGCATGTTTTTTTCTCTTTAATTCCCTGAAGTTTAGGAATTGTTATAAGCCTCCAAAAGAAAATTAGTAGAGAGAGTCTCTGTTCTCCAAGATATTAAAATTAGTAGACAGAGTCTCTGTTCTCCAAGATGTTAAAATTAGTAGAGAGATTCTCTGTTCTCCAGAACATTAAAATTAATAGAGACAGTCTCTGTTCTCCAGGATATTGAAATTAGTAGAGAGAGTCTCTGTTCACCAGGATAAAAATTAGTAGACAGAGTCTCTATTCTCCAGGATATTAAAATTAGTAGAGAGAGTCTATTTTCTCCAGGATATTAAGTTAGTAGAGAGAGTCTCTGTTCTCCAGGACGTCATCCCGCAAGTCCTGCCACTGAGGCCACTCTACTCTCCAGCCTTCACCTCCTCATCTGTGGGAGATGCTGAGAGTTCTGATCTTCTTACCCTCAGCTGCTGTGCTCCAAGCACCCACAATTGGCCAAACTGGAAGAGAAAGTTGGGTCCAGCCTTGTGTAATTTCCTTCTCTCTGGCTTTTCCAGTTATGGCTACTCTGGTTGTTCTCCAGAATCTTCCAACAGCTCTTTAGAAAATGTTGTACATATATAGACACAGGGAGAGGAACAACACACACTGGGGCCTGTTGGGGGGTATGGAAGGAGGGAGAGCATCAGGAAAAACAGCTAACGCATGCTGGGCTTAATGCCTAGGTGATGGGTTGATGGGTCCAGCAAATCACCATGGCACACATTTACCTATGCAACAAGCCTGCATGTCCTGTGCATGTACTCCAGACCTTAAAATAAAATAAATAAATACATAAAGTAAAATAAAATGAATAAAATGTCGTTCATGTTTAGAGTCATTCCCAGCAGGAACTACTTCATCATCATCACATAGATAAACACTATAACCACATTCTGATTCTGATCCACTCAGTATTTGAACAAAATATGTCGATATTTACACACACACAAGAATGAATAATAAGAGGGTAATTGATTTGCAGTCTTTTCTAGTTACAGCAGTAGGTAACATGAACTGATCAAGAAAGGAACTTTACCTGTATAATTAAGGATGTATTTTCATCAAGTTTTGCTTTTATATTTAATACTCTTAAAACATATAATTTTTATGTTGTTTTAACAAGTTAAGCATTAAAACAATAGTACTAACACAATCAGAAACTTTAAAAATATGCAGTCTTAATGACATCATTTTAAGTTATATTTCTCAATTACATATTTGTGTTGAAGAGGAGTATGATATAGTGATCCCTCAAATGTTTCTATTCTAAAATTTATTATGTAAGGTTAAAAATAATAATTAGAAAAATAGAAGGGAGTTGCAAATTCAAGAAACGTGTAATAATTTAACATTTTGACTGTTAAAAAGCTTTTCCTAGTATTTTTTCATGTGGATGATTCTGGTGTAAAGCAGACGTGGTATTTCAATGCCCCTGTATGTATTTGAAACTGGTGTGGCAATTTTACTTGACACGTCAATGATATTGTTTGCAACTATTTAAACTTTGGAGAAAAATTTAGATACCTACTTACAAATGTGCAGTCTTTTACATTCATGAGCAAAGAGCTTGAAGACTGCTCCCTTCAATCCTCCCTCTCCCTAGCAATGGTGTGATTGAAAACAGTTTCCTTCTTTTTTCTTGTGTCCACTGCCTTTGAAGAAATTCATTTTGGAAAGCACTCAATCCTGTTCTAGTTTACACAGATCATGTTCCAGGTGTGAGGCATACCCACCATCCTCATGGCTTTGTGCACAGCCATGTGGCTGTTGTTGGTTTTTGTCTTTCTTAAGTTTAAGTAATTATTTTGCTAGAACACTTCCTTAAGCAGTTTGTCCAGAGAAGATCACCTGGTTGAATATGTTTTATTGTGTTCCTTCAACATCTTGAATTATTCCTGTGCATTTTAATAATAGTGGTGGCACATCTGAAGATTGCTTATATGTGTCCCATTCTTTATGTGTCAGTATTTGAATACTGGATCTAAGAAAATGTAATTATAAAAATAGGTTTTCTGTAATTTAAAAAAATCTCAGAATACTGACACAGATACAAATCTAGCACAAGAACGAGGACTTCATTTCTGACCAGAACACAATGCATTATTTTATTCATAAAAATGTTAAATTATTTTCAGAATTAACACGTGAATAAGCTCATAAATTTCAGTAAACTCAATTGTTTTTTCCCCCAAAGTGCTTTACTGAGGTGTAGTTGACATATAAAAACCGCATATTCAATGTATACAACTTAATGGGTTTGGAAATAAGTAGACAGCTTTGAAGCCATCACTACAATCATGCCCTAAGCCTTTCTATTACTTCCAAAAGTCTCTTCCCACTCGATGATGCTGCTGCTGCTGCTGCTGATGATGATGATGATGATGATGATGATGTTGGCAATAAGCACACTTCACTGTATGCTCTGTGCTGAACTGTAGAGTTCTAGGGCTTCTTCATCTTTCATTAACACCTCCCTGTTTCCCTCTCCTCCAAGCCCCTGGCAACCGCCCTTCTACTCTCTGCTTCTGTAAGTTTCATTGTTTTAAATTCATTACATACATGGTATCTATCAAGCAGTATTTGTCCTTCTGCGTCTGGCCTATTTCAGTCAGTATAACATCCTCAGGGTTTATCCACGTGGTTGCAAATGGCAGGATTTCCTTCATTTTAAAGGCTGAATAATATTCCATTCTACATGCATACCACATTGTCTTTATCATACATTCATCAGTGGACATTGAAGTTGCATCAACGCCTTGGCTATCGTGAATAACGCTGTAACAAGCAAGGGAGTGCAGCTCCCCTTTGAGATCTTCGCGTCAGTGCCTTTGGATATATGCTCAGAAGTGAGATTGCTGGATCCTTGGAGAGCTCTATTCTTAATGTTTTGAGGCACCTCCACTCTTTCCCAGAGCAGCTCCAGCACTTTGCATGCCCACCAACAGTGCACAAGGGTCCAGTTGCTCCACATCATCAACCCACACTTGTTGTCTTCTAGTTTTGTGTTTTTTTAGCCATCCTCACAGGTGCGGTGATATCTCATTGTGACTTTGATTTAAATTTCCCTGATTATTAATAATGTTGAGTGTCTTTTTACATGTTTGTTGTCCATTTAAATGTCATCTTTAGAGATATGTATGTTTCAAGCCCTTTGACCATTTTAATTTTATTTTTGCTGTGCTTTTATTTTCCTTTTTGCTATTGAGTTGTGGAAGTCCTAGATGCCACCACAATGTGAAAAATTGCAGCTGTGTATAGAGCCCAGTGGTATTCTAAGAATCACTTTCAAGTCAAAGTCAACATGGTAAATACCTTGTTCTTTTACCTATTGGGAAACATCATCTTCAAACACGAAGTTTAATGGAATTTGTATGGATGTATAAACAACAAAGAATGCCATTAAAACCTATAATTGAGTGTTGTACCATGATGATCAGAGATTACACTTTCAGTAAAACTTTTTGGTTTACCATGCTTTCTATAAAAGGGAAGGCCTAAAATATGCTCCGAATGCATCCCCCATGTCTGAAATGGTGCGAGTAGCCATGGAAAGGCTAGCATCCTCATGGGAACAGTCTGACCGTTGAAACAGTAGGCTCACTGTGGTATATTTTACCTTGCGGGAAAGTCATGAGAAAACACACCCTGCTGGTTTGGAGGTTGCTGAAGAAACAGGCCACCGCAAGGGGATTGCATTACTGTGGCAGAAAGCTGTTCCTTCAAGACTTCCAAATTGGTAGTTGATACATTGTGGATGCTGGGGAGATTTCAGTACTCTACCAGCCCTCTCAAAAATATATTTTTAATATAAAAGGGTGTTGACATTAAAAATGTGTGCTAAGCAAGAGCAGAAGCGCTCCTCTGTACGCTCACCGCTCGCTCTCAGCACCGTCCAGCTGGTGCCTTGACTCTCACTCTCCCAGAATGATGAAGTTAAATGCCAAGAGAGTTAACTGAAACATTTTTAAAGGAGCCAACTTAGTATGAAAATGTCTCTATAATAGGCAATAACTAGTACAATTAATTCATGTAGGCCCCTGTTATAGCGCCCTCAAACTATCATGCTTCCCTCATCGGTGAGGGAATTCATGCACTGGATATTTACTGAACACCTACTACGTGCCAGGCATTATGGCAGGTTTGGGGAACATGACAATGGAAAAGAAAAAAGGGGAAAAAACCCTGCCCTTACAGGGACTGATATTTTAATGAACCAAAAAGGGAAAGATTACAAAAAAACAGATATAAAGGCCATGAATGACCCAGTTCATTAGAGAATGATGAGAGATGCATCAGCGAAGAGAAAAATTGAGCAAGACCAGTGGTCCAGGGTGCAGGGTGAGCAGGGCAGGTGGTGCCTTTACCATGAACTACGTTGTTGGGAGGTGGTTTTTGTATAAACCGAGGAACAGGTGGGGAAATTAGGCAGGTGGTGATCCCAGGGGACAGAGTTCCAGGAAGAGGGGAAAGCAGTGCCGAGGCCTCTAGGCAGGAACACCCATGGGTGTGTTCAAGGGGGAGCGAGGAGCCAGGGTGGCACAGCCTTCATGATGGAAGGAACTCCCCATGGAGAGGAAGGAGAGGAATAGGACAGCCATGGGAGAGCCACTGCACTCACTCAGGTGGGCAGTGATGGCGGCTCCACCAGGGCGTCACCAAGGAGGGAAGGAGGTGTGTCTGGACATGCACTAGGAGGGTAATTGGACGGACTGGATGTGATGTGTAAGATAAGGGAGAATTCAGGGGCTCTTCAAGGTTTTCGGCCTAAGCAACAGAAAGGACGGCATTGCCCTCACCTGAGGTGGGGTGGCTGCAGGTGAGGACGGATTGGAAAGGGAGATCAAGAGCTCAGTTTGGACATTTTGAATTATCCATGTCTACTGAGAGGAGAGGTTCGGTGGACAGACCCTATATGAGTTTTGGGGTCGGGGAGTGGTCTGAACCTGAGGTATGAATTTCGGAGTCAGAGGTGTGAGGATGGTGTTTAAAGCCATGTGGACAGAGAAGAGGAGTAAATCCGGGAATGAGTCTGTGGTTCCTTCGATATTCAGAAGCTGGGAACAGAGGGATTAGCAGAGGCAGCTGAGAACCAAAGAGCGGGACCCTAGAGGCCAAGTGAAGAGCAAGGAGTGAGCTGAAGACGCTGTCGGAGTTTCCCTGTGTGCTGACAGGCCCGTGGAAGGGGACTGAGAGGCACCGCCGGGATCACCCGAGTGCTGCCCCCACAGACACAGAGTGGTATGGACTAAATGGTGGGGGTGACGGCTGATGGGAGTGGGTGCAGAGCAATGGGGACGTAGCTTACTGACAGCATGGGTTGGGAGAATCTGTTCTGTTTTGTTTTAAGATGGGTGAAATCACATGTCTATCTGCTGTTGGGAATGACCTGGCATCCGTGGTTCATTTTCCTTTGTTGGTAACAGGCTCCCAGGGTGCTGTACACACACCCCTCCCTCGTGCATTTCAGAGGCTCCTCACCAGGCTTGTGATTCACATCCTTGAAGCAGGAAAGGCATGGATGGTCGTTTGATGCAATCAGCCACATAGTGCTATCTGGGAGTGACGGCCGGCGTCCAAGACAGTCTTCCCAGGTCCTGGCCTGCTGTGGCTCTCCCTGCTCCAGCCTGCCTGCCTCATGCTGGGGTCTGTGTGCTCAGAATATGGCAAAAGGGGGGTGTGGGCTTCTGAGACCAGGCCACAAGTGGCCGCAGCTTCCTGCCAGGCAAATCCTTGCCCTCCTGGATCACTCACTTGGGAAGCTGAGGTTTCTGATGGCCGCAGGAGTGTGCTTGGAAGCCTCACCTCCAGTCCCATCCAGTCTTCAGATAACTGCAGACCCAAGGGACCCCCTGAGCCTCAGCCAGCTAGTCAGCCAGCTAGGCTGCTTCTCAACTTCTGAGCCCAGAAACTGTGTGAGATGAGAAAGGGTTGTTTAATCAGCTAAAGTTGGAGGTGAATGGTTATGCTGCAATAGATAACCAATTCTCAGGGACAGATAGGCTTGGTAGACTGGAGATCTTGTCAACCTGAAGCACATGTTTTCTTTGAGGCTAGTTTCTACCAAGAAAAAACAGAGATGGAAGATTCTAGACCACTCAGTGCCAACTTTTTTGTATGTTTTATTTCTGTGTCCTTGCGGAGGTCACTCAGGCAAAAGCAGTGGTCTCTTGGCCGTTTACACACATATGACAGCATGTTTATCACACACTTGGTTACTCTCTGCAATGCTCCCTGTGGCTGGCACTATTCACCGTTTACGTCCTCACCACCCCATCAGGAAGACATGTAGGTTTAATCCCTACAGCCAGAGATTTCTGCAACGCCAGGGCACAAGCTTCTTACGTCGTCTTTGAAGGAGCACAGATGATTTAAAAGAAAATAACACTAATAGCCAACAACCGGGGACCCCTTCCTGCCTTATGGAAGCTTCCCCCACAGAGAATCCCATTTAATATTCATAGGAAGCCAATGAGGCCTCTGTGGCTCCCACTGGCCTGACAAGGAAGAAGAGGCCCCGGAGGGCACGGAGCCCGCCTGGAGTCAAAAAGCCAGAGACTGCAATGATCCCAGTTGCAAAGCTGGCACAACAGGCTGTACCCTTTTATGGGAGGGTCACTGCCATGCAGGAGAGGGGAGCAGTGTGGGTTGTGTGAGATTTCCTAGAGGTGCCTCTCGCCATGGCCCTGCCAGCACCTCTGGTGGTTCAATTATCACCGAGGAACGGCTCCAAGTCTGAAGGGTTTTTTGAACCTTTTCCCTGCTTTTCTTGCAATGAGAACTCTGAATGAGGGGCAGAGGAGAAGCAGATGCCAAATCGCCGAGAAGCACTCCAAGCCCTCTGGCAATGGAGTTCCGAGAAGAAAGAATGGGGCGCAGTTTCCAGGTTCTGCCTGCCCCTCCTACCCCAGCACTTCCCTCCCGCCCTGAACTCCTTCCACAGGAAAGGCTATGAAGCCCACCATCCCTGTCTGAGGTAGACCGGGCAGAAAACACGCAGGTTTTGTTGCGAAGTGGAATGTGCTAGTGTGCTGTCTGCTCAACCAGTGTCTTCTGCTTTGATTTCATTTTTATTTTTTTAAGAAGAAAATAAAAATCTCAAAGACTAAGTTCTCATACTGTAATTCCTGGAAATCATTCTGGAGTCAAATACTTTTGTCTGTTAAGAAAAAAAATAAAATGTAGAGATTTCCTGCTGCTCCGGGAGTGTCGCCAGCAGACAGGGGTTTCAGGCTCCCCCTGCCAGAACTTCTGAGCAACGTGGCAGCTGCCGGGACCGGGCCTCTGAGTGCAGAGAGCAGGCGTTGCCAGGAGCGGACTCAGACAGTGGAGGCCCCTCGCTGACCCTCTCCGGGGCCACTGCAAAGGAAGAAGAAAAGCACAGGCATCAGCTTCAACAATGCAAAACAAAGTAAGCTTGAATTCAGATGAGGGGCAGTTAAAATCGCAGCCTAGAAGTCCAAGTGTGGTTTGTAACACTCCAAACCCCATGTCAGCCTTCAGTGATTGTTCTGCTGACCATGTTGCTACAGAGCGGCTTGGGTTTTTCCTTGTGGCAACTCCCCAGGGTGACAGATTATTCGGCAATGTCACCATTTTGTAGATGTATTCGGGATTTCCAGCCATAAGCCATGGATGATATTGGGGATCCTTTATTCCTGGTGGGTGCCCATAAGAGTTTGCAAACTATACCCAAAAGGGCACGGGAACCCCTAAACTTTCCAGGCTGTCTTGGCACACGGCTCACTAGAACTGTTAACGCCGTCAAAGTATCTCTGACACGTCCTTAGCCTGTGTTTGAAAACCTGCAGAGATGGGATACGCCCCTTTACCAGAGACAGTGCATTCCGTCCACTGGGAGTGACACACGGCCAAGCCAGGCTTCAAAGAGAGAGGTTCACCGTATTCCAGTAGTGACTACTGGGATTTAGGGTTGGATCACCTTACCAGAGCTTGGAAGCTGCTAGAAGTTAACATTAATTTTATTGTTCTTTAAAATGAAAGTCCAGCAGGAGGGCCAGGATTTGGGCATCTCGGTCCTTCACGAAAAGAAAGGGTGATGTTGATTAGCCATGTTCCACATCCCCCGAGTTAAATATAGGAATAGTTCTGACATCTGACTCAAGAATGTGTTTTCTTGCATGATATTAAGGCAGATGCACAGATCCACGTAGATTAATCCCCTTCACTAGTAGCAGGGGCCCGATGAGGTAGCTGATGAGGAAGAGCCCCCGAGACCAGGCCCAGCGTGGGGCCACGGCCTTGGGATCTGGACGACACCCCAGCGGTTCTGTGCCGCCAGCAGGCCCTGCCGCATCTCTGGGCTGGAGCCCTGACTGTCAGCAGATGAGGCCATGGGTTGGGGTGTCTCTCCCACCAGAACGGCTTCGTGGGGTGCTCACTATCCCCTGGTCATGCTTCGGCACAGCTGGCACCGGCTCCCTGAGGGCCCACTGATTGGTTTTACACAAGTCTGTGAAGCTTCCCACAATGCACGATGTCCTTAGCAAATACAACACAGCCCGCTGGTATCGCCTCTTCCTTCACTACCTCCACAACCACTTGTGGCAGAGGAGGAGCCTCCAGTTGCACTTGGCCAAGGCGGCTTTTGTAAGAACTTGACGGGACCAAGCCACCCCCACGGCATCATTTCCACGGGAGAACACATCCCAGCGAAACTCCAAGGAAAGGGTAGTTTTGTGAAGAAAATGCTTGTGTTCTAGGACACAGCCCAGCAAGTCCCTGACTTTAAAAAATGTGTAAGAAACAGGAATGTAACATTGACGAAACATGCCTGCCAAGATGGACTTTCCTTGTGGCGAGACCCTTCCTTCTCCTCAATGCCTGGGTGCTAGCAGGGTAGCATCCCCAGCCTCAGAGCTCAAGCGTCATGATTGGGGAAATGAGACTGGGCAGCCATTCGGAAGGCCGGGCAAAGAAGAGTGTAAAGAGACATTGGTCTCGTGCTGCAGAATGAGTTACAAATAGTGAATCCTCAGCAATACTGTCTCCCCGTGGACTGGAATTTGGACCCGCTGCTGTGGCGGGCAGCTTTGACCCAATGAGGACCACGCCTGGAAGGATGTCAGAGCAGCAGGGACCTGGGTGGAGTGACCTGGTGGAACGGAGACGCCTGCCGGCTCAGCAGCCACAGCAGCAGCTGCCCGTCATGGGACAGCAACGTGGCAAGAATTCCCCACGGGTTCCGGGGGAGCCTGTGTTGCTGGACCCTTTGCCACACCACCGAACCTGGCCCAGAGGAGCAGGAATTGGCCGAGTTCCAGGCCCTGCACCTGACGGGGGCTTCCTCAGCCTCTCATGTGATCCTCGCAGCAGGCTAACGTGCAGGCCCTTCTGTTTTCCAGATTTGACAGTTGAGAGGGGAAAGCCATGTTTTCAAATGTTACAGTAGAAGAGGCAGGATGCAAATCCAGCCCTGGCTGGTGCTGAAGCTGGGGCAGGTGCATCTGCAGGGTGCTGCCTTCAAGGCAGAGGGGTGACTGCTGTGTTTCATGGCAGGGAAGCCCCCCTTGATGCTCACACCACCCAGGTCGTACGGCTTTGAGGACATCCCTTTCTTCAAACCCAGGTCATCTGAACAGTGTGGCCTGAATCCCAGGTTGGGAGTGAGTAATTCATCATCCAAACTGATTAGAGAATCTGAGTGAGGGACCTTCAAGTCAGGGATAGAGAACGGGCTTCGTCTTCTGGAGCTGCCATAACAAAATGCCGAAGACTGGGCGGCTTCAACCACACAAGGGCCTTTCGACACAGCCCTGGCAACTGGAAGCTGGGGGTCGAGGTGTGGGCAGGGCTGGTTCCTGGGGAAGGATCTCCTCCCGGCTGCAGATGGCCGCCCCTGGCTGCATGCCCGCCTGGCTTTCCTCGGTGCTCACTCACCCCGGTGCCTCTTCTGCTTCTTAGAAGGATCCCCAGCAGATGAGGGCCCCAGCCTGGTGACCTCACTTACCCTCCATCATGTGCTGAAGGTCCTTCTCCAAATGCAGTCAACGTGGGGATTAGGGCTTCAACTTAGGGCCCGGGGCGGATGCAATTGAGTTCGTAGCAGACGTTATCTTCGGGATCCCCTGTCTTCCCCCTGACCCTGTGAGGCTCACTGTGAGGGGAAGGGAGTTCCATTTCTGCTAAAGCCATAAACTGGAGATCCTAAGAACTTATGGGACCACTCAGTGCTGACTTGCATAATCTCCTGGTGGCTTCCCTGTCTGCACCCCATCTCTCTCGAAGCCTGGCCTCAGGCCCTCAGCCTGGCACCCTGTCTTCCAGCCTCCTCGGCTCCACTGCAGGGCTGCCTCATCCTCAGCACAGCCCCTGTCAGCTCAGCCTCTGCACCCATGCTTTGGCCACCTCCTCCTGTCCTCTCCACTCACCCTCTGGGAAAGGGGTTCATACAATCTGCTGGCCCTGCTGCCAGCTCTAACCCATTGATCCTATCACTGTTTTGGGGTCAGTCTCCCATCCTCCAGCTGTCCAAACTCTCCACCTTACATATTTGAATTCCATGACAAATCATTTTTAACACTGCCTTGCCTGCAATCTCACCATTTTTGGATTTCTGTTTATTGAACTTGCTTGGTTAAATCTTATTCTCTTCCATCTCTGTGTGCAATTACACAACTGGTCATCACTGGTAAAAATCTCAAAACCACCCACAGAGACAGTCCAGCAGGCCGCATCATGCCACCAGCCAGCCTCATGCGCCTCCCTCATGGTCTCCTACCCATCTCCTGGCTGACACTGGTGCCTTCTCCCTCTCCTCAACCTGCACCAGCTCGGGCCTCACCCTCCCGCTGAGCACCAGCCTTGCTCTCTCCTGGTCCCTGGCAAGGTGGGGGTGATCTGAAGGAAGTCTCGGTCTCCTCCCCCTGCCCTGTCCACGGGTGCCCCGGCCCCTGTATCCAGGGCCCTGCCCTCCACACTGGGGACCACGATGCACATCCCCGCCCCGCAGAGCCAGTCCGTGGCCTGGCCTGCCCGCCCCGTGTGCAGCTTTCTGCCAGCACAGCTCTGCTCACCCTCAACTTCACTGTTTTTCTCCTGGATTCTCCCCATCAGCAAACACACATGCTGTTATTTGTCCCATTTTAAAACACAATCAAAACAAAACAGAGTACTTTGGACTGCACTTTCTGCCAGCCACCACCCTCGAGCTCCTGGCCTGTGCAGCTGACCCCACGGCCAGGTCCTCCTTCACGTTCTCGCCACCCCAAATGCGGGCACCGCGGCGCCAAACCTGCTCTTCCCACTGTTGTCAATAACCGCAGCCTGGCCGAATCCAGTGATTCATTTCTGTCTTAATCTCTCCTGGCCTTTCGGCAGCGTTTAACGTGTGCGACCCCTCCCTTCTCCTGTCTTCAGCCTTCCTCGGGATCCGCGAGGCGCCCTCTCTCCCATCTCCCTCTCAGGAGTGTGTCTCCAGCCCCGCACCTGCCCTCTCTATTCTCAGTGCATCCCCGCCGCAGGCATCACCCTCTGACTTGTCATGCCATCCGCCCCCTCCCTCACTGTATCTACGCTTTATTACCTGCCTTGGCTCGTACAATGTCAGCTTTGCAAGGGGTTCTTCCAAGGTCTTATTTTCAATTGATCAATGCCGAGGATGGGGAGCAATGCGTGTACCAGAGGGGGCTGGGCACACGCAGGCTTGTTGTTGGATGGAGGAGAGGCAGCATCCCCTGCATGCCTGGGTGGTCCCCATCTCCAGGCCTGCGACAAGCACTTCTCATCTTCCCATCCTCTGACGGAGCCAGTCCCACCCACCACGTGGACGTGGGTGTTGTCTGTGGACCAAGGTCAGTGTTTTGTTGGTTTTTCTTATTGTTTGGCACCAGCATTACATAGACCAATAGACCTTGTTGTTCTCCGCCCGGAGGGGCTGGTGCTGTGGCTGGGGCACCGCCCTGGGTAGGCCCCGCCCCAGGCCATGCAGTTCCCAGGCTCCTTTCTGGGAGGGGTTGGTTCTCACAAAGGGGGAAAATCATGAAATGGCAAACCTGAGTCACGGCAGCACAGAGGACAGCCCCTGAAGGCATAAGCAGGAAGGGCATAATGCTTTCCAAAAGAGAAAACTACATGGACTTTACTGACTCATCACTGAGTTCTGAGATCACTGACACTTACACATGTGTCCACGCTGTTGTGAGTCATGGGGAAAAATGGAGGAGCAAAATGACCAAGTGGCAGGGTCTGTAAGAGTCTCTCACTGTAGGGATGGGCTGCCCTGAGGAGACACTGCCCAGGCCTGGGTGCCCCGGGCCAAAGTCCTGACCCTTGCAGGGCTGTGTCCTGTGGATGACATGTGGCACTGGACTGCTCACTGACAGGTAGGAACTATGCACTGAGAGGTGGGAACTGCTGGCCGGGGGGTGGGAACTGCTGGCCGAGGGGTGGGAACCGCCTGCTGAGGGGTGGGAACTACTGGCTGGGGAGTGGGAACTGGGCACTGAGAGGTGGGAACTGCTGACCAGGAGGTGGGAACTGCTGGCCCGGGGGTGGGAACTATGCACTGAGAGGTGGGAACTGCTGACCAGGGGATGGGAACTGCCTGCTGAGGGGTGGGAACTGTGCACTGAGAGGTGGGAACTGTGCACTGAGAGGTAGGAATTGCTGGCCAGGGGGTTGGAACTGCCTGCTGAGGGGTGGGAACTGCCCACTGAGAGGCAGGAACTGGGCTGAGTGCTCAGTTTTCCTGTTCTGCTGATATCTTCAGAGGCATCAGGATGTGGCTGCCTTTGGGGAAGCTGCATTTACCCAGCCAAGGATGCTGCCTCCAGAAACAGAAGTGGCCTCAGGCCAGAAATAGGGGTCTGCCTTTTTAATATATTGTGTTGGTTAAATCAGCAGTCCCCAAACTTTATGGTACCAGGGACCAGTTTCATGGAAGACAATTTTTCCATCAACTGGCAGTGGGGGCAGTGGGGGCAGTGGGGGTGGTTTCTTGATGATTCAAGTGCATTACATTAATTAATTAATTAGTTTGTTTTTTTTTTTGAGACAGTTTCGTTCTTGTTGCCCAGGCTAGAGTGCAGTGTCACAATCTCGGCTCGCTGCAACCTCTGCCTCCCGGGTTCAAGCGATTCTCATGCCTCAGCCTCCCGAGCAGCTGGGACTACAGGTGCCCGCCACCATGCCCAGCTAATTTTTATACTTTTAGTAGGCACAATGTTTCACCATATATTGGCCAGGCTGGTCTCAAACTCCTGAACTCAGGCCATCCACCTGCCTCCCAAAGTGCTGGGATTACAGGCGGGAGCCACCGCACCCAGCCCAAGTGCATTATATTTGTTGTGCACTTTATTTCTATTATTATTACACTGTAATATATAATGAAATAATGATACAGCTCACCATCATGTAGAATCAGTGGGAGCCCTGAGCTTGTTTTCCTGCAATGAGATGGTCTCATCTGAAGGTGATGAGAGACAGTGACAGATCATCAGGCATTAGATTCTCATGAGGAGCACGTAACCTAAATCCCTCGCATGCACAGTTCACAAGAGGATGTGAGCTCCTGTGAGAATCTGATGTTGCCGCTGATCTGACAGGAGGTGGAGCTCAAGGGGTAACTTGAACCATGGGGAGCGGCTGTCAATACAGATGAAGCTTTGCTCACCTGCTGCTCACCCCCTGCTCTGGGGCCCAGTTCCTCACAAGCTATGGAACGGTACTAGTCATGCTCCCAGGACTGGGAACCCCTGGTTTAAATCATAAGGGAAATCTCAGTTTAAATCTTTATTTTAAAAAAATAACAAAAATGAATTTTCTGCTTATGATGGCCTTATATTAACAGAAATGAGTAGTGCTCACATTTTGGAAGTAAGCCTTCTAAGTTATGATGATGATGATGATTTACTTTTCTATGTTATATATACATGGGCGGTATGAGTTCAACAGTCACTTGCGTATTATCAGCACATGTTAACTTAGGAGGATTCTAGAACTTTTTTCTTTCACAGAATTAGAAGTACCTTTTCCAATATTCATGCCATGAAGAGTTTGTTGGTGAGTTCTGATCCACCCCTCTCAAATCTGCCTATATATGGGGCCGTCCATGGTGATGGGGTGGACAGCTGGGCTCTGCAACCTGCCAGCGTTTTCCTGCTGTGCCCTGAGGCAGTGCTCAGGCTAGCCAAAGATCTGTGGGTGCTGAATGCAGCTGTCCTCATCGTGAGCTCCCTTTTTGTCACCAAAGCTGCTTCTCTTGGTTGATTCTGTTAGGTGTGGGGTGTATCCACAATTTCTTAGGTTAATACTTAAAAGATAGAGACGTACTCAATCCAGGTCCAGTGGAATGCCTTTGGTAGTGGGATTGTACCCAAAGTTCACAGAAGATAAATTTTATATAAAATGAGCCAGGTTTGCTTTGTACATTTCCAACTGTAGAATGAAATTTAGGGGACTGAATAGTCAGTGTCTTATTTCACTTGTGTCTTTGGATACAAATGTTTTTCTTTTAAAACTCCTGACTGCATATTCCTTGTGTGTGTGTGGCTTTTAGTCCTAGATTGTAAAGCTTGCCAAGTCTGCCTGCTGGGAACTGACTCCTCTATGCAGAAGCTCCCCTTCCTCTGACACAGTGCAGGTGGGTCAAAGCCTCCTCCTGCACTTTATCCTTGAATTACACAGGAACTTGCATTGAGGCCATTGAAAGGGTGATGGCTTAGAGTGCATGAGAGCCTGGCCACCATGTGCTAGTGACCGACTGCACCCGCTGTGGCCCTCAAAGGGAGTCATCATCACCTGCCTTGCCAGGCACTGTCTGGTGAAGCCCCTGACATCTCTCCCAAGCCTGTGGGCAGTGGGGATGCTCTCTATGGCACGGAAAGCCTTTCACAGTCAGCGTGAGATAGTAATCAGTGTAAAACTGAAATGCGTCTTCTCCTTATCCACTGAGGCGTCAGCTCCCCCGCCGGCAGCAGGTGTGCTGTTTTCAGTGGCTCTGGCACCCATGGCTGTGGGTTGTGCTCTAGCAGTGTCTTCATCACAGAGGCACTTCCCTGTGTGCTGCGGCTTTGCCACCAGGACATCTTCTGCACACACTGTCCTGGGTAGGCCTTAGAGCTATGTCTGGACCAGAGAGCTTGAAACTGTGCCTACAAACCTGCTTCTGTCTCCCTGTGAATTTGAATAGGGGAGGTTTGGAGATCATGAAGATGAGCCCTTAGCGACATAGAGACGACGATTCCCTTTTCCTACTAGCAGTGACCCTCTTAGCCAGCAACCTGAGTAGCAGGTTTATCTAGGCGTCTTGTCTCCTGGTCTGTTTCTAGAGCTTTCTGCTTTGCCTGGCTTTAGAGAACTTGCTTTCTGTCCATGCCCTGTAAGGGATGGAGTGACTGATTTGCAGTTTCCAGGGGGACAGTGACTTTGAGAAGATCCCTGCATTGCACACACCACAGGATTTTACCGTACAGCAGAAACACTTCTGCCTCTGTTCATGAGGTGGGCTGGTAGAGGGCGGGCGCGTCCCCTAGGAAAGCTGAAAAAAGGGGAAAGTAAGAGAGTTCTTGGTGGAAGTATTTTTGTTTGTAACTTTGCCTCCTATAAGATATTAGAGAAGAAAATCGTCCGAGAATGGGGAAGTAGGGGAAGAGAACGGATAATCAATCCCTGGATTGGAGCTCTAGTCTAGTTGATTGGTCAGGAAGACTGCAGAGGTTTCCAGGTTGGATTGTCAATTTCAGTTCATCACAACAAGGCCCAGGAATCAGAAACAGGGCTGCAATCAGCAGAAACAGCCCTGCTCTGGACATCTCAGGGGCCTGAACATGAGGGCTGGGTCCAGGAAGGACAGGGCAAATGACGGCAGGACAGCAGCCCAGCCCAGCCAGGGCTCACAGAAGCGCTCCCAGGCAGGGCAGCAGAGGGCCCAGCAATGCTTCTTGAGAGCACGCCGCGGACATGACTTCATGTGGATGTGCTTTCCCTTCTAGAAAGACACACGCCTGGGGCACCATCATCACTCGGCATCCCTTGATGATGGAACTGCCCTGAGACAGTTCCAAGGAGTGGCGGCCCAAGGCCTCACACTGGACGGAGGCTGAGCTCCACTGCGGCCCCGGCAGGCGGGCTTCCTAAGAGCAGCGTGGAATCCCGGGGCTCTGCGCACCGTGCCCGGCCCCGGGCTCCCTGACGCGAGGCAATGCCTGGGCACAGCGTACGGCCACCGGCACCTTCACTCCTCACCTGTGCACGCGAGTGTGGGGGATGAAGCGACATCGGTGTGTGGCGTCTCAGTGCAGCGCCGGCACACACAGCCCTAAGCAGATGCGGAGCAGAGATGACGGTGGAGTCACCCCGCGGGTGCAACCCCATCTTAGCAGGAGGGCCGGGTTTTGGGCAGCTCGGGCCTTCAGAAAAAGGATCATGTCAGCGTGCATGCCACGCTGCACGTCCCGGGAGTTAAATCTAGGAATAGTTCTGACACCTGACTTAGGAGTGTGTTTCACTGCAAGTATTAAGGCAGATCCGCAGACCCATGTAGATGAATCACCTTCACTTTCAGCTACTAGGAGGGGCCCCATGAGGTAGCTGATGAGGAAGAGCCCCCTAGACGAGGCGCAGCGTGGGGCCACGGCCTTGGGATCCGGGCGCCACCCCAGCGGTTCTGTGCCGCCAGCAGGCCCTGCCGCATCTCCGGGCTGGAGGCTTGACTGTCAGCAGATGAGGCCACGGGGTCGGGGTGTCTCTCCCACCAGAACGGCTTCGTGGGGTGCTCACTATCCCCTGGTCACGCTTCGGCACGGCTGGCACGGGCTCCCTGAGGGGCTGTTGGAGAACCCCCAGGCCCCCTGGGTCTTGCCACGGAGACCACCCAGCCTCAGGCTGGTTCTCAGGTGGCCCCTTCTCTACGCTTAGGACGTGGCTTTTCCCAAGCTCTTTCCCAGCTGCCTGTCACTTTTCTTCCCAGCTTTCCCTTCCGAAGGGAGCTCGGCTTCATTCCATGGCTTTCCAGTCACGTCATAAGCATTTCCTCGTCTGACCCACGAACTGATAAAACGCTCTGGACGGGGCGGCCTGCATGCTCCAGGGACTGCATCATCTCCGTGGGCGGCAGGGCGCCTGCAGGCACCCAGCCTTGCGCGGGGCAGGCGGTCTTCTGAGGGTGCAACCCTGTCCCCCCAGGGCCCTAAACACAGCGTCAAAACTGAGCTACCTCCACAAAAATTTTGAACAAACTAGAAATCATAAGGTGGTGAATAATGATATGTTACCATACGCAAGTAGAAAATTGAAAGTTTCAGCAAAAACTAAGTCCAAAGCAACAGCTGCGCCAGGACGGAGAGCCCACAGTGAAATTGCTGCGTGCGCCCAGGGCGGCGGCGGCGCCAGGCAGGCGCGGATCCCGCTGCGAGGGACTTGCCTGCTGACCTGGGGCCGCAGGGAGCTCTGCTTTATCAGGAGAATATTTGAAAAGCGATCTATTAAAAGGAATGCTTAAGTGAATTATAAAAGTCTGAGAAAGGAAATGGGAGAACCAAGTTATCTAAATTTTCTCAAAACTAATTATTAGCTGGGCGAAAATGTAGATATTCGGGGCACTGAGGGTGGTGAGTGCGATTTTGCTTGCACCATTGGCAAAGTATACCTTGAATTTATCAAAATTTTGTCATCATCTAGTCTTAAATAGTTAAACGGTAAGCAAACGACGCTAAACAAAATAAGGAGACAGAGAAAAGTGCGGACAGTTCTCACAGGAGTTTCCACTGGGGCTGCATTCCCAGGGCGCTGGCCGGGAAAGCTCAGTCCACTGAGCACAATATGCTTTCTCCATAGCGTGAGGGCTGCCACCATCTACCGAGTGGATCATTAGGCCTGTCTCCCAGAGACAGCAAAAAATGTGCAGAACTACGTACACATCCGTGGGCCGGAAAGCACTTTCCCTATAGATTCTGGTGCCCTGCGGCTCTCGGATGGGGAGATGCGCGCACTCCAGACCCCCACAGGCCCCCAGAGCACGGTGGAGGGTGGGGGCAGAGTCATAAGAGACGTTTTACCAAACATCACTGAATGCAGCTTTTTCTCTCCCTTGAGAAAAATGAAACACCCAGTAATTTAATTTTAAATTTAAAAGCTGCCTCTTTAAACTTTGTTGAAAAATACAGAATATGCCACCATTCTGCAGTTTCATGTCATGAATGGATAAAGTACGAGGAAAGGGAGGGGAGGAATTTGTAAAAGTTTAATGGAAAAGGCAAGAAGAAAGCTGGCCAAGAAAGAGAGAGGGAGAACCAAGAGAGACGGGATGTGGGGAGGAGAGAAAAGCGTGCAGATGAGGAGAGAGCGGGGGAGGAAGGGGACACAGACAGCCCGGAGCGTCCCTTTCCGAGGAGCGCTGTGGACAGGCCTGAGCAGCCTGGACGGGAGTGACTTGATGATGTGATGGGCGGATTTCCTGGCAAACTTTCCACCTCTTTCAGGTCACACCCATCTTCAGTCTCTGCTCACCATGACAGAGTCACAGCCACACCCGGGACAGAACCTGGGCTCCGGGCAGCAGGTAATAGGAGGATATTCTACCCAGGGCCGGAACAAGCCAGGTCCAGCCTCAACTGCTCTGTGGCTAGTAAGTGCGAGGATGCTGTGTCACAGGTGTCACACGTCACTAAGAGAACGTCGTGGGCGCACGGGGAATGTCTTTATGGCACTGTCTGGAAGCAGGCTGCATCTCAGCAGCTCCAGAGGTTACAGGGGCTGGTTTTCACCAACACAAGAAGTGTTAGAGACAGGAGACGTGGAGGAACCTGTCGAACCTGGTGGGGATCGAGTTTAAACACATCTGCACACACTTGGGTGTGTGTGTCCCAGCGCATCTCAGCCCTGAGTGCCCACACCTGGCTTCCCTGCCCCCCCACCCCTCCTACCCCACAGTCCACACTGCCCCACACCTACTCGTGTCCAGAAAGCTCTCGCTGAGCCTCCTCCCACATCAGCCACTCTTGGAGGACTGAGAAAACAGTGGTGGGGGGCCAGTTCCCAAATCCAGGCGCTCCTGGCACATCCAAATCCGGGACGACTGACCAAGGGCTCGCACTCAGCCTGAGGAAGCAAGTGGTCCTTTGACTCGGAGTAAGAACTGCTCAGAGGCCAACGTGCTCTGGCTCGGGTCCCCCTGGCACCTCCAGGCAGGTCTTTCTAATTTGGTTCCTGAACACGCTCCAGCTCCCATCCTGAGGCCTGCCCTTGCCCTTCCCTCCCCCATTGCTCTTCCCACCCTCCTCCCTTGCCATTCCCTGTCCTCATTGCTCTTCCCACCTTCCTCCTTCCGCTCCCTCTCAAGGCCCTGCCCTGTCTGGTTCACCATCCTCCTCTCGTCCTCTCCTGGCTCCTCCCCAGAGCTTGGTGTTCATTCGGACGCCTTCTCCCTGCAGCCTCCACCAGGGCCCTGGCTGCCCTCGCCCTCCAGCAAGTCACTGTATTTTACGTTCTTCATGGAGTTTTTTACTTTTGAGATTTATCAACTTTACATGCATGTTTGCTGCACCCCCTCACTAGATTTCATCTACATGGGAACAGAGACCCCTCTGCTTTGCTCCCTGCTGTAAACATCCCGGCTCGGGAAAGTCTCTATCTACAGACACTGCTGGGTGCTGAGTTTCCAGAGCAGTCAATGCGATGTGCGACTCCGTGGTGAGAACTGAAGATGCATGAGGATGAGGGGCGCTCGATCCCTGTCCTCTGTGATCTGGTACAACAGAATCAACCCCTGCATGGTGGGCCCCAGTGAGCAGCCTGCGGGATGCACGGAGCCACCCAGAAACACGTGAACTCGGTGGCAGCAGCAGAGACAGAAACATCTCACAGTACACCAGGAATGAAAGTGTAAAATACTTAGCATTTGACAAGGTTTCCAGTTATATGTTCTTCTTTGAGCATCAA
Source organism: Homo sapiens (assembly GCF_000001405.40). NCBI lineage: Eukaryota > Metazoa > Chordata > Mammalia > Primates > Hominidae > Homo > Homo sapiens. Next base: position 169,170,997 of record NC_000006.12, read on the forward strand.
ATGAGGGTCCCATACCTATTTCTGTGCTCATGTTACAGACAGAATGGAAACACAGAGAGTTACAGAGATGTGATCCAGGTGGGGGCTGGGAAGGGGCTTCCTGCAGAGGTTTATACCCAGGCTCGTGGAGAAAATGCCCTACGAGGGACCAAGCCAAGGACTCAAGCAAACGCAGGGAATGAGACAGCGTTTCCAGGCCAGAATGCGGGAGCCCTTCAGCAGAATCAGGGGTTAGGAAGCTCGGTGACTTCAGGCAGGAAGGCGATGGAACGGGAACAGGGTCTTTCTGTTTCACGTAGGCGATGGAACGGGAATGGGGGTCTTTACTTTTCACGCAGGTGATGGAACAGGAACGGGGTCCTTCCATGTGGGAAATGCTGAGCCTGCGCTGCCAACCGCCTCCGGGTGAGACATCTTGTGGACAGCTGGGACAGGCGGCAGAGTAAGAGGCAGTGGTTTAGAAGTCAAATGCCCTTGGACAATTGTGGAAGCTTTTGATTTTATTATTTTATTATTAACTGAAAAAAATAGAAAATAGAAAATAGAAAAAAATAGAATTGGAGAGGAGGAATAAGTAGATGTTTAGCAACAGAGCGTGCAATGCAGCAGCACACTGAGAAAAGTAGCCCAGAAAGGACGGGGAGCTTCAGGAGGCGACAACTCACAAATATGACGGCCACTCACAGGCCAGTCCTGCAAACGACAGATGACTCCAGGAGAGGCCGGGCGTGGTGGCTCACACCTGCAATCCCAGCACTTTGGGAGGCTGAGGCAGGTGGATCACCTGAGGTCAGGAGTTCGAGACCAGCCTGGCCAACATGGCGAAACCCCGTCTCTACTAAAAATACAAAAATTAGCCGGGCGTGGTGGCGGGCACCTGTAATCTCAGCTACTCGGGAGGCAGAGGCAGGAGAATTGCTTGAACCTGGGAGGCAGAGGTTGCAGTGAGTCGAGATCATGCCATTGCAATTCAGCCTGGGCAACAGGGCGAGACTCCATCTCGAAAACAAAACAAAACAAAACAAATGACTTGAGGAGACGGCTTCAGAAAATACTGTTGTGTTTGGTGACTGAGTGGTTATTCATGTTCTTGGACAATGCTTTCCAAATGTTAGTTTGCCTACAGGTCACGCAAACATCCTGCATGTGAAGGCAGACTCCGGAGGTCTGGGAAGCACTGGGTTTTGGGTTTTTTTGTATAAAAGCTTCCAGATGGCACTGATGCTGCCTGTCAGGGGACTACACCTTGACAAGCCTGTAGAGACTGTGTTAGAAGGGCAGGGTGAACACCAGATCCCGTAGCGAGGTAAGGGGTAAGCAGGTGTGAGGAGGCAGGGCAGACACATGGCCGCCTTCTAGGAGTCTGAGAGTGGAGATTAGGATAATAGAAGCTTAATGGCATTTTAAGGTTAAAGATCTTATTTTTTGCTTTGTATTGATTTTGGACGGATGAGTCCTGGAAAAATTAATTGCCAAGGGTCACTTGGAAGAGAGTGGGTGCCGTGACATCGGTGGGGTCACCCAATGTCAGACTGGCGAGCATTTTGAGTTGCCCGTAACTGTTGTGCCTCAAGCTCCTGGTGTTCCCGGAGGCTGTGCCCTGGAGGCCCGTTGCAGAGAACACGGAGGCACATTCTCCTGCTGTGAAGTCAGCCCAGGCAAGGCAGGCGTGGCAGCCTGTACCATTGGTGTGGCCACGGGGCCGAGAGGGCAGGAAACAGAGAGAGGGAGGTTGGTTTCATGTTGCAAAATGCCGGATGAGTGGGCAAACCCCCCGCAATTCTGTCTGGCCAAATTATACTTTTAGGTTCAGGCCTATACTTTATATTTTAAAAGCTCAAATTATTTTATAATCTCCTGAAAATACATCATCTTGCCATTTGCTTTCAATACTGCACTGCGACCTTTTATAATCTTTCAAAAACATGTTCTCCCTTTGGATAAATGAGAAAATAAATAGTATTCAGTGAAGACCAACTACTGAATTATTTTAAAATATCTTGTTTATAAAAGGTTTTTACCAGTGAGAGGATTTAAGAGTTGCTTGGCTCTTGAAGCCAGCAGAGACTTCTGTGTGCATTGCTTCATTTGTGGGGGAGGACTCTAGCCCCACATGGCAGATGAAAAACTGTGCCTCGGAGGAGTTAAGCGAATTGCTGAGGATGGTACCACAGAGAGCGACTGAGGCGACAGCCAGCATCCAGCCTCCAGAGTTCCACTGTGCTTCCCCAAAGACAGGCGGGCTCTCCTCAAGCACATTTTTACTTTAGGAGCTGCTGAAACTGGGGTGTGGACCACGGGATCCCCCCTGACCAGCCTCAAGCCCGAGCCTGCGATTCTCTCATCCGCACTTCACCAGCTGAGGTGAAGGGTGGGCCTCCATTTTGGTTGAATTACATTCTCTCTCACAGAACCATCTGGAAACCCCATCACCTTAATAATTCAGTGTTGTTTGATGCTGTGAAAGGTGAAAAAGACTTCAATTCTTACTACCAAATTGTGCTGGGGAGTGACACAGATAGTCAGTCTCTCAGCAGCACGCACACCCTGTTAGAAGGGGGTATGGTTTTTACTTTCCGCTTATTCCCGGCAAATCCTGTGGCTTCCACTAAGCAAGGATGTCCTCTGAGCACCCTGACCCTCCCGATTCCCGTGCACCGCCCCAGCCTCCGCTGTCGCCTGCCCTCCACCTGGCGCCTCCGTTATTTACTTGTTCCCCAGGTTCAGTCTCGGGCGGCCTCGGCTTTCTCCACGTCTTCTCCCTGCACAGTGGCAACGCTTCCAGAACCCCAGCTGCTCTAACACCAGGCCCAGCTCCTCCAACCCAAGCGTCTCTACCCAACTGTGGGATCTGTCCGCACCTCCAGATGGGGAGGCCCACGTCTCCGTGTCACCTGAGGGCGGGTGTGTTTAGAAGCATGCTTTTGCATCTCCACCACTGGAGACACAGGGACTTGGGGTGTGTACGTTTTGTGAAAACTCAAACATGGGCCTCACCTTTTGGTTTTATGGATGTGAACCACGTCCCTGCAGTCATCAGAGTGGAATGCTGCTAGCGGCTGGCCCTAGGCTGAGTGTTTGACCGGGAATACCCACACACTTCTCTCAACTAACCCGTGAGGTTGGCATGTTCAGTACCTGGGGAGAAAGTGGGGTAACAATGACAGGACTAAAGCCCACAGCCTGGGGCCTGGCACCTGGCAAGTGCCCTCTGGGTGTTGGTGGAGTTCTTACTTGGATGACTTTAATCATTACAGAGGCTCCCTAAGGCCACACAGCTGGTAGGGGCTCTGGCCCCGTCTCATCTCACTCCAGAGCCCCAGGTGAGTGCAAGGCAGAACCTCTATGTTTCTGTCTCAGATTCTTCTCATTGCTTTGTTTTTCTCAAAACATTTCATTTTATCAATGATGAATACTAAAATTAGATTATTTTCTTTTTGTTGAAACTATATGTATTGATTTTTTGTCTTTGGAGTTGTCATAAAACACCTGTGGTCAAATCCAGGCCCTTCCAGTTACCAGCAATGTGACCCTCTGCACGCTAATCACCTCCCTGATGACTCAGTTTCCCCATCTGTAAAGGAGAAGCAATGGAAGTACTGGGCAGTTTAAATAACATAAATGTTGCAGAACACTTGGTACATGGCCAGACATGCAGTAGGTATTCCATAAAGGAAGCTATTTGTATTTTTTGTTTCAAATTCTATTCCATGGTGAACGTTTGTTTACTGTCTCAGATGTGATGTGAGATTCCATTTTGAATAGCTTTCAGGAATGTGACACGAAATTATCTTCCTTCTTCCATCAGCTAAAAACTACTGTATAAATGTTTCAAGCTCTGCTCCCCCTACTCTTACCAATGATAAACATGCCCCTAGGTTTCCCCTACAGCCACCCCAGCTCCTCGCTCTACATCTCCCTCTCCCCACCGCCACCTTCCGCCCCTGCCCTGCGGCTCCCACCGCCCCTGCCCTGCTGCTCCCACCGCCCCTGCTCTGCTCTGCTGCTCCTTCCGCCCCTGCCCTGCGGCTCCTACGGCCCCTGCCCTGCTGCTCCTTCCGCCCCCGCCCCGCTGCTCCTTCCGCCCCCGCCCCGAGGCTCCTTCCGCCCCTATCGCTCTGCTCCTTCCGCCCCTGCCCGGCGGCTCCTTCCGCCCCTGCCGCTCTGCTCCTTCCACCCCTGCTCTGCTGCTCTGGGCTTTCCCCGAGGCTTTGCTGCCCACACTCTTCTTGCTCGTCAGACCCACCAAGGTTGCAGAGAAAGGCAGACAGCAGCAGATGGCTAGGAAACGAATACTCAACAATAGGGTGATTTCAGAACTAAATTCCAAAGAATTCAGCCTACAGAGCAAAAACTCACTCAAAAAACCAAAAAGATGGAGATCTGTCTACATCAACGCCTGTTCTGAAGTTATTGAATTTCAAAAAAAAAAAAAAAAGGAACATTTTAGGTACCAAGCCAGGTGCTTTAAAGGAAGACAGACACGAGGCTGGCCCTGGATTCGTGAACAGTAGCTCTCACGCTCTCGAAATCGTGTCCAAAATTTTGTGCCCACCGTGATTTTCTGCAAGCACAAAGACAGCAGCGGTCAGGCGGTTTCAGTGTTGGACGGCCCCAAGGAGTTGTCCTTTAAAATCCTTCTTGCTGGTGTGATCCAGCCACGAATGAGAACAACCTGAATGAAGAGGTCAGAAACAGGAAGTGCGTCAAAATAGATTGAACTACAGAAAAACATCTGAAGCCATTTAAATATGGAACTAACATAAAAAATGTTGATCATAGGAAATGTATTGGACACGTGTACACAACCTGAGCTTAGGGAAGAGAGGGGATAAAAGAGCGTCCACAGATGCTGATTTTCCCATTCGGAACCAGGGGCCCTAAGTGTGACCTAAACCTGAACCATGGGTTTTAAAAAGTTCCATCTTCCTCACGTTTTTGTTAATATTTTGACGAACTTTAGAGCTGTATTTTGGGAGCTCTCATTTCTTTTGTAATTGCAAAGGACAGTTCTCCTTTATTTATAGTCCAGGTCCCTGTTTTATTGGTCAAATTCATTTAAAATTCTGTACTTCGTTATATTTTAGCATTTATGGTATAATCACATTTTTAAATGTGTTTTTCCTTCTTTTATTCTTTCCCATTCATGGAGAGGTTTGTGATAATGCTTACTGAACATTGGCATTAGTGATTTCTGGGTGGTAAAATTGGGATAATTTAATTTTGCTTTCTTTATGGTTTTGAGTTTTATCCCTAATTACAAAGTTATTAGTTTAAAATTTAAATATGAAAATTTTAAATTTTCAAAATGAAGTCATCAGGATGTGGGGCCTGGTGGAGGCTGGGGTGACTGACATCCCCCAGTTGACAGTGGTGGGTGGGAATAAGGTGTGGGAAGATGGGCTTATTCCAAGGGGAGGGGGGTTTGGCGTTGGCTTGAGATGGATCTGCCTGTGGGCATCCTGTGCCGACAGCCACTCGCCATGCAGAGTGGAGGCTGAAGAAAGCAGCTCGCTGCAAAGAGGCCAGCGGGGTACAAAGAAGTACTAACTGCAGGGCACCGAGCCCTGCGCAGGAAAGAGCGGGTTGTCTGGGAGGCAGGAGGAACTCTGTCCCCGAAGTCACAGGAGGTGCCCAGGCCTTGAGAGGAAGCAGCAGGAATCTCTGTGGGGCGTCCCTGAGCTCCAGTGAAGCCTCAGCCCCGTGTGGGCAGAAGTTGGGGGAACATCTGGAAAGCATGACCAAGGGGACGCCTGCAGGAGCTGCCAGAAGCAGTATGGCAGGGACAGGGTCAGAGGGAGGAGGCTGCAGGGTCCAGGAGAGGTTTCAGAAGCAGAAGAGGCTGGAGCTTGCCTATGCTCTGCGAGAGGGCAAATCCCAGGAGAAAGGAACACACAGGAAAAGGGGGGTTACTGGAGGTGTCCCGTTGGAGGGAGGAGGCTTTGGGGTCACTGCACTGAAGCAGGACAGGCCGGGCCTCTGAGGGCCAGGAGGAGGGTGCTGGTGGGTGGGGGTCTGCAGAGGGGTGCAGCGGGCTCTCAGAACCCACTTTGGCTGCTCCACCATTCAACACAGGGACTGCCGAGAGTGGCGGGCGGTGTTTCAACAAGAACTGAGTTGGGTGCTGAAGGCTTAGAAGAGCCCCTCAATCAAATTGGAGAAGAAGGGAATTGAGATGAAACAGCTTTGAAGTCACACAGGAAATGTGCGGTACCTGTCAGGCAAATGAGTTAATAAATACACAAATGGGTTAATGCAAATGGGAGATAGAAGTAGGACTTCTTTTTAGTGGCTACTACAATACGGATTTTTAATTTCACCTTTCTGCGTCTAGTAATTTTTGCATATTTTAGTAACTGTGGCATTCTATTACATACAACAGATGGTTACAGGCATTGTCTTCATAGAGAGCAAAATAAAACTCTAAGACCAATACAACAATATATGTTTAACAAAGAGGAAAGAGCCTAAAGTCTAAATGCGAGACTTTGGGGCCCCTGTGGGCCAGTGGGAAAGAACAGGCCTCTTGTTTGTAGGTGTCCATGTGCTTCAGACACCATGTCTTGGTTTCTTGGTCAGCCCATTTTCTACCAAGCTTGAGACCTCCGTTCTGGGCCTGAGGCTGAAGGACTGTTCGTTTATTTCATTTATTTATTGGCTCTTTCTCTTCCTTGCCACGCAGGAGGATGAGTAAAAACAGAGTGAGATACTTCGGAGCAACCTCGTGAGTTAAGAGCTTGTGAGCTTTCTCAGAGACGCTGGCTCCATCTTAATTTAATTAATGCAGAAATGAAGACTCGAACATTTGAGAATCTTTAAAAATCATATTTTAGCCAAAAGATTTATCTCACAGAAGATAATTTCCAACACAGCCAAAAGCAGCAAATATTTGCTAGTTCTATAATGTTTTGTGTGAATTTGATACTTGGCATATTTTCTGGTGTGTATTCGTCTCCAGGACATCTGTGCATGGCAGTTAGTCACGGAATTTAAGTTCAGTGTGGCATGCATCCTAGCGGTGGGAAGCCAGAAAGTAAAATGTGCAACCACCCCAAGAGAAATGCTTATAGCCAGGGAGCAAAGCATGAGTTTTCATCATGTTCTAGGCAATTTTAGGTGAATTTATCTTTAGATGGAGATTTCCTTTTTCTGATGTCTGTTCTTTCTTCAAAATTCACAGATTGCTCTTGATAAAGAGTGTTGAGTTGCCCTACACAGAGATGGAAAGGGGCTTTATAAATATGATGGTAATACACGATAAATTAAATTCATCTCTAAAGGCAGAAGTAAAATGCCTTGTCTTGTATCATAAATATCATTGATACTGACAAAATACAATGTCTCTAACAGTATATATCACACTCTCATTCATTCATTTATTCAACAAACATTTATTAATCACCTACTGTATATTAGACTTCTTGATAGATATGGAAAAATTATCCTTTTAAAGCAAACCAAGACAAAACAACTAGACTCATGTAATTTGGAAATTGGTTATTTGGGTAGATTTTTGGTTTCTAAACAAGAATTAAGTCCTTCTTTACATTGTTGGTAAAGATTTAGTCAGGATCTCAAAATAGTAATTTTTTTGTAACTGATAGAAAATATAGACATTGGGTTTCCACCTCACACATAGGAAGAAATTATAGGAAGTCTTTGTTTTTGGAGGAAGCCATCACTGCTTCCTAACACCCAGCAGTAATAAGACCTGGGTCACACCCTGAAGCTGTCGCGTCCACAGAGCTGAGTGCTCCCAAGCATGAGACACAGGCCAGCAAAAGCCATGTGGTCAACTCTAAATACCCAATGACACAGGTTCCTTTTGTTTTGGTTTTGGTTTTTCGTTCTTCTTTGGGGCCTCTCGTCCCAGGTAGATATTCTATGTCCTTCTGGTATACATTTTAATCTGACTTCCACTGAAGCAGGGACAGGACAAGTCAGCCCTTCAACTTGAAGCACCTCCTGCTGAGAGGTCCTGGAGCACAGTGGGTGCCGAGGGCTGGTTTCCTGGGCAGAGAAGTTGAGGCTTAGCTATGTCCGTTGCTGGCACTCGGTGGGGGAGCCCTGGGAAGGTTGTGGGTAAAAGTGGATTTTCCTCTCCCCGGTGCCAGTGCCAGGCCCAAACGTGGGCAACAACAAATAAACACACACTGCACAGGTTCTAATGCTTCAGTCCCCTGAAACGCCTGGGGTGTGCATTTGTCAACTGGATAAAAACAGCACATGCTCTGTTAGGGCTGTGTTAGTCCGTTTTCATGCTGCTGATAAAGACATACCTGGGACTAAGAAGAAAAAGATGTTTAATTGGACTTAACAGTTCCACATGGCTGGGGAAGTCTCATAATCATGGCACGAGGTGAAAGGCACTTCTTACATGGTAGCAGCAAGAGAAAAACTAGGAAGGAGCAAAAGTAGAAACCCCTGATAAAACCATCAGATCTGAGACTTATTAACTATAACAAGAACAGTATGGGGGAAACTGCCCCCATGATTCAAATTATCTCCCACCAGGTCCCTCCCACAACATGTGGAAATTATGGGAGTTCAATTCAAGATGAGATTTGGGTGTGGACACAGAGCCAAACAATACCATTCTTTCCCTGGCCCCTCCAAATCTCATGTCCCCACATTTCAAAACCAATCATGCCTTCCCAACAGTCAGTCACCCAAAGTCTTAACTCATTTCAGCATTAACCCAAAATCCACCATGCAAAGTCTCACGTGAGACAAGGCAAGTCCCTTCCACTTAAGAGCCTGTAAAATCCAAAGCAAGCTAGTTCCTTCCTAGATACAATTGGGGTAAATGTATTGGGTAAACACAGCAGTTCCAAAGGGGAGAAATTGGCCAAAACAAAGGGGTTCAGGGCCCATGCAAGTCTGAAATCCAGTGGGACAGTCAAATTTTAAAGTTCCAAAATGATCTCCTTTGACTCCAGGTCTCACATACAGGTCATGCTGATGCAAGAGGGAGGTTCCCATGGTCTTGGGCAGCTCTGCCCCTGTGGCTTTGCAGGATACAGCCTCCTTCCAGCTGCTTTCATGGTCTGGCATTGAGTGACTGTGGCTTTTCCAGGCTCACGGTGCAAGCTGCCAGTGGATCTACCATTCTGGGGTTGGAAGATGGTGGCCCTCTTCTCACTGCTCCACCAGGAAGTGCCCCAGTGGGGACTCTATGTGGGGGCTCTGACCCCACATTTCCCTTCTGCACTGCCCTGGCAGAGGTTCTCCATGAGGGCCCCGCCCCTACAGCAACGTTTTGCATGGGCATCCAGGCATTTCCATATGTCTTCTGAAATCCAGGTGGAGGTTCCCAAACCTCAGTTCTTGACTTCTGTGCACCTGCAGGCTCAACACCACGTGGAAGCTGCCAAGGCTTGGAGCTTCTATCCTCTGAAGCCACAGCACGAGCTGTCCATTGGCCCTTTCAGCCATGGCTGGAGCGGCTGGGACACAGGGCATCAAGTCCCTAGGCTGCACACAGCTCAGTGCCCACAAAACCATTTTTTCCTCTTAGACCTCTGGGTCTGTGATGGAAGTGGCTGCCGCAAAGGTCTCTGACATGCCCTGGAGACGTTTTCCCTATTGTCTTGGAGATTAACATTCGACTTCTGGTTATTTATACAAGTATCACAGCTGGCTTGAATTTCTCCTCAGAAAATGGGATTTTCTTTTCTATCACATTGTCAGGCTGCAAATTTTCTGAACTTTTATGCTCTGTTTCCCTTTTAAAACTGAATGCATTTACTACAGTAACCAAAACAGCATGGTACTGGTACCAAAACAGATATATAGACCAATGGAGCAGAATAGAGCCCTTGGAAATAATACCACACATCTACAACCATCTGATCTTTGACAAACTTGACAAAAGCAAAAAGTGGGGAAAGGATTCCCTATTTAATAAATGGTGCTGGGAAAACTGGCTAGCCATATGTAGAAACCTGAAACTGGATCCCTTCCTTACACCTTACACAAAAATTAATTCAAGATGGATTAAAGACTTACATGTTAGACCTAAAACCATAAAAACCCTAGAAGAAAACCTAGGCAATACCATTCAGGACACAGTCATGGGCAAGGACTTCATGACTAAAACACCAAAAGAAATCACAACAAAAGCCAAAATTGACAAATGGGATCTAATTAAACTAAAGAGCTTCTGCACAGCAAAAGAAACTACTATCAGAGTGAATAGGCAACCTACAGAATGGAAGAAAACTTTTGCAATCTACCTATCTCACAAAGGACTAATGTCCAGAATCTACAAAGAACTTAAACAAATTTACAAGAAAAAAATCAAACAACCCCATCAAAAAGTGGGCAAAGGATATGAACAGACACTTCTCAAAAGAAGACATTTATGCAGCCAACAGACACATGAAAAAATGCTCACCATCACTGGCCATCAGAGAAATGCAAATCAAAACCACAGTGAGATGCCATCTCACAGCAGCTAGAATGGCGATCATTAAAAAGTCAGGAAACAACAGGTGCTGGAGAGGATGTGGAGAAATAGGAACGCTTTTACACTGTTGGTGGGACTGTAAACTAGTTCAACCATTGTGGAAGACAGTGTGGCAATTGCTCAAGGATCTAGAACTAGAAATACCATTTGACCCAGTCATCCCATTACTGGGTATATACCCAAAGGATTATAAATCATGCTGCTCTAAAGACACATGCATATGTATGTTTACTGCAGCACTATTCACAACAGTAAAGACTTGGAACCAACCCAAATGTCCATCAGTGATAGACTGGATTAAGAAAATGTGGCACATATACACCATGGAATACTATGCAGCCATAAAAAGGATGAGTTCATGTCCTTTGTAGGGACATGGATGAAGCTAGAAACCATCATTCTGAGCAAACTGTCACAAGGACAGAAAACCAAACACCACATGTTCTCACTCATAGGTGGGAATTGAACAATGAGAACACTTGGACACAGGGTGGGGAATATCACACACTGGGGCCTGTCGTGGAGTGGGGGGAGGGAGGAGGGATAGCATTAAGAGAAATACCTAATGTAAATGACGAGTTAATGGGTGCAGCACACCAACATGGCACATGTATACATATGTAACAAACCTGCATGTTGTGCACATGTACCCTAGAACTTAAACTATAATAAAAAAATTAAAAATAAAATAAAATAAAATGATAGATTAAAAAAAAACCTGAATGCCTTTAAAAGCACCCAAGTCACCTCTTGAATGCTTTGCTGCTTAGAAATTTCTTCTCCTAGATACCCTACATCAGCTCTCTCAAGTTCAAAGTTCCAGAAATCTCTCAGGCAGGAGCAAAATGCCACCAGTCTCTTTGCTAAAACATAACAAAGGTCACCTTTGCTCCAGTTCCCAACAAGTTCCTCATCTCCATCTGAGACCACCTCAGCCTGGATTTCACTGTCCATATCATTATCAGTATTTTTGTCAAAGCCATTCAACAAGTCTCCAGGAAGTTCCAAATTGTCCCGCATTTTTCTGTCTTCGTCTGAGCCCTCCCAACTGTTCCAACTTCTGCCTGTTACCCAGTTCCAAAGTCACTTACACATTTTCGAGTATCTTTTCAGCAACGCCCCACTCTGCTGGTTCCAATTTACTGTATTAGTCTGTTTTCATGTTGCTGATAAAAATATACCCTAGACTGGGAAGAAAAAGAGGTTTAATTGGACTTACAGTTCCACATGGCTGGGGAGGCCACAGAATCATGATGAGAGGTGAAAGGCACTTCTTATGTGGCGGCGGCAAGAGAAAATGAGGAAGATGCAAATGTAGAAACCCTTCATAAAACCATCAGCTCTTGTGAGACTTGTTCACTACCAGAAGAACGGTATGGGGGAAACCACCCCCATGATGGAATTATCTCCCACTGGGTCCCTCCCACAACACTTGGGAATTATGGGAATACAATTTAAGATGAGATTTGGATGGGGACACAGAGCCAAACCACATCAGGGCCAAAACTATTTTAAAAGCTATTGTTTGTTGTCAGTCTTACAAAGTGGCTTTGTAAAGTCTATGGAAACAGTGAAAAGGAATTTTGAATTTTATTGAAAAAAGGTTGGTAGTGATTTTTAACTTGTGCCTGCAAGATGGAAAGCCCTTCCTTCATAGCAGCAAATCAGGGGAGATAAAAGCAGCATCGCTGCTCTCCCGAGTTCCCTCTGCCTACACCGAGGTTTAGGTCCCTCTCCCAGATCTAAGGGCCTTGATGCTAACAGACCTGTCATCTAAAACAGGAATGGGCTCTGCAGCGTTTAGACAAATTCCAAAGAGCAACTCCTTGCAGAGGATCTTTGAATTCTGTCTCTAGTCAGTGGCCACAGATGGTGTTTCTCACTAGATTAACCTCCAGCTGACGAGTCCGTAGGTTGGTGTCTTGTGTTCCGTGGCTTCAGTGAGATGTGGGGTGGATCACGCTGAGGAAGAGCCCAGATGTGAAGGCAGCCTGCCTGCCATCCTGCACCGCCTCGCAAGTCCTGTGAGTCTGGGTGAATGCTGAGCCTCACCGGGCATCCCAGGTAGATGGGTGCACCCTCTTTAATCACCTACTGTATTTGATGATAATACCTGATGAAGTTAACAGAAACTACTGATGACATAAAATAATATGTGTGGAAGTGATGAAAATTATTTCTATGTGGCTAACAAATATTCCTGATATTGACGTTCCTGTCCGTGACACTCACCTATAAGAACTTCCCCCTCCCAGCAACCCGATCCAAACCACAGAGGGTAAAAACATGCCATTTGGGAAATGAGTGTTTTAAGGCGAGCTTATCTTTTCCACCTTTCCAGAGGAGATGTGCCGAGATGATCACGCTATTACAATGGTGTATGATGAGAAACAAGAGAGCCCTTGTCCAAGGCTTCTAGTTATGAGGACATCTGAAAAGGCACTGTTTATCTTATCTGTTATCCCATCAAAATAAAATTAATAAAGAATGCGTATAATATGGATGAATAAACATTAACTTTCTACAAGAGAATTTTACATAATTGGCTTGAAAGGCTCCATCCTGGGACATGCTATTGATGACATTTTCTTTCATCTAAACCCAGCTCTGAATTTCTCCTGATGGTACACTTTTTATTTACTGCTACAATGAGAAAAAGTTTTATCGTGCTACAATCAGCAAAATTTGGCATTCATGATCTTCTATATTGTCTTATTAACTCTTCCTATTAATTAATACCAGGCAAATTTACGTTCTGGAAGATCTTTCTTCATCGAAGGCCAGTTGTTAAACGTGGAGGCGGCCTTTCAGACGGCATTCTGTCTTTCTGTTTAGTCCACATCACATTTCTGGAGCACATGCCTCAGGCAATAAAGTTTTCTCTATGCTTCATAAATATCTCCATGTGTGTTAATTTATGCATTAATTTTATGTGTCTATCTTGTGTATTAATTTTATTTTCTCAGGAAAGTTTCCCGGGATTCACAGGAAACTGACAAGGAAAGGTTTCACAGAGAATCGGAGAAAAGCTGAAATATCCCATTGATCTCATTCGCCATCCTTATATTTTTCAAGCTATAAACTGTAACTTCTTCTTAACAAATGCTAAGAGGCAAATGCTCCCTGGAAACAGGGTGGGATCCTGTGTAACTGTGGCCCAGATTTCTCCTGTGGAGACCAGCCCTTAATATTGCTCTGAAGACATTACATAAGTGGTTTTCAAGCTTCCAGAATTAATAGTTCTGGGATATCATTCAACAGAAACAGCTTCTAACCAAGGATCAGGATACCCAGCTCATGCCAGCAGCAGGGGCTCTGTCAACACCAACCCTCCAACTCCTTCAGGGACATTTGAGACCGAAAAACCAACCCTAGCAGTCCATCCAGGCAGTCGCCTGACCAGTTAGGAGATTTTATCTTTCCTTGCTCCCTTTCCCAAATATAAGGGTTAAAATTCTACCAGGAACAGTCGACAATTCCTTTGTGAGGACCAAGCCCAGTCTACTTTTCTTCTACGGCACCCCATTTCCACAAATTCTCCTCTCTGTTGCCAAAACTAGCAACCTCATGATGCCTTAGGGTGTCCCACAGCCGGCAGGCCCAGCTGGACGTGTCAATCACTGTGGCACCCACTGCGTCCCCACAGAGGTCAGAGACCCTCAGCCCCCCACCCCCCGGTATCACCCTTTATTCCCAAGCCTCTTACCAATGGGGCTGTACCGGACTGGCTGTCCATGCTGAACGGTGGGGAGGGGCTTCTGTACTCGCAGGGACCCTCCCCACTCGTGGGGTCAGTGCTGTTAATAGTGCCAGAGAGAGGCCATGGGGAGCACGTGGGGTGAATGGGGAGGTGGCCAACTGAGGCTGCCACAGCCACCGCTATGTCCACCCCTGTGGTCCGAGAGGGCCGGTCACTCCAGCGTGGCTTCTGCTCTCTCCAGAGTGGTGTCAGAGACTGTTTCAATGCGCTGGAAACCTGAAATGAAAGAGGTGCACAGGGCCGGACGCCGTGGCTCATGCCTGTAATCCCGGCACTTTGGGAGGCCGAGGCGGTCACGAGGTCAGGAGATCGAGACCATCCTGGCTAACATGGTGAAACCCCGTCTCTACTAAAAATACAAAAAATTAGCCGGGCGTGGTGGCAGAAGCCTGTAGTCCCAGCTACTAGGGAGGCTGAGGCAGGAGAATGGCGTGAACCCGGGAGGCGGAGTTTGCAGTGAGCCCAGATCGCACCACAGCACTCCAGCCTGAGCGACAGAACGAGACTCCATCTCAAAAAAAAAAAAGAAAAAAGAAAAAAGAAAGAGGTGCACAGGGCTGGCCACAGGGGCAGGCTGGAGACACGGCCCTTGCCACCGGGATCAGAAGGTCCCTCACTGTGTGCCGTGGTGATGCCCGGCCAAGCGAGGTGGCAGGGAGGCGGCCCCAGCACGCTGAATCCATTCCAAGGAGGCTGCTTCTGACCTGTGTCACCTGCTGTGACGTCAGAGCTGGGCCCCTACAGGCCACAGCCTGCTTTGCCAGAAAAATTCACTCAAAATTAGGCTTTTTGGACTAAAACTTGTTTTGTTTCTTACTATGATTACTAAGAAAGCCCAGGATACTCACATAGAACCGAAGCTCAGCCATTTCTCCTCTGAGTACACGTTGACATCACTGAAGCCAGGCACTGACCAAGCCTGAGTTCATGCAACACCATCAGCACACAGCCTGGTCTTGGCCTCCTCATGAGTTCTTTGCGAGGCCACGCATCCAGGTACCTGTGTTCCTGCACGGAGGCCTCTAGGTTCGCAGGAGACCCAAAGCAACGGGCCGTAGGCTCACTCAGGAGCAGCTCCTAGCTCCCCACTCCGCCACGGCCCTGCGGGAAACAGCGGAGGTAGAGATGTGGTGGTAAAGCAGAAGTGTGAGAAGCTACAGTCATTTTCCTTAGGGTTGGTAAATTTCGTGCCGGCCACCATGGCCATAGGCTTAACCCAAATTAATAAAGCCCAGTGTAAAGCGTGCTTAAGTTTATACACAAATAAAGTTAAACCCCAACTAAGCCATGAAAAGCTACCGCTAAAATAAAAACAAACTGTGAAAGTGACTTTAGTGTGTTCTGAGCATGACAGCTAAGACCCAGGCTGCGGTCAGCCACCCCCTACGCCTTGCCATGAGCTCAATAAAATGAGCAGTCACCGGCCCGAGTGCCGCCAGCAGCAGCCGGGACTGAGGGCAGCGCTTCGCTTCCTCGGAGGAGCCCACTGTGCCATCAACAAACCCTGAAGCCCCCACCGGCTGCTGCTGACCCGGCCACACGCCACCATCTTCAGCAAACCCTACGATGGCCGCAGAGTGAGCACCAGCATTTACACAAAAACATCAGGTCCAGGGGTAGCTCTGAGGTGGAAAGAAATGGACCACAGAACATTCCACCCACAACAACCTTTACGAAATTAAAGGCCAAAGGAGGATGTGGCAGAAGTTAAGAACAGACAGCGTAACTGAACAGGGCCATGACCACACACACGCCACCCACCAGCCGCCTCAACCACCTCCACGGACAGAAGCTCAGGTGTGGTGGGGGTGAGCCTGACGAGGTGGGCATCCTGGAGAGCAGGTCCGGGGAAGCCCCGTGCAGCCTCTGCACGGCACCTGCTCACACCCGGGAGACTTCACATTGACTCCACCACTCTGAACACAAACTAGTCCCAAATCAACAAAACTTAGCAATTATATGTATTTAGACCAAAACATGTATTCACAACAAAAGGTATAAGAGATAGAAATTTATTTAGGTGCTACGGGACACGTACTGTAAGAGAAAGATGACAGAATAATTTAAAGTACAAAAAAAAGCAAAGCTAATCCCTTATACCATTTGCATAATAAATTTGCTAGAATGATTTTATGAAGAGAAATTTAGCTAAAACCTCTGAAAGCAGACAAGTTACTTATGGACGGTTGCAAGAACAAACTCTCCAATGTGGCAAAACGTGAGCAGAACCAAGAGCAGAGAAAAGCCATCCCGACCTGGTGATCCTGCTTATCCAGAAGAGAATCTCAGCTCAACTTTAAATTACCCCAAGAAGTATACATCTTAATGTAAGTTTAAATGTTGATCTAAAGAGGGACAGCTCCTTAGAAACAGGAAGCAACCTTTTATCCAGAGTAATTTATTAAATTTCTGGAGTTGTTTAAAAGTAGCCACCAAATAAGAGCGTGTTCAAGTTAAACACTCAGCAGACCTTAGTTTCAGCTCTCTCTCGCCTCTCTACATTTTACTGGATTAATCTATTTATAAGTAGAAGAAATACTGTTAACACAGTAACGAAGAGCAAATTCTCCTTGTATAAGCTTGTGTTAGATCACACATCCACTGATAGGCAACAACTGGATAAAACTAAACTAATTGAACGATTGTTTATTCAAATAATTGTGAACCCAACACAGCCATGCACTTAAAAAAGATTTAAAAAGTCAAAAGAGTCGAGCAAATGTAAACCCTGCAAATGACCGCAAAGCTGCGGGCAGGCTGTCACCCTGTCCCCCCGCTCCCCGTCCCCCCTGTCACTGTCCCCCATCCCCCTGTCCCCCATCCCTGTCCCCAGTAGAAGGCCACCAGCCATGGACAGCACGTGGCTGGTGCCTCCCACAGCTGCCCGACCTCCACACAGAGGAGAGCTCTGGAGAGGGAAGAGCCTCCACCATCCAGAGCAGACAGCATGGGGCGAGGGGGCGTCTCTGGACACTCACGGAGATGAACGAGGCCTGCTGGTGAGGCTGCCTCCAGCAACAGTGAGTGAGGAGGTGCTGCCGGGGTGTTGGGGACCGCTGTAGGTGCTCTCTGAGTCACATGAGGTTTTGAAGGGTTTTGAGGAGGTGAGAAGACACTCAGAGCTTTGTTTTCAGAAGATCCCTCCAGCTGCTGGTAGAGAATGGAGGGAAGTAGGCCTGGGAGCGGGAAGCCCACTGCCTCTGCCCCAAGCTGCAGAGTGGCCATGGGGTTGGAGGGAAGGAAACTGAGCCCCAGTGTCCCAGGAGGCCTTGGAGACTGGCTGGATTGGAGGGGAGGGAGGGAGAATGCCAGAGGAAGACTGACAGCTCAGTCTGGAGACAGGTGAGCAGTGGGTTTGCAGCTGTTCCCTGCAGTGCTACCCACAAGGGTCCCCAGCGACAGCAAAGCATGACACCAAGGAAGCTCACATTTTGAGAATTTTACTTATAAATATCAAAACCACATGGACTCTGGTGACGTCATAATTCACGGTAAACCTCAGCTTTTAAACCAGAGGCTCAGACAATGGTGTGAGTCGCTGACTCACTCGGCAGCTGCAAAGTAAGGGGCGAGCTTGTTTTCCTTGAGCACCTGCTTAGGAGTCCTTTCACAGAGGTTTTTTTTTTTTTGGAGATGGAGTCTCATTGTGTCACCCAGGCTGGAGTGCAGTGGTGCCATCTCAGCTCACTGCAACCTCCACCTCCCAGGTTCAAATAATTCTCCTGTCTCAGCCTCCTAAGTAGCTGGGATAACAGGCATGCACCACCACACCTGGCTGATTTTTGTATTTTTAGTAGAGACCGGGTTTCACTATATTGGTCAGGCTGGTCTTGAACTCCTAACCTCAGGTGACCCACCTGCCTCAGCCTCCCAAAGTGCTGGGATTATAGACATGAGCTACCACGCCCAGCCAGGAGTCCTTTCACAGAAGTTCTGTTTCACAGTAGCACATGGTATACATTGTGGGGCTAGAACGAAGAAAGTGCAACGTTTCCCATATTTTTTGTCTGTTGGAAATGTTACACTAGACACACATCAATTAAGGTGACAGAAAAACTTGTGCAGCCTCCTGGAACAGTGAGCCTTTTTCCTTCTCGATCACTGGGAATAGACATCAATGGGGTTTTGCATATTTCCCTCTCACAGAAATCCTACTGGGCACTTCAGCGTAGCTTACACAGAAAGGCAGGTGCTGCACTCATCACCGAGGGCAAAGAGACACTCACAATGGCAGCTGAGCCGCGGGTGGGGTGTGCTGGGCAGAGCATCAGCTCCTGGGCTAGGGAGCGCAGGGGTGCAGGAGTTGATTTGGGATCCCATAGCTTCACTGGAACACTTTGTAAACTGCAAAATTGTATTTTTTGCAAGGTGGAATTTATTTACTCCTTTCATTTTCTGGGCTTCATTATTCAAATAATTAGTTAAGAGGATCAAAATATGTGTGTGATACTCAGCACATCAGACAATATTCTGCTTCTCATGGGCAAACACAGGGGTGTGAAATTCCTTATCGTTAATAAAAGCAGCTCTGTGGGACCCGTTACGTCCCCAAGCCGGAGCACCACGCTCCTGTGTGGCCTTCCCTTGTGGTTGTCGAATGTTGTCGTTGTTTGCCAAATGTTGGAATGCTTCTCTGTAAAAGAGTTTCTGGGAAAGTACCAAATCCTGAGCCCTGAATTCGTCCCTACTCTATTCACATCCTCCTCACTCCTCAGGACCTGTGAGCCTCAGAGCCACCAGGCAGGGCCTTAGCCTGCATTGTCAACACCACAGCCCCCTACCTAGAGAGTCTCTGGGATGCCACAGGCATGAACAAAATATGGCAGAAGGGTTGAGTGAGTGAATTAATACATTTTCATGATTATTTGACTTCAAAATATTTTCTAAGGCCACATGCAGTTACTCCCTCACTGTGGGATTCATCCACCTTCATAATACTCAACCCCACCCTCCCACACACACAGCAAGGCTTCCTAGGACAGGCTGAGCATCAAGCTTGGGGCTGCCCCATCTCCAGCTTCCCAAGCCCTGAAGCTCAGACATGAATGCTCTGGTCCTGCCCAGTGTCTCCCGGGCCCTGATTTGCACCAGTCCCAAACAAAGCCCTGCACCTCCCGGCCCTTCCCCCGGGCAGTTCCCTCTCCCCCATCAGTGGACCTCAGCACCGCGCCAGACATGCCTGTGGGAGCCCTGTGTGCAGCCAAAAGCAGCCCAACCGTAGGAATCTGAGTTCTTCCTGCCTTGGGTCATCGTTATCGAGCTTTTCTGGGAAATTTGGGATCTTAGTGTCTGGCAAAATTTATATTACTTATTTAAGGCAAGTGTTGCAATTTTCCATTTCATAATCAAGTAAAAGCTAGACATATTCTTACTAGCCATTAAGAGAACCACAAATGATTTGCTAATTTTTTTCAAAGAAATATTTTTATTTCATATGTTGGCACAAAATGTAATAGTTATTTCTGGGTTTGGAGCTTTCCCTGAATAAGAATTCTGGATTTAAAATGTTGAAGACTATTTCAATTTTAAAACTAAAAGAAAATATGCAGAACACTATGAAAAGTTTAATACTGCATAACTTAATGTTATTAAAATGTGTAAAACTTGCAGCATATTAAACTATAAGAGAAACCCAAACTCAAAAAAAGCTACACAAAAGTGGCTACAACTAAAATGGACCTAACATAACTCAAAAATTTCTACTTCTGGCCATAAAACAGTAGATACGGTCTCTGAAACCCCAATGTGGCCCTGATAACAGTCAGTGTGGAGTTGTTAGCATACCAAGAGGAATTCAGCGAAGGGAGGACAGAAAAGCCATCACACTGGTCACCCACTGTGGGCCTCCTGAAATTCTCACCCTGTCTCTGCAGACCTGCCGCACAGATGAGAAAACTGAGTTTCCAGAGAGCTGAATGATTTGGAGTCACACAGACCTACAGCGCGTGTCCCAACCCTGTGCCTCTCATTACATAATAGTGCCTGCTTTGTACAAACATTCACTTTCATTCGTGCATGAATGATTTTTTAAGGAAAAGGTTGTAACAGCTGCCTAAGAGTCAGGGACCAAAGTTAAGGATCCTGGCCCCTCACCGACTTGCTTTAAGACCTTATACCATTCACTCGGCCTCTACGCCTCCTCTTAGGGCCTTTGCTTGCAGAAGATGGTAATTCCACTGACCTGCACCAGCTCACTTGTTGTTAGAGTTAAGTAAGAACATAAAGTAGTGAGATAGGTCGTTTTTCTTTTTATATTTGACTGATGCTTCAAATATAATTTCATTTCATCTGGAATATATTTTGATAGCAATTTTTCTTTACATCATTTTACTGTTAAACACAATAAACAAATAGGATATTGAGACAGAAAAGTTACAAAGATTCTAAACCAATGACTGATGATCTCTGGTATCAAATTTCCTATTAGTTTTGAAGGCCTGGCTGGAAACCCCCTTTTGCTCCATTTTTATTTCTGACATTGACCCTGCCCCAACCCTGCATAAACCTAGGAGGAGATAATCATGGCCCCGTGTGATCCTGGGGGGAGATAATCATGACACCGTGTGATCCCGGGGGGAGACAATCGTGACACCGTGTGATCCTGGGGGGGAGATAATCATGGCACCGTGTGATCCTGGGGGGAGATAATCATGGCCCCGTGTGATCCCGGGGGAGATAATCATGGCCCCGTGTGATCCTGGTGGGAGATAATCATGACACCGCGTGATCCTGGGGGAGACAATTGTGACCCCGTGTGATCCTGGGGGGGAGATAATCATGGCCCCGTGTGATCCTGGGGGGAGATAATCATGGCCCTGTGTGATCCCGGGGGAGATAATCATGGCCCCGTGTGATCCTGGGGGAGACAATCGTGACACCGTGTGATCCTGGGGGGAGATAATCATGACACCGTGTGATCCTGGGGGGAGATAATCATGGCCCCGTGTGATCCTGGGGGAGATAATCATGGCCCCGTGTGATCCTAGGGGAGGCAATCATGACACCGTGTGATCCCGGGAAGAGATAATCATGACACCGTGTGATCCTGGTGGGAGATAATCATGGCCCCGTGTGATCCTGGGGGAGATAATCATGGCCCCGTGTGATCCTGGGGGAGATAATCACGACACCGTGTGATCCTGGGGGAGATAATCACGACACCGTGTGATCCTGGGGGAGATAATCATGGCCCCGTGTGATCCCGGGGGGAGATAATCACGACACCGTGTGATCCTGGGGGGAGATAATCATGGCCCCGTGTGATCCTGGGGGGAGATAATCACGACACCGTGTGATCCTGGGGGGAGATAATCACGACACCGTGTGATCCTGGGGGGAGACAATCATGGCCCCGTGTGATCCTGGGGGAGATAATCATGGCCCCGTGTGATCCTTGGGGTAGATAATGATGACCCTGTGTAATCGTTGGGGTAGATAATCATGGCCCTGCGTAATCCTAGGGTATATAATCATGGCTCCACCTAACCCTGGGAGGAGATAATCATGATCTGTGTCATCCTAGGAGGAGATAATCATGGCTGCGCATTGGGACGCCTCCTTTTCTCGGCTGGAAGATGTGCCCGGAGCGGACTGAAGTCACTGCTCTTGGTGCATCTGGAATGTCCTTCCAGTGCCTGCTTCTTCCTTTCAATGAGCTCCCTCTGCCCTTGGAACCCAATTCTCTCCTCAGCAGCAGCTCAGAAGATGACATATCTGTTTTTCCTAAAACCGAACCCTGGTGACCAAACCCTTGATCATGGCCTCAGAATCAGAGAAGTGTTTTTCTCCCTCTCTTTCCACCTTCCGCTCTTTGAATTCTCCTCTGTCCACTCCTTTTCCCAGTTTTCCTTGTTTCTCTCCCTCTCTTTCCACCTTCCGCTCCTTTGAATTCTCCTCTGTCCACTCCTCTTCCCAGTTTTCCTTGTTTCTCTCCCTCTCTTTCCACCTTCCGCTCCTTTGAATTCTCCTCTGCCCACTCCTCTTCTCATCTCCCCATCTTCCTGTATAATGGGCTTTATGCCTTTGCTTCCCCAAGCCCACTCTGTATTTCCTCCGTCTTTCATGATGAACTTTTTCAGGGCAGGTGGTGCATACGGACCTCCCTAACCTCTCCTCCACCCCTTTTTCTACAACTCCAGTTCTCAGCATCTGTGCTCAGCAGTCCCTGGGAAACACGCTCTCCTGAGGTGCCATTAACATTCTTATCTCCAGACAGAACAGTCTCTCCTCAAATCCCAATTTTGTTGGCTTCTATGCAAAGAGAAGCAGGAGGTAAAGAGATCTCTTCCCTGGCTCATCCCAGTGGGGAACCTGCGGACTCTGCCAATGAAGAAATGCTGAAGAATTGCAAGAAGGACACTGCTCCAAAGGAGAGGAGAGGAGTACAGATGCAAAAGGAGCTGTGCACAGCGGGAAAGGTGGCAGGAGCTGCACAGACACCCATTCCAGCGTCATTCTTGCTGCCTGTAATCAATTCCTGTTCCCTTATTCTGGTGGTCAGTGTTCCTCAACAAATCACGCAGAGCCCCTTCCAACAACTGGGTAATCTTTTTGGCAAAACAGATTCTGTGCTCTCCAGGGAATCTCAATCTGTGATATGAGATGCCGTCTTGAATTCAAAATGGTGAACCTCTCGGAAGACTCTTCTAATTTAGGTACATTGGATTCTAGCTCTTTTGGATGAAAGTGGGAGAAACACAGCTTAGAGACCAGAGAACATTCTCAGCACCTGATCACATCATTGTAGTCCTAGATGTCCACTCAGAGGTCTTTGCTGAGCACCAACCACTCTTGGAGGAGAACTGCTTGGAAACCAGGATGTAGATGCACAAATGTGCTCTGCCCTGACTCAGCTTGGAGCCCCCATCAGAGCTGTCTCCCTTTCCAGGAGAGTCTGCCTATCACAGACACTCTTAGTTCCCTGGACTGTGTCTTTTTTGACGAGCTCTGGTGTGAGCTACAGTGACAATGGACATTCCTATCACTCTTGACGGCATCCTACCTCAAGTAAACACTGTGTTTCTCACATTTTCTAAACCTACAGGTGGAGGCAGCCCAGAATTATGGGCAATTAAAGGCATGGAGAGTGAGGGAGTGGGAGGTGAGCTGATGAATAAATGCCTCAGACTCCTTCAGCTGAACATTTCTTCCTGGTTCCTCAACAGGATCCTGGGAAAATTGAGCTTCAGTTGCCCACAGCAGTAACCAACTCAATAATGTACACTTTAAATCTCTCTTGTAGGTTCCCTGCTCCCGGGTTCAGCTTCCTGGGGTCACCTCCAAAAAAAAAATGACTTGACCTCAAGCTCAGATCCAATGCTCTGCTTTAAGACAAAGCCCAATGAAAGTTTTCTTCATAGTTAGAGAATAAACACAAGGAAACTAATTGTATTATTATCAAGGCTATAATTATCATACTTTCATCAACATGAAACCATGATCATCCAGGCCCGAGAGAGCACTCCCACACAGATGCTCATGGGCCTTATGGGAAGCCCTCTCCCCTGCAGCTGGGCTCGGACCCTCACTCTCCACCTCCCCCTAGCCCTCAGCCCTAGGGCAGGCCATCCTTTTTCCAGTAACACAGTTTTGTTTTGTTTTGTTTTGTTTTTTCCCGAGTCAGCTACAATGGAGCATATTTAAGTTTTGAAAGTGCATTCCATTGGAAAGTTACACCCAGGACATTTTAAGATTTGGGTGTTTCTTAAACTCTTTAGTGTCCCATTCAGAGGTTATTGCATGGGAGTTGCCTTTGTGATGGTTGAGCTCATCCACCCTACACTGGTTTATCCTAGGCAAATTCTCCAAGGGTCCCACATTTTATTCCTTCTTAGAGGCTCCTGTCTGTGCTCCTCCCACCTCTCCCTGGGTCTGGCAAGAGACAGGGGCCTCAAGATGCCTGACTGCCTAAGGTAAGGGGAAAGTGCCGTGCACGCTACCGAGGCCTGGAATGTATCCTTTCCAAACACCCGTGGCCTAGCTTTATTCCTGCTGAAAGTGTAATGAAAGTTTTTATTATAAAGAGGTTATGGTATCTCACTGTGGTTTTGATTTGCATTTCTCTAATGATCAGTGATGTTGAACTTTTTTTCATGTTTGTTGACCATATGTATGTCTTCTTTTGAAAAGTGTCTGTTCATGGCCTTTGCCCACTTTTTAATGGGGTTACTTTTAGCTTATAAGTTTTTTATAGATTCTGAATATTAGACCTTTATCAGATGTGGTCTGCAAAAATTTTCTCCCATTCTGTAGGTTGTCTGTCTACTTTGTTGATAGTTTGTTTTGTCATGCAGAAGCTCTTTAGTTTAACTAGGTCCCATTTGTCAATTTTTGTTTTTGTTGGAATTGCTTTTGGCATGTTTGTCATGAAATCTTTGCCAGGGACTTTGTGCAGAGTGGTATTTCCTAGGTTATATTCCAGGGTTTTTATAGCTATAGATTTTATATTTAAGCCTTTAATCTATCTTGAGTTGACTCACATGAGGCAGGGTGGCTATTTTTATTTTCATTTTTATTATTATTATTATTATACTTTAAGTTTTAGGGTACATGTGCACAATGTGCAGGTTAGTTACATATGTATACATGTGACATGCTGATGCGCTGCACCCACTAACTCGTCATCTAGCATTAGGTATATCTCCCAGTGCTCTCCCTCCCCCCTCCCCCCACCCCACAACAGTCCCCAGAGTGTGATGTTCCCCTTCCTGTGTCCATGTGTTCTCATTGTTCAATTCCCACCTATGAGTGAGAATATGCAGTGTTTGGCTTTTTGTTCTTGTGATAGTTTACTGAGAATGATGATTTCCAATTTCATCCATGTCCCTACAAAGGACATGAACTCATCATTTTTTATGGCTGCATAGTATTCCATGGTGTATATGTGCCACATTTTCTTAATCCAGTCTATCACTGTTGGACATTTGGGTTGGTTCCAAGTCTTTGCTATTGTGAATAGTGCCACAATAAACATACGTGTGCATGTGTCTTTATAGCAGCATGATTTGTAGTCCTTTGGGTATATACCCAGTAGTGGGATGGCTGGGTCAAATGGTATTTCTAGTTCTAGATCCCTGAGGAATCGCCACACTGACTTCCACAATGGTTGAACTAGTTTACAGTCCCACCAACAGTGTAAAAGTGTTCCTATTTCTCCACATCCTCTCCAGCACCTGTTGTTTCCTGACTTTTTAATGATTGAGGATGGCTATTTTTAAAAAGCCAAAAAATAACAGGTGCTGGTACAGTTGCAGAGAGAAGAGGACATGTACATACCGCATGTGGGAATGTAACTTAGTTCAGATGTTATGGAAAGCAATTTAGTGGTTTCTCAAAGAACTTAACCATTCAACCCAGCAATCCCATTACTGGGTATATACCCAAAGGAATATAAATTATTCTACCAGAAAGACACATGTACCCATGTGTTCATTGCAGCACTGTTCACAATAGCAAACACGGCGTCAACCTAAATGCCCATCACCGGTGGACTGGATAAAGAAAATGTGGTGCACACACACCATGGAATACAACGCTAAAGAAAATGTGCACACACACCATGGAATACCACGCTAAAGAAAATGTGCACACACACCATGGAATACCACGCTAAAGAAAATGTGCACACACACACCATGGAATACAACGCTAAAGAAAATGTGGTGCACACACACCATGGAATACAACGCTAAAGAAAATGTGGTGCACACACACCATGGAATACGACACTAAAGAAAATGTGGTGCACACACACCATGGAATACGATGCTAAAGAAAATGTGCACACACACCATGGAATACCACGCTAAAGAAAATGTGCACACACACCATGGAATACAACGCTAAAGAAAATGTGCACACACACACACCATGGAATACGATGCTAAAGAAAATGTGCACGCACACCATGGAATACGACGCTAAAGAAAATGTGCACGCACACCATGGAATACGACGCTAAAGAAAATGTGCACACACACCATGGAATACGACAATAAAGAAAATGTGCACACACACCATGGAATACGACAATAAAGAAAATGTGCACACACACCATGGAATACGGTGCTAAAGAAAATGTGCACACACACACCATGGAATATGACGCTAAAGAAAATGTGGTGCACACACACCATGGAATATGATGCTAAAGAAAATGTGCACACACACCATGGAATATGACACTAAAGAAAACGTGGTGCACACACACCATGGAATACGACGCTAAAGAAAATGTGGTGCACACACACCATGGAATACGACGCTAAAGAAAATGTGGTGCACACACACCATGGAATACGACGCTAAAGAAAATGTGGTGCACACACACCATGGTATACGACGCTAAAGAAAATGTGCACACACACCATGGAATACCACGCTAAAGAAAATGTGCACACACACCATGGAATACGACGCTAAAGAAAATGTGCACACACACACCATGGAATACGATGCTAAAGAAAATGTGCACACACACACCATGGAATACGACGCTAAAGAAAATGTGCACTCACACCATGGAATACGACGCTAAAGAAAATGTGCACACACACCATGGAATACCACGCTAAAGAAAATGTGGTGCACACACACCATGGAATATGATGCTAAAGAAAATGTGCACACACACCATGGAATACGACGCTAAAGAAAATGTGGTGCACACACACCATGGAATACGACGCTAAAGAAAATGTGGTGCACACACACCATGGTATACGATGCTAAAGAAAATGTGCACACACACCATGGAATACGACGCTAAAGAAAATGTGCACACACACCATGGAATACGACGCTAAAGAAAATGTGCACACACACACCATGGAATACGACGCTAAAGAAAATGTGCACACACACCATGGAATACGACGCTAAAGAAAATGTGCACACCATGGAATATGACGCTAAAGAAAATGTGGTGCACACACACCATGGAATATGATGCTAAAGAAAATGTGCACACACACCATGGAATATGACACTAAAGAAAACGTGGTGCACACACACCATGGAATACGACACTAAAGAAAATGTGGTGCACACACACCATGGAATACGACGCTAAAGAAAATGTGGTGAACACACACCACGGAATACTACACAGCCATAGTGAAGTACAAGGGCATTTCTTCTGCAGCAGCGTGATGGAGCTGGAGGCCACTGTCCTTAGCAAACTAACACAGGAACAGAAAACCAAATACCACAGGTTCTCACTTATAAGTGGGAGCTAAATAATGAGAACACATGGACACATAGAGGTGAACAACACACACTGAGGCCTACTTGAAGGGGAGCGTGAGAGGAGGGTGAGAATCAAAAAACTACGTATCAGGTGCTGTGCCCATTACCTGGGTGACTAAGTAATCAGTACATCAAACCCATGTGACATACAATTAACCTATATGAATCTGCACTTGAATCCCTGAACCTAAAATAAAAGTTAAAAAACAAACAATAAAGAGGCTACAGTATAAAAGGCTATTTGTGAGTTCCACTTGTGAATAAGCAGCCTACAACTGATATACGTCGTCTATGCAAAGTTGTTTCACAAGAAAACTGAGCATCTGGTGATCTTTGCTCCTGACTCTTCTTGCTTACTTTTAATTATTTTAGAAATTCTATACAAATTTTTTTTTTAATTTTGTTTTTATGAAATAGAGTCTCTCTCTGTCACACAGGCTGGAAAGCATTGGTGCAATCATGGCTCGCTGAAGCTTTGACCTCTCAGGCACAAGCAATCCTCCTGCTTCAGCCTCTCAAGTAGCTGGGACTACAGGTGCTCACCACCATGCCTGGCTAATTATTTTTTAAATTTTGTGTAGAGACAGGGTCTCACTATGTTGCCCAGCCTTGTCTATAACTGCTGGCTCAAGCAGTCCTCCTGCCTTGGCCTCCCAAAGTGCCACCATGTGAACCGCCATGCCTGGCTTAAATTTTTTTTTATTGGTGATCAATGATTGTACGTATTTCTGGAGTACATGTGATGTGCAAAGATGCTTGTAATCTGAGTCTACAATTTTCCTCATAAGCAGGTTTACATTAACCTTCACAAGTACTTGTGTACACACACACAGAAACACGAAATGTGATGGTCAAGATGAAAATGACCACGTATTCTGCTTTTGACATCTTTTGATTTGGGGCAGAATCAATGTGCCTTTTCTCTGCTTGTAGCTTTGTTGATGCTGAGGTAAATCACATGTTGAAAGCATGTAAGGACAGAAAGTTCTGTCGATGAACGGTCAATCACCTTTGAACGTCTGCTCCCTCTCTTTGAGGGAAATGCTTTAGGGCAGGTGAATATTCCTGAGTATTCCTTGGAGACGCTTGTGTTCCAGAATTACAACCAAGACCTTTGCTTTCATGCCACGTCAGGAACATGTGTCCTCTGCTCTTTTCCTCTCAGCCTCAGGGGTGCAGATGTTGGGCTGCGACATGTCTCAAGGAGACAGTTTACCCCTTCAAGATCCCACAGATCCTTTCTGCATTCCCTGTGAGTGTGCTGACCCTATGCAATTGCAAAGCCACGAGGCCAAGCTTGTGGCCTCTGCTCCCCTTGGGGCCATCTGGGGGGTCTGGTAAATACTGCTCATCTCCACCCTTAGAATCACCCTGGTGCAGGCTGCACCAGACCTGCCTCCCAGTGCTGGAGAGGGGACACCAGGGGTAGAAGTCCCCATAGACAGCCCGGTCAGTGCAGCCATCTCTTCCTCCTGCGCCATCACATCTTTTGAGGGAAGCATCTTCACCTGCTCATTACCTGCAGGCTGAGATCCCAGGCTCTATACACAGTTGATGGACTGGGTTAGGGGCAAGCGTGAGTAGGGCCCAAGCTCCAGGCACATGTGACTCTGTGTCAGTTCCCATTCCTCTGGGAAGCATTTTTCCAACTCCCCATAGCTGGACCCTGCCTTGCGTCTTCAATGCAACTCTCCCTGGGTGGGCGCTTTCCTGCCCCCACTCTCCATCGCCCTCTCCAAGGGGGGTTCTATGCACAGCTCCCTCCCCCAAACCCCTCTGCCCACCCTCTAGCTCCCGCTAGCCATTTTATTATTCATCTAATAGCTACTCCAAAACACCTCAAATTAGCCATTTTGTTTCTTCTATTGAATTAATTTAATTCTTACAATAGCCCCATGAGGAATATATTATTTCTGCTATATCACAGATGAGGAAATTGAAGCCCAGGGGAAGCTAGTGACTTTCCCAGGGACACACAAGCAGTCAGTGGCTGGGCCAGACTGAGGGACATGGCCCCCTGTGCTCACCAGCCTCAACACGATACACGCTCCCAAAAAGCTTCACATTTCCTCAAAGGTGAGGTCAATAACATACTTCTCTGCAAATAAAAAATAATAATTAAATTTCACTGACTGCATATTATGTGTGAGGGAATCTGCAAACAGCTTCACCCATGTCCCGTCATTCTGGCATCAAAACACTCAGTCAGGTGCTGAAATGGGCATCCTCACTCCACACGTGAGAACCTGGAGGCACCCAAAAGCCAGGCAGTGGACACCCTGGAATTTACTCATCCCTACCTCGGGCAGGAGTCCTACCCTCATGCCATCAGCCTCCCCAGGTACACAGAGGATGTGTAATCATTACCTACCCAGGCAACAATTGAACTGAGCTAAGCTTTGGGTGGTATAAGATGCACTAACATTTAGACATGCCAGGATTCCAGCTGGGGCAAGCACATTCTCCTCCAGTGAAGCCACGAAGCCCCACTCTGCTCCTGAGAGGCCAAGAAAGAGACGGGCAGATGGTGAAGCCATCAAACAGCCCTCTGGACACAGCCCGGGAGCCCTGGCCAACAACACCATCCATCCCAAAAGCCAGCTTGGTAGTTCCCACCCTCATTCCTCATCAAAAGAAAGCATGATTACTCTGGCAGGAAAGAGCGGCTTCCCAAAATCCAAACTGGCAAGATGGTGGAATTCCTCATAAGAAAACTCCAGATGCTCCTGAGCTTGCTCTCCGGCAGAACGTCCTCAGCACATCTGGTCTGCGCTGTTGGATGAGACACACAACACAGCACCCACGGCAAGGTCCAGAATCCCTGTGGGCTGTGAGGTCCAGAATCCCTGTGCTGCCACAGCTGGGCACGGGCTGAGGGACCTCAGACAGGGCCTCCACGATTCTGAGCCCCAGCTTCCTCATGTGAGACCCAGAAATAGGTAGTGAACACAGGAATGATTTAAAAAATGTAATGGGCATGTAGCATCTACTCAGGGCTGGACACAGCCTTCAGTCACTGAATATACGTACACACACATACACACACGAAGCGCTATGGTATGTCAAGAAACATTCTGTCCAATACAACAGTTTTTAGAAATTTTAAGATCATGACCCCTTCAAGAAACAATGAAAGCAATGGAATCACCAGCCAGAAAAACAAAAGGCACTGTATATAGAATAATCCAGTATGGAGCATCCCGGGAGCCTGGCAGCGGGTGGAGAATCTCCGTGAGAATGTGACGAGTCCATACCTTTAGTCGCACGGTGCAGACCCCCGATGGGAACTGCAGAGGGCCTAGCAGAGGGGCCCTGGGAAAATTTAGGGGAGGCCACAGGAGGCCCAACATCGCTCAGAATGAAGATCCTCAGCCTACAATTTTCTCCTTAGCTACTTTTCTAGCGCTTCCTTCGCAAACAGAGGCAGCAGACTCAGGCAGCCACCTGCACTGCTCTGCCTCCAGCGCAGGCCTCCCGCGGCTGCTTCTCCTCTGCCTCTTGAAACTTGTCTGTGCACAAAAGCAGAGTGGAGGGAAAAGAACACACACGTGTGGGAAACTCTGTGCTGTGCACACGCGTGCATTAAATACACAGCCTCATTTGGCCTCGTGGAAACTCAGGGAGGCAGACAGTGTGTTCCCATCTTAGAGACGGGAGCAGTGAGGCTCAGTGAACATAAGTTACAGTGTGGGTGGCGTGGTGAAGCTGACATCACATGTGGCCGCCCCACTCCAGAGTGTAGTCTTCCCTCCACGTCTGCATCACCACCGGAGAGCAGCAGGCGTGAGAACAGGTGGACCTGGGGGAGCAGGGAGACTCGGGACTTCTCATGGCCTGGTCTGCCGTGGTCCACATGCTTACCTTGGTTTCTCAGCTGTATTGAGGGATACTTGGTGTTTGAGGCTGATCTCACACTGCTATAAAGAAATGCTTGAGACTGGGTAGCTTATAAAGAAGAGGTTGCATTGGCTCACGGTTCTGCAGGCTATGCAGGAAGCATGATGCTGCTCAACTTCTGGGGAGGCCTCAGGAAACTTACAATTACGACAGAAGGCGAAGGGGAAGCCAGCGCATCGTACATGGCTGGAGCAGGAGGAAGGAGGGAAAGGGAGGTATCACACACTTTTAAACAACCAGATCTCACGAGAACTCACTATCACAAAAACAGCACCCAGGGGATGGCACTAACCCATTCATGAGAGCTCCACCCCCATGACCCATTCACCTCTCACCAGGCCCCACCTCCAACACTGAGGATTACAATTCGACGTGAGATTTGGGCGGGGACACAGATCCAAACCATATCCATTGGTAAATGAACATTGTTTGCATTCAAGGTGTACAATGTGATGGTTCTATACGTATACACTGTGAGATGTTGACCCCAGTACAGCTGCTTAACGTGTTTATCACCTTACATAGTTACTGGGTGCGTGTGCATGCATGTGGTGAGAATACAAGATCTACTCTCCGCAAATTTTAAGTATTCAATACATTATACATTAGTTTGAGATGTAGTCACTGTTCTGTACACTAGGTTCTCAGAAACTGTTAATTTTATATGTATAAGATGATATATGTTTAGGCCTAAAGGCTTAGGCCTTTGCTCAAAGAAAAAGAAATGTCTTAAGGTGAGTTTATTAGTCTGACAATTTCATTTACTGAGTGTTTACTATAGTTATGATTGCTTCCCATTTTTTTCTTTCTTTTTTTTTTTTTTGAGATGGAGTCTCACTCCGTCGCCCAGTCTGGAGTGCAGTGGTGTGATCTCGGCTCACTGCAACCTCCACCTCCTGGGTTCAAGCAATTATCCTGCCTCAGCCTCCTGAGTAGCTGGGATTACAGGTGTCTGCCACCAGACCCGGCTAATTTTTTTTGTATTTTTAGTAGACATGGTGTTTCACCATGTTGGACAGGCTGGTCTCAAACTCCTGACCTCAGGTGATCCACCCAACTTGGCTCCACAAAGTGCTGGGATTACAGGCGTGAGCCACCACACCAGCCTCTTTTTTTCTTATTAAAGTGAAATTCACATAATGTTAAATTAACAATTTTAAAGTATGCAATTCAATGGCACAGTACATTCACAATGTTGTTAAACTATCACCAAGCATATTCATCACCCCAGAAGAAAATCTTGTACCCAATTAGCAGTCACCCTCATTTTCCCCTGCCCCCAGCCCCAGCAAATGCCAATCAGCATTCTGTCTCTATGGATATACTTTTTCTGTACATTTCATATAAACAGAATTATATCTATTGTGACCTTTGTGTCTGGCTTCTTTCACTTTGCACAATGTTTTAGGGGATTATCCATGTTGTAGCTGTATCAGTATTAAATTACTTTTTACAGATGAGCAAAATGTTGCTGTATGTACATGCCACATTGTGCTTAGCCATTTATCCATGGATGAACATTTGGGTTGTTTACATGTTTGGGCTACTGTGAATAATGCTGCTATGGACATTCAGGTATGAAACTATGTTTGTAGATCTGTTTTCAGTTATTTTGGTTATATATCCCTAAGAGTGAAACTTTGGGATCATGTGGTAATTCCACACTTAACGTTTTGAGGAAATGTGAAGCTGTTTTCCAGGGCAGCTGCACCATTTTACATTCCTACCAACAGTGATATATGGGGGTTCCAATTTCTCACTAATACTTCCCTTTTTAATTATTATTATCACCATTCCAGTGAGTGGCAGGTGGCACCCCAATGTGGTTTCCATTTTCATTTCCCTAATGACTGATGAGGTCGAGGGTTTTTTCATGTTATCTTTGGCCATTTGTATAACTTCTTTGGGGAAATGTCTATTCAAATCCACTGACTATTTTTGAGTTGAGTTCTTTGTCTTTTAGTTGTTGAGACACTAGACACTTATAAAATATATAATTTGCAAATATTCATCCCATTGAGTCATACATCTTTTTACTTTCATAAGTAAATAGTTTACTTATGAGATTACACAAAAGGTTTTAATTTTATTTTAATAGAGACCAATTTATCTAGTTTTGTTTGTCATTGCTCATGCTTTCAGTGGCATATCTAAGAATCCATTGCTGAATCTAAGGCCTCGAAAATTTACCCCTATGTTTTATCGAAGAGTTTCATAGTATTAGCCCTTACAGTAGGTCACCAATACATTTCTAAGTTGATTTGTGTATAGAATGTGAGGTAGGAACCATTTCTTTCTTTTGTATGTAGAGATCCAGTTGTCCCAGGGCCACCTGTGGAAGAGCCTGCTCCTTCCTCATTCAATGGTCTTAAGACTCCATTGAAATCAATTCACTATACATATATGTGTTTCTTTCTGGACTCTCAGTTATGCTTCATTGGTCTATGTGTTTATCTGTATGTCCATGCTACACTATTTGATTATGGTAGCTTTGTAGTAAGTTTTGAAATCAAGAAGTGTAAATCCTCCAACTTTGTTCTTCTTTTTCAATCTTGTTTTGAATTTTTAGAAGACATTGTAATTACATATGAATCTGAGTATAATTTTTTCTAATACTGCCAAAAACCACCCAACCATCAGAATTTTGAAAGCAATTGTACTGAATCTGTGGATTACTGTGGGGCAGTATTACCATCTTTACAATATTAAGTAGGTGATGTCAGCAATAAAGCAAAATAGAAGGTAACTAGCTCATATCCTCCCACAATAAGAATTCTGCATGCATCCACAATCAAGTCTCTGCTGGAGCCTCAAGATTCAGGTAGGAGTTTGGAGCCCAACACTGTGGAGGGTCATTTTAAGAGTTCAGACCCACTCTCGGGTGGCTGGTCTGCTGAACTTGCTCCCAGGCTCAAACCCAGAAATGACTCAGTCTTCCAAGGGGTTTGGCTACAGCCCCATTTTGGCCTTGAGGCTGTAATCCAAACCACCTGCCAAGGGATCTGGAAGGAATCACACACACTAGGGTCTTGGCAGAAGGGCTCATCTGCCTGCTAACATCAGTCTCAGTGGTGAACCTGACAGTTTCCCTATAGTTCAGTCCCAGTGCGCCCAAGCTGAGGTGCCAGCTCAGAGCTGCTTGCACAAGGACCCAGAGAGAGATTCACCCATCTGTGGCAGCCCGGGTGTCTGAGACTGCCTGATAGGATTGCCAACCTCTCTCCCACAGCAGATCCTTAGGTGACCTGGCCTCAGCTCTGACCCCTTCTGCTACAATCAGAGAACTATCCCATCTATACTGAGACCTGCAGGGAGATTTGCACCCTTCTGAGGCAATGAGACCAGACTCTCCAGCCCGCATGCCACAGCAGATCCTCAGGGGACCCAGTCTCAGCTTGGCCCCTTCTGATACAATCAGAGAACTAGCCCATCTATACTGAGACCTGCAGGGAAATGTGCACCCCTCTGAGCCACTGACACCAGGCTCTCCAGCCTGCATTCCACGGCAGATCCTCAGGGGGCCCAGGCTCAGCTCTGGCCCCTCCTGCTATAGTTGGTGAGCCATCTCATTGATGCGGGAACTTGCTAGGCAACATGCATCACTCTAAACCAAGATCAGGCTCTCCAACCTCTGTGCCACAACAGATTCCAAAGGGGCCCATTCCCAGCTCCAGCCCCTTCTGCTGCAGTTATGGAATGATTTTATCTGTGCAAGAACTGCTTGGGAGATACATACCCACCTGAGCCAATGTGAAAGACCCATAAGCCTTCTTCCAACAGCAGATTTCTAGGGGACCCAGTCTCAATTTCAGCCACTCTTGCTGCACTTGGGAACCCAGCCCAACTGTGCAGAGACCTGTTGGGTGGCACATCCATCTGGGCCATTGACACAGCCTTCTGGACTCAGCTTCCTGGCCAGCATTCCCACACAGCCCAAGTACATTCCCTGGGTCTTCCCCAAGGAAGACATGGGGAAAGTCATGTCAACCTCAGAGTCTTTACAAGACTTGTAGCAAGCCTAGACTTAGAGTGTCTTCTAGTGCAAATATGGCTGCAGTGGTCACAGGCTCAGGGAACTCAACAGTCAATCTACTTAGAATATACTTTTTCTATTTAGAAGAAGGACAGGCACAAACAAAGCCAGACTGTGAAGACTAAAATAAATACGTAATCTTTCAATGTGCTGACATTACCACATATCCATAAGCATCAAGGACATTCAAAAAAATGTGACTTCACCAAACTGACAGATTAAGGTGCCAGAGATCAACCCTAAAATGATGGAGATATGTAATCTCTCAGACAATTAAGTCAAAATAGTAGTTTTAAGAAAGTTTGATGAACTTCAAGAAAATACAAAGTATCAATTCAGAAATTTATCAGAGAAATTTAACAGAGAGATTGAAATAAATTTTGGGAAAAATCAAACAGAAATCCTGTGCAGAAAATAACAATGAATAATATGAGAAATGAAATAAACAGTATCAATAACAGAAATTGACCAAAGAGAAGAAAGAATCAGTGAGCTTGAAGAATAACAGTTTGAGGGAAAAAAAGGAAAGAAAAGAGAAGGAAAAGGTGAAATGGAATGAAGAAAGCTTTATAGGTTCTATGGAATGACATGCAAAAATCAAATATTCAGGTTATTGAAGATAAAGAGAAAACTGAAAAATAAAAAAGGGTAGAAACCTTATGCAAAAACA
Organism: Homo sapiens; assembly: GCF_000001405.40. Lineage (NCBI taxonomy): Eukaryota > Metazoa > Chordata > Mammalia > Primates > Hominidae > Homo > Homo sapiens. The sequence goes on from NC_000006.12 coordinate 169,207,070, forward strand.
TAAGGCTGGGTGCAGTCACTCATGCCTATAATCCCAAGAGTTTGCAAGGCCGAGGCAGGAAAATCACTTAAGCCCAGGAGTTTGAGGCCACCTTAGACAACACAAGTGAGTTCTTGTGTCTCCAGTAATTTTTTTAAAAATTAGCCAGGCATCACGGTTTATGCCTGTACTTCCAGCTATTCGGGAAGCTGAGGTAGAAAGATCCCTTGAACCTGGGAGAGTAAGGCTGCAGTAAGCCAGGATCTCTCCACTGTACTCCAGCCTAGGCAACAGTGAGATCCTGTCTTAAAATAATAATTATCATTATTAATTATTAATAATAATAGAAAACTTTCAAAATCTGGAGAAAGATATGAATATCCAGGTATAGGAAGGTCAAAGTCACCAGTCAGGTTCCACCAAATTAAAAATACTCCAAAACATGCTACAAGTACACTCCAAGGTCAAAAACAAAGATAAGCTCTTGAAAGTGACAGAAGTGTGAGAGAAGTGTAGGAAATGGCATATAAGGAAGATCCAATATGCCTAGCAGCAAACTTTTCAGCAGAAACTTCACAGGTAGGAAGGGAATGGGACAATATATTCAGAGTGCTGAAGAAAAAATACTGTCAACCAGGAATACTACACCCAGCAAATATGCTCTTTAAAAATGAAGGGGAGATAAAAAAACTTGACCAGAAAAACAAAAGCTGAGAAAATTTATTGCTACCAAACATGTTCTACAGGAAATGCTAGAAAGGGTTTTTAAAACTGAAAGAAAATAATGCTAATGTGATTGCTACACTAATATGGTAATCATGGTGTGTAAACTATTTGTGTATTTACTAAGAAGACTAAAAGGAAAAGCAATTGAAGTAAAAATGAATACAACAATATTTGAGAAATTGACAATATTAAAAATATGAATTGTGACATCAAGATTTAAAATGTAGTGGGAGAAGGGAGTTAATGCATACAGGTTTTCCTGGTTATTTCTTTCTTTTCATTTGTCATCAAAGTTAAGTTGGTATCAATTTTAAATAACTACTTATAATTATAGAATGCTTTTTGTAAGAATCATGGTAACCACAAAGCCAAAGTCTATAATAGGTACACTAAAAATAAAATTCAATGAGTTAAAACATACAACCAGAAGAAACCACTTAACCACAAAGGAAGGCAGAAAAAAAAAGAAGAAAGGAAAAGAAGAGTTACAAAACAACTAGAAAACAAGTAAGAAAATGGTAGTTGAAAGTCCTTACCTATGAATAATAACATTGAATGTAAATGGAATAATTATTCAATTCAAAGACATAGAGTGGCTGAATGACTTTTCTTCAAAAGAAAAATCAGCTATGTGCTGCCTTCAAGAAACTCATTATGTCTATAAAGTCACACATAGACTGAGAGTGAAAGAATAAAAAAGATATTTCATGCAAATGCAAGCCAAAAAAAGGGCAGGAGTAACTGTACTCATATCAGATAAAATAGATCTTAAGTCAAAAACTGTAGAAAGAGACAAAGAAAATTATGATAAAGGAAATTTATCAATTCAGCAAGAGGAAATAAATAAGCACTCAACACCACAGCGTGCAAATATATAAAGCAAATACCAATAGAACTAAAGGGAGACATAGATTGCAATACAATAATAGTAGGATAGTTCAACACCCACTTTCAACAGGGGACAAATCATCCAGGCAGAAAACCAGCGAAGAAACATTGGAGTTAAATTACACTCTAGATCAAATGGACCTAACAGACTATTACAGAATATCTTATCCAACTGCTGCAGAACTTATATTCTTCTCCTCAGCATATGGAACATTCTTCAGGATAGACCACATGTTAGGCAATAAAACAAGTCTCAGGAAATTTAAAACAATTGAAATCATATCAAGTATCTTTTCTGACCACAAGGAATAAAGCTAGAAATCAATAATAAGAGGAACTTTCAAAACTGTACAAATATGTGGAAATTAAACAACATGCTCATGAATGACTAATGGATCAATAAAGAAATTAAGAAAGAAATTACAAAATTTATTAAAACAAACAAAAATGGAAATACACCACATCAAAAGCTATGGGATACTTTTAAGAGGGAACTTCATAGCAATAAATATCTATATCAGAAAAGTAGAAAGACTTAAAATAAACAACTTAACAATGCACTGCAGGAACTAGAGAAGTAAGAATAAACCAAAAGCAAAATTAATAGAAAGAAAGATATAATGAAGTACAGAAAAGAAATAAATAAAATTGAAACTAAAAAATACAAAATATCAACAAAACAAAATGTTAGTTTTTTGAAAAGATATACAAAATCAACACCCTTAGCCAGACCCAGTGAAAAAGAGAGAAAACCCAAATAAATAAAAGCAGAGATAAAAAAGGAAACATCACAATTTATTCCACAGAAATTCTAAAGCTAATTAGAAACTAAACAACTACATGCCAACAAATTGGAAAACAATGATAAGAAGTGAATAAATTTCTGCACACACACAACCCACAAATATTGAACCATGAAGAAATCACCAATAATAAGTAACAACATTAAAGCACTAATGAAAAATCTCCCATCAAAAAAAAAAACCTCAAGACTTGATGGATTCACTGCTCAATTCATCAAACACTTAAGTAGGAAGTAATACCAATTCTACTGAAACTATTTCAAAAAACTGAAGAGGAGGAAATGCTTTCAAACTCATTCTATAAGGCCAGCGTTACCCTGATGCCAGAATCAGACAAGGACACACACACACACACACACAAACTATAGGCCAATAACCCTAATACACATGGATGCAAAAATTCTCAACAAAATACTAGCAAACTGAATTTAACAACACATTAAAAAGATCATTCACTGTAATAAAGTGGGATTCATTCCAGGGATGTAAGGATGGTTCAACATGTGCAAATCAATATGCATGACATAGCAATCAACAGAATTAAGGATAAAAACCATATGATCATTTCAATAGATGTTGAAAGGTATTTAATAAAATTCAACATCCATTCTGATTTTTAAAAAACTCTCAATAAATAAGGTATAGAAGGAATGTACTTCAACACAAGGAAGTCCATATATGATACACCCACATTTAATATCATACTAAACAAGGAAAAATGGAAAGGCTTTTCACTAAGATTGGAACAAGGCAAGGATGTCTGTTTTCACCACTTGTATTCAATATAATACTCAAAGTCCTGGCCAGAGCAATTAGACAAGAGAAAGAAAGTAAGGGTATCCACATTGGAAAAGGAAGACATCACATTATCCTTGTTTGCAGATGACACAATCTTATAGTTAGAAAAACCTAAAGACTACACACACACACACACACACACACACACACACACACACAAATCAGAACCAATAAATTAATAAAGTTTCAGAATAAAAAATGATCATATAAAAATCAGTAGCATTTATATACATTAACAGAGATCAATCTAAAAAGGAAATCAAGAAAGCAATCTCATTTACAGTAGGTACAAAAAACATACCTAGGAATATGTTTAACCAAGGAAGTAAAAGATCTCTACAAGGAAAACTATAAAACACTGATGAAAGAGAAGAAGAGGGTACACAGACACAAATGGAAAGATATCCCATGCTCATGGATTAGAAGAATGAATACTGTAAATCACCCAAAGTGATCAATAGATTCAATGTAATCTCTAGCAAAATACCAATGATGTTATTCACAGAAACAGAAAAAAGCATTCCTACAAGCGTAGGAAACCACAAAAGACTCCAAATAGCTAAAGCCATCCTGAGAAAAAAGAACAAAGCTGAAGACATCACACTGCCTGATTTCAAATTTTGCTACAAATGTATAGTAACCAGAACAGCACAGTACCAACACTAAAACAGACATGTGGACCAATGGAATAAAACGATGAATTCAGAAATAAATCCACGTACTTACAGCCAACTCATTTTTGGCAAAGACATCAAGAACATACATTGGGGAATGGACAGTCTCTTTGATAAATACTGCCAGGAAAGTTAGACATGCAGAAAAAAATGAATCGAGACCCCCCTCTTTTACCATATACATACATCAAATCAAAATGGATTAAAGACTTCAATGCAAGACCCAAAACGATAGAACTACTACTAAAAAATAATACGGAGAAACATTCCAGGACATTGATCTGGGTAAAGATTTTTTGGTAAGACCTCAACATTACAGACAACTATAACAAAAATAGAAAAATAGTATTATATCAAGCCAGAAAGCTTCTACACAGCAAAGGAAAAAATCAACGAAGTGAAGAGACAACCCACAGAATGGGAGAAAATATTTGCAAACTACCCATCCAACAAGGGATTAGTAATCAGAATATATAAGAAACTCAAACAACCCAATTAAAAACTGGGCAAAAGACCTAATAGACATTTCTCAAAAGAAATGGCCAACACGTACATGAAAAAAGGCTCAACATCACTAGTCATTATAGAAATGCAATTCAAAACCACAAGAAGATATTATCTGACCCCATTTAGAATTATCACAAAGACAAAAAATAGCAAATGCTGATGAGAAGGTGGAAAAAAAGGAACACTCATACACTGTTGGTAGGGATGTAAAGTAGTACACCCACTAGGGAAAACAGTATGGGGGTTCCTCAAAAAACTAAACTAGAACTACGTTTGGTATAGTCCAGCAATCTTACTGCTGGGTATGCATCTGACAGAAAGGAAATCAGTATATCAAAGAGACATCGGCCCTCTCATGTTTATTACAACACTACTCACAATAGCCAAGACATCGAATCAACCTAAGTGTTCATCAATAGGCGAAAGGACAAAGAAAATATTGTATATGCACACAATGGAATACTAGTCAGCCATAAAAAGGAATTAAATCCTGTCATTTGCAGCAGGATGGATAGATCTGAAGATCATTCTGTTATGTAAAATAAGCATGACACAGAAAGACAAATATTGCATGTTCTCATTCATATGTGGGAGCTAAAACAGTGGGTCTTGTGGATGTTGAGAGCAGGATGGCGGATGCCAGATGCTGGGGTGGAATGGTGGAGAGGAAGATGAAGGGGAGCTGGTTAAGGAGTACAAAAATACAGTCAGAAGGAATGAGCTATCACATGCAGTATAGTAGGAAAATTATGCTTAATAGTTTATTGTACATATCAAAATAGCTAGAAGAATTGTAATGTTCTCAATACAGAGAATAAAAATGTATGAGGTCATGGGTATCCCAATTACCCTAACTTTATCATTACACATTTTAAACAGATATCAAAATATCACATATAACCCAAGAATACTACAGATATTATAATGAATTAGAATTAAATCTTCCAAACTATACACGAGGGTGTCTTTCCATTTATATAGGTTTTAATTTATTTTGGCATTGTTTTTCTGTTTTCATAGTACAAGTCTTCTGCCTCCCAAGTTACATTTATTACGAGGTATTTTATTGTTTTGTATGTTATTGCAAATGGTATTGTACTTTTAACTTCCGTTTTAAATTGTTTCTGTCTGGTATACAGACGCACAACTGATTTCCATGTGTTGATCTTGTTCTCTGACACTTTGCCAACTTTTCCACTTCTTTAAAATCCAGAATAAGTATGGCCTGAGACAAGGGAGGTTTGTGTATTCATGATGCATATGTATAGTCACGTGTATGTTGCTTGCGTATATACCATTCAATAATCAATACATAAATATAAATAATATGTATCTCCATTTTAACAACTGTAATTTATTCCTAAAGCCATATTTAAAAATAATTACATTTTTAAATGGGAAAAGTCGTATGAAGAATTCTGTCCCACCTCAAGATAACTAAACAATTTTTCAGTAGAAAAATAAATCTAAAAACAGAAAAAATATTTTAAAAGTAAATAAATCGTACATAAAACGAAGCGCAATCGAGTTTTGTTGCACTAATGCTTTCTTCCTCTTTCTACACCATTTTGTTTGCAGAATCGGCCTTTTGAAGGTTCCGGGTTACCCTGCAGTGAAGCTGTCATTCAAGCACAGTCAGGGCCCAGGAGAGGGCGCAGGGAGGGCGCAGGCGCGCAGGGAGGGCTGGGCATGCGCTCGGCGGGGCCTCCGGCTCTCGGGGACGCGCGCGGGCGGGGCTCGCCGGGGCTGAACCGGCTGAGCTTCCCAGGGACGCCCCGACCCAAGCCCTGCAGTCCGCGCGCGTCAGGGGTGTGCGCTGGAGGCCGGAAAGTCGAATATCACTTCCCATCCTGCATTTGATGTGCTTTGGGGTTGAAAAAGCCCTTATGTGGTAAAAAAAAAAAAAAAAAAAAAGTCAGAAAAGTGGCAAAAGTCTTCAACGGCCTGAAAAAGGCCGAGACAGGAACTGAGAAGCTGGCAGTAGGTCCTGCTACTGCTGCAGGGGCGGCGGGCGCCCTGGGTGGGCCACGAGGCAGGGACAGCCGAGGCTCCGCGCTCACCCCACCCGCAAGGGGCCAAGCGCAGACTCAGGGGAGCCAGAGGGGCCGGACCGCTGAGCAAGGGCTGGGGAAGGGTGAGTCAGGGGCCCCTGTGGGACTGCACGGGGTGGGGGGCACGGGCCCGGACCTCTCTCACAAATGCCCACGTGGTCCCCAAGGCTAACGCCGGCTGCGTGGGCCGCAAGCTGCTCTGGGCCCGCAGCTCACTCCCCTGGGCACAGGGCTGACACCCGGGCGAAGCAGGAGTGTCCCAGCTTGCTTCAGCCCCTCCCCTGGGCCCCCAGGCTGGTGGCTCCAGAAGGACTTTACTAAGAGGGTGGGAAGCATCAGTGCAGGTACCTGCCCTGGGCTAAGGGCCTCGTGTGGGTGATAGCCCTCAGCAGGGCCCTCCCATTTGGGCATTGGCAGCCCACAGGGCTGTGGCCGTGGAGCTGGAGTGGCAGCTCCTGGATCACCCCACACCTGCGTTCCTCAAGGCCTAGGCACCACTTGCTCCATGGTCAAAAGCATCACTTTGTGAAACGCAGACTGAGCAAAGCTGGCCTAAGATTTTGGTCCTCCAGGAATGACGGAAGGAGCCCTCTGCCCCCATGTAGCCTATAGCTGGGACACGCAGCAGCCAGTGAGTTGGTCACGGTATGAAGGCTTCTCTCCTCCCGGCAATCACAGATCCCACGCTTGGATACTTGGGAGTGAAGATGTGTTATTTCACCCACCGACTCGTTCCACACGACCAAGGCCTGTGCCTGCCCTGAGGGCGAGTTGGTTGAGCCTTGTACAGACAACTCTCAGAGCGTGGGCCTGGGCCGAACCTTTCCCTGTGAGCAGCAGCATCAGCGTCTAGAACGACGGCCCTCCCGGTCCACGGTGGAAGGTGCGGAGCTCCCGTGGTGTGCTGGCAGCGATTCGCAGAAGGGAGATGGAGGGCCACAGGGCAGGTGCTCGCACGGAGTCATCGAGGTCCAGGGACACCTTCCTCCCAGGTGAGCTCACAAAGGCACCACACATTAATCCTGGGAGACAACCATTCTGATGTGGCTAAGGCCATCGACAGGGAACATGATTGTCAGGAAACCTCAACTTTTCGATAAATGACAGCAAAACCTGAATGCAGGAGAAATGTATCTCATTTTAATGCCTGACTTCTAAGCATCCTTATTCAACATATTATATGTATTTTTTGTTTCATGAGTAAAATGTACATTGAGCTTCCTCCAGTAGCTGTCCATAGACCAGCCACTATCACTGCCATCATTATTTTGTTTCTAAACTTTTCTTTTTACACATGTAGGTCTAGCTTTTTCCTCCATATTGATGAACTAAAACTCACTCATTTCACAACTCAAAGCCAGGGCCTTCAGTTCACAGCCCGTTGCCTCAGACGGCCTTTCCTATATCTTATTGCTTCACTGTCTGACTCACTCCAGCGTGTTTCAGCCAAGTATACTTGTTTTTATTCATCTTGCTCTCTTTTCCTCCCTCCCCCAACTCCCCCTCTTTCCCTCTGTCTCTTTGTCTCTTTCTCTCTCCCCCATCCCTCCCTCTCTTCCCCTTTCTCTCTGGATGCCCTCTCTCCCTCTCTCCCTCCCTCTCTTCCCCTTTCTCTCTGGATGCCCTCTCTCCCTCTCTCCCTCCCTCTCTTCCCCTTTCTCTCTGGATGCCCTCTCTCCCTCTCTCCCTGTTTTTCTTCTCTGTGTCTGCCTGCATAATATTCAGAAATCCCAACAAGAGCAGCTGGAGCTGCTAAAGAAACCCCAGCGTTCTGTGCTGCTGCCATTGCCTCCTCCAACTGGTGAGCCCGATCGGCCCATTTTTAGGCAGTGCTGTGGTTGGAAATGGGCCCTTCCTCTGGGGTCCGCTACTTCCCTCCACCTGACTCAGAAGAATGAGTCAAGAGGGAAGAACAGCTCGTATTAGGGAGAGGGTCCCGTGTGCTGTTGCCTTTTTCGGAATCATTTCAATCATGTTTGCCAAATTCCCTACGAAGTTCTGTTCCCTCGTTTGACAATGAGCAGAGGCAGGAGAGATGAATTGCTAAATGGTTGTATCCCACACCGTGCTGGGAGGCTCAGCAGAACAGAGACCTGTGTCAAGCAGGGCTTCCTTCTCCACCAGGCCCTTCAGCCTGCATTTTAACCTGTGACTTGCGAGGAGATAGCCCGTGATCACACCACAGGCCTACTTACATGACAGGAAGCAAAATGCCAATTCCTTCTACCCCTTTCCCCCACCCCGGTAGAAACCCTGCTAGTTCTTTTTAAAAAAGGGAGAGAGATCATGTATAGAAAACCTTTTTTACAATTTATTTCCTGTTGTTAATCTTTAAAAATGAGGTTCTAGCTAAGTGCAGGGTTTCAGTGGTGAAATTTTGACCATGTGAACACATAAATAAATATTTACAGTCTTTGGCAAAACACATGACGTTTCATCAACCTATACGATAAATTTGTTTAGAAAAACATAAATAATTTACAAAAAATATGGTACATTCTAAATACTCACATCATCGTCACTCCCACACCATTGTACGGTTGACCCCACAACACAGAAACAGAAAACCTGCACGCTGTTGACAGTCGCTACATTTAATGAAGTATCCCAACGCTTCGTTGGTCTCGGGAATACAGCTCCACACGCAAAAAAGTAAAAAGTGCAGCAAAACAACAACACAACGATCAACCTCAAAGGAAACAACAAAATTAATTTTATCAAAATGCAATGTGTACATTAAGACTAAAGTTATGGATTGTTCCTGTTTGGCATAGAAATGTGATGACTATTAACAGAAAGGGGAAAAAGATTTGCCCCCTATCCATCATCAGACAGACAGACTTCTCTTACTAAACCCCTTATGTGGAGTGGGATGAGTGACTATTTCCTGCAGAAAGATCATGCAACTTAAAGCAAAAAAACAAACCAACCAACAAAAAAAACAAAAACAAAAACAAACTTGTGCATATTACACATGACTGATTATTGGGTGTGCCTGGCAAGACTAAATGCTGATTCTTTTCAGCGTTTGAATTAAAAGAATTCCATATACAGCAGATAGATAACAGTAACAAATATTGAACTAAAATCGCTGGCAACATTATATATTTAAGGTTCCATCATAAACTCCTCATTATTCTCTATGTATTCTGTTACAGCTTCTAGCATGCTTCATCGTGACAACCTAATATTATCAAGCCTCATATTTTCACAGGATTATATACTTATTAGATGTTTGTTTCTAGAAATTATACTACATATGTGTTACTAGGCATATTTAAAATAAGTTACTGGTAAATGGAGTTGCATTCTATAGTCACTTAATAAATATTAACAAAATATTTATAACTGGAACCTTAATGAAATGTATCATCAAATCAGGTAAAAGCAACTTGTCCGCAGTTACCAAAGCCTAGATACGCGTTAGATGCGCCTTTTCCGGCCTGTGCGTCTGCTCTGGTTCCTCTCAGGCAGCAAAGCTGGGGAAGGAAGCTCAGGCAGGAGCCTCCCCGACGCCACAGCGGCACAAGCAGCAGCTAAAGCACCGCACTTTGCTCTGCTAACCTTTTACTTAAATGAGGTTTTGCCAAATCCACATCTGGAACCGCGTCACACCCATTTGCAAGGATGTTTGTTCTTTGATGAAACTGCATCTCTACTGCACATGAGGGCTTTCATTGTAGGACAAGAGGAGAGTTCGTTTATTTTTGTAACTGTTTTACATGTTCCGATTAGTTAATCGGTAGCTTATGTCATTTGCTATGCCTGTTGTCTTCTAATCTCTCCTTACTAAAACATTACTTCAAATTTGAATTGACCCTTGTTTATAATTTATTTAATGGGATTTGTGTGTCATTGTAGAGCAACTCTAATTCAAGAATAGTGACAACTTTAAGCACCAAAAGTAGTTCAGCAATATTTTTCATGCTTAATTTATCATAATGGCTTATGCACAGTATTCCCTTCAACTCCATATACACATAAATACAATAAGTAATTACATTTTATATGTAAACGTCATTCTTTTTAAACAAACAAGAAAAAGCAATGTAATGGCATGCCCAATTTTCACTCCACATAAAGTCTCATATATCACCAAACTGGTTTCCTCTAGTGGGTTAGATGTTCATCTCTGAGTTCCATTGATATTTATCCTCTGAAGGCACTTGGGTTTGGGGTTGCTGGCAGGAGGTGAAGAACCATCAGAGTTAAGGTCAAGGGACAGGAGGTGCTGCTAGAGAGAGAAGCCACAAGGACCACAATGAACTGAGGTGTCTAGGGACCATGGCATGCACAGGGCATTGCCGGAAATGCAGCAAATCTTGTTTAAATATCTACAAAAAGAAAAAAAAAAGCAATAAACAATTAGCATAACTGGGCCATGGGTAGTGATTTATTTTGTTTTACCTAGAACCAGAAATATAATTACTTTAATTAAAGATGAGATCTATCATATGGATGGATGGATGGATGGATGAAATGGATGGGTGGATGGATGAGATGGGTGGGTGGATGGATGAGATGGGTCGGTGGGTGGGTGGATGAGATGGATGGATGGATGGATGGATGAAATGGATGGGTGGGTGGATGAAATGGGTGGGTGGATGGATGGGTGGATGGATGGGGTGGGTGGGTGGATGAGATGGATGGATGGATGGATGAAATGAGTGGGTGGATGGATGGATGAGTGGGTTGGTGGATGAGATGAATGGGTGGATGGATGATGAGATGGTTGGGTGGCTGGATGAGATGGATGGATGGGTGGATGGATGGATGAAATGGATTGGTGGATGGATGAAATGGGTGGGTGGATGGATGGATGAGTGGGTTGGTAGATGAGATGAATGGGTGGATGAGATGAATTGATGGATGGATGGATGAATGAGATAGGTGGGTTGGTGGAGATGGATGGGTGGGTGGATGGATGAGATGGATGAGTGGGTGGGTGGGTGGCTGAGATGGATGGATGGGATAGATGAGTGGGGGTGGATGAAATGGATGGGTGGATGGATGGATGGATGAGATGGATGGGTGGGTGGGTGGATGGACTAGATGGATAGGTGGATGGGGCTGGGTGGATGGATGGATGAGATGGGTGGGTGTGTGGGTGGGTGGATGGATGAATGGATGGATGGATGAGATGGATGGTTGGGTGAATGGATGAGATGGATGGGCGGATGAGTAGATGGATGGATGGGATGGATGGATGGATGAGACAGGTGGATGGATGGATGAGATAGGTGGGTGGATGAGATGGATGGATGGGTGGGTGGGTGGATGGAGGGATGAGTGGGTTGGTGGATGAGATGGATGAGTGCATGGGTGGGTGGCTGAGATGGATGGATGGATGGATAAGATGGATGGATAAGTGCTGGGTGGATGGATGGATGATGAGTGGGTGGGTAAGTGGATGAGATGAGTGGATGGATGGATGAGTAGGTGGGTGGATGAGATGAGTGGATGGATGGATGAGTAGGTGGGTGGATGAGTGGATGGATGGATGAGTAGGTGGGTGGATGAGATGAGTGGATGGATGGATGAGTAGGTGGGTGGATGAGATGGATGGATGGATGGATGAGATGGATGTATTGATAGGTGGATGGATGGATGGATGAGTAGGTAGGTGAGTGGATGAGATGAATGGATGGATGGGATAGATGAGTGAGTGGGGGTGAATGAAATGGTTGGGTGGATGTGTGGGTGGATGGATGGATGAAATGGATGAGTGGGTGGGTGGGTGGATGGATTAGATGGATAGGTGGATGGGTGGGTGGATGGATGGATGGATGAGATAGTTGGGTGGATGGGTGGTTGGATGGATGAGATGGGTGGGTGTGTGGGTGGGTGGATGGATGGATGGTTGGGTGAATGGATGAGATGGGTGGATGAATGGATGGATGGATGGGTGGATGGATGAGATATATGGGTGGGTGGATGAATGATATGGATGGATGGGAGGAAATGAGATGCCTTGAAAGACATCCTAACATAAGGAGAAGAAAACCTCCACAGAAGCAAGCAGATAAATCAACCCCAACAGGGTTTTGCCCTGTTGGCCAGGCTGGTCTCGAACTCCTGACCTCAGGGGATCCACCCGCCTTGGCCTCCCAAAGGGCTAGGATTACAGGCATGAGCCACTGCCCCCAGCCAAACACATGATTTTCAATGTGTGATTCTTGAGAAGCATCCTGAGCCTTATTTACTGCATCTGTGGAAGGGTAATGCGCATTTGAAGGCATGGAATTAGAGCAGATGGAATTCAAGTTATCTTCCAGGTCTATAATATTTTGATTCAAATATACCTGTAGCGAGATAACTATAGAGAAACTCCTTCCTTCCTTCTTTCCTTCCTGCCTGCCTGCCATTGCTAATGCAAGGGTACCAATCTAAAATGGCGTCAGGAGCCTGGAAGTGGAGGAAATCTAGGAAACTCTAGGCTATGGCACAATGAGGATGGGTGGGACCTGTAAATAATTGGAAAGTGTTCTACCAGAGGCATCCAAATGCAATTAAAAACAAAACAATCCAAGCTGACCAAATGAAATGGCTGCTTGGAATGTGCAGGGGGCTCATGTGTGGTATTGTGCATTAGGTTTATTGCCCTGATGTACAGCTTTTGTAAGTGGAAGAGCGCACTGTGTACCCCTTTCCCTTTCTGGGTGCCACATGCCTTCCCCACTAACCTGAAGTGCTCACACTCACCTCTGCATTCGTACTTGAGGTCTGAGAAATAGACCATTTCTTGAGAGAAGACAAATAGACCCAGCCGCCCGCCAGCGTAGGTTTGGTCATAGATAGGTCCTGAGTCTGCCATGACCTGTTTTCCTTCATGCACTAAGACTCTAAAAATGGTGTTTAAAAAGAAGAAGAGGAAAGAAAGACAACATGAACTCTGTGAAGCATTCACCAGTGATGGAAGGTTGGCTCCGGACACAAGCTGTGGATACTCCGCCCAGGGCTTCAGTGCCCCAGGGGGCATTGCTGGCTTTCTCCTTTGGAGCTCCAGCCACCCCTGGTGCAGCACTGATCCAGGGCACGCCTTCCTTCTTGCAACCACACTATTGTCACAATCTGTGAGTTCACTTACAGTCACCCAGGCAAGGGCTTTAGAGGAGACTCTACCTTTGGTGGGGTGAGGAGGAAGCTTCCCACTTCCTGGGAAGATGCACCGGACTCTCCCTACTTCACCTTGTGCTAAAACCATGAGCTCACCGGCTCTCCTCCCCACTGTGGAAGCTGCGTGGGAGCAGGACTGGATACACCAAGCCCCCGACAGGAGGATGGGGCATCAATATGAATAAACAGGAGGCCCCCTAGGGAAACGTTCCAGCGAGGCCACGAGCCTGCACTTCACCCACACAGATCTGCCCTCTATTGCCAGGGACTCACACACTCCTGGCATCTGTGCAGAGTCCAGCCTGATCTTGGTGCTTATTAACTTTGAAAAAACAAAAACACCTTGATTTTAAATTGACCACATTTTGTTTGAATAAAAATCAATTATAAATACTGTTAAGCCAAGGGAAAAGATTCTGTTGGGCTAACTGTGTCAAAACTTCATACAACCGTGTTTTAAATTCAGCCATTTATATCAGGTACAAATCTAGTCTCCAATAAAGCACATGCTAATTCTGCAAAGATGCAGTTATTTTAATTGCAGGTGTTCTCCCCTGCCTGGGGTATTCATTAGGAGAAAATATGGTTATCATCCCAAAACAAAGCAGATTGTATATTCTCCTTTTCAACCATTTTTTAAAAATACTTAATATTTAGTAGAGATGCAGGATAGAAAAGAGAAAGCAGTTAATGACGAAGAATCCAGAGTAAAACAAAAAGTTAGAATTCACTTGAGCTTATTTGTCTATTAATGTTCAAATGTGCCGTCCGATGGGAAGCCCCTTGGAAGAAATGCAGCTGTGCTGACCTGCCCTCACCTGATGTAGCCAGTCTTGGGCCTGTGAGTCAGGTGCCACCTATAGGCCGTGTAGTCCTTCCAGCCAATGTTCCTGGGGTCGTGCCATAAGGTTCGCACCTGAGAGAGAACATAGCACTCTTGAGTGCCATGGGCACCCGGAGCCTTAACCACAGCTCTGTAACACCAAGCAGGAAGCAAAAACATGACTTTGCAAGTTCATGCTTAAGGCTCATGGTGCTCCATATCTCTCTGATGTGTTTATCATCCAAATCTCTACTGTGGATTGAAGCCCATGGACAGAGTGTGGCTCAGGGCTGAGAGCCAAGGCACCTGACCCTCAGATTCCTGGATTGAAGAGCCCAGGCACCTGATCCTCAGATTCCTGGGTTCATGTCTGGATCTTCTCTTTCCTTGATATGGGATGTTGGGCAAAATTCTTGAAGTTTTGATATTCAATTCTCCCTAGCTTCAATTTTTAAAATATTTTTTTCATATTATATCTTTGATCATTATGTCCTATGCTCACTCCCTATCTCCAGAAGAGGGTAAAAGAGGTTTAATTTGTAAAAGGATTAGCAACTGTATTTAACTGGTAATTATCAACTGTGTTGAGTTGTAACCCCAGGCACAGTGTCTATAATAAAGTAAGATTATTAAAATAACTGTGCCTGGAGTTAAAATTAATAAAGACAAAAGTGGGGTCTCTGGACTGGGCTAGTCCTGCTGAAACACTCTGCAGCCACAGTGGTGCAGAGGAGATGTGTGGGCCTGGCCAGCCAACCTCACCTGCCCCGGCGTGTTCCCCGTGTGCCACAGCGCGTTCCTCAGGTGCTCGCCCGTCCCCGTGGTGGAGTTCACCACCTTGAGGGACACGCCGGAGTAGCCATAGGCCCGCGTGGGCTGGTCCTCCCAGTAGGTCTGCGTCACCTGCTTCCACATCACCACATAGAAGCGGCTGCTTGACTGGTAACCAAAGACGAAGCCGGCATAGTCGTCGTCCCGGTCAGTGTTTACGTAGAATGTGCCACTGAAGTCCACAGACCCAAACTCGTCAAAACCTGGATGCAACGCCATAAGGTTTCGTTAGAAACACCTTTCAGGTGGCCGGGAGTAGTGACTCATGCCTGTAATCCCAGCACTTTGAGAGGCCGAGGTGGGCAGATCACCTGAGGTCAAGAGTTCGAGACTGGTCTGACCAATATGGTGAAACCTTGTCTCTACTAAAAATGCAAAAATTAGCCGGGCATGGTGGTGGGTACCTGTAATCCCAGCTACTCAGGAGGCTGAGGCAGGAGAATCACTTGAACCGGGGAAAAAAGGTTGCAGTGAACTGAGATTGTACCACTATACTCCAGCCTGGGGGACAAGAGCAAGACTCCATCTCAAAAAAAAAAAAAGAAAAAAAAGAAAAAAAAAAGAAACAGGTTTCAGGCAATCCCCAGCTTGGCCCTGTGACCATCTGACAGTGGATGCCCAGCAGGCAGGGCGGGCTCCCCTCATCATCCCGATGGGCTCTTTTACCATGAGATTAGTGGAATTGAAGGTATTTCTTTTAGATCCAACTTACAAGAGTTCTGAGAGGATTATGAGGTCCCATTTCATAGACCAAGTCTATAAAATAAAATGGTTTACTGAAATTTCAGAGACTTCAGAGCGGCAGGTGCATGTACCTGTCAAGGTTATTTAGGCAGACAGTTTCACAGACCATGGAAGGATGGGGGCTTCCAGAAAGACCACATGGCATCCCACCTGCATGATCTTAAAGTGCAGTCTGCATCTTCTGTGGGCGCCTCCCCCGGAGAAATGCTGGCACCACCGCCGTGTCTCAGAGACTCACCTACAGCGATGCCGGGGTCCGAGTTGGCTGTCTGAACCAGCTCCTTGCCTTGATGGCGAATGACCCAGTTGGGATCAATTTGGGTGGTCCCTTTGGGATCCAAGGGGACCATCTGGAAGTTCCTGAAGTCTGTCTCACTGATGGCATTGTTTTCAGGACACACATCATCAATATCTGGGATGTTGTCATTGTCAAAATCATCTTTACAAATATCACCCCGTCCATCACCTATGCACAAAGAACAAGCAAAAACAAAAACAAAAACAAAGAAGCAAAGTCGGTGGTCGGTGGTTTGCCATTTGCTTTTCCGTGTCTGAGAAACATGAGTGCATCTTTCCCAGAACATCTAAGACTGAGTGCTTTGCAGTGTTTTGTGGATTCGTGCTCAACAATCTCCAAAACATTTGACTTCACAGGAACCTCAACTCTTTTCACAAAATTTTTGTGATAAATACACAGCAAAGGCCAGCACAGCAAATTCACATAAAGCCATTTCTCACCGTGTTCCAAACTCAATGCTGCAGGTATAAAACCTGAATGGCTGTCAAGTAATATCAACCTGCATTTCCAGCTTTGTGTTTGGATAGTTTTCTGAATGTCTGTTATTACTTTTCTTAGTCATCCTTGCCTTTTATAGTCTATTTGGCATTAAAGCGGAACTCACACTAAAATGGTTTTTCCTAGGGAGACATGGACTTCCGCTGTTTAGTGGGTCCTTGTCAAGTTTTCAGCGGGGTTGTGGCATGGTGGGGAGTGGGGATGAGGTGGGCCTGGTGCAAACAGGGGGACCACGAATTTGCCACATGTGTCCAGTCTATCAGTCTACGGCGATGACGATAACCTGACAGGCAGATTGCAATGTACTGAATTAGCTATCACGTGGCCTGCCGTTTTGGAGGAAAGGCAAGTTGGATTGAATATCTCATCATATTCTTCAACTAGTTTCCGTTCTGTTCAAGAACATACTCCAGCTACCACGTGGCAGGCACATAGTTGGTATCAGGGCATTCTGAAATGCTGAAATGCTGCTCTGCCTATCAGCTTCTCTCTGTCCCAGTCCCTCCCTGGGGAAAGGCTGCATGGGGAGCAAGCCCCTGCATGCCCGAACACGGAGTCCAGATGAGGCTTGCTGTGCTCACTCCATCCCTTCATGCTGCTCGGGGAGAACACAGGAGCTGCCCTTCTGATCCCAGCATCTCCCACGTACTTCTGAGTCATGCTGTCTCAGATGCCCCTCAAGTCCTTATCTCCCTCTGTCAAGGACGTGGCTTCCAAAGAGAGCCTGTGTCAGCCAGGCCCCACTCCAAGTGAGGGCCACTTTCTCACAGCCTCCCCGGAAGCCCCAGAGCACAGCTGTGCCCTTGTTTATTACTCAGGGACGCTGACTTAGAGGACTGCAGCCCATCCAGCTCCTTCCTTGGGCCCCCGTGGCTATGGGCCACCTATTCATGCTCACTGCTGAGCAAAGCAGCTCTTCCTCTCATGCTTCACACTCGTGCCACTTTTGTTGGCTTTGCTTTCAAAAAAATCCTCCTTGTCCCCTGCCTGGCCCCATACACCAAATTCCCAATTCATCCTACGTTCGTAACCCGCATTCTTTCTAGGAGATCGTCAACAATCTGGAAGTTATATGGAGGCAGGGATTTCTCCTCCTCCCGACGTGCACACACACTTGAGGCAGCACACCTGTTGAAGGGCACACACACAGCCAAGAATGTGTTGAGTGTCAGGGGAGAAGAAACTCATATTGCATGGACCCACAGCTTTAAGAGGCCCAAAGTCATTGCCCTTTTTCCAGCAGCAGATTTAAGATGATCTCCGTGCATACATATCTCTGCCCTGGCGGGTTGCTCAGAAGCCATTTTCCTCCACGCCCATGAGCTGAGAGAGCACCCACCGTCCAAGTCCTCCTGGTCTGGGTTGAACACAAGCCGGCAGTTGTCCCTGTCATCGGGGACGCCATCGTTGTCATCATCAGGGTCACAGGCGTCGCCCTGGCCGTCTCTGTCATGGTCAGCCTGGTTGGCGTTGGAGATGTAGGGGCAGTTGTCCTGGTTGTTCTGGTGGCCGTCGTCATCTATGTCCTCGTTGTTGTCACACTGGTCCCCAACAAGGTCATTGTCCACGTCGGTCTAGGGGATGGGGCGTGAGAGAAACAGCAGAGGACTGCCAGTTTGAGGAGGTGGAGAGGAACCAGCAGGACGCAAGCCTGAGAGCCGGCCTCCTCGTCCTGCAGCACAAGCCCCAGGGCCACGCAGGGGCGGCTGGCCCGAGGTCACACTGACCCTGACGTCAGGACAAGCACTGGGGCCAGGCCTCTCGGTCCAGGAATCTCTCCACCCTCTGCCACCTCTCCACAGTAATTCACTTCACTAAAGGAAGATGTGCTTCTTCGCTGGAAAAGCATGAACTACCAGGTAATTATGTCTCTTTTTTACACCATTTGCGCCATTTACACCATTTACATCATAGGATAATATATCCTATGAGCTGCATCAAGATAACTGTCCTCCCTTGTCTCTTTCAAACGCAAACCTGGAAATGAAGCCAATTCCTATGTTGGCATCAGGAAAATGGGGAGAGAATTCTGTGAAGACACAACCTCGCTCCAGCTGATGAGGTGAAGGCGTCTATTCATTTGGCCTGTGGCCACTGAGATACAAGAATAGTGCTGAGATTTGAGTTGAATAAATGTTTTCAATTGAAATCATTGAAAACTCCATGTTATCCTGTCTTTGTGGAGCTCATGGAAAACTCCCAAGGCCCCATGGAGGGGACTGATGAGGACCTGAGACCCGCCTGCCCATGGCTGCCCTCATCTGGTCAGGGTTGTGCACCAGGGGCAGTTGTCACAGTGATCCCCCACACCGCCACCGTCCCCGCGTCCCTCTGATGAGGACCTCCAACCCCGCCTGTCTGCGGCTGCCCTCACCTGGTCAGGGTTGTGCACCAGGGGGCAGTTGTCACAGTGATCCCCCACACCGTCACCATCCGTGTCCCTCTGGTCAGTGTTGTAGACGTAGGGACAATTGTCTCGTTCATTGAAGACATCTGTAAGTGTTTAAAGGGGGAAGAAAACAAAAACAAACCAGAAGGACAGGTGAGTTTAGAAAAAGCACATTGTTTTTCCTATCACACGAAATTGCTTACAGCCACACTTCTATTTAATTATAATAAAAAGACGCCTAAGAATATAGTAAAATATAAAGACTATTAGATTTTAGAAGAACATATGACATATTTCATTACAGTTCAAATACCTTTCATTTGAAATAGAACCAACTTTTGGAGATTTCTGGGTAATGTTGCAGGAGGGGTAGTTGAATGTGCTGTCGCCGTGTAAATCTGAGCTTGCTAAATTGCTTATTTCTCCCTAATACCCACTTGGAAAGTATGTGTTGAGTTCCCAGGAGTTTATCATCCATGCACATGAGTAGGAAAAAAACAATGGCAGAGAGTGGCAGGGTTTTTAGATGTCATATCTTATCTTAAGAAATCTGAAAGTGATGAGTTGCATTGATACTGAAGTTACAAAAATATAAACTAGCACTGAACTAAACAATACCATCAGTGACAGTGTCACAAATGACAGAGCAAAATGTTACACGGCAGCGAGTCCACAGGAAGAGCCAGAACTGAGCTGAGACGCTCGCCTTGCTTTGGTCAGGTGAGGTCTGGAGAAGGGAAGTAAGGAACACCTAAAAAATAAAAATGGAAGGGACTGGAGCTTGAGATCTGCATCCAGCACATCACAGACGCCATCCTGGATGGGGAGCCGAGGAGCCCCCTGGCCACCACGAGCCCTCAGACAGCAACCCACCACATTCCCAGAGAACGAGAGGAGGGTGGAGGCAGAAATCAGTGGAAAAGATCAGACTGAGAAACCCGCTGTGAGACAGAACAGCAGGTTGGGGTGGCTCAGAAAGGGGGTGGCTGGCGCCGGGCTGGGAAGAGGACCCCACGAGGCGAAGTGTGGAGGAGCTGGGGCCGAGCTCCAGCGTGGAGGCGAGCCTGCCCCCAGCTCTTGCTGGTTCTACAGAAGCACTCGCCTGGTCTCCAGGCACCCCAAGAGAAGGGATGACCATGCGGTGACAGTGGCACTGGGTTGCAGAGCTCGCTTACCAAGGCCAGCGAACTCTCCGGATAAAGCAGCAACCGGGATCAGTGGCAGAGGTAACCACAATACACCCACGTTATTCTAACTCCTAGAAGCTCAGTTTGATGAAAACATGAAATGGCTTCTTGGAATTTTTGAATGAAGGGTGAACATTAGAAAAGATGCCATGAAGAAGCACGAGGCCCAGGACTGCAAGGCTGGGGTCAGAGAGAGGAGGATACCAAATGCATAGCTTTCTCTAGGGCGGTCCTGTGGCTGGTGTCCCCTGACCTTCAGGAAAAGGCAAGGCAGAATAAGCATGGGTCCCTATGGGAATAACTGAATGAATCATTTAATCTTATAGTAGTGTAAAAATGAAAGGAGCTTATCAAAATTCAGAATAAAACATGAAACTTGCCAATGCCTCCAATTGCGACCCTTAAAATGCATGCATTGGGCCGGGCGCGGTGGCTCACGCCTGTAATCCCAGCACTTTGGGAGGCCAAGGCAGGCGGATCATTTGAGGTCAGGAGCTTGAGACCAGCCTGGCCAACATGGTGAAACCTCGTCTCTACTTAAAATACAAAATTAGCTAGGCGTGGTGGTGTGCACCTGTGATCCCAGCTACTCAGGAGGCTGAAGCAGGAGACTCACTTGAACCCAAAAGGTGGAGATCGCAGTGAGCCAAGATGGTGCTACTGCCCTGGGCAACAATAGTGAAACTCCATCTCAAAAAAAAAAAAAAAGTGCACGCATGGGAAGGAGCAGAAGCACCCACCGTCCCCATCAATGTCCACGGAGCAGGCGTCACCCTCTCCATTGTTGTCTGTGTCGATCTGGGCAGGGTTGTGCACGTAAGGGCAGTTGTCACAGCGGTCCCCAACCTCATCCTTGTCATAGTCAGCCTGGCGGGGATTGAAGAGGAGCTGGCAGTTGTCCTGGAAAACCAAGAAAGGGAAGACTTTAACGAAGATCATAGGAATGTGTGTCGGGCCGTTTAGCACTTATAAGTTATGTACTCAAGGTTGATGAAAATCAATATAGAAATCAAACAAACACAAAAGCCAGTTAGGGCTGGACGGTGGCTCACACCTTTAATCACAGCTGGGCACTGTGGCTCACACCTGTAATCCCAGCACTTCAAAAAGCCAGTCAGGGCAGGGCACGGAGGCTCACACCTTTAATCCCAGCACTATGGGAGGCTGAGGCGGGCGGATCACCTGAGGTCAGGAGTTCAAGACCAGGGCCGGGCGCAGTGGCTCACACCTTTAATCCCAGTGCTTTAAAAAGCCAGTTAGGCCCGGGCACAGTGGCTCACACCATTAATCCCAGCACTTTGGGAGGCCAAGGCAGGCGGGTCACCTGAGGTCAGGAGTTCGAGACCAGCCTGGCCAACATGGTGAAACCCCATCTCTCCTAAAAATACAAAAATGAGCCGGGCGTGGTGGTGTGCGCCTGTAATGCCAGTTACTCAGGAGACTGAGGCAAGAGAATCGCTTGAACCCAGAAGATGGAGATTGCAGTGAGCCAAGATCATGCCATTGCACTCAAGCCTGAGCGACCAAAAAAAAAAAAAAAAAGAGTTAGCCCTCGCCAAACACTTTTTCCATATCAAATCATTTTATCATTATTTATGCATCTGTCTTTTGTTGAAAATTTGTAGATTGCTAAGGCAAAAATGGTATATCATACACTTCATGGTGAGGAGAGATATGTAAATATCAAATAAATGAATGGATTAGTGAGTCAATGTCTCCCATCAAAGTCAGATGTAAAAAAGCAGTGAGTAAAATCTTGATCTATTCTTGCTAGAGCTGTTTTGTGTACAAATACATTAAACCATTTGTGTTTGCAGCAATTTTCTTAGAAAAATGGTAATATTTTAAATGTTGCCATAAAGGCAAGTCTATCACTCATGGTGGTGTCAGCCTTGCCCATCACTGGCTCCTCAGCAGAAGGAGAGGAGGTCTTCTATTTTTTTGCAGTTAAAATAGAAAAAATTATTCAAAACATTTCCGGCAGCACACCCTGGGCAGCCCCATGCACTGAGGTAAAATCCGCTTTTGCAAAGGACTGTCTTTATAGTGACCTTTGGGAACTGCCTATGCACAAACGCTTGCAGGACAATGGCAGTTACGTTGACAAGGGCTGTTTGGTATAAAGTGGCCTCCTGTGGACCTCGCTGCTCCTGGAACCCAGGGCAGGTGCGCGGCACAAGCTGCTCCTACCTTCTCATCGGTCACACCGTCATTGTCATCGTCATCATCACAGGCATCGCCAATCCCGTCCTTGTCAAAGTCTTCCTGCCCAGAATTTGGCAGATGGGGGCAGTTATCCTGCAATTGGAG
This sequence comes from Homo sapiens, assembly GCF_000001405.40. Classification (NCBI taxonomy): domain Eukaryota; kingdom Metazoa; phylum Chordata; class Mammalia; order Primates; family Hominidae; genus Homo; species Homo sapiens. The sequence goes on from NC_000006.12 coordinate 169,229,692, forward strand.
AAGGAAGAATACTTGGAAAAACATTTAGGAAAGCGCCTCTTTCAGGAATGCAGGTGAAATGAAACCAGCATGGCGCCGAGGAAGGAAGCGTGCCCCATCAGTCCTCGATCTCAAGCGGGAGCTGAGAGAGGAGCCAGGAGGCCAGAAGCGCATGAATTTCTTCTCAACTCCTGCCCTGGAAATTATGTCACCACTACTCACGAGGGAGACAAAAGAAACTTGTGTTCGGAGCCCAGAATCCCAGTGAGGTTGCCAAACAACTGCAGAAACAAGAAGAGAATGACAAGGTATTGCTCTGAGAGAACATGGGAGAGAAAAGAGGCTTTAGTGGTGCTTTCCTTCCCACAGACTTCAGCTCATAAATCAAAATGCCAAAGCTTATAAACGTTTAACCCTCACCAGTCAAAAAATCTCAAAGAAAAGAGTCTTTCAAATATGTATGTGATATGTTCAGAAACCAGGGCTGAGAACTTGAAATTATCTGCTAACTCAGCTTTTCACGGTGAGTGGGTAATGCATGTAATTGGGCAAAAACTCCTTTCATTTCAGTCCAGTTATACCATAATTTAAAGCTGAGCTGTGCAGACACTAACAACTTGAGGGAATTGGAAATCCAGGAAAAGGTAGAGAGTAGCGTGTCCGTTTCAGTTTCAGTACAAGAGCCCCAAGGGTGTGTCATCCCCGTGGCTCAAAGCACATCACTCGTTGAATCAGAAGACAGAACCTGGGGTCTTGTGCTGGAGCCCAGAGTTTCAGCACTTACAGATTAAGAAAGGAGAGCATGTTGCTTGTCATGGAGGACACGGATCCCAGACGGGGGCCCCTGGCAATGGGGAGGATCCAGCACCTGTGTGTCGGGTTAATATGGGAACGGGCACAGGGGTCCCTTGTCAAGTCTCACTTTTAAATCCTTTTGTGTATGTGTATATATACATATAACTTTGCAAATTATATACCATTTTCGAAGTTATTAAATTTCCATCTAAAATTCCACAATGATGGAAAGAATAATCGGGATATCTTCTAGCAGCACGGACTCAGCTGCAGCTGACCTTCTGAAATCAGGGGCTTCAAGAAGGGTAGGCTGGGTAGCCAAGGGGTGTAACATAGGTTGGGATCAGTGCCTCGTTGATTTTAAAACATACTCATATTTTGTTTCAGTGAGTATTTGGCATCTTTAATCAAGCGGGACTGACAGAGAAAATTAACACAAAATTTGCAAGAATGATTAAATATTAAATAAATGAATATATTTATATTTTCAAATGATATTTTGTGTCAGTTTGTGGCATTTCCATGTCTGACCTTCTTAAGGCATAAAACTGCACTAAAACATTTTGGGGCACCCTGTGCGGTGGACTGAGTGGCAGTCCCCACGATGGATGTCCGCGTCCTAGTGTCTTGGCGCCCGGGGATGTCACCTGATATGGCTGAAGTGAATTTCATCTTGTATGGTAACAAGTGGAATTAGGTCAAGGACATTGAACAGTGAGGCTCATCCTGGATTATCTGGGTGGGCCCTAAATACAACCACAGGTGTTCTTATCAAAGAGAGGCAGAGGAAGTTTCCGGAGAGAAAGGCACTGGAGAAAGTGGTGTGAAGCCGACCAGAGGTCAGGGCCATGCAGCCACCAGCGCCAGAAGCCCAGCGACGCCTGAGCCAGAGAAGCTGGGAGAAGCAGAGGGAGCACGGCCCCGCTAGCACCTTGACGTTGTGTTTCAGGCCTCCAGAGCTGTGAGATAACAGATTCCTGTTGTTGTGAGCCTCCCGGGCCGTGGTGTTCGTTCCAGCGGCCACAGGAAAGCAGTCCAGCCTGGGATGGGCCCCGAAGGAGCTCCTTCTTCCAGCTGAGCAGCTCCTTATACTGCAACACGCTTGGGCTTTGGGAAGAAAACCATGTCCTAACTCTTTCCAAGTGACATAGCCTGGCCAGACCTGCCTGAGACACAATGGCCTCTGCACAGCCTGGAGCCGAGCGTGGAGCCGGCGTCCTCCCTCTGCTCAGTTTCAGGCGTTAACGATGCGCGCAATTGCAAATATGGGCCGACGTGCCCGAGGTTCTCTGTGCCCAGCAGTGGGCGGCGCCAGAGTGTGCCTGTGTCTACTAAGGACCTCCAGAGAGGGGACCAGGGGGATGCATTCAACCTGGTGATCAGGCAAGAGGCCTGAGAGACCCTCCTTCCAAATTCCCTGTGCTGCCCCCGCCCCCCGTCCGCGTAGCGTCCCCGGCGCCAGGAGGAGGGCTGACCGCCGTGGCCCCGTGTGCCCTGCGAGCCCCGCGCCTCACCTTGATGCAGTGGTAGGTGGCGTTGGTGGCGCAGACCAGATTGAGGTTGGGCCAGCCGTCCAGGTCCGAGTCCTCCCCGCAGATGAGCCCGTCGCCCGCGTAGCCTGTCTGGCACTCGCACTTGTACATGGGGTCGCTGAAGTGGCCCAGGTAGATGCACTCCGCGTGCTTGTGGCAGTTGTGTGTCTTGTCCTTGCATGGGTTTTCGGGCTCACACACCTACGGGGAGAAGGGCTGCGGGGTTAGCGACAGGCAGGACGATGGCTCCGGAGGCGTCGAGGCGGGGCGTCGGGCACCGCAGGCCCCAGCAGGTCCGGTCCCAAGCGGACCCAAGTCCTGAAGTGGGAAGGGCTTTCTGGACACGCACTTGAGGTGCTGTTCGTTCCTGAGGCTCCGTTTGTGACTCAGCCATCGTTTCTGAGCCTCGGCTGCAGCTCACCAAGGGCTGCGCTAACAGCGGAGAGGTGGCGGCCTGACCCTCACAGGCCCGGCTGAGCACGCCCCGCACCCCGCGCGGAGAGCAGCGGCCCAGCCGAGCAGGTGCTCAGCTTCCCCGGGCCAGCCCCTCCCATGCCTCTCCCGGGCCACGCCACCCCTTCCTCTCCTTCCTCCTGCTGCTTTTCTGAGCTCATCTGATTTTTCCAAAGCCGCTCGCAACACACAAGGAAGGCCGGCCTTGCGTACTTGCTTTTCCGTCTTGGCTGCTTCCAGGCCGACCCCGACGGGCTGGTTCCCTCTGTATCGGGGCGGGCAGGGCAGGCAGTGGAAGCCAGGCTGAGTGTTGACACAGCGAGGCACCTTGCTGGTGGAGAAGCAGATGTCGGGGACCAGGGCACACTGCGGGGACAAGCAGACATGAGAGGCCGCTCCCGACCTCAGGGCGCCCACAGCCCAGGGCGGGGTCACCCACCTCGTCCAGGTCCTCACAGTGGGTGCCATTGCCCAAGAAGCCCACAGGGCAGGAGCCGCATGACCAGGACCCATCGGGGAAGCTGCTGCACTGGGCTCCCGGGAAGCAGGGGTTGGATAAACAGCCATCTGGGTGGGAGAAGGCGGAGCAGAGTTCACCACGCGCCCTGCGCAGCACAGAAGGAAGCCCGCCCTGTGGGCCGTCAAACACTCTGGGATGTCTTTGTCATCGAATTGTGTAGTCAGGAACACTCTGGTGTGATTCTGGATGATCATCAAGAGGCATCATCTCCAAGACCGCATTGCTCAGGTGGACACAGTGCAGCGGGTTGCAGAAGCACGTGTACATTATGACTACACGCCACGGGCCACACCACACAACTACCCACACGCCACCTTCCACAACACACAACTGCCTACGCACCAGGTTCCACAACACACAACTACATGTCAGGTGCCACACCACAAACCTACCTACGCGCCACGTTCCGGATCACACAACTACCCACGTGCCACCTTCCACACTACACAACTACCCACACACCATGTTCCAGACCATACAACTACCACGTGCCACCTTCCAGACCACACAACTGCCCATGCACCACCTTCCACAACACACAACTACACCCCAGGTGCCACACTGCACAACTACCTATGCACCACATTCCAGACCACACAACTACCCATGCGTCACTTTCCACACCACACAAATACCTACGTGCCATGTTCCAGACCACACAGCTGCCCACGCACCACCTTCCACAACACACAACTACACCCCAGGTGCCACACCACACAACTACCTATGTGCCACGTTCCAGACCACACAACTACCCACACGCCACCTTCCACACTACACAACTACCTACACACCATGTTCCAGACCACACAACTACCATGTGCCACATTCCAGACCACACAACTGCCCACACACCACCTTCCACAACACACAACTGCCCACACGTCAGGTGCTATACCACACAACTACCTACATGCCACATTCTAGACCACACAACTACCCATGTACCATGTTCCAGACCATACAACTGCCCACGCACCACCTTCTACAACACATAACTACATGCAAGGTGACACACCACACTACTACCTACATGCCACGTTCCAGACCACACAACTACCATGTGTCACATTTCACACCACACCGCTGCCCATGCACCATGTTCCACACCGCACAACTACCTACACACCATGTTTCACAACACACAGCTACTCACATGCCACGTTTCACACTACACAACTACATATTCCAGACCACACAACCACCCAGATGCCACAGTCCACACCACACAACCACCCAGATGCCACAGTCCACACCATGCAACTACCCACACACCATGTTCCATACCACACAACTATCTACATGCTATGTTCCCAGCCACACAACTACCCACATGCCACAGGCCACACCACACAACTACCCACACACCACATTCCACACCACACAACTACCCACACTCCACATTCCATGCCACACAACTACCCACACACCACATACCATGCCACACAACTGCCCACATTCCACAGGCCACGCCACACAACTACCCACATTCCACAGGCCACACCACACAATTACCCACACACCACATTCCACGCCACACAACTACCCACATTCCACAGGCCACGCCACCTGGCATCTTTTTTGTTTTTACATTAGAAATACAGGAGGACTGAAACACAGATGTTAAAAGTAGTTATCTTTGCGTGTGCAACTAAAATTGATTTTTCTTTTCTGTGTTTTTCATCTAGTTTCCCAAAGCGTTTGTGCTTTTCATCAGAATGGAAGCCCGGGTTTCAGTGCCCCCGCTTCTACCCCTCACTCACCCACGGGGCAGCTCCTCTTGTTGCACATCTGACGCTCCTGCACATCCCCCACGCAGGCCTTCCCTCCGTACTGAGGCTCAGGGCTGTTGCAGACCCGGGTGCGCTCCCGGATCCCACCGGCACAGGTGACAGTGCAGGCCGACCACGGGGACCAGGGGCTCCAGCGGCCATCGACTGCGGGGAAAGCCAACCAGGGGGAGCTCAGAGCAAGACCCGGGGTGGAGAACGTGAGTTGGCTGAGTGAGAGGGAAGAGCAGGTGGGACATGGTGTTCCCTACACAGCCCCACAAACTGGTTTCTCCCCAGGTTGGCTGACTACAGGTCAGAGCGTGATCGCACCACTACGCCTGCTGCAATGGTGGATTCCGGGAGTGACTCAGAAGCCAGTGTTTCCAATGGCTTTGCTGCGATCTCTTGGCCTCCAGAAGACAAATCATACCACCTCTTCTTTTTAATAAAAGAATTTTTTTAATAGAGAGGGTCTCGCTATGTTGCCCAGGCTGCTCTCAAACTCCTGGCCTCAAGCAATCCTCCTGCCCCAGCCTCCCACAGTGCTGGGATTACAGGCATGAGCCACCGTGCCCGGCCCCACACCACCATTTACACCGAGAAGCTCAGAGCTCCTCGCCAAGCTGTCCCTCTGCCATGGAGGGTGGCCTCAACTCAGAAGCCTGGTATGACACCGAATGTCCTCACAGGCAGTTCCCATGAGGCGTGAGCACAGCTGAAGGCAATCCCTGCACACCCTCTTTTTCTCAGCACATCCATGCACTTCCCGAGCCAGGCCTCCCTGGGGAAGCCCTTGATGCTTTGGGCCAAGCGCTCTGTAACTCACACCCTAGTCTGCACAGACGCAGGGAAAGGCTATTTCAGAGAGACACAGTTCTGTGCATCTGCGGCATCCTCTGTCCACACTCACTACTCAGTCCAAACTCACTCCCCGTCCACACTCACTGCCCATCCACACTCACTCAGTCCACACTCACTCACTTCCATCCACACTCACTGCCCATCCACACTCACTGCCCATACAACTCACTCCCCCATTCACACTCCCTCCCCATCCACACTCACTCCATCCACACTCACTTCCATCCACACTTACTCCCCATCCACACTCACTCCCCTATCCACACTCACTCCCCCATCCACATTCTCCCTCCCCCATCCACACTCTCCCTCTGTCCACACTCACTACTCAGTCCAAACTCACTCCCCATCCACACTCACTCCCCCATCCACACTCACTCCCCCATCCACACTCTCCCTCCACCATCCACACTCTCCCTCCCCCATCCACACTCCCTCCCCATCCACACTCACTCCCCATCCACACTCACCATCCACACTCACTCCCATCCACACTCACTCCCCATCCACACTCATTCCCCCTTAAACACCATCCACACTCACTCCCCATCCACACTCACTCCCCATCCACACTCATTCCCCATCCACACTCATTGCCCCATAAACACCATCCACACTCACTCCCCATCCACACTCACTCCCCATCCACATTCACTCCCATCTATACTCACTCCCCATCCACACTCATTCCCATCCACAGTCACTCCCCATCCACACTCACTCCCCCATCCACACTCACTCCCCATCCACACTCCCCATCCACACTCACTCCCATCCACACTCCCCATCCACACTCATTCCCCCATAAACACCATCCACACTCACTCCCCATCCACACTCATTGCCCCGTAAACACCATCCACACTCACTCCCCATCCACACTCACTCTCCACATTCACTCCCATCTACACTCACTCCCCATCCACACTCATTCCCCATCCACACTCACTCTATCCACACTCACTTCCCATCCACACTCACTCCCCATCCACACTCATTCCCATCCACACTCGCCATCCACACTCACTCCCATCCACACTCGCCATCCACACTCACTCCCATCCACACTTACTCCCCATCCACACTCATTCCCCCATAAACACCATCCACACTCACTCCCCATCCACACTCATTCCCCATCCACACTCACTCCATCCACACTCACTCCCCGTCCACACTCACTCCCGTCCGCACTCACTCCCATCCACACTCACTCCCCGTCCACACTCACTCCCCATCCACACTCACTCCCCCATCCACACTCACTCCCATGACAGAGCTGCGGTGCTGGATCATTCTTCCTTTAATTACAGTCTGTCCTGAACTGGAATGAAACGGGGCTATCTCAGAGGAGGTTTGCGCTGAGCACAGGTGAGCAGAATTAATCACAAAGGATGGGTTCATTACCGAGCCAGGCCCGGGATGGCAGCCCCCTTTGCTGCTCGGCTGGGGCTGGGCTGGGCTGGAACAGGCCCTGACACCCCGGATCCCGGCTCCAGCTGTGGCTGCTCACTGTGAGCTGCCTGCAAGCCCGCCCACCCAGGGCCCCGCCTTCACCGTACTTACTTGGGCATGGGGCGCCCTGGCAGGCTTTGGTCTCCCGGCCACTCCCTTTGCAATTCTTGCCCCCCATCTGGGGCACTGGGGAGTTGCAGAGACGGATGCGTGTGATATTGCCAACTCCACAGGTCACAGAGCATGAAGACCAAGGTGACCAGTGGCTCCAGCCGCCGTCCTGCCGGACTAACACAAGAAGCGGAGAGAGATCAGGCTGTGCCGCCTAGAGGGGTATTTGCCTGTAAGCGGTGTGCCTTATTAACCGAGGAGCATCTCACAGCTGCTGAGGAGAGGGAAGGAGAACCCCTCCCATCAGCTGGGAGAAAGAGCCTCACCTGGCTAGAATCCTTGCAAAGGCCCAGCACCTCGTGAGGGCAGCTCTGTCCCTTGCAAAGGTCCCGATGACTGAGAGAAACGCGGCCCCACCCCCACAGGCACGCGGGTGTCACCTGCCCGACACTCACTGCGGGTGTCACACTTGCTCAGACTGCAAGCCCGTGTCTGGATGGAGGGCCCCAAGCAGGTGTTGCTGGTGACGTCACAGGACCGGCCTCTCTGCTGGGTCCCAGAGCCACACGTCACGGAGCACTGGGTCCACTCTGCCCACGGAGACCAGCCCTCCTCACCGTCCACCGCTGCCAGAGGAAGCAAACACGGTGGCATCAGGCCCTGCCTCACAGACGTGCCACAGAACAGAACGGGCACAGGGCAGCTGGCGTGGGGCCACAGTTCATGCATCCAGGAATCTGAGGGGCCACTGCCTGGCTGGGGCAGGTGGACATCCCAGTGGCTGGGCCGTGGCTCCGTGGGACCCAAGTTTGTGACCTGCACGGGAGTTCAGGGACTGCCTTTCAAGAGAAGAGCAAAAACGCCTTTCTGGGTCTACTATTAGGGTGCTGAGGGGAGCTAAATCCATGTGTGTCCAGGAAAGTCTCTTAATCGATTTTATAAAATAGCTTGCCAAAGACAGTGTTGAATCTTTTCTACATGAGGTTTCATTAAAGTTACAAAAATGTAACGTATTTCCATTTAACCTCTGTTCGCTGATTTACATAATGTAGTGAAACATTTCAATTATTGGTGAAAATTACAGGTCACTTATTTCCAAGTAAACTGAAACAAGCTAATAAAAAGGAGATTCCCTGTAAAGAAATTCTTCATAGGTAATCACAGCCGCTAAATGGGGGGAAAGAGCAACCTGACGCCAGAAATCATTCCCGTGAGGAGAGAAGCCCAGTGAATGCGCCATGACTCAGTGTTCTAGAAAGCAGGGAAATGAAAGAAAAGAAAAATGGTCAAGGAGGTCTTTTCCTGGTCATGATGCTCCTGATAACATAAAATGTCTCCTTCTAGTCTAATGTGGGCCCTTTGATTATCAAGATTATATTTTTATGCTTTGCCAGGAGCATTCTGACTTTGTGAATACCTAACAGGCACTTTTACGCATATTGAATTGTTGGTTTTAATTATAAGACTAACTGTATAGGGGATACATTTTCTGCATGTTACAGGCAATAAATTTGAAACTCAGAAAAATCCCATTTTATTCAAAATCACAGAGTGGCAGAGCGTGAGCTCTGAGTCCCTTCATTCTCTGTCCACATCAGAGGTAAGGTGCCCTGAGGATGACACAGCTCTGGGGCCACAGGGACATTCTGGGAATGTTTGGGGGATGGTGACTAGTTTAGTTTGGGAGAAGCGTTGCCTGATCTTAGTGCAGCAGCAACTTGGGGTGTAGACCTGAAGCACCTTGCCAACGGCACGGCACTGGGGAGCCACGGATGGCTCAGGAGCTCTGGGTGGGGTCAGCAGAGCTAACTTGGGAAGGGAACTCGGGGCAGGGGTGGGAGGCAGCACAGAGACCTGAGGGCAGCGTTGGGGCCAACTCAGTCTCTGAACGTGCACTGAGTTTCCAGGGTGGCCCAGGAACCCCCAGGGTGCCCACACGTGGTTCCTCTCCATCTCAGGTTCTGTTCCTTAGAATGTATTTCTATCCCTTAGAACATATTCTTCGGATAACAGTCTTTGGTTTTTGTTTGTCTGATTTTCTATTGTTTTTTCCAGGAGTGTGTGTACAGTGATCACTTGCTGCCATAACACAGTCACAGATCTACGTGTGTTCTCTGACTCTCAGCTGGGGCTCCATCGGGGCCTGCTCTGGGCTCACCTGCGTGACCACTGGGCTCAGCTTCCTCGTCTGAGAAGCATCAGGACTGGCCTTCCCACCCCCGCGTTCCCAGGGCTTCCACACTCCTTTCTAGCCATGAGTCAGTCCTCAGTGGATGACCAGTGGCCTGGGGTGGCCCTCTGATTCTCTCACCTGTACTCAGGGGGCTGAACCTCACTCTTCTCTGCCAAAACCAACCAATGAATAAATAAACAAACAAGCATGGAATTCCTAAAAATGCAGGATGCGCTTGCCGGCTGGCGATACTCACAGTGGAGGCAGGAAGGGCAGCATTCGCCTTCCACAAAGGATGGACTGGCGCAGGTTGCAGGCGGGCAGGTGATTTGGTGGCAAATGGTTTTAAATTTCTACAAGTGAAGAAAGGCATGCATGGAACACTCATTTAAAAGGAGGGGACGCTGGTACAAGGGCTGAGACTAGAAGGGGTCGACAGAATGGCTGAATGTTTTCCATCCTACGGACCATACATTACAGAGATGTGAAAATAAGGGCATCTTTTTCTCCCATTAGTGCTGACAGCCTAACAAGAACAGGGCCCCCAGATGGCTCTTTGCATCCATTCCATTCCTTTCTCCCTTCACTGAGCAGCAAGGATGCAACAGAGAGCTCCAAGCTTCCTGGAAGGAGGGAAGAAAAGACGGGCAGCAGGAACTCCTGTTATCTAAGGTAATGCTGAGGCCATTGTCAGCAGAAATAGAGTAACATTAAAAGCTAAATTGTCTGTCTGTAAGACTTCAGGCAGTGGCTTGTATTTCCCCCAAACGTTTCTGCTGAGCCTCAGGCTCTGTTGGAACCGGATGGAATTAAATGCAGAGTCTAGGGCCATGTCTGGCTTCTCTGTTCCTCCTGTTTCTAACCAACTGGGGACGCTGGCCAGGTTGCTCCCCCTCTCTGGGCTCTGGTTCTTTATGTGCAAACAAAGAGGTTGATTCAAGTCCTAAATACGGTTCCTGGCCCTTCTGTGTTTCTTACACTGAAATTTCCTCACATAGCTGAACCGGTTTCACACATCAGCACTGAACGCTGGCATTTCCAGGCAGTCAGGTTCTGCCAAGTGTCCGATGGTGGCCTCTTCCCCCAAGAGCCGTGTTCTGGGGCCTCACCTTGCAGGTACACGTGGTGCAGCTGTCCACCACCCACGTTTCATTTTCCGCAAAGAACCGGCCATCCTGCCAGCAAGCTGACATGTTCCTTGTCTTAGGAGGGCCACCAATGAGCTCCCAGAGAAACTGGTTATCATTCGACTGGAAAATCAAGTGAAACATTTAAGTGTAGACAATAATACTACATATTTAGTCATCATGCTTGTGGATGAAAAACAAAGTTCCTCCTTCATTAAAAAGCTCTAAAGTCAAGTAAGACTTGACTCATCCCTGGGTGGAAGTTCCGGAAGTTGTCCTCCATCCTCACGGGGCTTTCTGAGCCACAGCTTCGTCACTGCCTGGGCTTCTGGGGCTCCCCATCCACCTGCCTTCCTGGAGAGCGGAAATCGCGTGGCTCACATCACACCTGGACCAGTGCAGAGCAACGCTGGGGCTCCTTCGACTGGGGACGCCAGGTGGGACTGGGGTGGGAACTAGGTCCCCAGGCAGCAGCCATAACGACAGGCAGGGATACAGCCAAGCTCCTGCCCTCGCCACCCTCCCTGCCCCGGTCTCCTGCCATCGACCCCCTCCCTGCCCCAGGCTCCTGCCCTCGCCGCCCTCCCTGCCCCGGACTCCTGCCCCTGCCGCCCTCCCTGCCCTGGGCTCCATCTCCTGGCATCATTTACTTCATGCCCTCTGGGTACGAGTGACAGTCAGCATCACTGCACCCTGGTTAGCCATGTGTATGTTGTGGGGCACCGTGGCCCGGAGCACCTCATTATGTTCAGTCCCTTTCTCTAAACTGCGAGCTGCCCGTCCTGAGCCCCGCAGGCATCGCTCTCTCTTCCTGGCCGCGCTGTGCCGCTCAAACCCATTTCACTCCTGCCAGCCTCACAGGAACTTCCCGTCCTGCCTCTTCAGCTATGCCAACATGCAGTCCTTGAAATAAAATTATTTTCCTCTGCAGGTGTGTGTGTGTGTGTATGTGTGTGTATGTGTGTGTGTATGTGTGTGTGTGTGTGTACACTCATACCTACAGATTTACCAAGGAGGTAAATTTCCCAAAATTAAGAATTTATTTTGGAGACTGTGCCCAGGACTGTTTTCCTTGGGAATACTTCCCAAGATCTACCCAACTTCCCTCTAACAATGCTGAATATTGAGCAAGGATCCTGAGGAGCCCGGCAGACACCTCCCCTGTGAACTGTGGGTTTTTACATCGAGCATGAGGCACTGCCAAGCCAGGGAATGTTGATACCTGCTGAGATGGGCCAGCGGCGGAGCTGCCCATGCCCTATGACCCCCGCGGCCCCTGCGTGAGTACCCACCACTCTCTTGAGGTTCTCGCTGAGCTGGTTCACGAGGACGTGGAGCCCCGAGAGCTCCTGGACCATGTTTCCCAGCTCCTCGCACGAGCGTTCGCACACCTCGGGCCTCCTCTCCGAGCTGGGGCCCACGTACTCGGTGGTGACATGCGGACCCAGGCGCAGCGTCTCTGTGTTCTCACTGATGGCGTTGATCTCAGCTGAGGGCAAGCGTAGAAGGGCCGTGAGCATCACAGAGGACGGGGCCAGCAGCAGGGGCTGGGAACAGAGGGAGGATGACCCGCCCTGGCTCCCGGAGCGGCCTGGTGCTGGGAGACACAAGGCGGAGGACTGGGCCAGCAGCAGAGGCCAGGACCACAGGGAGGACCATCTGCCCTGGCTCCCAGAGTGGCCTGGTGCTGGGTGACACCAGGAACAGCAGGGACAGGGGACAGTGGCTATTTCCCACGCTGCCACATGTCACAGAAGGAGCAGAGCAGAAATTAGCTCAGGAGTGGGGAGACGCATCAGCATAGGAGAGGCCTGCACAGTCCAAACGCAGGAGCACCAGTGGCCACGCATGTCACTCAGACCCAGGTCCCCTCTTTGCAAAGCTTCCGACCACAAATCTGCTTCTTGAACACATCCCCCATATGTTCTGACGGCTCCTCTCGACTCTTCATCCTTTTTTTTTCATCCCCAAACACCCTTTCTTATGGCTCCTTGCTCTGCTTTAAAGAAAATTCACTATCCTCTTGCTCAAACAGCCAGTCCCCTTGAGACTGTGCCTTGCTCCTCCTGGCCTTCCCACCTTCCCACTGCTCCTAACTTCCCACCTTCCCCCAAATTCCCACCTTCCCACATTCCCACCTTCCCACCGCTCCCACCTTCCCACCACTCCCACCTTCCCACCACTCCCACCTTCCCACCACTCCCACCTTCCCACCTTCCCATCTTCCCACCTTCCCACCACTCCCACCTTCCCACCTTCCCACCTTCCCACCGCTCCCACCTTCCCACCTTCCCATCTTCCCATCTTCCCACCTTCCCACCACTCCCACCTTCCCACCTTCCCACCACTCCCACCTTCCCACCTTCCCACCTTCCCACTGCTCCCACCTTCCCACCTTCCCACCTTCCCACCACTCCCACCTTCCCAGTGCTCCCATCTTCCCACCTTCCCACCACTCCCACCTTCCCACCTTCCCACCTTCCCACCTTCCCACTGCTCCCACCTTCCCACCTTCCCACATTCGCACCTTCCCACCTTCCCACATTCCCACCTTCCCACCTTCCCACCGCTCCCACCTTCCCACCTTCCCACCACTCCCACCTTCCCACCTTCCCACTGCTCCCACCTTCCCACCTTCCCACCACTCCTACCTTCCCACCTTCCCACCGCTCCCACCTTCCCACCTTCCCACATTCCCACCTCTCCCACCTTCCCACCTCTCCCACCTTCCCACCACTCCCACCTTTCCACATTCCCACCACTCCCTCTGAAGCCCTAGATCGTGGGACCTGGGTGGGTATGGCATGTAATTTACAAATTGACCTGAGGCGAGTCAGGGACGGAGGCGGGGTCCAGTCCTCAGGTCAGCGGGGCCTGCGCAGTTGCAGTCAGGGCCCAGGCTCTAGGCCGGAGCTCACCTCACCCCCATGTAGGACCCTGCTCCCTCTCAGGGGTGAAGATCCCATCTTTGAAATGCCTGACTTCTCTCGGACAGTCCATTATTGAGGAAAGACTTAGACATTTTACAGCGCTGTCAGGCATTCCGTGATTGAGTTTTTAATCACTTGGTTATAAACTGTGCTGCAATTCATACTAAGCTCAGAAGCTTCCCCTCGGATTCATGTTGCCCATAACCATGTACAATCAGGTCAATATCAACACATTAATAGAGACAAAGAAACCACCCTGAGTGGATTTTACCCAGCACACTAATCTTTAACTAACCTAGGGTATTTGTTTTTCATTCCTCTAAAAGTTAAACAAAAGACCGCATATATCTTTGCTTCTGCTCTGGCTCTGACAGGAATGTAGTTTTACCTGGTAGTAAAACCTTCCAGCTAACTTGCATTTCTCCAGGCTTCTGCCAGTATTCTCAGTTGTAAAATAATAATGGCTCAGCCTCTTCACAAGGTTACTCTCACTTTTAACAAACAGTGGAAAAGGGGATGTCATTACCAAGAACCAATCCATGAACTAGCTGTTTGTATAAGACCAATTTTCCTTAAGTCTGACATAACCAGTGAAGAAGAAGTCTTTGTTGTGTTGGCAAAGATCTCCAAATGGGACATTGGCATCCACCTGGCTTTGAGTAGACTAACTCATGGGTGATTGCCACATATGGTCCGGTAGATATATGTATATAGATCCATACTTATTCTACACATCTGGAGATAACAGATCTAGATTTCTCTGTGTTTTTTTTTTTTTTTTTTTGGAAGATCTAAGAGTTTCCCATAAGTTTTAAAGGTTTGCTTTTGATAGTTCCAGGGATTATTGACTTGTACCTGTGAGCCTAGGAAATACCTGCTGAAGGAGGCTGCACCTACTAGGGTGTATGCTGGTAACACACACACACACACACACACACACACAAGGTGTTTGCTCACATAGAGGTGTAAGTCACGTTTGTCATAGTAGGTTAGTTTTACTCACTGACCATTATGACAACTGACTCAACATGCCATGGACAACCTTAGCTCTAGTTTAACTGAACCCACGTGAAATTATAGTACAAACATGTGATTAGGAACACCGCGAAGGGTATATTTTCTTTCATACAAAGAATATTTGCATATATGTTTTGTTTATAAAAACAATATTTTTCTATATTAGTGAAAATACACACGCACGCACACACACACACACACACGTATACATATAAATATATCAGACTGAAAAAACATTATTGCAACAAAAAGTACCCAAAAGCCCCACAGCCAACTGCACCCCAGGAACCCCCAGAAGAGCACTGCCTCATGAAGCTGAGGCCCTGGCACGCAGAGTGCTGGAGCCAAGATAACTCTGCCTGTGCTGCAAATCACCCCTCAGGTAACAGGCACAGTGAGGGTCGTGGTGGGGGTGACAGTTGGAGCTGGAATGAGGGTTGGTCTTAGAACACCCTTCTCCCTGCATTGATGATCAAATGTCTCCTTGTTCTCCTTCCTCACAGGACGTGCACAAGGACCCGGACCTGCAAAGTGTAACTGAAGAGTGGGCTACGCACCCCGGTTCTGAAGTAGGCGGTGGGATCACAGAGTCATTGTGCACCAAAGATACCAAATCTCACATATTCCTGATGTATAGATTCATGACATAACAGTTTACGCTTGTCATAATTTGGAATTGAAATGGCCTGGCCTTCGTGTGCACACGGCCACACCGTGTGGCAGACGTGAGCTCCGCTTTGAGGCTGTCAGACAGACCCAGGCAGCAGCCCTGCTCCCTGCTCACTGGGGAGCTCAACATGGCAGCCACACAGCACTCCCTTGGGTGCCAGCCTTCATCTTTGTAAAATGAAGAAAGTGAAAGTGCCCATCTCACGTAGTCATTCTGAAGATTAGATGATGTACGGCATTTAATGAACCTGTCATAGTGACCTTCAGAATTAAATGCTCAAGAAAATATTGGAAAGTGTGCTTGGAAATATGATTCACAATTGTAACTAACAGAAAAGATGAGATCATCTGTCAATGATTTAAGTAGCATAGATTTCCATCATATGATGGAGTCAACAACTATGAACAGTATAAGAAAACTTCTAGGCCGGGCGTGGTGGCTCACACCTGTAATCCCAGCACTTTGGGAGGCCAAGGTGGGCAGATCACGAGGTCAGGAGATCGAGACCATCTTGGCTAACACGCTGAAACCCCATCTCTACTAAAAATACAAAAAATTAGCTGGGTGTGGTGGCGGGTGCCTGTAGTCCCAGCTACTCAGGAGGCTGAGGCAGAAGAGTGGCGTGAACCCAGGAGGCAGAGCTTGCAGTGAGCCCAGATCGCACCACTGCACTCCAGCCTGGGTGACAGAGTGAGACTCTGGCTCAAAAAAAAAAAAAAAAAAGAAAACTTCTGTAAGTCAAGTTCGACAAATATCTATGACTTTCCTTAGGCAGACAAGCATCACACATTAATATACTGGAAAAGTTGTCTATATTTCAACTCATATTAAAGCACCAGCTATTTATATTTTGTCTTCTATAATAAAATTATTTGGATGATTAAAATCTACTTAAAATTAACTGTTTAATCAATTTATTATTTTCAGATATCAACATGTCTAAGTTGACCAGCTAAGTCACTCAAAGACAATAGTGGTAGTTACCCAAATATTTTTACTTAAATTTTTACAAGCATGAATGCACACACATACACACACACACATACACCATGTCACAATAGAAATCCATCCAAGCCAGTATATAAAATGCATTTTTCACAACACACCTACCTCCCTGGCCTTGCTGGCAACCCTTCTTGCTTAGAATATCTTCCACAGAGTTTTCAAACACTAGGTGGACGTTCTGAAGCAAACCCTGTAAGTATACACAAGCAGAAAAATAGAGCAACAGATAAACATCCAATGTTTGATGCCAAGCTAACTGACATTCTAAAAATACAAGTTGGAATCTTCAAGTAGTGAGAGTATTTCCTTCTACGTAGCAGGTTTGCAATCTCTTTATAATCAGTTTTTCTGTATATAGTACTTTTGAAATTTTGTTTTTAAGCATGACACAAGAAATGGAAGTGTAATGTAAGAAATCTACCTAGAAGAAGGAAATGTTTCATAAATAAGAGTGAGATGGCCCTTGGAGAGGTGTGGCCTGCTGTGTGTTCTGGGCATGTTCCCATGGACGTTCAAGGCCATTCGTTCCTTGCAAGTCACTCATGATTAGCGAGTTTCTGCATTTGGCAAAGAGGCTCACAGAGTCCCACTGGTCCTCTCAGAGACACAGACCCTGGGCCTGCAGGAGCGCCTTCCGCAGCTGAGTTATGACGGGGCTGGGCCAGTCCTATATGGTATGGAACTCCTGGACACCCATGAGAAATTGACTCAACAACAAGCTATGCATCTCTAGACCTTTTACTCAAATTACTGAGTTTAACCATGTACTTATTTCCAAGGCCCTACACGTCCGGGAGGGAGCAATGTACCATACACCATTGTGATTCTAAAGACCTGCAGTTTAAGATTCATTTCCAAACATATTTTAACCAAAATGGACATGAAACCATTCCCTCATAAATCACTAGCCCTTTCCCTTGGAAAAGGGCACCTGCTACTTTGCTCTCCCATCATTTCGCTACTAAAGCAAACATTTAGGAGTGGTTTTGGTTGTGATCAAAAAAGTCTGGGATTGCTAGAAACATTTGAATAGGGTTGATTCCTTGATCATCAAACCAGCCTCAATCTCAACTGACGATAATTAGTGCAGTTAGGGAAGCACACCTGGGGCAGCCCTCTCTGATTAATCGTGGTTTAGAAAGGCGTGCGTTGTGTGTGTGTGCGCTTGTATGTGGTGTTTGCATGTGAAAGGGTGAGTGCCTGTGTGAAAGTACGTATGTGCTGACAACTGCCTGTGGCTCTGCATGCATTGTGTGTGCACGTGTGCCTGTTTGTATACACATGTGTGATGGATGTATGTGCATGCATGAGTTTGCATGAGGTGTTTGTGTGTATGTATACGTGTGTATGAGTATGTGTGCATTTGTGCATGTGTATGTGTGTGTACATGTGTGGTTCTGTGTATGCATCTATATGATGTTCATGTGTTTATGTGTGGGGGATGTGTGAGTGTATGTATGGTGTTTGTGTAGGTATGTAAATGTGATGTGTGTGACTGTGTATGGTACTTTTGTGCACGTGTGTATGTGTGTGTTCACATGTGTGTGGTGTGCGTGCATTGCATGGCTGTGGGTGGTGTGTGCACACCTGTTTTGTGCACACATGTATAAGTGCTTACATATGGTTGTGTGCACATGTGCATGCATGAGTGTGTTCACATGTATGTGTGTGGTGTGTGTGCATGTGTGGTATGTGCACACGTCTGTGAATGTGAGTGCATGCATGGTGTTTATTTGTGTATGTGCATGGGTGCCCACGTAGGGTGTGTGCACGTGTGTGCATGTGTGTGTTCACATGTATGTCTGTGTGGTGTGCATGTGTGCACATGAGTGTATGAATGGTGTTTATGTGCGTCTGCATGTGCGTGCCCATGTATGGTGTTTGTGTGCACATGGGCATGCATATGTGAGGGTGTGTTCACATGCATGTGTATGTGGTGAGGTGTGTGTGTGCGTGTCTGTGTGTGTGTGTTGCGTGGTGTGTGTACATGTGTGATGTATATACATATGCGAGTGTGAGTGCATATGCAGTGTTTGTGTATATGTCTTTGGATGTGTGTTCATGTGTTTGTGAGCATGTGTGTTTGTGTGTGTGTGTGGTGTGTGTGCATGTGTGCACATGCCTGTGGCTGCGTGTGGTGGGCAGTGTGTGCATGTGCATGTGGTGTGTGCACGCATGTGTGTGAGCACATGCCGGGATGTGCAGTGTGCTTCTCTAAGGCCAGGCTCTGCCTGCTCAAGCATCGCATCACCAGACGCATTAGCAGATCAGTTCCCAGCTAAGCTCTTTCCTCCCTCACGGCGGCCACCTCCCTGCAGAGCGTACCCTGAAGTGACTCTCTCTGGCAGAGCCTTTGGCCACGTACATCCGGCTCTTTTCCGCCTGCAGGTGCTCGTAGAAGGGCTCGTCCAGAGCGAAGCTGTCTATGAGGTCGCAGCCCACGTGCAAGCTGTAGGTCTCGCCAGCCACCTGCACGGTGACGTTCTTCCACTGCGAGTCAGCCAGGCCGACGTCCTCCAGGGAGACCACATGCCGGGTGCCGTCAATCCAGTAGGTGAGATCCAGCGTGTCCGCGGGGCCGTTGGAGACGATCTCGAACTGCCTCTGGGAGAGACCGGGGCCCTCCAGAGCCAACAGCGTGCCCCTGGACTTGCCGTCCTGCTTGAGCTGGGCCGTGAGGAAGAAGCCCTCCTTCTGCCGCATGATCTTGGTGATCTTGCTGAGGTCATCTGCGTTCACCGGTGGGATGTAGTCAAAGCGCACGAAGCGGTAAGCCGGCACGCCGGGGTCGGGCCCGCGGAACTGCTTGGCGCCAATGGTCTTGCGGTTGATGTTGCTGATACTGAAAAGGTCGAAGGTCGTGTCTTTGTCCTGGTGACCAGCTGCAAAGGGAACCGCAGTGGAGAAGGGTGACGTAGGGGAAGAGGGCGAGGTTGGCCTGACCCAGGGTGACAAACCAGAACCTCGCGTGTAAGGAAATTAACGAGGCCTCCCAATATCCCGCAGCTTCTCTCCCTTTTTTATGGGAATCCTGGAGCCACCTCTGATGAAAAGCCACTATCCTCCGTGCCAGTGCCGCTACTCAGAGTGTGGGCCCAACGCAGCTGCGGGTCTGTGGGGTCAGTTTCTGCCCCTGGCTGGTCGAGGAGCGTGTGCCAGAAGGTAAATCGGTGGAGACAGGCAGCGCCCTGTCCGTTCAGCTGGCCCTTTGCATAGCCCGACCTTCTTGGTGAGGGAATCCCGGCCTCGCTTGACATCCTGGCACATGTCCCAGGTCACTCTGTCTGGCTCTTCCATCTCAGATCTGAGGCTGAAAAGCAGCCATCCTGTCTACCAGTTGATTGCTCAGGAAAAAACCAAATAAATGAATAAACTGGGAAAGACATGGATCTTTAGCCTTGCTATTGATAGAGTGTCAGAAAGCGGCTAAATCGTATGTTGCTTTCTTGTTGAGATCAACTGCCTAAAACCAGTTATGTCAGCAGGTTGTTATTTTGTAAAAATGTATTCTCCAACTCTTAATGCACCCTGTGGGTAAGGATCTGAAAGAGTGGTCAGTATCAAGTACAGAAACAAATGGTTTTAAGTCACCACCTAAGCTATTGGCAAGAAAAGTGATCAGATCTCACGAAAATCATAATAGTTTAAATAATTCAAAGCCAGGCGCGGTGGCTCACACCTGTAATCCCAGCACTTTGGGAGGCCGAGGTGGGTGGATCATGAGGTCAGGAGACGGAGACCATCATGGCTAACGTGGTGAAACCCCGTCTCTACTAAAAATACAAAAAATTAGCCAGGCATGGTTGTGGGCGCTTGTAGTCCCAGCTACTCGGGAGGCTGAGGCAGGAGAATGGCGTGAACCCGGGAGGCAGAGCTTGCAGTGAGCCCAGATCACGCCACTGCACTCCAGCCTGGGTGACAGAGCAGGACTCCGTCCCAGAAAAAAAAAAAAAAGTAATACACTGAACAGAAAGTTTAGCCAAAGCCTTCCTTTTCATCTAATATTTAGCAAATTAGAACAGGATAATACACAGGGTTGCTGACAGAAGTGGGCAATGGACCACTTTCCATAGAGTTACTTGGCAAGAATTAAAAGCTTTGATTCAGCAATTCTAATTTTGTAACCTATCCAAAGGATATAATCACAAATGCTACTTAAGATTTATCCACGTCAATATTTTTTGTGTCATCATTTATGCTAATGAAAATAAACCAATCTAAGTGGGAATTGATTGAAAAAGATCAGGCTTTATCTGTGATGAAATATTATGTGGTCATTAAAAATCATACTGTAGAAAAGTAAACACATGGGAAAATATTTAAAGGAGGAAGAAAGTGGAGCAAAAAGAATTCAACAAACACCAAATACTTGCAGTGTTGTGAACATCCTCTATAGAAAAAAGGATAAACTGTGCAACTCTAGGTGGAATTGCATTTTTCTCTAACACCTGAATTTTCCAAAGATAAATTATCTCATGTCATATTGGCTCAGAAGTAAGTTACTATTTGATTTATAAAGGAGCTAGAAGGTCCTCACGGGTAAGATTGTCCAACCACACACTTTATTTTGTCATCTCTCCCCTTGCAGCTAAGCCATATCTCACAAGCCAGAGAGAGACCACAGGCTCTGAGGACACTCACCTTGCGTGCTGGGCCACACCCACAGAGCCAGCAGGACCAGCCTCCAGACCATCCTGCCTCCTGCAGCTGAGCTCCTGGGAATACAGGAAACCCTTGTTAGTGATGAGTCCACAGCTGCAACCCTGCCTGTGAGCGAGACTGGCCCAGTGACTCACATGACCATTGAATAACAGTTTGCATATAAAACTCAGCACCAACTGGATTTGTGGCAAACTGAGAGCGAAGGAGGAAATTTACTCTTCAAGCAGGATTCTTCTAACTATAAGATTTGTTGAGCTAGCATTTGCCGGCAAGCACTGCACATCACGTTCTAAATATTCCTATTATTTCATCTTCATAATAGCCTGGGAGGTATGTGCTGCTCTAATTGTCCTCATTTTACAGATGAGCAAATGGAAGATGGGCAAGTTCAGCGCTTGCCTGGAGTAATTCTGTTCATACGACTCGTAGACAGGACTTAGATGTAGAAAGTTTGAATTTAGAAAAATATCCAGCCTGACAAAAATAATCTGTGAACGCATTTTGTGTAAATATCCAGCAAAAAACAGTTATGCATAACCTAATTAAATAGAATGAATATCAACTGTAAAAAAAAGTTACAAATAAACTTAATTTGGTGAATTATACTTACAAAACAACAGAACACTTGACTTAGCCATCATTTTGACCCTGCCTCTTTATTTTCCTGCAGGCCTGTTTTTCCATTCTTGGGGATTTTAAGTTGGCACAGCTCAGTGGAGGCTGGCCCCGAAGTCAGGAGATGTGGTCCAAAGCCCGGCTGGGCGATTAACCCTGTGGATCTCAGCTTCTCCTCTTCCGGGCGAGCATGAGCCTGAGGGTCCCAGGGCTCCCCAGGTCCCTTCCAGCAATTGGTCACACCCTGCTCTAGGTTGAAGGGAAGACTGAGACCCCAATTCTTCCCATATTTAGAATATCAAAGGCCGTTAACTTCTCATTGTTAATCCAAGGACTCTCCCTCTCCAGAAACAACATTTGGTAACCTGGAAATCCTCACCTTCCAGGAATAGAGAAACATTCCTCAGAAGAAGAGAAATGCTTGGCAGCACCTGCAGACCCCCCACCCATCTGCTGCTGGGACCCCCCCCCCAAACCATCTGCTCCCCCCAGTGCCGCCCCAGGGGTCCTTGGTGATTGTTTCATCTGTCCTGGCTCCGGAAGCAGCACGGCCTGCGGCCGGAGTCAGCACCAGGCTGAGCAATGCTGAGCACCAGCTGTGCAACCTAGGGAAACTTACTTAACTTCTCTGTCTCAGTTTCCTCATCCGTAGAATGAAACGTAGCGTCATGTAAAATGCCCACCTCATCGGGTTGTCATGAGAGATGAATTCGGCAAATGAAACTTCACCAGGGGCTGACTTAGCCCAGCGAGCCACAGGCATGGGTTACCGGAGCAGAATGTGCCTCTGGGTCTGGGGCGCTTTCTACTCTAACTGCCCGAGGCAGCTGCAGTAATAATGGTGGTGCTGATAGGGCCTTTCTATGGAGCTCTTAAGAGGGTTTAATGACAGGAGCGAACACTTGGCCATGAGCTTAGAACAGTACCTGCATGCAGTAAGCACCACAGAACGGTGTTAGAATACACAGCTCAGGTACAGCCTTGGCAGGCTCTTCCCACCTCCCCACCTCATCAGCCCACACTGCCGGGTACGTCGCAGTCCCCTAAGGACAGCTGTGTGGGGCTGGCCCTGCAGAGGCCAGCCAAGAACAGGATGGTAAATGCGAAAGTTCTGGATGCCCAGCTTCATAAGGACAGGTTAGAAAAACTAAATCAAACTCCTTTGACGAAACCAGATCCTACTGTCTCTGCCTTGAGGTAGATTCTTACAAGAGCAGGAGGCTAACAAAGCATCCCCTGCTGCGGATTGTCAAAGGACAGTGAGGCTCCATCCCACAGGAAGGATGAGCAGCCAGGCTACCTGGCCTCAGCCCATCCAGGGACACCGGGCATGCATGGATGGAGCCACGGATGAGCCAGTGCCGCTCACCCCTGCCCCAGCCTCTGCACGCCACACATCCACGTTTATGCTTGTGTTTTTCCAAAAGAAAGATTTCGGTGCCTGTCTGCAGCAGAATGTAGTTTGAATTTGCAAAGGTCTTTTAAAACTCTTTTCGTATGAACAATCAAAGTAAAAGATAGCTTTGCAGAGAGCTAATTGTTTACCGGCCGTCCACCACCAACAGCAGTCTGATTAAACACCAGACTCCTGGGTGCTCAGCTCCCAGTCCTGGGCAGCCAAACCCACCTTCCTTAAGTGGTAGCCAGGCAACCTGCCAGCTCGCTTTTCATATGCAAACTGCCCCAAGACTGTTAAAAGTCGCTGTGTGTCCCGGCAGTCACAGGATTTTCCATAGACTTACCACAAATACTCTCTAGTTATGTTCAAAACCACTTTTCAGCTGCTAATAATGTTAACAATCAGAGTCTCTCTTTAATCTACTAATAATGTTAACAATCAGAGTCTCTCTTTAATCTACTAATAATGTTAACGATCAGAGTCTCTCTCTAATCTACTAATAATGATGTTAACAATCAGAGTCTCTCTCTAATCTCCAGTTACTTTTCAGATATTCCGGGAGTTGTTTCTAATTCTCTCCTCAATAACAAACTCTCATGTGGAATCTTCTTCTTCGGAAACTGAAAACATAAAGCGTTTACCCGGGTTCCCAGGCAGGTATATACATTGAAATAGCAGCAGCCACAACCCTCAGAGAGGAAGGGGTGCCCGGCTGGTGAAAGCACAGCCACGGAGGAAAAGCTGAGGAGCGGCCACGTGCCTTGCTCTTCAAGCGGGCAGTAGAAACACCACGTGAAGAAACACTTGCCATTTAGTGTTAATAGATACACCACCCACCTTAAGTTAAGAATCGAAATTGCTCCTTTTTCTTCTCCGCTTCTTAGAGTTCGAGAACTCTAATTTCTTAAAATTAGAGCACCATTAAATAATTGATTGAGTTTAAGAAATAATCGTACCTGGTTTGCCAAAAAGATGCAGTGATGACTGGTTTCAGTGTTCCGGACCGAGTCAGAAAGGCGCAGGCTCTGCTGGAGCGAGAGACCGGCCCTGCAGTGCAGGATGCTCCGGTGGACGTGGCCGAGCGGCTCCCGGGCAGCGCGGCTTTATATGCCGCTTCTCCTGTGCAGGGCTGTCAATCAGACACACGAGGAAGCACGTTTAATTCATTCCTTCGAAGGAATGACATCATCCCCCTTCTGATCTCACCATTTGCTCCGAGTACCTGCTGCAGGGGTCCAAGTCCAGCCCCTCTGTACTGGATGCCGTCTCCTCCTCCTGCACCCCGGCCCCTGCCAGACAGGCCTGGGAGGAGCCAGACGGAGAGAGGGAAGGCAGGGACTCACTTTTCCTGTCTTCTCTCAGGAAATAAGATGCTATAAATAACACTAGCAAGATTGGCTAGAACTCCTCATTTTGCTTAAGAGAAAAAAATGCAAGTTCTATGCCTTAAATATGTTTCGAATTACTCAATGTGATATTGGTCTTTCTAAACCAAATGAGTGACTCTCAATAACACATGAAATACATCGGTGAGTATCAATAATCAGTCTGTATATTAATAAAGTTATTATGGTCAATAATCAAGTGTATTATGTGACAAAAATGAAATTTAATATAAAAGGAAGTTGCCAACATTTATCTCAGGCAGTTAGAGGACTGAAAAGCTGTACTGCAGCTTTGGGAAAATTCATTTTTACCCAAATTCTGCTTCATTTGCTCAGTGAGGATCCCCTAGAAGGACGTCTCCCAGTGGACGTGCAATACCCGTAGAAGGGTGTGTCCCAGTGGACGTACAGTACCCGGCCAAGTCCCCTTGGTGCACACTTGCACGTGGCCCCATCACAGGAACAACCTGACGTGCAGGCACAGAGCAAGGACTCGAGAGAACGAGAAGCAGTGGCAGCAGCTAACCCCCGCCCCTCCCACACCTCAGGCATCACCCGCAATCAGGGTGCACTCTGCATGGGGGTGGGGGGCACCGCTTCTCAGAGGTCAGGGTGGACGATGGATGCGGAGGGGCTGCTTCTCCCAGGTCAGGGTATACAGTGGAAAGGGGAAGCTGCTGCTCTAAGGTGGGGGTTGATGGTACATGGGGGAGGGGCTGCTTCTCCCAAGTTGGGCTGGACAGTGGATGGGGGAGGTGCCACTTCTCCCAGGCCAGTGTGAAAGGTGGATGGTGGAGAGGCTGTTTCTCCCAGGTCAGTGTGCAAGGTGGCTGGGGATGTGTTGTTTCTCCCAGGTCAGGGTTAATGGCAGACAGGGGAGCTGCTGCTTCTCCTGGGTTGGGGTGGACCTTGGATGGGGGAGGTGCTACTTCCCCAGGTGGGGTGGATGGTGACTGGGGAGCTGCTGCTTTGCCCGGAGCCACCTGCACCTGCTTCATGTCGGCACCTGCCTGTCAGGTTCCTTCACGTTTGTGTGGAGTTGTCAGCCTGGCCATGGATCCGTCAAGTCCTAGTTAGAGAACATTAAAGCGAATTTCTGTGGACACAACCCTTACTGTGTCTGTGGCAGGGGAGTGTCTCTTAAGCCTCCTGGCATTCCCCCACAGGGGTCCAGCGCTGCAGAGGTCGGCAGGCACCATGAAGAGCAAGCCTCACTTTCTGGCCTCTGTCTTCAGGGAGGATATGCGAGCGGGTGTGGGAGAGGGAAGGAGCTTTCATTTGTGAAAACCTCTGTTTTTCCTAATGGCACCTGTTTATTTATCACTTGGCAAACATCAGTTTCCGACACATGCACAGACAAAAGCCTCCAAGAGTGTATGTGTCATGTTTAAGGTACGTTATTTTGCTTTTTAAGCTATTAGGGACAAAGTCATCATTTGAATTAAAAAGTAGTTTAAATAGATTGATGTTATCTCAAATTCAAAAAAAGTATAAACCAGTTCCCCTTAAAGAATTTTCAGTGGATAATTATCCATTCATCAGTTTGAGTTTTTCTGCCTCCAGGTTAGTTTTTCCTGGGGCCAGAACATGGAGGGCGGCATCCCCTACTCTGCGTGCCACGGCCTCTCCTGTTCCTCAGTCCACAGAATGCGTGTTTCCTGATTAAAGCTGAAGACAGGCAGCTCAGCTGCTCAGCACTTCAGGAGCATGCGGTGAAGACCGTGACACTCACTGGGGAGCAGGAAGGTATGTATTCATGACTCCACGTGCCGATGGGCAGGTACAGAGAAGATGGGCCTCCTTCTGTAAAATCTGGCAGCCCAGAATCAGGGAAGTCTGTTTAGAGGAGACAGAAGGTAAGCCGATTGGAACATGGCCCGTGAATGGGGTGTCCCCAGTTGAGAAAGTATTTCAGGCAGAGAGAGTGGGTAGGTGTTCATGGTGCAAAGAACAGCAGGCTCCTGGTGCGGCACCCAGGCCAGGTGCATGGAATGGGCTTCATAGACGATGGAAGTCACAGAGAGTTTCCTGGCAGGGTGAGGCGGGACTTCATGGGCCCACTGTGCAGGGGACCAGAGGGGGAGTAGAGGGGACAGCCCCTGGTCAGCATCTTCCCTGGGCCCCCTGGGGGTGAGGAGGAAGGGAGATGTGAGGATGAAACAAAAAGCAGTCAGAGGCTTCGTCAGGAAAGCCAGCGATGCTGAGGGAAGCATCATCACATGTGTGCGCGGGAGGATGAGGGACAGACACGCAGCAGGTGGAATCATGTCCCCCCAAGTTCACATCCACCCCAAACCTGTGAATGAGCTTACTGGAAATACCACAGTGCTTGTGGATGAAATCAAGTGTAGATGTCGTCGAACTGATGTAGGACAGGCTCCAAATCTAATGGCTAGTGTTCTAATAAGAATAAAGAATATGAAGACGGAGACACAGGGCGAGCTCCGCTTGATGAAAGAGGCAGAGACCACAGTGATGCAACCACTAGCCAAGGTCACCAAGGGCTGCCAGAAACACCAGAACTGTGGGAGACAGGGAAGGGGCCTCTGCCAGAACATTCCGAGGACGTGCAGCCCTGCCACACACTGCATTTAAAACTGCTGGACTCCAGAACCATGGGACAATACATGTGTGTTGTTTGTGATACTTCATCATAGCGGGCCCAGGGAACTAATACAGGCACACCTTGGAGATACCGCAGGCTCGGTTCCACACCTCTGCAATAAAGTGAGTTGCATGGATTTGTGCTTTCCCAGTGCATATAAAAGGGATGTTTACACTCCACTATTGTCTATTAAGGGTGCAATAGCATTATGTCTAAGAGAACAATGTGCATATCTTAATTCTAAAACATTTCATTGCTCAAAACTACTAACCGTCATTTGAGCCTTCAATGAGCCGTCATCTTTTCGCTGGTGGAGAGTCTTGCCTCAATGCTGGTGGCTGCTGACTGATCAGGGTGGTGGTTGCTGATGGTTGGAGTGTCTGTAGCAGGTTCTTAGAGTAAGACCACAATGAAGTTTGCTGCATCTATGGACTCTTTTATAAAACGTTTCTCTGTAGCATATCATGGTTTTTGATAGCAGTTTACTCACACAATAACTTGTTTCAAAATTGATGTCCATTCTCTGAAATGCTGCTGCTGTTTTTTCAACTTAGCTTATGTAATAGTCTAAATTATTTGTTGTCATCTCAACATCTTCCCCAGGAGTGAAGCATTTCACAACATCTTCACTGGGAGTACATTTCATCTGAAAAAATCATTTTCTTTGCTCATCCTTAAGAAATAACTCCTGATCCATTCAAGTTTTATCATGAGAGTACAGCAATTCAGTCCCATCCTCAGGCCCAGCTTCTAACTCTACCTCTCTCACTCATTCCATCACATCTTCAGTGACTTCCTCTACTGAAGCCTTGAACCCTCAGGGTCATCCCTCATGGTGGGGTTTGGAAGAATCAGCTTCTTCCAAACTCCTGTCAGTGTTTATATTTTTCCTTTTCCCGTGAATCATGAATGTACTAGTGGCATCTAGAATGGTGAATCCTTTCCAGAAGGTTTTCAGTTGACTTTGCTCATATTCATCAGAGGAATCACTCTCTATGGCAGCTATAGCCTCATGAAATGTATTTCTTAAATAGTAAGACTTGAAAGTCCAAATGACTCCTTGACTGATGGGCTGCAGAGTGGATGTTGTGTTAGTTAGTAAGCATGAAAGCAACATCATCTCATTGAGCATTTCCATCAGAGTTCTTGGGTGACTAGGTGCATTGACCAAGAGCAGTAATATTCTAAAATAGATCATTTTTTGAGCAGTAGGTCTCAACAGTGGGTTTGAAATATTTAGTCAGCCATGCTGAGAACAGATTTGCTGTCATCTAGACTTTGTTGTTCCATTTAAAGAGCATAAGAATAATACCTTTAGCATAGCTCTTAAGGGCTAAAGATTTTCAGATTGGTAAATAAGCACAGGCTTCAACTTGAAGTCACCGGCTGCATTAGCCTCTAATAAAAGAGACAGCCTGGCCTTTGAATTTTTGAAGCCAGGCATTGACTTCTCCTCTGTAGCTATGACAGTTGGAGATGGCCTCTTCTAATGCAAGGCTGTTTCGTCTTCATTGAAAATCAGCTGTTGAGTGTAGCCACCTCCACAATGATTTTAGTTAGATCTTTTGGGTCACTTGCTGCAGCTTCTCCATCAGCACTTGCTGCTTCACCTTGCATTTTTGTCTTACAGAGATGGCTTCTTCCCTAAACTTCATGAACCAATCTCTGCCAGCTTCGAACTTTTCTTCTGCAGCTTCCTCATCTCTCTCAGACTTCACAGAATTGAAGAGAGTTAGAGCTTTGCTTAGATTAGGCTTTGGCCTCAGAGAATGTTGTGGCTGGTTTGATTTTCTCTCCAGGACACTCAAACTTTCTCCCTATCAATCAGCAATAAGGCTGTTCTGCTTTCTTATCAATGGAGTGTATTATATCCGATGGGCATATTTCAGTGGAAGCCGGATGGATGAGTCTAAAGCCTGGGCGATCCTTCATTAGAGATGATGTTTAAATCCATGGGCAGGAGACAGGTGAGGCCACTGGAAAGAGGAAGGCAGGAAGGGGCAGACAGAGCCTTAGGGCATGGACCTCTGGCTGGAGCTGAACCACAGGTGTGGTGAGGGAGAGGGCTCCCTTCTGCCCCAGAAACTCCTGTCCCTGAACCGTGGTTTCCGTTGTCAGGTTGTGCATGGACTGCGTCAGAAACAGCAAATCCTGGTGTGGCTCTGTTCCTTTCACAGTGACGCAGGGGGGTTGAAAAGCAACTGGACACATTGAATGTGCAGAGGCCTGAGCTGAAGAAAAGAGCACGGGCTGGGGACCAGGGCCAGGCACACTCGTCACAGCCCTTCTGACTCAGAGGTTTTTATATCACCTCCCCTTGCTCTTCTCTCTGGCCTGAACCTGCTTTCTAAGCACCCCAAGGTGATCTGGGGATACTTGCCGGATGGGCGCTGCTTGGAGCTTGTTAAAATTATCAAAAGAACAAGCAGACAGACTTCCCCTGCACGGCTTCTCCACCTGGAATGCGCACACAGGACACTGGGCCTGGCCCAAAGGCAGATTCCGACTCAGTAGGTGTGGGGTTGGGGAATCTGATGGTGGGTTTTGAACAAGCTCCCCTGCTCCAAGATCACGCTTGGAGTAGCAAGACTTTAGTGACTGTAACTCAGCAGGGCACTGTTATCCTGGCCACCACCCTGGGGTGGGTTTGTTGTCACACTCATTCTACAGAGGAGAAATCAAAGGTCCTGGCTCTGGCCTCGCCTTGTCGACCCTTGGGTCCTCGGGACCAGGATCCTTCCCTGGAGAGGGGCCCAGAATTCCCAGGGCCAGGGCTGAGGCCAGTCCCTCTGGCTTTGATTCCACCCAAGCTGCACTGACTTGGAGCATACACAGGAAAAGGAATGGGGGCTACTTTGTCGATTTGTTTGAGGCTCCATTTGCTCATCCATTTATTCAAAAATTACTCATTGAGCATCTGTGGCACCTAACACATCCCAGACACTGCAAACAGCACAGTACACATGAGGCATAAACAGGTCCCTGCCCTTTGGGGCTCCTATGTAGCCTGGCCTGCTGCCTAATTGAATTCCCACTAAGCCTCATGGAACTGTGGTCATCAGCTGATGCTCTGTGTCTTGTGTGACTGGAGCCCCCTACCTCACAGGTAACCGTAAGGGGTGAGCAGGAATCTTCTGCTCATTTCTGTTGTGCATAAATTCTAATTATGTCCCGGACACCACAGATTCCCTTTCCCAGGTGTTGTGCAAACATTCCAAGGCACGTGGCAGGGCCTTCTCGGACATTTGTGTGGCCCCCTTCTTCACCTGCCCAGCCATCACTCCCCTTGTAAACCCAGCGTGGACCTGAGCCCATGCGCTCCACATCAGGAGGCCCAGGGGCTGCGTTCATGGCCCAGGCTTCCTGTGGGCATAGCCCAAGCCCCCTCCCCCTATCCCCTGCCCTGGAGTGGAGGTCATCCCTGGAGTGGAGGGAGGCCATGCCTGGAGTGGAGGTCATGCCTGGAGTGGTGGGAGGTCATGCCTGGAGTGGAGAGAGGTCATCCCTGGAGTGGAGGTCATCCCTGGAGCAGAGGACATCCCTGGAGTGGAGGGAGATCATCCCTGGAGTGGAAGTCATCCCTGGAGTGGAGGTCATCCCTGGAGCAGAGGACATCCCTGGAGTGGAGGGAGATCATCCCTGGAGTGGAAGTCATCCCTGGAGTGGAGTGGAGGTCATCCCTAGAGTGGAGGGAGGTCATCCCTGGAGTGGAGGTCATGCCTGGAGTGGAGTGGAGGTCATCCCTAGAGTGGAGGGAGGTCATCCCTAGAGTGGAGGGAGGTCATCCCTGGAGTGGAGGTCATGCCTGGAGTGGAGGAAGGTCACCCCTGGAGTGGAGGAAGGTCATCCCTGGAGTGGAGGTCATGCCTGGAGTGGAGGGAGGTCACCCCTGGAGTGGAGGTCATCCCTGGAGTGGAGGGAGGTCATCTCTGGAGTGGAGGGAGGTAATCCCTGGAGTGGAGGTCATGCCTGGAGTGGAGGGAGGTCATCCCTGGAGTGGAGGGAGGTCATCCCTGGAGTGGAGGTCATGCCTGGAGTGGAGGGAGGTCATCCCTGGAGTGGAGGTCATCCCTGGAGTGGAGGGAGGACATCCCTGGAGTGGAGGTCATGCCTGGAGTGAAGGTCATGCTTGAGCAGGTGGATGTGTGTCACTTCATCCTCTTGCACTGAGCTGCCTGGACACCCAATTCATCCTCCCTATCCCAAGAGCCCCTTATTTCCTGGGTCATGCCTGTTTCCCTGCTGGACTGGAAGTGCCGGTGTTTCAGACACTGAATGTCTCCCTCACTTCCCCTCTTTGCCTCTCAGCCCCTACATTCACCTGCCCTCCATTTGGGGAGTTTGGTTTCCAGATTGTGGAGACTTTGATCTGGCCCAGCTTGCCTTCCTCCTGTTCTGCATGGGCCATTTGGATGACTAGCTTGGG
The DNA here is from genome assembly GCF_000001405.40 of Homo sapiens. Lineage (NCBI taxonomy): Eukaryota > Metazoa > Chordata > Mammalia > Primates > Hominidae > Homo > Homo sapiens. The sequence continues at coordinate 169,261,184 of NC_000006.12, forward strand.
CTGCCTTTTCCACCTGCTGAGACCTTTTGCCCCTTCATCACACACATTGACCTTGCCTCCAAGACTGCCACAGATGCGAGTTTGCTGGCTGTCCCCTCTGTGGCACTGGTCACTGACGGGAATGCTCATGGCCAGGACTGCGCACAGAGCTCACGGTCCTTCTCATGCCATTCTCAAATCGCTGTCCTCTGTCTGCCTTCCCTCCTCCCTACGTTATCAGCACCGCAGGCATCTGCTCCCTGGACTCAGAGTCTGTCTCTAATCACAGGGCTCAGAGTGTTCTATCTCTTTTAGGGACTCCCACTGTAACGGGGGATCTTTGGGACTGCACGACCACTTTAGAAACTTCTGGAATAATGGAAGTTTCAGGAAATGCATCTGCACAGATACTGCATCTTTACAAACTGAAGGTCTGTAGCAAGTCTGCAGGTGCCATTTCTCCAACAACAAGTGCTCACTTCATGGCTCTGTGTCATGCTTTGTAATTCTTATGCTATTTCACATTTTTTATTATTATTCTGTCTGTGCTGGTGACCTGTGATCAGTGGCCTTCAGTGTTAACTACCTTAATTGTTTGGGGCCATCAACAATTGCACCCATGTAAGATGGCGAACAAAATCGATGAGGATTGTGTGTGCTCTCACTTCCCCACCGAAGGCCGTTCCATCTCTCTCCCTCTCTTCCGGCCTCCCTCTTCCCTGAGATGCAACAATATTGAAATTAAGCCAATTAATAACCTACAATGGCCTCTAAGAGTTCAAGTGAAAGGGAGAGTTTTGATTTCTCACTGCAAATCAAAAGCTAGAACTAATTAAGCTTAGTGAGGAAGGCATATCAAAAGCTGAGACAGGCTGAAAGCTAGGCCTCTTGCTCCAAGCAGCGCCCATCCGGCAAGTATCCCCAGATCACCTTGGGGTGCTTAGGAAGCAGATTCAGGCCAGAGAGAAGAGCAAGGGGAGGTGATATAAAAACCTCTGAGTCAGAAGGGCTGTGACGAGTGTGCCTGGCCCTGGTCCCCAGCCCATGCTCTTTTCTTCAGCTCAGGCCTCTGCACATTCAATGTGTCCAGTTGCTTTTCAACCCCCCTGCGTCACTGTGAAAGGAACAGAGCCACACCAGGATTTGCTGTTTCTGACGCAGTCCATGCACAACCTGACAACGGAAATGGTTCAGGGACAGGAGTTTCTGGGGCAGAAAGGAGCCCTCTCCCTCACCACACCTGTGGTTCAGCTCCAGCCAGAGGTCCATGCCCTGGGGGCTCTGTCTGCCCCTCCCCACCTCCCTCTTTCCAGTGGCCTCACCTGTCTCCTGCCCATGGATTTAAACATCATGTCTAACGAAGGATTGCCCAGGCTTTAGACTCATCCATCTGGCTTCCACTGAAATACGCCCATCGGATGTAAAACTCCTCCCCGCTCCCCAGGAACAGAGGCCACCCCATCCCAACCTCCCCCAAACCAGCAAGTGTCCTGATCACTAGGCTCCACAAGGCAAGACCTCTGCGTCACCTCTGATTCTTATCCCTCCCTGGAACTGGGGTCCAATCCATCTGCAAGTCCCAAGAGCGCAGCCCTGGCCCAGGCCCCCTCCGTACCTCCTGCACTCGTGGCCACTACTGCAAACCCAGGGTTCCACCAGGCCCCCTCCGAGCCTCCTGCCCCCGCGGCCACTACTGCAAACCCAGGGTTCCACCAGGCCCCTCCGAGCCTCCTGCACCCGCGGCCACTACTGCAAACCCAGGGTTCCACCAGGCCCCTCCGAGCCTCCTGCACCCGCGGCCACTACTGCAAACCCAGGGTTCCACCAGGCCCCCTCCGAGCCTCCTGCACCCGCGGCCACTACTGCAAATCCAGGGCTCCACCAGGCCCCTCCGAGCCTCCTGCACCCGCGGCCACTACTGCAAACCCAGGGTTCCACCAGGCCCCCTCCGAGCCTCCTGCACCCGCGGCCACTACTGCAAATCCAGGGCTCCACCAGGCCCCTCCGAGCCTCCTGCACCCGCAGCCACTACTGCAAACCCAGGGTTCCACCATCTTCTCCCTCTGGATCCTGGCCATGGGAGTGGTCAGCGGACATCCTCACTCAGGGTCCCCAGGAAGCCACCTAGCCACCTTCTGACCAGCACAATCATAATAAAATGGGGACAAGCCTGGGGCCCTCTCCTAGGGAGCTGAGGCCACATCCCACAGAGTGCTCAGAACAGATCCCAGCCTAACAGCAGAGAGAGGTCAGTGGCTCACTAGTGCCAGGCATCCCAATCCTCCATCCCTGCACCCACCCTCCGAACAGCCCCTCCCCACACAGCAACCACAGGGACATCTGTGACGGAGACCCCACTGGAAAAATCCCCCAGGGACCTTCCAGTGCACTTAGTAAGAGCTGACTCTCACAGCTTCCTCCCATAGTCTGGCCCTGCCCCTTCCAAGCTTCCCCTCCCTCCCAGCTGCCCTTCTGTGCCTCAGATGCCGTCCTTGAGCTCTCTGTCCTTCTCCCATCACATCCTCAGAGGCTGGGTCTTTAGTCACCCAGACCCCAGGCCCAAACCCTCCTCCAAGGGTCTTCTCTGACCACTGGCCCCAAAACCCCCACCCTGCATCCCAGTCCCTTTCTGGGTCATTTCACTTTTTCCTTAGCATCTGTCAGCTGGCTGTCTCTGAGGTCAGCTGGCTGTCTCTGAGGTCAGCTTGCTGACCATTTACCACGCACATCCGGCTTCTTGCCCACCAGCATGAGCTCCTCTAGAAGAGAATCTTGGGACCAGCACCCAACCTTCCTCTCTCGGTTGCTCTGCATCCCCCACACAGAGCAGAGTGCAGCACAGAGCCAGTGATGGACACTGGCTGAGGGCATGAGTCTCTTGGCGGATGGGCCCGCTCTTGGCTGTGAGCCCGGGTGTTGGTGTTTAGCTGAGAGAGATGGAAAGTAGCCAAGCTGGTCTGACCAGAATCTGACTGGTGCTCACCACATGCCATCAGAGGAGAAGAAACTCTGGTTTTCACACAGAAATGAATGAACTAATATCTTTGTTCATTTGTTAAGTCAATCATAAACTTACTAAATACCATAAACCGAGGACTCTGCTAGTCAATGATCATGAACTAGCTGTGAACATAGCACTCAGCACCCTGAGCAGGTGCCGGCTGCAAACGTAGCACACAGAACCCTGAGCAGGCACCGGCTGTGAACGTAGCACACAGCACCCTGAGCAGACGCCGGCTGCGAACGTAGCACACAGCACCCAGAGCGGGCGCCGGCTGCGAATGTAGCACACAGCACCCAGAGCAGGTGCTGGCTGTGAACCTAGCACACAGCACCCTGAGCAGGTGCCGGCTGTGAACGTAGCACACAGCACCCTGCTTTTGTGGAGGGAGAATCCAGTGCAATGATGAGTTTTGAGGCTGCTTCTTACAGAGTTCTTTATCTGAGACATCAATCTCAAATCTAAGGAACAGAGCTGAGCTCCTACTTTCCGGAATTGAGAAGGACGGCTTCTGCCACCGGAAATCTGTGAGTGTCGCTGGCTCTGCAGAGCTTTCACTGTCACAGGTTCAGAATCCCCACTCCTGGTGGGCCCCAGAAAGCAGCTGCTCAGCATGGTGGGAGAGAGCAGGGCAGGGGCTCTGAGGATGGCGGAGGAAGCAGAGGGCCTGGTCCTGTGCTGTGGACACTGAGTTGTTTCACAGGGATGGGCACAGGAGCACAGGTCCAGGCCTCTCTGCATGCTGGAAGCAGTCGGTGCTCAGAGGAAAGAGAAACATCAGAGGCAGATCCAAGGTACCCAAATGGAGGCTGAGAGGTGGATGCAGGTGGGTACCCCAGACTACTGGTGAGTGAGTCCCTGACAGCAAAAAGAGAAGGGGTAGGTCTGGACCTACTTTTCGTATCCACAGGGATTGATGCCATCCACAGGGATAGACGCCATCCACAGGGATAAATGCCCGCCAAGTCTGGGCCTTCCGTTCAATGCATCTCCTCTGATCCTCACAAGCAGTGAGCATCATTGGCCGCATTTTACAGAGACTGAGAATCAAAGAAGCTAAGTAATGTGCTCAGGCCAAGGGCAGCAGAGCCCGCTGGCATCTGCTGGGCCTGCATCAGCTCTGTGCCTGTCCCCAAACATCACTGGGATACTCGGAGTTCTTGGAAATACTAGTGAAGGTGCCAGGTTGAGGGCCCAGCATGCCACGGAAAACACAGCATGGACCGCGGAGAAACAGGAGGGATAGAAGCCCTTTTTCAAATGCATCCCTGAGATCCCCCAGTGCATTCCCTGAGGGTGTCGGGGTCCCTTGATGTGCCCTCCTCCTCCTGAAGCTGGCACAAAGGCAGGGTGGGAGGGGAACAGCTTTGCAATTAGGATGAGCTGAGCTTTGCAATTAGGATGGACTGAGCTTTGCAATTAGGATGGGCTGACTGATAGCAACATCCACAGAAGCAGACATCAGTGCCACGAGGGTGGATCAGGCTCTGGGAGAGGATCCAGCTAGAGGTGGAGGAAGCACTTGAGGAAGGAAGTGCAGGGAAACCCCCATCTATGAAGTGGCAGGAATCAGAGCTTTAGGTGCAGCGCCCACACACATAGCATTAGCCCCCGTCTGAGGGGAGGTGCTAATCCTGGCTTGGGATGGCATTTAGGGCAGAGTGTGAAGGCACCCAAAGGAAGAGTCTTGGAACCCAGACAGGTGCCTGTGGCCCCGCAAGTGCAGATAGTGGGTTGAAAAGCAGCAGGGACAGGGGAGCGATTCTCAAGATGAGCTCGTCTTTGGGAAGCAGGGGAGCAGCCAGCGCCCTCGGCAAGGACTGAGTTCTCATAAGGCACCGGGCAGTGTCTCTCCGCCACCTGGGCCTCTCCCGGCTCCCCACCTCCTGTCTCTGAGCCGTGGTCACTCTGTGATGTTGCCTCTTAACAGTGTGGGCTCAGGGGCCACACACAAGGCCTCAGCTAAACAGGCCACAGAACAAGGAGGAGACCAGGAGGAGAGGGAGGGGAGGAGCAGCTGAAACTGAACAGATGAAGCTGGAGACACTGGCCTGGCCATAGAGACAGAAAGGCAGGTGCCCATGCCCCATGGCAACCCGGCTCCAATGCACACAGGTTTCCTGGAGGCAAACCCTGGTGTCAGGTTCTTTAATTCTGCACGGCTACTGTGCAGTGGAGGACACTGGGGCCACAGTACAATCTTGAGGTCACCTGGGCCCTGGCAGCAACATCTGGGGAGAGACCAGGAATCCAATCCTGCTCCTCTGACGAAGGGAGTGAGAAACAGGCCTGGCTGGGGGCCAGGGCCTTGCAGGAGCCAGCACAGGTTCTAAAAGGGTCCAGGCTTAGTGAGGATGCCAAGTTTAAGAGAGAAAATCCAAGGTGGGCTCATGCATGGAGTTGTGGGTGTGCAGAAGCATTGCCCCAGGACCAGGAGATGCTGGGGCTGGGCTGAAAACCTACGTCCGGCCTTGTCAGGAGGGACCCATGCAGAAGGGGAGGGCTGGGCTTAGGGTGTCCCCATTTCTAGAAGGTTCTTGAATTGGGAGAATACAGGGAACACAGGGATGGAAGAATAAGCCAGAGTGACGAGAGATTAAGGGCATTTCCCGTGACTGGATCCTGTGCCTGTTGTTAGTAAGGGAGCAACCTCTTCCTCTTATGAACAAGCCAATACGCTTCTCTCCAGTGTGGGAGCTTGTGTGTCCCAGGGCCCCCAGGGGTGGGGCAGGGGGTGTGCTGTCACTCCCATACACAGGGGTCAGTTGAGAGATCCTCTGGGGGTGGCTGCAGCCATCTCTTTTCCATGCAGAACCCGGGCTGGGCGGTCTCTGCTAACACTCATAAGGTCTCATCGGCTATTGAACCTGCAGAGCAGCAGCCTCGTTCAGTGAGAAGAAAGGGTTTTCGTCATGTCTTCAACAAGGATCCACTTGCATGCATTCATGTTGTCTAACTTGATAGAGATTCCTGGTACTTTTATTGTTTACAAATCCTAAAGGCTGTCATCCTATTAGTCATAATATAGAAAAAACCAGGTTCTGCCACACCAACCAGATCTAGGAATGGGGATGGCTGTTTTAGACACAGTCGGACCTATTTCCTGTCATCATATGTGATTAAGAAGCATGAACATTCATGTCACGTTTCAGCAGGATTCTGTCCTCATTTGCTTAACTTCAGGGGTGTTTTCTCTATATTCGTCTTCTGCAGGGAAACATGTTGGTCCTGAGTCACTCTCTGTGTGGTGTCCTGGGAGGATGCACACATGGCCGTGGCGTTTTCACAAACAGATTCATGTGACTGACATTTGCACAATATTTTTGTAATTAGGCAGGAATTTGAGCATGGAGACCAAGTTGAGGATGCTCAGCCATCGCCTCTGTGCTCACCACTCACTTGCTGTGTGCATGTGCGTGCCTTATTATTGTGGAATTTATTATTTAGTCAAAAAGGGCAGAAGAATTTCAGTGATTATAAAATACCCTAGCTAGCATGAGAGATGTAAATATGACTCCCAATATTGAGCAAGCTTAACCTTTTGCAAAAGGCCATCATGGAAAGAGTTTAGAGTATCTTTCTTTTCAGTGTCATTGTAAGTTAGTGATAAGGCCAAATTTTGCAAGATTCCCTAAAGTGTATGACCTCATAAAGAGGCCTCAGGTCCTTCATTTTCTACTCAGTTTTGGACGGTTTTGAAAAGTGCTTGGCAAACTGTGTATTACCCAGGGCTCTCCAGAGAAACAGAACCAATAGAGTGTGTGTGTGTGTGTGTGTGTGTGTGTGTGTGTGTGTAGAGAGAGAGAGAGAAAGAGATCTAGTATGAAGAATCAGATCACGTAATTAGGGAGGCTGACAAGACCCTAAGATCTGCAGTCAGCAAACTGTTGACCCAGGTTAGCTGGTGGTGTCGTTCTTGTCTGGAGGCTGACAGGCTCAATACCCAGGAGGAACCAATACTTTGATTCCAGCCCCAAAGAAGGAAAAAGCCTGATGTCTCAGCTCAAAGGCAATCAGGCAGGAGTTCTCTTATTTGGAGGAGGGTCAGCCTTTTTGTTCTGTTCAGGCCTTCAGCTGATGGGACAAGGCCCACCCACACTGGGGACGACCATCTGCTCTACTCAGTGTTCCAATTCGAAGGTTCATCTCATTCAGAGCATCCTCACAGATACCCCAGAAGTAGCATTCAACCAAATATCTGGGCACCCCATGGCCCAGTCAAGTTGACACATAAAATTAACCTTCACATCTTACATGAGCAAAAATTAAAAGCCCCAAAAGAAGAGAAAGCAAATGGATGGCCTCTGTTGAGTGGAGTTTCCCAGTGAGCACAGGTCAGCCATGAGCCATGCAATGACACTTATTAAGAACACACTCACTCCTCCAGCAACTGCCTTAAAGCTTCAGGGAAGGGAGGGGGGATAAAAAATAAGCCATAGCAGGAGGGGTTTAAAAGGAACCCATTTAGTTTAAATCTTTGATCCTGAAAGTGCTTCCTATCACATGCATTTTGGTGTGCTTCTAATTTTTGAAGATATGAAAAATGGAAAAGATGGAAATTTCTCTGATCGTCAAGTATTTTATTTCACTCATTTAGAAGAGCAGTTAGATGCGGAGAGGCTTTTAGGGTAGAATCAATGTTTGAACAACTAAAACTGCTCAGATTAAATGAAAATATAGGTGTGGATATGTGGATGTTTTTCTGGGGAGAAGGTCTATGGATTTCAGTTATACTACAGGGAGGCCCATGGCTCTAACTGGATTAAATGTTACTGCCTATAGTTACCTGGAACTTTGGAGTTTATAAAGAACTGCTGCGCTAGAACAAAAGCTCCATGAGAACATAAATTTTTAGTCTCTTTTCTTCCAGGGCCTAGAACAGTGCCTGGCATTAAGTACCAGCAATGAGTTTTCCCATGACATTCTTATTCTGGTCTTTGCATCTGCCCTGTACAGTAGATCATTAACAGCAGATAAATCACAGAAGCCCAGGGATTTTGAATACCCTCTGCAAAATGAGCCTGGAAGGCCAGAATCTTGCTGCCTTTCTCACTGCAAGTCCGGGCTCCACTCCTCAAACCAGGGGCTAAGAACTGCTGGTGCAGGAACCAAGGGTGGAAGAGATGGGCTGTGGGATACGGACCCCGCATGGAGCCATGCACCCTTGTTGCTGTCATTGCCGAGACCCTGCATGGAGCCATGCGCCCTTGTTGCTGTCATGGCCAAGAGTAAAGTTCATTTCATTGCCTGCTATAAAAGTAGAGATAAAATTTAACAAAATAAGTGAATTCCAAGATTTGCTCATGCATGTTCCAGCTCAGTTGTTTTGCAATGACGGAGGCAGGTGGGGCTCTGGACCCTGTTTACTATAATAAGTGGGAAGTAAGCTGGATGAGAGAATGTCAGCTGGAGCAGAAGTTGGAAACAGCCTTCTGCTCGTGGTGTGGGAGTTGACAGCAACAGAGGAATACCAGAATAAGTAGCTGAACTTAGAAAAGAAGTTAAAATTTGGAAACTGCTGTGGTTGTAAGAGAGATGAAATTGGAAGCAAAATCTATGAGTCAGTTCCTCATTCAAACATTGCAGGCCATGGGCCCTGAGACAAGAGATTTAGTATGTCTAAACCCTGTTTTATCTGTGCTGTCCCAGAAGCAGTCCAGAGTCTCTTCCTCAGAATGATGTGCCAAGGTCTTATAGGAAATTATAGAACAACGCAGGTTAATGTGTAAATCAAATAATAAAATGTTATCTGCCTTTACCAGCCCACATCTCACTTTCATTAGACTTGTCTGTACAAGACACTGAAGACTAAACTCTGATGTTTTATCTTGCCCGAATTCCTAAGGGGACTGGGGAGTCATGCCCTCTGATGAGTTTTACTTTCCAACCTGACTCTGGCATAACATTATGAGACAAAGAAGAAAATCAAAACATTTTACCCCAAATCATGTTTCTTTGTCATATTCTGAAATGGCCCTGCAAAGCTGTTCTTTGTGGGGGAAAATTTGCATCTGTAAAGAATCTCTATTAACATAGCTGCATATTTTTCTTCCAGACCCTCCCAATTCTAAAGAGATTAACTAAGATCTGAATAGGAAACATTTGTCACCTATTGTCTCTAAGGGCAGTCACTATAAGACTTCAAAAGAATTTTGGTCTCCACAATCTTTCTCTTAACCTGAACATTCCCTTTCTATACCAGGTCTTTAGACAAACTCAACCAATTGTCAACCAGAAAATGTTTAAATTCACCTGTAGTCTGGAAGCCCTGGCTTTGAGTTGTCCTGCCTTTCTGGACCTATCCAATGTATTTCTTAAATGTATCTGATTGATGTCTCATGCCTCTCTAAGATGCACACCGACCACCTTGGGCACATGTTCTCAGGACCTCCTGAGGGCTGTGTCACAGGCCGTGCTCACTCATATTTGGCCCAGGATAAATCTCCAAATATTTTACAGAGTTCAACTCAACGACTTTCAAAGTGCTTTATAATCATTAGCTCATTCAACTTTATAACACTGTATAAGGCAGAAAAAATAATTTTCTTAATAGATTTGTTCCTCTTAAATCATGCAAAATTCCATCCCATATTTCCAGGCTGGGATAAAAATAGTCACCGCTGGGCAATTCCTAAGAGGTAGAACATATAGTGAAGCCACTTGGGTATATATTCCAACTCCTTTGAGTCCAGAGTGGACTAGAAAAACATGTACCAAAAATATTTTGTCCTTTTATTCTCGCTTTTTAGAACTATTTCTTCTTTACCCACAAGATAGTGCCTGAAAAATTATCATTCTTCCACAAAGGCCAATCACTAATAGAAAAACCAACAAATAGGAGGGACTCTTTTACATCCAGAGAAGGTTAAGTAGCAGCAATGAGATTTGCCCTTCCACCTGAAGCCCCCCCACCCCAAAAAAAGACTGTATAAAATATATTAAACAAAATATGTAAAGAAACAAATTTCCAGATACTAGATATCAACAATTAATGGGAGTGAAGCCATAACGTGAGGAATAAGTGAGCTGGGCTCTGTGATCACCCAACTGACTGCTGGAGATTGTCTCCAGGCCCCAGAGCAGGAAGGCGGCAGGGAAATCCCAGCGGGCTCCCTGCACTGAGCTGACAAAAGTGAGAGCCTGGGGAGACGGAGAAGTGAGGACTCACAGGAGAGAGGTCTTTAGAAGACAGAGCTGAGCAGAGAGAATCGCAGAGATCTGAAGCATCGGGGCATTCCTGTGCGGAAACCACACCCTGCGGGAGAGGGTGCCCCATGCTCATACAGCACCTGCAGATGTGCCTGCCCCACTGGCTTGAGTGAAAAGCTTTATGTTTCAAAGGATTGAGGAAAGTACTTGGAAAGCTCTTGCCTATCGTGAGGAATAATTGGCCCGAAACTACATGCTGCACTCATTCCACCTCATGAATCTTAAAAGCAAGACCTGAAAGGATTAAACTGTTTTTAAGTAGTTTAGATGAACCCTAAAATAAAATTCAAGAATATGTATAGAGAGGTTAAAAAATCCAGCATTCCACAACACAAAACTCACAATATCTTGTTTTCTAATCATAGATTACCAAGTGTGCAATGATGTTGGAATGTAGAATGTAAAATGAGAAGAAAATTCAGTCCAGTGAAACTGCCCCAGAATTAACACAGATTTTAGAATTAGCATAAAATGACATTAAAACAGTTTTTATAACTGTATTTCATGTGTTTAAAAGGTTAAGTACATACATTGAAGATATAACATACACCCAAATAGAACTTCTAATGTGTGAGATGAAAAATACATGTGTGTAGATTAGACTTTGCAGAAAGTTTAGTGAACTTAGAAACCTAGCAACAGCCACTATCCATAAGAAAACACAGGGAGAACAAAGCATTTAAGAAAAATAAACAGAGCATTAACAAGCTACAGGATAATTTCAAGCAGACATATACATATAATTGAAGTTTCAAAGGAAAGGGGACAAGAAAACAATAATGCAAAAAATGTCCACAATTTGAGCATGATGATGTAACATATTGATGAAGCCAAATCGACCCTAATCATAAGTAAAATTAAGAAAACTACATCAACGTACATAATAATTGAATTGTCTAAAATGAGTGGTAAAGAGAAAATCTTAAAAGGAATCAGAGGAAAAAATGCATTCTGTACAAAAGAACAAAGCTAAGACAAGACTTTTCTCTAAGAAACAATCAAAGTAAATAAGAAGACAATAGAGTCCCATCTTTAAAGTACTGAGTTTTTTTTTAAACATTTCAGCCTAGAATTCTACACCCAGCAAAAATATTTTTCAAAAACAAAAGTAAATCATAGACATTTTCAGACATGCAAAAGTGGAAAGGATTCAACACCAGCAGACTTGCACTCAAAGAAAGTCTATCAGGTAGAAAGAAACGAATGCAAGAGAGAAACCAAAAATATAGGGAACTTTCTCAACATGAAAAGGGGAACCTATAAAAATCTTATATCTAATATAATATTTAGTAATAAAAGTCTGAATTCTAAGTGCAGAACAATACATAAATGTCTGCTCCTATCAGTTCTATTCAATATCATGCTGGAAGTTTTAGCCAGTGAAACAGGCAAGAAATAAAGAATATCCAGGCTGGAAAGGTAGAAGTAAAACTGTCCCTTTATTTGAAGACAACATGATCATCCATGTAGAAAATCTAATAACCTATCCAAAAAAGCCTACTGAAAATAATGAGTTTAGCAAGGTTTTAGGACACCAGATCAATACACACAAAAAATTATATTTTTTATGGATATGTTTTTAATATGTGTTCCAAATTATAGGAGATTCCTAAAATTCTGATATGTTGTATAGATATTATTAGTCACAATTATGGTTATTATGTTAAATTATTACAGGCCACAGAAATAACCAGATTTTCCTGTCAACTGCATTTTTGACCATGACCATATTAAGTCTTGTTCACAGTTGATTGCTTAATTCCAAGGCATTTTCTGAAAGGTCTTTAGAAGCAAGTAAGATTCAAAGGGATTCATGGAAAGGATGGAAAGGATGTTAACAAGCACTCTTGAATACAAGTTTCTGATCACTTACTTTAGAATCATATTGCTTAGACTGAGTAAGAATTTCTAATTCCCAGAACTCTAGTGAAGAGAGTCACTGGTTTATAAAACTGTTAACCCAAGCAGGACAAAAAGTAATTAAATACCAAGGAAATAGTTTGCTAGATTTTTATGCTAAATCAGCCAGTACTGAAATTGTTAAGATATGCAATTTGAATGAGTTCCATGGTCCAAGTCGAATTACCTAAGACAACTCATTTAATAAACAGTGCTATGCACCTGATACAGTTTGTATATTTGTCCCTGCCCAAATCTCATGTTGAAATCTAATTGCCAGTGTTGGAGGTGGGGCCTTGTGGGAGGTGTTTGGGTCACGGGGGCAGATCCTTCATGGCTTGGTGCTGTCCTCACCATAGTGAGTCTCACGAGATCTGGTCATTTAAGTGTGTAGCACCTCCCCCACCCCTTGCTCCTGCTCCCACCATGTGAAACCCCTGCTCCCCCAAAGCCTTCTACCATGATGGTAAACTTTCTGAGGCCACCCCAGAAGCAGATGCTGGTGTTATACTTCCTATACAGCCTGAAGAACCATGAGCCAATTAAACTTCTTTTCTTATAAATCACCCAGTCTCACATATTTCTTTAGCAATGCAAGAAGTGCCTAACACAGAAAATTGGTGCTGAGGAGTGGGGCGTTGCTTATAAAGATACCTGAAAACGTGGAAGGAGCTTTGGAACTGGAAGAAATTGGAAGAGTTTGGAGTGCTCAGAAGGAGACAGGAAGATGACAGACAGAAATTTCTTAGAGACTGGCTAAATTGTTGTGATCAAAATGCTGACAGTGATATGGACAATGAAGGCCAGTCTGACAAGGCCTCAGATGGAAATGAGGAACGTATTGTGAACTAGAGCAGGGATCACCCTTGTTATTCTCTAGCAAAGAACCTGGCTACATTCTGTTCATGCTCAAGGATCTGTGGAAGTTTGAACTTGAGAGTGATGACCTAGGGTATCTGGTGGAGGAAATTTCTAAGCAGCAAAGCATTCAAGATATGGCCTGACTGCTTCTAATAGCCTACACTCAGAACAGGCTATGCCTTCTACAGCCTACGCCTATGCAGAAACAAAGAAATGACCTGAAGCTGAAACTTACATTTAAAATGGAAGCAGAGCAGCCAGGTGCGGTGGCTCATGCCTGTAATCCCAGCACTTTGGGAGGCCGAGGCTGGTGGATCATGAGGTCAGGAGATCAAAACTATCCTGGCTAGCATGGTGAAACCCTGTCTCTACTAAAAATACAAAAAAATTAGCTGGGCTTGGTGGCAGGCACCTGTAGTCCCAGCTGCTCAGGAAGCTGAGGCAGGAGAATGGCATGAACCTGAGAGGAGGAGCTTGCAGTGAGCCGAGATCATGCCACTGCACTCCAGCCTGGGCGACAGAGCAAGACTCTGTCTCAAAAAAAAATAATAAATAAATAAAAACAAAAATAAAATGGAAGCAGAGTATAAATATTTGGAAAATTTGTAGCCTGATCATGTGTCAGAGAAAAAAAAAAGCTTCATTAAGAGAGGAATTCAAGCAAGCTATGGGGCAACCACTTGCTAGATATATTTGCATAACTAAAAAGGAGCCAAGACAATGGAGTAAAGGCCTCTGTGACATTTTAGAGATCTCTCAGGCAGCCCCTCCTATCACAGGCCCTGAGAACTAGGATGACTGATTGGTTTCAAGGTCCAGGCCCAGGAAACCACTGCCATGCATCAGCACAGGAAGCTGCTCCTCATATCCCAGCCACTCCAGCTCCAGCCTCAGCTTAAAGGGGCCCAGATACAGCTCAGTTCTCATCTTCAGATGGAACAAGCTCTAAGCCTTGGAAGCTTCCACGTGGTGTTCAGCATGTGAGTGCACAGAGTGCAAGAGTAAATCAGGCTTGGCATTCTCAGCCTAGATTTCAAAGGATGTATATAAAAGCATGGGTGTCCAGGAAGAAGACTGCTGCAGGGGCAGAGCTTCACAGAGAACCCCCCCTAGGGGAGTGCAGAGGGGATATGTGGGGTTGGAGCCCCCACACAGAATCCTCACTGGGGCACTGACTAGTGGAGCTGTGGAAGAGGGGCCACTGCCCTCTAGACCCCAGAAAGGTAGATCCACCAGCAACTTGCATCCTGTGCATGGAAAAGCCACAGACACTCAACAAGCTGTGAGAGAAGCTGCAGGGGCCGAACCATACAAAGCCAAAGGGACAGAGGTTTCCATGGCCTTGGGAGCCCATTCCTTGCACCAATATGCCCTGGATGTGAGACATGGAGTCAAAGGAGATTAATTTGGAGCTTTAAGATTTAATGACTGCCCTGCTGGGTTTCAGAACATGCATGGGGCCTGTAGCCCCTCTTTTTTGGCTGATTTATCCATTTTGGAATGGGAATGTTTGTTAATGTCTATACCCCCTGTGTATCTTGAGAGTAAATAACTTGTTTAACTTTACACATTCATAGGTGGAAGGGATTCATCTCTGGATGAGACTTTGGACTAGAACTTGGGACTTAAGACTTTTGAATTAATGCTGTAATACGTTAAGACTTTAATGGACTATTAGCAGGGCATGATTTTATTTTGCAATGTGAGAAGGACATAAGATTTAGGGGCCCCAGAGGCAGAATAATATAGTTTGAATATTTGTCCCCACCGAAGTCACATGTTGAAATGTAATCCCCAATGTTGGAGGTGGGACCCTGTGGGACGCATTTGGGTCATGGGAGTGGACCCTCATGTCATGGTACTGTTCACATCGTAACAAGTGAGTTCTCATGAGATCTGGTCATTTAAAGGTGTGTAGCACACCGCCCTCCTCCTGGTCTTCTCCCACCACCTGTCCCCCACTTGCCTTCAGCCATGACTGTAAGCTTCCTGAGGCCTCCCCAGAATAAGATGCTGGCACTATGCTTCCTGTACTGCCTGCAGAACTGTGAGCCATTGAACCTCTTTTATAAAAAAATTACCCAGTCCCAGGCATTTCTTTATAGCAATGCAACAAGGCCTAATACAGCACCTAAATTGGAGAAACAAAATTTGTCTTTAAGAGGACATAAATTCAATGTTAAGCATAGACTAATGGAGAGCCTGGGCCGCTACCCAGTCCTTGCTGAGTTTTTAAACTTTCCATTATTAAAAGCTCTGCACTCCATGACTCATCATGGAAAAGATGAACTAATCCAAATTACATATATCTGCATCGATGTAGCTATAGATATATTGGTGGGTGGTGACTGTTCTTAGTTGCTGAAGTAGTTGTGACCAATGTCTGGTTTGTCAAACCCATAATCCTGGAAATCCAGTGAAAACTTCAGGGACATTTCTGCAACCTGTTAGGCCATTTAAACATTTATAGAGGGATTTTATTCAAAATTCATTTTAAATATATGTTTTCTGGTTGTTTAGAAGCTTCCCCATGTCAGAAGGCTGCTGCTATCACAGTAGCTAAAAGGTTATTAGGAAATGTGTTTCCTTTGTGGGGCATTCCAGGAGAAATCTCCAGTGATGGAGGTACTAATTTCACTGGACAAGTTGTAAAACAATTAAGATATCACTGATAAACTAGATTAGGCAAAGCTAAATGAATAGGCTGGATTGCCTTGATCAAAGGGAGTGCAGGTTGATGACAATCAAATCTCTTCCAGTGGAAGACATACATTGACCCCTTATGAAACAGTCACTGAAAGGATTCTGCCCCACTAATGGAACCTCATTTATCTTCTGCTTAAAACTCTCATATGGCTAAAGGATATGAGGCTTTAATGCATTATGCTAAAGTGTATTTCCACCAGGTATAGGAAGTCGTTCATGGTTCCCTGACTGAGGACAAACAATTCAAAATCTAGAACCTGCAGACTGGATCTTCTGGAAATGACATCAAAGAAAGACTGCCCTTGCCACTTACACTGCCACAAAACCTTGGGAACCTCAAATTTTGGGTTCATTATCTCACAGCTGAGAAGGGCCACTCCAGACTCTTGGAACTATATACTTATTGGATTCCTTAAACTAAAACTAACCAGGGAAGTTTCTCCCCAGAAGTAAACAGCATCCTAGATATGGACAGCCTTCCCAGGATCTTTTATCAAGATTCCTCTGCCATGATGAGATGCTACCTCTTTTAATTTTTTCTTTGCTTATGTCTCTCTGAATAATAAAATTGAAAAATGGGTCTTATGTACACTCATGCTTATACTTTTATTTGTGGAGGATTTCGCAGCCAACCACATACATTGGAAACTTTATGCCTTGACTGATGAAATATGAAGGGCCAATGTGGGTAAGGAATTTTAATGGTAGCTTTGTTGCTCCATAATGTCAGAAGAAGAGCATCTATCCACTCCTGTTAACCTGCATCATAGGTCACAGAAATGTGTGACCTTGAGGGCACCATAACCTATGAATGACAGTGCTGGATGGAAACCCAAAATGATGGTAACTGAGAGTGGTGCTAAGGCCCTAAGTTTTGGTCACACTCTCATTTCAGTGAAAACCTGACCAAAAGGGGAGGATTTTTAAGCAAAATTATGGGAGGCCATTGTTTTGGACTGAGCTCATGCACTAGGTCCCAGTAGATCAGACCAAACCAAAATGAAGTCATGCATGTGAAATGCAACATAATTAAGCTGAAACTTTAAAGAAGTAGACAGATCCTAAAACAGACCAGTTTAATTTTTCTCCAGAAAACAGGAGATTCCAGCACACCAAGGAGGTCCCTCTGCTCTAACCTTTACAGAGAAGCCACCTGAGGTAACTAGTTTTTTCCTCCTTTATTGTTTCCTTGTTCCCTCCTTACAAAACCCACTGTTCTGCTATTTCCCAGAGGGATTCGAGACCACTACGTCTATTTACCGTGGTGACAGGGTGATGTCAATGACTAAAGTTTTGATCTACCTCTCAAAACTGAGAGGTGGACTAAAAGTGGAGAAATTATTAAGTTTAGCCTAAAGCTGCCTCTTTACATGTTTTAATTTCAGCCTAAAGGTTTCTCTGTGCATAGTGAACTGCATCCTAACTGGATGTGTAAACAGACTTTAACCTACTCTTGTGCCAATCACCAGAGACGAACTGTTCAAACCATGTTCAAATAAGGCAAAACCAAGCTGTATTGAACCCAGTGTTTCTGCACCTCACTTCTGTTTTGTGTACATTACTTTCCTTTTTCTGTCCACACATGGCCAATCATGTGGCAGCCCCAGAGTCACTCTCAGCTGATTCTGGTTCTAAGGGCTGCCGGATTCATGAATTGTCCTTTGCTCAATTAAACTGTTAGACTTAGTTTGTCTTAAGTTTTCCTGTTAACACAGTACAGGTTCTGTTATTGTTTTATTTTGTTTTGTTTTGAGACTGAGTCTCACTCTGTCACCCAGGCTGGAGTGCAGTGGCACAATCTCAGCTCAAAACAACCTCTGCCTCCTGGGTTCAAGTGAGTCTCCTGCCTCAGCCTCCCGAGTAGCTGGGATTACAGGTGTGCACCACCACACCCAGCTAAGTTTTTGTATTTTTAGTATAGACAGGGTTTCACCATGTTGACCAGGCTGGTCTTGAACTCCTGACCTCAGGTGATCCGCCCACCTCGGCCTCCCAAAGTGCTGGAATTACAGGCGTGAGCCACCACACCTGTTATTGTTTCGTATGAGCAAAATAAATAAGTAGGAAACCAGTAAATAAATTACTATGTACAAAATTTGAGATGAGTGTGGAAGAGTATTTTTAATTTTTGATGTTTAAATTTCTTTTTTTTAACATTGGTGTTAATAAGTGAAAGAAAAGTGATTCGTTCTCTGTTTCCTAGAGTTGATGGCAGAATGATTATTGAATGTACCAAGCAGCATTTGTAAAAGCAAGCACACTTTCTATGCTCTTAAACAAGTCCTTTTCTATGTAACTACAGGATAAAGTAGATATAAATCTGTAACATGAGGATTTTATAGGATGCACAATTTCCCTAGAGTTTCCGTTCATTTTCTGTAGATATGTTTTTTAATATTGTGGCTTATACTGGTTTCCTTTTATTATTCTCAATTCTCATTTGAAAATCATTAATATTTCCAGCTTAAAATTATTATATAGTACACTAAAAGATTTAGTTCAACATAATTGTCAGAAGACTTGTGATCAATGGCAAACCTGTCCAAGACACTTAGCTTCCAACAGGAAAACAAAATTGGTCTATTGAGGAAGAGTGAAGCTGTCAGTCTCAGTTGTAAGAGAATTTTAGATGTCCACACATATTTTCTTAGCTTTAAACAGAGCACAAGTATCCCTCAAATTATAGCAACCCAATCCGCATAAAGTTAAGAATGCATAAAGTTAAGCATTCAATAAACGGAGGAGAAAATAAAATTGCAGGGTTTTGAGGACATTTACCGTCTTGAATATGCACTGTCTTTTCTCCATGGCCAGCTGTTAAAATTTTGCCTGGTGATGGCACAAAGGTGGGAGACCTGGATTCAGGCTCACGTTGACGATCTTGGGTAAAATTTTAACCTCTCAATGTTTTTCCTTCCCCTTCTGCAAAATAGAGATAATTATAGCATTTATCTTGTTAGATCTTTCTGAAGATCAAGGACACAGTGTAAGTTCTTTTTTTTTTTTTTTTTTTTTTTTTTTTGAGACGGAGTCTCGCTCTGTCGCCCAGGCTGGAGTGCAGTGGCGCAATCTCGACTCACTGCAAGCTCCGCCTCCCGGGTTCACGTCATTCTCCTGCCTCAGCCTCCCGAGTAGCTGGGACTACAGGCGCCCATCACCAAGCCCCGCTTATTTTTTGTATTTTTAGTAGAGACGAGGTTTCACTGTGTTATCCAGGATGGTCTCGATCTCCTGACCTCATGATCCACCCGCCTTGGCCTCCCAAAGTGCTAGGACTACAGGAGTGAGCCACCGCGCCCGGCAGACAGTGTTAAGTTCTAAATGTTGCATTCAGTAATCCCTGATAAACATTCGTGACCATTACCACCATCATTACCTGATGCACAGGGCCAGACATACACATTCCTTTTAAAGCCTTCTCTAATTTTTAAATGCTTTACCCAATGTTGTTCTTCAAACCTTGCAAGGAAAAAGGAACCCAGTGTTGTGTGGGTAACTGAATGAATAGCAAGGACTGGATTTGTATATGTTTGTATCCTCACTCGCTAATCATGATTCATCACCCAGATTAGAACTTAGTTTCAATTCTCTGGGGAAAACATTAGTTTTATATTGGTTGCATGAATTTTATTTATTGGCTGAACGAAGCTTTCTAATAGTAGTTTAATATTTCCTTGTAACCTTAGCAAACCACCCCAGTCCACTCCTCCAGACATAGAACATATCTCATTCCCTTGGAGATATACTTACTAAGGGTCCACTTGGCTTAGGCCACAATGCCACCAAATGTCAAACATTTAGGCCTGTAGATGCAGGTCCGGAGATGGGGAGAAGTCCATTAGATTAGGAGTCCCAGGCACATCACTGCCTAATTACATAAACCTCAAACTCGGGTGCCACCATTTTCTCAGCGTTAAGACAAAACCAATGGCAGATGATCCATTTTCCTGCTCGTGCTAGACTTCTCTGAGGTATAGAGTTGCACTATTACATGTCACAGCTTTCATGCTGAAGTCCATGTCTTTATTCAGCATCTTACAATAACATCTACCAGGGAGGAGTGAAAAGAACGAACCCCAGTACTTCCTTCCGCCCTACGCAGCACCATCAATAGCTTCTTCCTTGGTGTCTTCGGAAGGTTAGAAGCAGCTGTTGATCCATGTTCAGTGGCTTTTCTCCGAGTAGTAGCATGTATGCACTGCATTTTTGTGTTGACCAATAGATAATCTAGATGATATTGACTATATACCACTTAAACAAAAATGTAAGAAGTAAATAACATCAGAAAAATTTGTGGAACTAATATAGACTGTAATCTTTATTTCTTCATTAAAAGAGTACTCAATGTAATTATGTTAGTGATGACTTGTGAGGTTTGAACCAACATTGCCACTCAGTTGGCACTGTCTGCCTGGCTCCTCCTACTTCATGCACCAGCTTGCTGTCTAAAGAAATGGGACGCTAACACAGCTATGATTTATGATTTCCTTGGAAAACATGAATTTTATAAATCCTGTCAAATAAATTGCATTGTCTCCTAAAATTCCTATTCAACTTTACTAAAAAAGTATTACAACAGGGTAGGATTGTTACTCATAGTCCTGTGATTGGGATGTAGGTGTCATGAAACTATGTTTTTGAGATATTAATAGACATTCTTTGGGAAAAGTGGTGCTAGTGATTTCTTTCCAAGATGTTCCATGAGACATGGCAGATGCATTTGTAGCTGTTCTTGTCATTGCGTGATGTTCTCTCTGCAGGATGACTCCTGTGCGTGAATGTATGACCTGAGCAGTATCTACAAACCATCCGTTCTCCAGAGATGAGTGCAGGGGAGCTGGCCAGATGCTTGCCTGGAGATTTCATTCATGGGAAGTGTCAAAATATTCCCAGAAATGCACAGTAACATAGAAAGTAGAATACTGGATGTTCGAAAGGATTTCTTTGATAAACTTCTTGGAGTTTGCCATAAAACCCAGGGGAACTCTTCAAATGACAAGCTTGGTACCAAAATGGTCTTTTGAAAAGAACAAGATTGGTTAAATAGTCACTGTTTTTGGCAGAGTGGCGTACTTAGGATTGGATTACCGCTCAACTTCAAAATCGTATGGCCTGTGACCATGGACACCCACCCTCTCTTGGGGTCTGCAGGCCAGCTCAGCGGGGACTGTCAGGATGGGCTCCAGGAAGCAGGGTGTGTTCAGGTCTGTCTCTTACTTCCTCATTCCCCTTAGACCTGCACCTACCAGGCTTGTCACCAAGGCACAAGGGAATGAGCGAGAACCAGCCATACCCCCGAGACCTCGCCCCAAACCAACCACTGTCATTTCTGCTCACACTCTGAGACCAAGCAAGTCTCCGGGCCAAGCCCAGCATCCCCGGTGCAGGGAAGCACATCCCTCCATCTTCACGGACGTGTCCAAAGCCGCGCGGCAATCAGTGTGGTGGGAAGAACAGGGCACTTGACCACCTGACGCACGAACTGGGAGGGCTCCCACTCTGTCTCCACGCCACACGTAGCTTCTCTATACAGATGCTGGGCAAAAATAGGAAGCATGTTGATCTGAATCCTGTATCAAATGATGGAGACCAGCAGACGTGTTGATCATTAAGGCTTCAGCAGCGTTCCCAGCATAACTGACTAAATGGCGAAAGACACCTTGATGTTCAAAACCTCCTGAGCTACCCAGCCATTCTTCTGAAGAAGATTAGGGCTACTGCACGCGAACCCTTGAACAGTGTCTCAATTATTTACATTCTGGTTGTGATAGAAAACTTGGAAAATAGAAGAAAGAATTAAAATATTAATCAATAATTGGCGGCCCCTCCATCCAGAGATCACCTCTGTTCGCATTTTCAAATATTCCTTCCGTTTGCTCTGCTATGCATATTGCTATACATAATTCTCACCATATTTCAAAAATAATTTTAATAGTCAACATTGACCAAAAACTGTTTACATTAAGTTTATTATGAACTAATTTTCCCCAAATAAGAGTTAACTTACTGACATAGTTCCTTGGGAAGAGAATGTGTTTTTTTTACTAAAAATAATACAATTGCTAAGAAAATACAGAAAATAGTTCAGTGTAATTTAGTACAACTATGCTATCTTAGTCATTGACATCTTTGTGTGATGTTCCCAGCTTCCTCTGTAAAGGTAAGTCCTGTGGCAGCCGCCTTCATCGGGAATGGGCAGGAGACAGTGCCCCTGCCTGCAGCATTCGACACACCAGGGACAGAACATCCTGACCGCCAGCTTCATGGAAGACAATTTCCATATCTACCACTTAAGTCTAGAGGTTCTCTATCTCTTGTTTACATGTGCAACTCCCTGAAGATAAAAACCTGTTAGATTCATTAACTAATTACTGTCTACTATGTGCATAATATGCTGTTAGAAGTTAAAAATATGCATATTTTAATTTATATTTTAAATATAATACTAAAAACATCTTGTACTACAGGAGTGTAGGAATATTACTAAGAATTAGAAAAAGTAGAGAAACAAAGTCTTTGTGGCAGGAGGCCAGCCTGGCTTCAAAGACTTCACAACTGGAAATAACCCTTAAAGGTGGTGATGTCCTCCACAGGCGACACGATGGGAGGAGAAAAACGCATGAACCAGGGACAGACAGACAGGTGTGCATGGCACATCCAGGCAACAGGATGCGCAGGTGTCCCCAGGACACAGGTGAATGGGAGGGCATGAGGAGATGAGGCTGTGGCAGCAAGACAGGCATCGAAGGACGTTGTACGCAGAGGAGCTGAGCCTTAACCATGTCACCCATGGGTTCTGGGGTTTGCTTCTCTGTGTTAATATCTTTGGGTTTTTTCAGATGTGTAATACGTACACATGGTAAGAAATTAAAAGCAAATCCAAAAGCTATGTCTGTGAAATGTAAGAAGGTAAGAAGGGAAGCCTCTCTCCCAATAAGCACTCCTGAATGTAAGTTTCTCATTGTCACACTTTCTTTCTCCAGGAAGCAACCGCTACTGCCAGTGTCTGGTATGCATCCTCTCAGAGGTGATGCACATACACACACACACACACACACACACACACACACACACAAAACCACACACACACATACACAAACATACACACATACAAACACACAAACACATACACAAAAAACCCACACACACACACACAAACATACACACATACAAACACACAAACACACACATACATATACAAACACAAACATACACAAGCACACACACGCACACATACACAACACAAGCACATACACAAACACAAACACATGAACACACAAATGCACACACATACAACACACACACACATAAATGCACATACACAAACATACTCATATATACATACATACACAAACACACATAACCACACAAAAACACACATACACACACATACACAAACACAGACACACACATACAATCACACACCTACACAGGCACACACATAGCCAAATAAAAACACACAAACATACATGTGGATGCACATATAAACATGCACATACACACACACATAAATGCACAAACACACTTAACACAAGCACACATGCAAACAAACACATGGACACACAAATACATATACACATACACACCTAAGCACACAAATGCATGCACACACACATTCCCATAAATAGTAGCACACTGTAGACAATTTTTTGCAATGGACCTTTTCACTTAACAATCATGTCAGGTTAGGTTTCCCTGACCTAAACTCAATAAGTGCTAATGCATAATTGATGTATTATGATGGCACTTGGACCAGGCCTGGTGGGTCGCACCTGTAATCCCAGCACTTGGTGAGGCCGAGGAAGGAGGATTGCATGAGCCCAGGAGTTCAAGACCAGCCTGGGAACATAGCGAGACCCTGTCTACACACACACACACACACACACACACACACACACACACACACACACACAAAATTAGCAGGGCATGGTGGTGTGCACCTGTGTTCCTAGCTACTTGGGAGGCTGAGGTGGAAGAATCGCTTGAACCTGGGAGGTCAAGGCTGCAGTGAGCTGGAGCCCTCCAGCCTGGGTGACACAGCAAGACTCTGTCTCAAAAAAAAAAGAAAAATTGTGCTCCCTCCAAAATACAGAGAGGAATGGGAGAGACAGGACAGGAAAGCAGGAACGCCATGCAAGGCTGTAATTCCAGGTGAAGTCCTACAGCGGCAAGATAGGCTATATAATTTGCAAAGCTCGATGCAAAACAGAAATTTCCCCTGCTGAAGAATCACTGAGGCAGTGAAGGCAGGGCCTGAAACTGAAAAGGGCTTTTGTGGTGCTGACTGTGACCACACACACGCTGCAGCCCCTGAGCTGACCGTGCCTGGCTCTGATTCTGCAGAGGAATCCTGGACACGAGTGGCACCTCTGAGCGTGTCCCTCACTTGAGGCAAGGGGCAGGGTTTTCACAGCTCACACTGATTGATCAGTGCCAGCTCAGGGCCCCTGCCAGTGCTCTCCTGCACTGCCAGCTCCAGAGTCCCAACAGGAGCCTCTTCTAGAGCAGCAGGTGCTGGCTGTGAGGGCAGAAGCAGAGTGAGCTGACCAGCAGTGCACCAGACATGGGGGAGGAGTCTGAGGAGCTCAGGGTCTGAGCAGGACAAGGGCAGTGTCTGTCACAGCTGTGTATCCTGGAGACCCCCCCATATCTGTACAGAAAGCATCGTGCATTATTTGCAGTGATTGCAAACTTCTGTTCAACCAGTGACCCCACTGATGGGCCTTTGGATGTTTCCAGGCTTTTGGTGGCATACACCATACTGTGATGATTATCCCTATTTTTGTGTCATTTCACACTTATGACAGTTTTGTCATAGGATACTGGACCAAAGAGTATGAGAATTTTTTTTAAATTTCAATAGCTTTAGGAGTACAAGTGGTTTCTGGTTCCATGGATTAATTGCGTGGTGGTGAAGTCTGGGCTTGTAGTGTACCCATCACCCAAATAGTGTACAAAGTATCCACTAGATAATTGGAAGAAATCTAGAAGCAACACATTACCCAACTTCAAATTATACTACAAGGCTATAATAACTAAAGCAGCATGGTATTGTTATAAAAGTAAATACATAGCCCATGGAACAGAATAAAGAGCCCAGAAATAAAGCCAAATACAACCAACTGATCTTTGATAAAGAATAGAAAAACATAAATTGGAAAAAGGACACCCTATTCAATAAATGGTGCTTGGAAAACTGGGTAGCCCCATTTCGAAAACTAAAACTGGATCCCTATCTCAGGCCATATACAAAAATTAACTCCAGATGAATTAAAGACTTAAATCTAAGATCTGAAGCCATAAAAATTGTATAACGAAACTTAGAAAAAAACTCTTTTAAACATTGGTCTGCCAAAGGATTTATGACTAAGATCTCAAAAGCAAATGCAACAAAACCAAAAATAAATAAATAAAGTTGCCTCTATCAGCCTCAGAGAAAATATATTTGGAAACCAACTTACAAAAGCTATTGAAAGCTATTGTTTCATAAACAGAGGGAACACAGGAGTCAATGATGCTTACACTTTATGAACCTCACTGCTATTATATTTTAAGATGTTCGCCTGGAGTTCCATTAAGAGAAAAAGCAGCTCTGAAGATCACATTGGAAGGTTTCATCTGACAGGTGAGGGCAGTCCCTTCAGGATGTTCCCATAAAATGAGGCACAGAGAAGATGAGGAGGCCCAGACACATTTCTCATGGAAAACTGTCTTTATGAGTTAAAGACACACAGAATAAGAGTAAACATGAGCATTAAAGAGCAATTACAAGCACCTAAAACTATAAAAGAGAAATATCAATCTGCAACTCCAAACAGTTCAGCCACTGGTCAAACATTGAAGATGAGAGTGTGAACAGTGGATGTGTCTTCATTGATTTCCCTTTTAATTTTATTCTAAGGCCTGGAATGCACCACCTAGGGGAGACATTTGATTAAAAATGTATTTATTCTTAGTATGTAAATCGTGAAAATGTTATTAGTCAACTATACCGTATTGTAAATTAATCTAATTATATTGTTTTATTCCTATTTATCAATTTATGATCAATATTATGCTAAAGCGACCAGGAAATAGAAGCATACATTAATCTACGTGATTGTGTGGATAAATCAGATAAGTTGATGTATTATTAGGAGTATGATTACTTTCTGTGAGCCATGATTAGGTCAGACAGAGAGAAAGGTCCAAATAACATTTGCTTACATGGAATACACTTTCTTTTTTCTCTGCCTGCAATGTTGGGTACGTGGCCTAGGCTCCTGTACTCCCCGGTGTGTGTTCTGGGGCTGCTCTGTCTCAGTGATACGCCATGTGTTGACTCAGTTCCCAAGTCTGCCTCGTGCTCCAAGAACATGCCGGCATTCCACCCTGCAGGAGGGACAGCAGAGGGGAGAGGGCAGACCGCTTTCTTTAAGAATGCATCCCAGAAGTTGATATTGTATTTCCACGTATATCTCTTTGATCAGATCTAGTACAGGGTGAGTATCCCTAATCAGAAAATTTCACATTCAAAATGCTCCAAAATCTAAAACCTGAGCACCAACATGACTCTCAAAGGCAATGCTCATTGGAGTATTTCAGATTTTGGACTTTCTGATTTGGGATGCTCAACTGGTAGTATAATGTAAATATTCCAAATTCCAAACAAATCCCAAACCTGAGACATTTCTGGTCCCAAGCATTTTGGGAAAAAGACACAACATATACAAAGCCCTAAGTCCCTGCAAAGGAGGCTGAGAACTGTAAACTGCATTCCTGGTAGACATTTGTCCATGGTGTTAATTTTCCATGGCTGCTGTGACAAATGACCCAAATGTGTTGGCCTTAACACACTTATATCTTATAGTTCTGGAAGTCAAAAGTCTAAGATCTGTTTCTCAACTCCAAATGCTCCCTCCAGAGTCTCCTGGGGGCAAGTGTTCCCTCCAGAGTCTCCGTGGGGGCAAGTGTTCCCTCCAGAGTCTCCGTGGGGGCAAGTGCTCCCTCCAGAGTCTCCGTGGGGGCAAGTGCTCCCTCCAGAGGCTCCATGGGGGGCAAGTGCTCCCTCCAGAGGCTCCAAGGGGGAAGTGCTCCCTCCAGAGGCTCCATGGGGACAAGTGCTCCCTCCAGAGTCTCCGTGGGGGTAAGTGATTCCTTCAGAGGCTCCCTGGGGACAAACGCTCCCTCCAGAGACTCCATGGAAGGAAGGGCTACCTCCAGAGTCTCCATGCGGGCAAGTGCTCCCTCCTGAGGCTCCGTAGGGGCTTCGGAGGCCCTCTGGGGACAAATGCTCCCTCCAGAGACTCCATGGAAGCAAGTCCTCCCTCCAGGGGCTCCATGGAGGCATCTGCTTCCTCACCCCTTCCCACTTCTCAGGCTCCTTGGCTCATAGCCCCTTTCTCCACCCCCAGTCCAGCAGGGTAGCATTGAGTCTCAGTGGGGACCGCTCCCCACCCTGTGCTGTCAATATCCTTCCACCTGCCTCTCATAAAGACACGCGTGGCTGCTTTTAGCCCCCACGTGTGTTAGCCCCCATGTGTGTAACCCAGGAGAATTCCCCATCTCAAGATCCTTAATCACAAAAGTCTCTTTTGCCACGTAGAGTAACAGACACAGGTTCCAGGGATTAGGACCTAGGTATCTTGGGGACTGTTATTCAGCCTACTAAGTCCACTAGAATTATTTGGGGACTGAGGAAGAAGAAGCCGGGAATGCTAGAGCTCCAGGGGCTTTTGCTGCAGAGAGGAAGCTGGAGTCTGGGGACGAAGGCCGGGCAGAACTGGAGAGACGAGGTGGGGACAGGAAAGACCCCTGGCCCTGACCCTGTCCTCAGCCACCCTCCCTCCTGTGCAGGGAGAGCTTGCGTCCCTCTGGAGTAGGAGGCTGTGTGGAGAAGCCTCTGATGAGTGAGGAACAGGATGTGCCAAGAGAAACCTCCCCTGAGTCACTGCTCTCCTCGGCACAGGGCCGGTCCTACCCACTTGCCACGTCTTTTCCAGAAAGTCAAGGGATAAAGATTAATATTTCACGATGCCTTTGAAGCAGCCAGAATTCCACACAGCGCCCCTGCCTGCCTAGGCCTTCTTCTGACTCTTCAAAGTGGAGCGGACACGAGTCCCAGGCCCCCTGGAGGCAGTGGCCTGGAGGTCTTGCTCTCCCTTTCATCTCCATCCAGGACGGGGACAGCAGCTGCCCCTTGACCCCCTCGGCCCTCCTGTTCCTGGTCACTGCTGGGTGAGCCTCTGCTTCCAAGCAATTGGGGACCCGGAGCTTGTCACCAGTTTGAGTACAGGGATGTGAGTACCGTGGAATCTATCCACAAGCCAGAGCCAAGCTCAGTGGGAACAAATGGCTGGAGTGCTTCAAAGACAGAACATTTTCTATCATTTTCCTCTCGTGGGGCGTCACCCAACCACACTGCGCTATTGCATTTGGGGCAGATGCAAAGGTGGCCCTCAGCTGCAATGTTTAACCTCATGCGAGGCAAAGAGGTAAATCTCTCTTCCTTCATAAAAGAACACAGAAAGCAAGTCAGCGCACTCTCCAATTGAACAGACTTTGAGGACGAGACTCATCTACAGTGTCTTATTTTCTCATTGCTCTGTGTGGTCTACGTTCTGAGGAAAGGAGAGTGAGGTCATGTTATAACCATTTGCAGTTCCATCTTTCCAGAAAAAAGGAAAAGTTATTTCCTGCTGAGTGTCTAGAGTCCTCAGCCCCAGGAGGGGAATCTGATGGAAAATTTGACACAATAAATAATTAATCTTATGACGTACAACAAAAATTCTAATTCCAGATTATCCCTGAAACCCAATGTTATTGAAAGTGTCCCTGGCGTCATCAGCATGTACGTGATCCGGGACTCTAGGCATTGGTTTGCCTGCGATTTCTCCACCTTACACATAGAGCACAGCCCAAGCATGTGCCTCCCGCGGTTCTAGGGGCTGAGCACACCCTGGACTGAGATGGACAAAGCCGTTCTCTTCCGCTGTTTAGGGCTGAGTCATTGAGCAAGTGATTACACGTGGAGTAAACGCTGGGGGTAAGCAGGTGCGAAGGGACACGAATCCAGAATGCATAAAACCAGTTACAACAGCACATGCCATTTCATTCTGATCCACAGGTGTTCTGATATACCCATGACTCAAGGCTCTGCAGAGATAAAGCGAGAACAGAGCTGTTATTCATTACATATTTGATTTAAAAGACTCTTTAACACAGTTCCAACATGTTTATCTTCCAAAGGAAGAGAAATCTTGGACGGCATAAGTAGCCCGTGGTTGAATTCCCTCCGGCATCCCAGGCTCTGCTGTACAAAGTATCATATTCCTGGCTAGCCCACCTCCTGTCCAAACCGCCTCCACCAACCAGCTCTCCTCATTCCTTCTGGTCAGGCCCTTGGGCTTGCGTTTTCCAAGCCACAGATTTCTGTATGAGTTATTTCCTTCCCTAAACCAAGCAGAGCTTGCACCATTACTGGGTTCTGCCACATCATCCTGATAGAAAATAACTCCTTGAAAACAACCCCCAGCCTTCTCTGATGCCCAGGAGACTAATGGGTACTCGGCTTAACACTTGGATGACAAAATAACCTGCACAACAAACCCCCATGGCACAAGTGTACCGATAGAACAAACCTGCACGTGTGCCCCTCAACTTAAAAAAACAAAAGTTAAATTTAAAAAAAGTCTTGTGAGGGCCGGGAGTTGTTTCATAGCATTATTGTCTATCGGCATGTCGCAGGGAAGAGCGGGAAGGATGGGAACTGGAGGAACTTGCCGAAGGCCACACAGCTCGTGTGGGATTTTCATCCCAGCCCTCCATGATCTGGGTTGCTTTCAAGTTCGTTTCAGTGAATTTATGTAAATCATCTGTTTCTCTTCCCTACCACACAACTACCAGAATATACATATCATTCAAAAACAGGTTTCATTGAGCATAGATCTGGTCTATTTGGTTCTTTAAACCTCGAGTGGCTGTTCATTGGCCAACAGATGAACAAGAGCTTTCTTAGAAGAACGCTTAAGAATCTTTACAACCTGCCACCACCAACTTGAGTGCCTGTGTCCTCGGCGCATGAATTGACTTGCTGAGCTGCAACCTCTCTGGTCTTTCTTCTGTGCTGTGCGGCTCCCTCCCCCTTGAGCCTCTTCCCCACTCCCAGGCCCACTCATCTGGTTTCCACTGTCTTGGCCTTCAAGACTCAGCTTACTGCAAATTCCTCTAGGAAGCGCCTCCCTGTTCCGAAAGATGGGTACAAGTGCCTGTCTTCATCCCTCTGGCTGCTATCACAAAATACCATAGATTGGGTGGCTCCTAAACAACAAAAATGTGTTCCTCACAGTTCTGGAAGCTGGCTGGGAATTTCAAGATCAAGGTGCCAGTAGACTCGGCGTCTGGGCGGCTTCCTTGTTCATAGATGGTAACCTCTGTGTGCATCCTCGCATGGCAGAAAGGGCAGAGGAGCTCTCTGGGACTCTTATAAATGCACTGATCCCGTTCATTGGGTTCCATCATCATGACGTCATCACCTCCTGAACGTCCCACCTCCTAATGCCATCCCCCTGGAAAGAGGGGCTTCCAACACCTGGATTTCATGGGAATACAGACATTCAAGCCACTGAGTGCCCCTTCTCTGCACTTCACAATACCCTACGTTCTCCAAACCTCGGCACCTGCTATGATACATCAAGCTGCTTCCTTCCTTGTCTGATATAGGGACTGGGCCATCAGTCTATTCATTTCCTAATTGCTGCCCTGCTTACCCGTTCATCTTCAATGTCTTGTTTACGTTTAATTTTCTAAACTTACCTCCTCATTATCTAACAAACGTCCACCCCTCTTTCCAACCCCGCATGCTGCCCTTCTATTACGAAGATGATCACATCACGATACCCTCTTGCTCCCACTTTGGGAAGAACTTCTGGTTCTTTGCTAACATGCATGTCACTCCTGGCCAGGCTCTGCACTGGTCCTTCAGCGTCATGGCTCAGCTATGGGCCCACATTCCTCTCAGACTGTGGCCACCTTGCATTTTCATAAAACCAGGGCTGGTGACTTCTGACCCTGGCAGGAATTGTGTCCCAGGAATTATTAACCCTGCCCTGTGCTAGGGCACTCCCTGAAGGCGGGCCCAGTGAGAATCATGCGGAATAGTTTATTCAGACTGTGGGGGGCAAAGGTTTAGCTGAGGGCATCTAAGAATATGATTTAAAAAGTGCTGAAAATGTTTAATCAACATGAGAACATGACCACTGTCCCTTCAGTACTGACTCGCCCTCATCCTCTCGTCTTCTGAGCCCACACTTTGTCTTCTGGATTTACCACTGACCTTGTGTGAGGCCGGGACAGCAGAAGCCATGGCTCCCAGGGCCTCTGACACCCCTGTCACTGGCAGGGGCGCCTCCCCCGTGTTTAGGTTTTATTGTGGAAGTGCAAAGCCCGCTCTGACTGCTTACCTTTGTGTCATTTTATCCTATGACACTCATTTTATCCCATGTGGTCGGTCTCATTGCTGTGCTTGGAGTGGGGACAAGGCATTTAAAGCAGGAATTCATTGCATGATGGTGATGAAAAGTCTTCTTTCCTTTTCATAGCCTTTCACTTCCTCATTTAAACCGTTTATCCCCTGCAAAGCTAAAAATCAGTAACACGCTTCTCAGTACACTCCAGCTTCAGTGATCACCCTGTGCTGTGAAAACATTGTGTATCAGAGGGATTGCACCCCATGAGCTCATTCATATTTACACAACATTTTTAGATTTAGATGCCATCCTCAGGAGCAAGGTATTTGCCCCAGAGATTGCGTCTGGGAGCGCGGGCCCTGCAGAAGCATGGAGAGCGGAGGCCTTTGTACCAGGACATCTCACAGGCCCACTCTGCCTCAGTGGTGTTGACCCAGAGCTCACCCCCAGCCCCCGGCACCCTGCAGCAAGAGGCCATCCTGGTTGTGCAATCAGCCTTGTGGAAGCGATCTCCTCACTCAGGAAATATGATCCAATCTCCCTCTGCTAGGTGACTCATCTCCAGGCTTTCATCTTCTTGACAGGCAGGGTTTTGTCTGTAGCTGCCTCAAAATATTCTTTCCATTTCATCATAGTTTAATATTTTATAGACTTGTGTTCTTCAACAAGTAATTAAAACCATCCTTAGCCTCTCAGGATACAAGTCCATTGAGAAAAGTCTGATAAGATGCTTCCGGATATTACACACGGCCATTGTATGTGCTCAAACATTTTACGTTACTCATCTGACATCTAAGTTTGACATTTAAACTTTAAAAGGGGGGCTTTATTACCAAACAACTACTAAAAATGATTAAAACCTTCAAAGGAGTTACCAATAAGAACATTGTATAAATATGACTAAATCAGATGATTTTATTCCTTTATTGCAGGATAATAATTAGAATTAGGTGGATTGAAGTCAAAATCCCAGAACAAAACATATTCTTTGCTCTCATGAATTTCTTACAGTTTAAATAATTTTTGCACTGATGTCAACACCATTTCTAAGGTGAAGTTTCCTTACATGAAAACAAAACAGAAGAGTTCCACGATTTCAAACATTCTACAAAAATTTCCTCAGTACAGATATATTTCATAATCACCCAGATATACTCCAATGTGTGAATGATTCTTAAGTCAAAGAAATAGCATCAGCTCAAGCTCTAATTCCCTTTTCTCATCTTTTGAACTCTCAATGCTACTCTCCATGGTGGCTGTTTAAATCTGTATCTTTCCTAAAAATAACTCAAAGAATCCACGTGTAAGAAATGGACTTTGTGTATATATATGTATATTTGTATATATATATATGTGTGTGTATATATATATTTGAGATGGACTCTCACTCTTGTCACTCAGGCTGGAGTGCAATGGCATGATCTCGGCTCACTGCAACTTCTGCCTCCTGGGTTCAAGTGATTCTCCTGCCTCAGCCTCCCAAATAGCTGGGATTACAGGTGACACCACCATGCCCGGCTAATTTTTTTGTGTTTTTCATAGAGACGGGGTTTCACCATGTTGGCCAGGCTGGTTTTGAACTCCTGACTTCAAGTGATCACCCGCCTCAGTCTCCCAAAGTGCTGGGATTACAGGCATAAGCCACTGCACCCTGCTCTGGACTTGATAGTTTTAATGGAATATGTCGAGGTATAATTGACCTACTGTGTAATGCATATATTTTATGTGTATAGTCAATGAGTTTTGACAAATGATATGCAGAATTATCACCACCACCATCAAGATACAGAGCATTTCATCACCCAGACATGCTCACGTGCCCCACTGCCAAACTCCCTGACAGACTTGGCCCCAAGAAAATACTGATTTGCCATTGATCACTATACATTCATTTTTCCTTTGCTAGATTTTCTTATAAATTGAATTATACAATATTTGACCTTTTGTTTGGTTTTAACTTTAAAACCTTTATTGGTGTATGATGAAAATAAAATAATCAGCATATATTTATATTGTACAATTTGATTAATGTTGGCATATGTGTATCTATGAAACTATCAACACAACCAAAATAATGAATGTAGCCATCATCCCCAGAAAGATTCCTCCTGCCTTTGTGTCTGTGGCCCTTCTCCCTGGCACCTCCCTGCCTCCCTTAAGCCTTCGGAAGTCACTAGTCCACTTTCTGTCACTGTGGCTTGCTTGAATTCTCTGCAGTTTTATGTGAGTGGAATCATACCATGTGCGCTCTTTCCTGTCTGCCTTCTTTCCTCCAGCATGCAACTATTTTGAGATTCATTCATGCTGTTGAAGGTTTCAGTTGTCTGTATTATTTTATTGCCAAACAGTATTTCATTCTACGGATATTCCAAAATCTGTTTACCCATTCACCTTTTGATAAAATTTTTAGCTGTTTCCAGTTTTTGACTCTCACAAATATAGCTGCTATGAATGTTTACACCCAAATCTTTATTAAGGCAAACCTTACATTTCTCCTGGGTAAGCACTAAGGGTCAGAAAAACCAGACAATCTGGGGAGTGGCTGTTTAGCTTTTGACAGAACTGCCAAACTGTTTTCCAAATTGATGGTATCATTTCACGTTTCCGATAGCAGTGTGTGGGAGTTCTAGTGACTGACTACACGTTCTCAGCAACACTTCGGCCAGTCTCTCCAGTTATAACCATTCTCACAGGTGTGTGGTGTCTTTCTGCATGGTTTTAATTGGCATATCTCTGATCTTTAATAATGTAGAGCACTTCTTAATGCACTTTTAAATGCAGTGAGCTTGAATATACGACAACAAAAACTTCCAAACTAAAATGAAAATAGGAAAACAAATGAAAACTGGAACAGAATATCAAAGGACTTGGGAATAAATTTAAAAGATTTTATACGCATATCATTAGACTACTAGAAGGAAAAGGAGAAACTGGAGAAGAAATATTTGAAATAATAATTACCAAGGATTTTTCAAATTTAATGACAGACATTAAACCACAGATCCAGAAAGCTCAGAGGACACCAAGGATAAATATTATAATAATAACAATTAATTATAATAAGGTGAATACATAAGCATATCATACCTAAGCTACAGGAAATCAAAGACAAAAAAATGTCTTGAAAGGCATCAGAATCAAGAGACAGCTGATCTGCATGGGAACAAGAATAAGACTTACAACAGAATTCGCTTTGAAACTATGCAAGCAAGACAGTGGAATGAAATATTTAAACCATTGACATAAAAAATATATAGTAAAAAGTATACTACAAAAGTAAAGGGGAAATAATTAATTTCCTAGACAAACAAAATCTAAAGGATCCATCACCAGCAGATCTGTGCAAGAAATGTAAGAAGTTTTTAAAGAAGAAGAAAATTGATACAGATCAGAAATTGAATCCACCTAAAGAAAGGAAAAGCAATAGATAAGGAATAAATGAAGGTAAAATAAAATCCTTTATTTTTCTTTGTTTTAACTAATCAAAAATATAACAATATCTTTTAAAAAATAATAGTAGCAATATATCAGGTATCGATAGCATACAGATAAATGAAGTGAACAAGAATGTTATAAAGGGCAGAAGGAAGGTATTAGGAATATTTTATTGTAAGTTAACTACACTATCTATTAAGTCATACAGTGGTATTTGAAGGTGGACTTATATTAGTCAGAAATACACATTGCAAACCCCGAGACAACAACTAATATTTTTAAGAGAAGCATAATTAATATACTAAAGAAAGGTAATACGATGAAAAAGTTTAGTCCTATATCTGGAAATCTTTACTAAATTTAAATTTGTGTATTAAAGTAATAATGACCTGTTTACCCAAACATTATAGATGTTTAAATATTTCCTTAATGCATGTAAATTGAGATACAAAGCTTTTTCACAATATACATGTATAGCAGTTTGCTTTAATTTTTTGAAGTAGGGTTTAATGAGTATTTTTAGAATCATGCTTACATCAGTCCCATATAAACAGAAATTGCTGGGTCTACTAAATCCACAGTAAACCTGATTGAGGCTGCCCATGCATGCTTCGACAGGAATCCAGTACACAAACAGATTTCATCAGCATGTTCAGTGGAACTAAGGTCTTCTTAGAACTGTGCTTCTGAAAGGCTAAATGCACTGTTAGTTGTTTAGGCCAAAGTTGCACAGGTCTGTTCAAAGACTTCCTTCTTTGCCTGTAGTCCATACTTAGGGGCCTCCTGTAGGTTCTCCACATAGTGCTTACCTTTTCATTTTGCAAAAACCACTTTTAGCATATTTGAACTATTTCTCTGTACTAACAAAGTCCTCTGGTGCTAGGCAGTTGCTGCCCTGGGAAGCTCCTGAAAAGTATGAGGTCAATGGCCAGAACAGTTTGGGGGGCAGTTTGGATGGTGTTTCTTGCAACCCCTGTGCCTTGAGGCATTCTTGTTGGTGTATTTGCTGGAGTATGTTCACTGGGAGGAATCCGTATTCTGGTCTAGTGGCTTGATGTTGTGTTGCATGGATCATAAATTAACGATGATGGCCACAGTGGCTGGCCGGGGGGCGGGTAGGGGTTTCTCCAGCATCTTCCTTTTCTTCAACTTTATTCTCTTCTTCAATTTCAACAGGTTTTGCCTCAGAGGTGTCCTCATTCTTTAAACAGTCGTGTCTGCTGCCTTCCACCTTGAAGGCTCTCTGTGTTTCACATTTTCATTAGCAAGTTTGCTAAATACTATCGTGACTTGCAATATAGAAGACATTGATCATGTTTTTGAGAAAGTGTCCAGCACTATCTTTATTGTTGTCATACAAAAACACTTTCAAAACTTAATTATTGGGCCGGACACAGTGGCTCACGCCTGTAATCCTGGCACTGTGGGAGGTGGATCACGAGGTCAGGAGATCGAGACCATCCTTGTTAACACGGTGAAACCACATCACCACTAAAAAAATACAAAAAAATTAGCCAGACGTGGTGGTGGGTGCCTGTAGTCCCAGCTACTCGGGAGGCTGAGGCAGAAGAATGGCATGAACCCGGGAGGTGGAGCTTGCAGTGAGCCAAAATTGCGCCACTGCACTCCAGCCTGGGTGACAGGGTGAAACTCCATCTAAAAAAAAAAAAAAAAAAAAACTCAATTATCCAAATGGGCAAAATTGGTCAGGTGCGGTGGCTCACACCTGTAATCCCAGCACTTTGGGAGGCCAAGGCAGGTGGATCGCCTGAGGTCAGGAGTTCAAGACCAGCCTGGCCAACATGGTGAAACCCCATCTCTATTAAAAATACAAAAATTAGTTGAGAATGGTGGTGCATGCCTGTAATCCTAGCTACTCAGGGAGCTGAGACAGGAGAATCACTTGAACCTGGGAGGCAGAGGTTGCAGATTGCACCATTGCACTCCAGCCTGGGTGACAGAGCGAGACTCTAACTCAAAAAAAAAAAAAAAAGTGGGCAAAACCAACTATTTCATGGATAATAGCTTTATTATCACCCAAAGCTACTGATTCATTAGCTTTGATGAAACTTAATAACATTTGAGAGTTTTACTCTTAGTCTGAATTCCAGTTGTATCATGTATAAAGAACAGTAAGAGTCCACAACATGGTCCTGCTTGTCATGCTTCTGGGCTATTCTCAGATGATGTTATGTGTTCCTAGATTATGGAAGGAGTGGGGGCAATAATGGGATAAACATGGCCAACTCTACTCTGGGAATCAACACTCCTATTTCACAACTGAACAAGTGTAAAAGAATAGAAACCATACAGAGTATGCTGTGAGACCACTGTGGAATTAAACAAGAAATTAATAACAAAAATAGCTTAAAAATACACAAATATTTAAAGAACATACTGGGTTGAACAGTGCACCCCCAAAATTCATGTCCACCTAAAACCTGTGAAGGTGACTGCATTTGGAAATAGGGTCTTGCAGATTTAGTCAAGTTAAAATTAAGTCATAGTAAAACCTAATCCAATTATTGTTGTCCTTGTCAAAAGGGAGAAATTTGGACACAGACACACAGAGGGAAGACAGTCACGTGAGGATGGAGTTGGAAATTGAAGTTATGCTGACATACATAGAGCATTTCTTTCAGTAGCTGCAGAATAAACTT
Source organism: Homo sapiens (assembly GCF_000001405.40). NCBI lineage: Eukaryota > Metazoa > Chordata > Mammalia > Primates > Hominidae > Homo > Homo sapiens. The sequence continues at coordinate 169,298,380 of NC_000006.12, forward strand.
TTCAAAAGCACAAGGACACTTATAAAATTTTATCATACACAGGACAAAATTTGATGTCTTAATACATTTTAAAATATCAAAGTGGTACACAACATAATTTTTAACCAAAGTGAAATGAATTACAAAATCAGTAACAAAAAGGTAACTTGGAACTCCTAAGTGTTTCCATATTAAGCATCAGAGTTTCCAAACAACCCTCATGTATTAATCAGAGTTTTCTAGATAAATAGAACCAACATAATTGTATAAGTTCATTCTCACTCTGCTATAAAGAACTACCCAAGACTGGGTAATTTATAAAGAAAAGAGGTTTAAATGACTCAGAGTTCCATAGGCCTGGGAGGCCTCAGGAAACTTACAATCCTGGCAGAAGGGGAAGCAAACATGTCCTTCTTCACATGGCAGCAGGAAGAAGAAGTGCTGAGCAAAGAGGGAAAAGCCCCTTATAAAACCATCAGATCTCGTGAGAACTCACTCACTATCATGAGAACAGCATGGGGGAAACCACCCCCATTATTCAATTAACTCCCACTGGGTTCCTCCCACAACACATAGGGATTATGGGATTACAATTCAAAATGAGATTTGGGTGGGGACACAAAGTCAAACCACATCAATGATGTATATATTAATTACAAGGTATTGCCCGTGTGATTATTAAGGCTGACATGTTCCACAATCTGCTCTGTGCAAGCTGAGACCCAAGAAAGCCAGTGGTGCGGTGTGAAACCTGAGAGCCAGTGAGCTGACGGTATAGATTAGAGTCTGTGTTTAAAGGCCTTAGAACCAGGAGTGCTGAGGGCAGAAAATTGATGTCCCAGTTCAACAAAGCAGAAGGAGTGAATCTTCCCTTCCTCTGTCTTTTTGTTCTATCAGGCCCTCAGAGATAGAAAGATGCCCACCCCAGGTTGGGGCAGAAAATGTGCTTTATTTAGTCTACAGATTTGAAGTCTAATCTCTTCCTGAAACACCCTACTAGGCACATCCAGAAATAATGTTTAACCAAATATCTAGGCATTCAGTGATTGAGTCATTGATACATAAAATTATGACACTGCAGCTTATAAGAAAAACACAATGAAAATTTCAAAATAGCATTTGAACTAAGTGATAATATAAAATGGTATACCAAAACTCATGGGATACAGTTAATGTTGTGTTTAAAAGCAAATTCATAGTCTATTAGTCTAAATTTGTAGTCTAAAAGTATTCTTTTAATGAAAAAAATCAAACCCAACTCAAGATTTATTAAAAAATTAAACTGCAAAAAGCATAAACAGAAGTAAGGAGAATTGAAAGATTAAAATAAACTACACAAAATGCAAAAGAAAACATTCTTATCACAGGAGCTACAAAATCAGAAGCTGTTTTTCCAGAGAAAACTAAACGATAACAAAAAGGTAGACCTCTGGCAACATAGATCAAAAGAAAAGAAAAAGAAAGGTCAAAATAACCAGTAACAGCAAGGAAAAACAGCAATTTTAAAAGATTATAAATATTAGGCTACTTATGACAATGAATTTGCATATTTAGATAAAATTAATTTGAATTTTAGATGAAAATTTAGATAAATATTTAAGTGAAATGAATAAATTCTTAGAATAGCCAATCATTGTTCAAAAACTGTATTAGATTATATTTTCATTCTACTTATCTGTTTATTAAGTGGTGGTTTTAAATTGTATGCATTTCGAACGGTTTTTAATGATGTAGATAAAAAACTCTGAACTTACATTAAAACAATAAAGTTTTGGCTTGTCAACTCAAGGATGATTAAGTTCATAATTTGGAAAGAAGAGCTTTATTTCTCATGAAGGGATGCAGCCTGCAGGTTGCCATTCTGACAGACTGGGAAATGTAGCCTCTAGCCCGATGCCAAAAACAGGCACTATGAATTGGGGAGGGAGGGCAAGAAGGGAAATGTAAGAGGTAGCCAAATGTACATATATAATAAGCTATAGGGAGAGTCATAAATATTTATGGAAGGGAAAACGTACACATCTGCAACTGAGCTTCATGTCCCTTGCAATGAGCCCATGTTCAAAAAGTGGTGGTGGTAGCATGATCCAAAGGTGTTTTCAGCTCTCTGATATCAAAAGGTGAAGCAGAAGACACAAAAACCCTTATTGCACGTTGTTTACAGACTGGCCAGAAGCAATTCATGGTCAGATGTCTCTTATCAGACAAGAAGGGAGGGGCAGTGTAGGACAGTTAGTAAATTTCCATTTAGCCCTTAGAGAAGAAAGCCCAATTATGGTTAGCATGTGAAGGGGTGTAATGAGGTGTATCTGACCCCCATTCTGTCATGGCCAAGAACTCAATGTTCAAGGTTTCTCTGGGGTCTCCTTGGCCAAGAGATGGTCCACTCAATCAGTTGGGGGGCTTAGAATTTTATTTTTAGTTCAGCTATTTTTCAGCAGCTTTAGGTTTTCTGTAAAATGGAAAGGTAGTGCAGGGAGGTCTCATATTTCCTGCATCTAGTTTTCTCTATTATTAATATCTATGTCAGTATTGAATATTTCTTAAAATTAATGGACCAATATTGATATGTTATTATTGACTGAGGGTTACACTTTATTCATATTTTCTTAGTTCTTATTCAATCACATTTTTCTCTTGTTGGATGCCATCCGGGATACCACATTAAATTCAGTTTTCACATCTCCAAGATTCCACTAGACAAAGAGTTTCTCAACGTTTCTTATTTTGACGCAGAACTTACTTACATAAAATTAAACCAAGTGTAATTCCTAAAGTATATTGCCGGGAAATATGACAAGAAACACTTCTGGTTGGCAGATGAAGAAACTCTATTACATTAACAGATCTTAAATCTGACATAGTTATACCACAACATATATTTTATTGACATCCTTAATAAAAATGATGGGGACATTTCAGTATGCAGGCTTGTGGGTAGTTACTACTGGAAAAACACTGTCAATAATAAAACTAAAAGAAATTAGTACTTGAAGTGGAAATAAAAATAAATTTGGGTACTTTATAACTTTGAGTTATTAACAGCATATTCTGAGATAATTTTATAATGATATTGTAAGATATTTTTCTTATTTATAATTATATAGGAAACATTCAACAGCACTGTTTTTCAGTCAAATGCTCTGCAGATCTACAAGGGTTTTCTTTGAGATTTTAGCTGAGGATTAAGCTACTTATGCATAAGAGAATACTCACCATATTGATGATTATGTTATGTATCAATGGTTATCACTGTTTAATAATACATATTAAATTATAAAAATGTTTTTTTTCCTGCAGTGTCCAATACAGAAGCTACTAGTCACATGTGGTTATTGAGCACTTGAAAAGGTTAATATGAGTGAAGAACTAAACTTTTTATGATATTTAAGTTTAAGTAATTTAAACTTAAATTTAAATAGTCACATATAGCTTATGGTGATTTATTTAATAGCACCAGATTTCATACTCCAGTTTAAAAGAAGACATTTCTCTATTTGATAAAAAAGCAAGATTCAACTACAATGTTTCAGTAATTGATATAACAGTTAGATAGAAAATTATTAAGGATATAGAAGTTTTGGAGGCAGTGGAGCAAGAGAGCCAAATATTGAACCCTCCAACAACTGTTCCCCGGCAGGAACACCAAACTGAAAAACTATCCATGCAAAAAAGCACCTTTATAAGAACCAAAAAATCAGATGAGCCATTATGGTACCTGGTTTTAACATAGTATCAAGGAAAGAAGCATTGAAGAGGGTAGAAAGGGCAGTATTGCATTGCCTACACCACCCCTTCCCCATGCCCCATCAAAGCTGCATGGAGAGACAATCTGTGTGCTTGGGGAAGAGAGAGTCAAATGAATGTGGGACATTCCACTGAAACTCAGTGCTGCCCTGTCACAGCCAAACACAACACAGGGCAGAATTCTCTTGGTGACCATTGAGGGAGCATTTAGAGCAGCACCAAACAGAGAATTCTTATTCCCAGTGGGAGGAATCTGAGTCCTGGCTGGATCCACCAGCAGCTGACTTAAGTGGTCTGGGGCCCAAAATAAATTTGAGAGGCCATAATGCCACAAAGACTGCAATCCTTGGGCAACCCCTGGTGCTGTGCTGAGCTCAGAGGCAGTGGACTTGGGATGTGACCCATTGAGACATCAGCTTTGGCAGCTGAGGGAGCACTGGCATCACCCCTCCCCCAATTCCAGGCAGTGCAACTCAGGAAAGAGACTCATCTTGCCTACAGAAAGGAGAGGGAAGAGTAAGGAGGACTTTGTCTTGTTGCTTGGGTACCAGCTTAGCTACAGTAAAATGAAGCACCAAGCAGATTCCTGGAATCCCCAATTCCAGGCCTTAGCTCCTAGCTGGCATTTCACACCCACCTTGTGCCATAAGGGGACTCACTGTTCTGAAGGGAAGGACCCGGTCCTGGCAAGATTCATCACCTGCTGATTGAAGAGCCCTTGGTCCTTGAGTAAACATCAGTGGTATACAGGCAGTAGTCCTCATAGGCCTTAGGTGAGACCCAGTACCACACTGGGTTCAGGTAGGACCCAGTGCAGGGCCAGTGTCGTGGTCACAGCAGTACATGCATCACTCCTGCCATAACTCCAGGCAGCACGGTGTGGAGCAAGATGCATTCTGATTGGAGAAAGAGAGAGAGGTGACCTAAAGACATTGTCTAGTAACCCAGGAAATTTTTCTTTATTTTACCCAAGCCCACCAAGGTGGTGCCTCTAGAAGTCAGTAACAGCTACAATGTTACTGGGCTTAGGGTGCCCCTTAGTACTGATATGGTGGCAGTGACCACAGGCTTAGATCACAACACTCAATTTCTGTTGAACACATGGAAAACCTCATCAAGAAGGATGGTACAACAAACCCAGACTGCTAAAATTGAAATAAATACAAAACTCTTCAATGCCCAGACATCAACAAACATACAATACACAAGCATTAAGAAAATCCAGGAAAACATGACCTCACCAAATGAACTAAAGAATCAGTGACCAAGCTCAGAGTGACAGAGATATGTGACCTTTCAGACACAGAATTCAATAATTGTCTTGAGGAATCTCAATGAACTTTAACACAGTACAAATTCAGAATTCTATCAGAGAAATTTAACAAAGAGATTGAAAGTTTTAAAAATCCAACAGATATTCTAGAGCTTAAAAAATCAATTGTCAAACTGAAAAATGTGTTCGAGTCTCTCAACAGCACAGTTGATCAAGTAGAAGAAAGAATTAGTGAGGTTGAAGACAGGCTATATGAAAACACATGGAGAAGAAAAAAGAAACAAGAATAAAAAGAATGAAGCGTATCTACAAGATCTAGAAAATATACTCAAAAGGCCAAATCTAGTAAGTTATTTACCTAAAAAAAGGTAGAGAGAAATCAGAATAGAAATTTTGTTCAAGAAATAATAATAGAACTTTTCAAACCTAGAGAAAGACATGAATATCCAGATACAAGAAGGCTATAAAACACAAAGCAGAGTCAACCCAAATATAACTACCCCAAGGCACTTAATTATCAAACTGTTGAAAGTCAAACATAAAGAAAGAATTCTAAAAGCAGCAAGAAAAAATAAACAAATAACATATAAAGGAGCTTCAATATATCCGGCAACAGACTTTGCAGCAAAAACCTACATGACAGAACAGAGTGAGATGACATATTTAAAGTCCTAAAGAAAATAAACTTCCATTCTAGAGTATTATATCCAGAAAAATTATTCCTCAACATGAAGTAGAAATAAAAACTTTCTGAGACAAACAAAACCTGAGGGATTTCATCAATACCAGGCCTGTCCCACAAAAAAAAAAAAAAAAACGCTAAATGAAATTCTTGAATCTGAAAAAAAGACATTAACAAGCAACAAGAAGTTGTCTGAAGGTGTAAAACTCACTAATAATAGTAAATACACAGATAAATACAGAATACCCTAACATTGTCATTATAGTGTATAAACCAGTCATATCTTGAGTAAGAAGATTAAAAGATAAACCTGTCAAAAATAATAACTACAACAACTTCCTAAGAGATAAACAGTACAAAAAGATATAAATAGAGGCAACAAAAACTCAAAAACCAGGAGAAGAGGGTGAAGTTCAACTGTAGACTTTTCTGGGTTTCTTTGTGCTTGTTTGTCTGGGTTTTTTTAATAATCAGAATAACTTGGCATCAGTTTAAAATAATTGGCTATAAGACGTTATTTGCAAGACTCATGGCAACCACAGAACAAAAACCTTTAACAGATACACACAAAAAAATAAAAAGTAATACATTTAAACATGCTACCAGAGAAAGTTACTTTTACACAGAGGAAGACAGAAAGGAAGGAAAAAAGAAAAAGAAGATCAATAAAACAACCATAAAACAAATAACAAAATGACAGTGCTTAGTTCTTACCTGCCAATAATAGCACTGAAAGTGAATGGACTAAATTCTCTAATCAAGAGACAGAATGGTTGAATGGATTTTCAAAAATCAAGACCCAGGGCTCAGTGTGTTGGCTTATGCCTGTAATCTCAGCACTTTGGGAGGCCAAGGCAGGTGGATCACTTGAGGCCAGGGGCTTGAGACCAGCCTGGACAACATGGCAAAACCCCATTTCTACAAAAAAAAAAAAAAATACAAAGATTAGATATACATGGTGTAGTTCCAGCTAGCTACTAGGGAGGCTGAGGTGGGAAGATCACTTGAGCCCAGGTGGTCAAGGCTGCAGTGAGCTGTGAGCATGCCACTATACTCCAGCCTGGGTAATAGAGCAAGACTATGTCTCAAAAAAATTTTAAAAAGCAAGACCCAACTATATGGTGCCTACAAGAAACTTACTTCACCAAAAAAGACACACATAGACTGAAATAAAGGAATGAAAAATTCAATGCCAATGGAAACCAAAGAATAGAAGGACTTGTTATAGTTGTATCAGATAAAATAGATTTCAAGAGAAAATCATTAAAAAGAGAGAAAGAAGGTCATTTTATAATTTTATAATGATAAAGGGGTCAATTCAGAAGATCATATAACAAATGTAAATATATACCCAACACAAGAGCACCCAGATATAAAAGCAGATATTGATAGATCTAAAGAGGAAGATAGACCACAATACAGTAATAGTTGGAGATGTCAACACCCAGAAATTAAACAATATGTTTCTAAATGACCATTAGGTCAATGAAGAAATTAAGAAGGAATTTTTTTAAAAATTGAAACAAATGCTGGAAACACACCATACCAAAACATACAGGATATAGCAAAAGCAGTACAAAAGGGGAAGTTTATAGCAATAAATGCTTATGTCAGAAAAGTAAAATATTTTCAAATAAACAACCCAGTGATGCATCTTAAAGAACTAGAAAAGCAAGAGTGAACCAAACAAAATTCTACTAACCAAAATTAGTACAAGAAAAGAAAAATAAAGATCAGAGCAGAAATAAATAAAATTGAGACAAAAATACAAAAGGCCAACAAAACTAAAAGTTGGTTCATTGAAAAAAGATAAACAAAATCTATAAATTTTTAGCCAGGATAACTAAGAAAAAAGAGACCCAAATAAATAAAATCAGAGATAAAAAGGAAACATTACAACTGATACCGCAGAAATACAAAGGACCATTAGAGACTATTGTAAGCATTATATGCCAATAAATTGGAAAATGTAGAACAATAGATAAATTCCTGGACACATACAACCTACCAAGATTGAATCATGAAGAAATAAAAAACTTAAACAGACCAATAATAAGTAACAAGATAGAAGCAGTAATAAAATGTTTCCTATTAATAAAAAAAAGTCCATGACCTGATGGCTTCATTGATGAGCTCTACCACACATTTAAGGAATCCTATCCAAACTGTTCTAAAAAAAATGAGGAGGAGGGAATACTTCCAAAGTCATTTTATGAGGCCAGTATTACCTTGATACTAAAACCAGACAAAAACACATCAAAAAAAAAAAAAGAAAGAAAAAGAATAACTATAGACCAATACATATACTCAAAAATCCTCAACAAAATACTAGCAAACCAAATTTGACAACACATCAAAAAGATCATTCATCATGATCAAGTGGGATTTAAGGATGGGATTCCAAGTATACAAGGATGGTTCAACATATGTAAATCCATAAATGCAATACATCGTATCAAATGAAGGTAAAAAAAACTGTATGATCATTTCAGCAAGTGCTGAAAAACAATTCAATAAAATCAACATTTCTTCAAAATATAAACTCAAAAAACTCGATGAAAGCCACATATGACAAACCCAGAACTAGTGTCATACTGAATGAGGTAAAACTAAAAGCCTTTCCTCTAAGATCTGGAACAAGAAAAGGATGTCAAAATGATTTCCAAATTGGAAAGAATGAAGTCAAATTATCCTTTTTTGCAGATAATATATTATATCATAATATATATATTAGGAAAACCTAAAGACTACATCAAAAAACTCATAGAGCTGATAAATTCAATAAAGTTTCAGGATACGAAGTCAACATATGAAAATCAGTAGCCTTTCTATATGCCAATTGTGAGCAACCTAAAAAAGATACCAAGAATGTTATCTCATTTACAGTAGATACAAATAAAACAAAATGCCCAGGAATAAACTTAACCAAGGAAGTGAAAGATCTCTACAATAAAAACCATAATACATTGGTGAAAGAAATTGAAGAGGACACATAAAAGTGGAAAGATATTCCATGTTCATGGATCAGAAAGATTAATATTGATAAACTGTTTATACTACCCAAAGCAATCTATAGATTAAATGTAATACTTATTAAAATATCAATAACATGCTTCACAGAAACAGGAAAAATAATCTTAAAATTTATATGGAACCACAAGAAAACCCAGAATAGCCAAAGCCATCCTGAGCAAAAAGAACAAAACTGAACTTCAAATTATACTACAAAGCTATATTAACCAAACCAGCATGGTACTGGCATAAAAACAGAAACACAGACCAATGGAACAGAATAGAAAACACAAAAATATCCATACATTTATAATAAACTCATTTTCAACAAAAATGCCAAGAACATACATTGGAGAAAAAAATCTTTAATTAATGGTGATGGAAAAACTGAATGTTAATATGCAAGAGAATGAAATTAGATGCCTATCTTTCACCCTATACAAAATCCAAAATAAGATGGATTAAATATTTAAATCTCAGGCCTAAATCTATGACATTAGAAGAAAACATTGGGAAACACTCCAGGACATTGCTCTAAGCAATTTTTTTTTGAGTAATACCTCAAAAGCACAGGCAATCAAAGCAAAAATGGACAAATCGGATCATATCATGCTAAAAAGTTTCTGCACAACAATGGAAACAACCAGAAAGTGGTGAGACAACCCACAGAATGAGAGAAAATATTTGCAAACTACCCATCTGCCAATAAATTAATAACCAGAATATGCAAGGAGCTGAAACAACATCATAGGAAAAAATTAATCTAGTCAAGAATGGTTTTAACTAAGGAGGTGAAATATTGCTACAAAGAAAACCACAAACACTAAGGAGAGAAAGTATAGATGACACAAACAAATAGAAAAACATTCCATGCTCATGGACCAGAGGAATTTTATTAATTAATAAAATGACCATACCATCCAAAGCAATCTACAGATTCAATGCAATTCCTATCAAAATACCAATGTCATTTTTTCACAGAATTAGAAAAACAGATCCTAAAATTTATATGGGGCCAAAGAAGAGCCCAAAAACCAAAGCAATCTCAAGTAAAAAGAACAAAGCTGGAGGCATCACATTACCTGACTTCAAATTCTGTTACAAGGATATAGGAACCAAAGCAGCATGATATATTCATGTCCTTTGTCCACTCTTTAAAAGTATAAAAATAGACACACAGATCAATGGAACATAATAGAGAACCCAGAAATAAAGACACATATTTCTAGCCAGTTGATCTTTGGCAAAGTGGAAAGGAACATGCACAGAGGAAAGACATCCTTTTCAATAAATAGTGCTGGAAAAATTGGATTGGCATATGTAGAAGAATTTATCTCTCACCATATACAAAAATCAACTGAAGATGGATTAAACTTAAATATATGACCTGAAACTATAAAAATGCTAGAAGAACACCTAGATAAAACTCTTCTGGGCATTGTTCTACGTAAAGAGCACATAACAAAGACCTCAAAAACACAAGCCACAGAAACAAAAATAGAAAAATGGGTCTTAATTAAGCTAAAAGGACTTTCTTCACAGCAGAAGAAACAATCAATAAACAGAATGCCTGCATAATGGGAGAAAATATTTAGAAACTATGCAACTGGCAGAATTTACAAGGAACTCAAACAACTCAACAACAACAACCTATTAAAAAGTGAGCAAAGAATATGAGTAGACATTTTTTCAAAAGAAGACATAAAAATGTCCAACAAGCATATGAAAAAATACTCAACATCACTAATTATCAGAGAAATGCAAATTAGAAGGACAATGAAATATCATCTTACACCAGTCAGAATGACTATTATTAAAAAGACAAAAACAACAACAGACTTTGGCTAGGATGCAAATAAAAGAGAATGTTTATACACTGCTGGTGTGAATGTAAATTAAGTACAATCTCTATGGAAAATAGTATGGAGATTCCTCATAGAACTACCATTGGATCCAGCAACCCCACCACTGGGCATCTACTCAAAGGAAAAGAAATCATTATATCAAAAATACCTGCACTTATATGTTTATTGCAACATTATTAATAATAGCAAAGATGTGCAATCAACCAAAGTATGCATCGACAGATGATTGGATAAGGAAAATGTGGTACATATACACAATGGAATTCTACTCAGCCATAAAAAGAATGAAATCATGTCTTTTGCAGCAACATGGAACTAGGGGCCATCATATAAAGTGAAACAACTCACACACAGAAAGTCAAATACCACTTATTCTCATTTATAAGTGTGAACTAAATCATGTGTACACATGGGCATAGAATGTGGAATGATAGACACTGGGAGGAGGGGGGACATGGGGGAATGAGAAATGACTTAATATGCACATACATATTATTTGGGTGATCGATAAAGTAAAAGCCCAGACATCATCACTACACAACATATCTATGTAATAAAACTGCACTTGTACCCCTTACATTTATATAAATAAGAAAATAATGGCCAGGCATGGTGGCTTATGCAGGTAATCCCAGTACTTTGGGAAGCAAAGGTGGGCAGATTGCTTGAGCTCAGGTGTTCGAGACCAGCCTGGGCAACATGAGGAAACCCTGTCTCTACAAAAAAAATATAAAAATTAGCTGGACGTAGTGGGCACATGCCTGTGGTCCCAGCTATTCAGGAGACTGAGATGGGAAGATTTCTTGAGCCCAGGAGATGGAGGCTGCAGTCAACCGAGATTGCACCACTGCACTCCAGCTTGGGCCACAGAGTGAGACCCTGTCTCCAATTAAAAAAAAAAAAAAAGATTGGGCAAAAGATCTCAATAGACATTTCTCAAAAGAGACATACAAATGACCAATAGGTACATGAAAAAATGCACACCTGTAGTCCCAGCATTTTAGGAGGCCAAGGCGGGTGGATCACGAGGTCAGGAGATCGAGACCATCTTGGGTAACATGGTGAAACCCCATCTCTACTAAAAAAAAAAATACAAAAAATTAGTTGGGCATGGTGGCGAGTGCCTGTAGTCCCAGCTACTCGGGAGGCTGAGGCAGGAGAATGGCGTGAACCCAGGAGGCAGAGCTTGCAGTGAGCCGAGATCGTGCCACTGCACTCCAGCCTGGGCGACAGAGCAAGACTCTGTCTCAAAAAAAAAAAAAAAAAAAAAAGCTCAACATCACCAATCATTCAGAAAAAATGTAACTCAAAACCGCAATGAGATATCATCTCACCCTGGTTAAAATGGCTTTTATCCTCAAGACAGGCAATAATGAATGCTGGTGAGAATGTGAAGAAAGGGGAACCCCTCATACTCTGTTGGTGAGAGAGCAGATTAGTACAGCCACTATGGAGAACAATATGAGGGTTCCTAATAAATCTACAAATAAAACTACCATATGATCCAGCAATACCACTGCCTGGGTGTATACCCGAGCAAAGGAAATCAGTATATCCAAGACATATCTGCACTCCCATGTTTATTGAAGCACTATTCACAATAGCCAAGGTATGAGATCAACCTAAGTGTCCATCAATGGATGAACAGATTTTTAAAATGTGGTACATGTACACAATGGATTATTAGCCATAAACAATGAAATGTCATTGTTTGCAACAACATGTAATGCAAGTGGAGTAGTTTATGTTAAGTAAAATAAGCCAGGCATGAAAAGACACAAGTCACACATTCTCAGTAGCACATGGGAGCTAAAAAAAACAAAAACTGAACTCTTGGAGATTGAAAGTAGAAGGTTTTTACTAGAGGCTGGTTGGGGTGATTGGAAAGGAGGCAGATAAAGAGGATGATTAATGCATACAAAAGTACAGTCAGGAGGGGCACCCAATAAAAGTGGACAAAATCTTTAAACAAATATTGCCCCAAAATGATAAACATGAACAGCCAATAAGATCCTTGTAGCAGAAATGGCAAGAACCAGGCCATGGTCTTCCATGGATCAGGGGCCAGGCCATGGCCTTCCATGGGGCAGGGGCCAGGCCATGGTCTTCCATGGGGCAGGGGCCAGTCAGTGGTCTTCTGTGGGGCAGGGGCCAGGCCATGGTCCTCCATGGGATGGGGGCCAGGCCATGGCCTTCCATGAGGCAGGCACCAGGCTATGGTCTTCCATGGGGTAGGGAGCAGGCAATGGTCTTCCGTGGGGCAGGGACCAGGCTGTGGTCTTGTGTGGGGCAGGTGCCAGGCCATGATCTTCTGTGGGGCAGGGCACTCACATACTTGTCTGAGTTTTGCTTACACAGCTGTGTTCATTTTACTGAGCATCTCTCGAGCTGTGCAGTAGAGATACTGCACACTTCTCTGCATGCTCCGCATATGTTATGCTTTGAAAAACACATTTACTTGAACAGGCAACAACATACAGTGAAAATTTTTTAAGGTAATAATGTGAGGAATCTTTTTGTAAAGATGCATCTGGTTTTATAAGTTGAGTTTTTGTTTTTGTCTTTTTCTCTAACAGAAGACAGGTTGAAAATAACAAAAGTTATAGCTGTGAGGAACTGTAATTGTCATACCCAAATATTATTCTTAGATGGGTGAATTGCCCTAACTGTGGACCTCCACCTGCTTGTCTGGTGGGTATGAAGTGCTGTCTCTACACACGTGATGCATCCAAAAGTGGATTTGATGTGCACAAAATCTCAACTGCCATTCCTTAAGTATATTTTGTGCAAGAATGTGCCAGTATGTATTAGTCCATCTCATGCTGCTAATAAAGAAATACCCAAGACTAGGAAGAAAAAGAGGTTTAATTGGACTTACAGTTCCACATGGCTGCGGAGGCCTCAGGATCATGGCGGAAGGGCGAAAGGCACTTTTTACATGGCTGCGGCAAGAGAAAATGAGGAAGAAGCAAAAGCAGAAACCCCTGATAAACCCATCAGATCTGATGAGACTTATTCGCTATCACGAGAATAGTGCGGGAAAGACCGGCCCCCATGATTCAATTACCTCCCCCTGGGTCCCTCCCACAGCACCTGGGAATTCTGGGAGCTACAATTCAAGTTGAGATTTGGGTGGGAACACAGCCAAACCATATCACAGTGAATCACAAACAATCCCAATGAAGACACAACTGTGTTAGTTTTCCTGGGAAGAGTTTTCTTTGGAGAAATCTCACAAAGGGAAGAGAAAAGCCCTCTGGGCTTCAGCCTTTCATTATGAGTGTTTCCCAAAACATAAACTAATTCTGATAAACCCAGACAGCTCTCGCAGCTGGTCCTGTAGGGGCCCAGAGCTAATCCACCTGGGCTGACACACCTGAAACATATGTATCTTAAAATTACCGCATTTCAGTTATTTCATTCATCAGGGGCTTGTTGATCTCTCATGCCATATCTACTTGCTCCTGGGTCTGGATACAGACAAACTTCAGCTCACAGCTTCCCTGGCCTCCGGCTTCTTTTCCACAAGCCCCGGTGGGGCTTGCACTCCTGGCCTGCCTCACTGACTGCTTCTCCATACATTCTTCCAACAACTCGCTTGGGTTTGGGGCTGTTGTGTGGCTCTGAGCCTCAGCACAGCTGTTCTACCTGGAAGTAAAATACAGGGGTTGTTCTCAAAAACACACTGATCCCAACGGTGGGAAGAAGAAAATGTGGCAAAATTCCTTATAAAAAGTGTATGTGAAATACCACAGGATAGGACAAAATACAGGTTAAAAAAAGAAAAGAAAAGAAAAGAAATCTTGCGTGTATTAGACGTTTACCAAACCTGAGGCACGGCGCTTGCAGTGATTACCTCATTTAACCCCGGCAGCTCTTCCTTCCAGCGATGATCCCACCAGCCACATGAGGTCACCAAGCTCTTGAAAACCCTGGCAACGTGCATTAAGTGTGAAATGCACATGAGGTTTCAAAGACTGGGAACAAGAGAAGACATACGGGATAATCTTCACGTCCATTACACGTGGTGTGATAAACTTTGGGTCTCTTCTAGTAAATGATACACATTATTAAATTAACATCCCCGTGTCTTTTTGCTATCTTTAGTGTGGCTACTAGAAAACATCGATGAGCCTGTGTGGTTCACATTATATTCCCATTGGCAGCATGGCTCTAAATGGTCCTGTAAGGATGTGGCATGAACCAAAAAACTGAAGTTTCGAGGGCTGTAATTTGCTGGGGCACAGAATGGAATCTATGTCTGACCCTCTCCCAAGCCCACACTCTGAACCTTTGTGCGGGGGGATGTGCTTTCCAACATGAGGCTCAATTTAAGGAATTTGGTTCATAAAATTAATTTTTTGAATGCCCCCTTGACACCCCACCCAATGCCTGCTCTTTCCAGGACTCTGTGCCAGCTCTGTTTCTGGGCCTAGGTGGCCACTCAGCCTGTGTCCATCCTGCGAGGTCAGGACAGGGACTGCCTGACGACAGTATCTCGGGACCTTGTCCCCTTCCATCTGGGCTCCCAGGGATCCCAAGTCCCCAGGCTTTATTTCTTTAGAGCCTTTGCGGGGCTGGTTCCTTCTGGGATTCTAAAGTTACAGGGCAGCAGGTCAGGTTGCCACCTCCGCGCACCATGCCGAGGGCATTGTCCTCTGCTACTCATTGGCCTTTCCCGAAACTGTATTCAAATCACCAGCCTGTGGTTCTACTGTACCGCTGAGTTTGAATGGAAGGGATGGAAGGTTCTGTTACGACGCTTGGGGCACTCACATACACTCACACATCTGCGCAAATACACTTACACGACACACACTCATTCTCTCCCACACACCAACGCTCCCTCTGTCCGCACACACTCATTCGCACACACACCAACGCTCCCTCTGTCTGCACACACACTCATTCACACACACACCCCCCAATGCCCACCTCTGTCCACACAGATACTCATTCACACACACACGCCAACGGCCCCCTCTGTCCACACACACACTCAGTCACACACACCAACGCTCCCTCTGTCCGCACACACACTCATTCACACGCACACAATGCTCCCTCTGTCCACACACACACTCATTCACATACACACAACGCCCACCTCTGTCCACACAGATACTCATTCACACACACACAACGCCCCCTCTGTCCGCACACACACTCATTCACACACACACACAACGCCCCCTCTGTCCGCACACACACTCATTCACACACACACACCAACGCCCACCTCTGTCCACACAGATACTCATTCACACACACACACCAATGCCTGCCTCTGTTCACCCGCACACTCACTCTCACACACACACCACTGCCTGCCTCTGTCCACACTTATTTACACACACACAATGCCCACCTCTGTCCACAAGACACTCATTCACACACACACACCAATGCTCCCTCTGTCCACACAGATACTCATTCACACACACACACACACCAACGGCCCCCTCTGTCCACACACGCAATCATTCACACATACACACGCCAACGGCCCCCTCTGTCCACACACACACTCATTCACACACACACCAATGCTCCCTCTGTCCACACACACTCATTCTCACACACACACACCAATGCCCACCTCTGTCCACACAGATACTCATTCACACACACACACACCAACGGCCCCCTGTCCACACACACACTCATTCACACACACACACACACACCAATGCCCACCTCTGTCCACACACTCATTCACACACACACACACACACCAACGGCCCCCTCTGTCCACACACACACTCATTCACACACACACGCCAACGGCCCCCTCTGTCCACACACACTCATTCACACACACACACCAATGCTCCCTCTGTCCACACACACTCATTCACACACACACACACCAATGCCCACCTCTGTCCACACAGATACTCATTCACACACACACCAACGGCCCCCTCTGTCCACACACACACTCATTCACACACACACACCAATGGTCCCTCTGTCCGCGCACACACTCATTCACACACACCAACGCCCACCTCTGTCCACACAGATACTCATTCTCACACACACACCCCAATGCCTGCCTCTGTTCACCCACACACTCACTCTCACACACACCTCTGCCTGCCTCTGTCCACACACACTTATTTACACACACACACAATGCCCACCTCTGTCCACAAGACACTCATTCACACACACACACCAATCCCCATCTCTGCACACTCATCCACACACAGACACACACCAATGCCTCCCTCTGTCCACACATACTCATTTACACACACACACCAACGCCCACCTCTGTTCACACACACACACACCAACGCCTCCCTCTGTCCACACATACACTCATTCACACACACACCAATGCCCCCCTCTGTCCACATACTCATTCACACACACACACCAATGCCTCCCTCTGTCCACACACTCATTCATACACACAACGCCCGCCTCTGTCCACACACTCATTCACACACACACAAAATGCCCGCCTCTGCACAGACACTCACACACACACAACACCTCCCTCCGTCCACACACACACTCATCCACACACACCGCCTGCCTCTGTCCACACACACACTCATTCACACACACACCAATGCCTCCCTCTGTCCACACATACTCATTTACACACACACACCAACGCCCACCTCTGTTCACACACACACACCAACGCCTCCCTCTGTCCACACATACACTCATTCACACACACACCAATGCCTCCCTCTGTCCACACACTCATTCATACACACAACGCCCGCCTCTGTCCACACACTCATTCACACACACACACACAATGCCCGCCTCTGCACAGACACTCACACACACACAACACCTCCCTCCGTCCACACACACACTCATCCACACACACACCGCCTGCCTCTGTCCACACACACACTCATTCACACACACACCAATGCCTCCCTCTGTCCACACACTCATTTACACACACACACACAATGCCCGCCTCTGTCCACACACACTCATTCAAACACACACACCAACACCCTCCTGTGTCTGCACACACACTCATTCAAACACACACCAGTGCCTCCCTCTGCACACTAGTTCACACACACACACCACCTCCCACTGTCCACACATTCACGCACACACACAATGCCCACCTCTGTCCACACACTCATTCACACACACACACAATGCCTGCCTGTCCGCACACTCATTCACACACACACCAACGCCCCCCTCTGTCCACACACACTCATCCACACACACAACCAATGCCTCCCTGTGTCCACACACACACTCATTCACACACACACCAATGCCTCCCTCTGTCCGCACACAGATTCACACACACACACCAACGCCTCCCTCTGTCCATTCATTCACACACACACACACAATGCCTGCCTCTGTCCACACACTCATTCACACACACACAGTGCCCACCTCTGTCCGCACAGGCACTCATTCACACACACACACTAACACCTCCGTCTGTCTGCACAGTGGTCACCCACTGGTTACGCGTGAGGATGTCCAGGAGACAGGGACTCATGGTGGGCCAGGTTTCGCCATCCTCCCCCATTTGGTGTTCCTCCTCCATTGCCAACATGGGTAAGTATGGGTCTAATTCTTTACAGGGAAGTGGTAGTTTCCCTACAGCAGCCGAGATAGAAATTATTCTTCTCTCTTTTAAATGCCTGTGACAAAGACTCAATTTATTTGGGAGGAAAAACCTATACTACTTTGGGATAAATTGCCTATTCATTTAATATTTTATTTGTTTATGTGTTACATCCCCAGGTAGATGGCAAACTCCTTGATGTC
This sequence comes from Homo sapiens, assembly GCF_000001405.40. Lineage (NCBI taxonomy): Eukaryota > Metazoa > Chordata > Mammalia > Primates > Hominidae > Homo > Homo sapiens. Next base: position 169,316,717 of record NC_000006.12, read on the forward strand.
AAAAATCCAGTCTCATAATTTGGACCCACGTAGTACTGAGCTTGCTAACAGGGTGTGCACAGTAATCATTTGTGGACAGGACTTTGGTGACTGGAAGTGTTACAAGACAGGAAGACAACAGGCCTTTTCCATTCCCACATTGCATTTTGCTCATTTTCAGTTTTACCCAAGAGTGACTCAGAAATAAAGTATTCGAAGTCTTGGTCGAAATTTGAAATTGAATCCTTGTGGAAGTTCTTTGGGTTCCGTTGGCTTTGGTGAATGCCCTGCTTGCGTTTTAGGTGTTTACCCCTGCTCCAAATTCCATCTGGCTTTCCACACCTTTGCCAGATCAGGGTGGAGGAGTCGAGGCCATAGCATTTCTGATTGAAGAAAGAAAGGAGGGATCACAGAAATACAACAGACACTTCAGAAAAACAGGAGCTCGGAATGGAAAGCCAATACCAGAAACTCGGCTAATCTAACGCAGTCCAAAAAGCCTAAATACTGGAAGAAAAAATCATCTGAGCTGCTTGTGTCTATTATATAGCTAAAAGCAGTTGAATGACAAAATACAGCCATGGTTGCCTAACAGCTTTTTGGTCAGTGACAGACTGCATATACAATGGTGGCCCCATGAGATTCCAGCGCAGTATTTTTACAGCACCTTTCTACCTTGAGATATGTTTAGGTTCACAAATGCCTACCACCGTGTCACAATTGCCTGTGGTACTCTGTACAGTAACGCCTTGTCCAGCCTCGCGATGACGATGATGCTTCCATAAGGCCCTGCATGGGATAAAGCAGTCCCACATGACCAGAACAATCTTCCTACCATGTGTGATATTCATGGGAGACTGGCAAGCAGATGCTCGGCTTCATCGATACGTCTCTGGTGAGACCGTCAGCATGGGTTCTCCCCCGAGCCTGACCAACTTTGGGTAAAGTTGGGCTTTGGAATCTACAAAACCCAGGGCCAGTCCCGAGGAGACAGTGTATCCATAGCCAGACGTGTTCTTCATGTGAAATAGGTATTTTGCTCCAGTCGTTTTAAATTCAATCCAGTCTCTTTCTCTAAGTCAGTGTTGCTGTGTTGGTCTTGACCTCAGCAGCTCGACACGGTTTGAGAGCTGAAGAGGGTGCTGTTCTGCCGGCCTCCTCAGCTGAGCTCTGGGTTGAGGAAGACGTCCATACCTTTCATTTATTCAAGTGGAAGGAGGGAGGAGCAAGAGCAGGGGAGGGTAAGTGGCAGGGCAAGCAAGGCAGCAGCTGACCATTCCAAGAATTCCCTCCCGCATCCCGATCTTCCACCTGGAGAACCAACGGCGCAGCCAGGGAAGTCGAGGCACGCCCACAGTGGCACCAACAGCTGGGACCTCTTATCGCATTTGCGTTTCAGCTTCTGAGTTCAGCGAGCTGTAAAAATACCTTATGATCTTTCAAAAAGCGATTTTCCCTCCAAGCACACACATGTTATGAAATGTTCTTTCTTGCCCCTTCCCCCATTTTTATAAACTCAGAGCAATGTGGATACCAGATTACTAAAAGTCAATTCCATTAAGAAGCAAAGAACCGAAAATGAAAACGCATCTGCCAGCTCACACTCTGCAGTGGCCTTCCATCCACGGGTCCTTGTTGCCAGGATCAAATCTCTCTTTTCTGGAAACCAGGTCCCTTCCTCTTGGAAGGTCATGTGTTGTGGTAACAATGGCACTAACAAAGGTAATTGTTGTTCCCAGCAGAGAGCAAACTCCTAGAGGCAGGGCTGGGGATGTGACTGTCCCTTGTCCAGAGAGAGGCTGGCCCACAATAGGTGTCCAAGGAGAATCAGAATGGGTTTATGTAAGTGATTTTCTAGTCATGTACACAAATTATGATTGAGGAAAATCAAAACAAAAGAGCCAATCGAAATTTGATTTCCAGATCTGCAAATCCATTTGATTAAGAAAGAAAGAACATATCTCAGAGAGTCTATAGACTGAGAGGGTTGCTGGTGCAGCACTCAGATCCTACGCAGAAGCACTTGGTAATAACATACTATATTACTATTAAGTATTCAAAAAGTACTTTCTAATTTTTCCCTCCAGACTATATTGTTAGAGGTGGTTAGATTTCAAGCTGCCTTTATGAATATGGCTCAGTGCTTTGGCAGAGACCAAATATGCCAGAGAGGAGAGTGTCTCGCCGGCTCTGCACTTTGAATATTCTCCTTCACGCAAAACAAAACAAAACAAAAATGTTGCCTATTTATCACAAGAAGCTTTTGGGGTTGGCAGTAGATGAAAACTGTGTGTGCTTAAGGTATGCATAATCTGGTTTATACTATCTTTTTTTTTTTTTGAGACAGAGTCTCGTTCTGTCGCCCAGGCTGGAGTGCAGTGGCATGATCTGGGCTCACTGCAAGCTCCGCCTCCTGGGTTCACGCCATTCTCCTGCCTCAGCCTCCTGAGCAGCTGGGACTACAGGCACCCGCTACCACGCCCAGCTAATTTTTTGTATTTTTAGTAGAGACGGGGTTTCATCATGTTAGCCAGGATGGTCTCGATCTCCTGACCTCATGATCCACCCGCCTTGGCCTCCCAAAGTGCTGGGATTACAGGCTTGAGCCACCGCGCCTGGCCGGTTTACACTATCTTGTTTTATTGGTCTTATTACCAGTGATTTAGTGATTTATTATTCCCCAGGGTCTCCAAGAATACACTGACTCTTCCTCGCTTTAATGAAAAGGGCCAGTATCACAGATCCGCAGTAGAAACTGTGTAATTTTGAATACCAACCTGGAGGTCAGCGTCTTCCTGAGGCTAAGCCCCCGCACCTGCTCAACCCCAGGTTTGAGGCTGGAAGCACCAGATCGAAGCCTGGCAAAGGAGACGCCCTTTTATTTCAGGCTGCACAGACATAATTTCCTCAAGGGAACCCTTGTTTAGAGTGATTTCTAGGAAACATACTGCTAAACCCCCAGTTGCTGCTTCTATACTGTAATGTGTGGTTGGAGGTTAGGGCTCAGCTGCTTTCTCGATGAGGACGTCAGTGAACCCAGACAGACGTTCAGGCTGCTGAGTCCGCACTGCTGCGGTGCTGGCTCTATGTGGTGTATTTTGTCTAGGAAAGAAATGTCTAGCCAAGAACATAGCTAACCCAAACCAATCACACCCCAACACTCCTAACTTGTCTCCTATCTGCACATTTCCATGTTAGGAAGGAAAGAATGAAAACTGCCCGATATTAGAGTCTGCCCCGCCGAGGGTAGCACTCAAATCTAGATTTAGCCTTTTTTCCAGAGGCTTAGCTGTTTTTGGTCCTTTCAACTGGGTAAAAAGTTAAACTAATTTCTCCACAATGCCTTAGGGTGCTTTGTATTCAATAAACAGTAAATAAGTAACATAATTATTTGTTCATCTTATTTCATCTTTTTGCACCAAGCTACAGAACTGTCTCTGCCATGATTGACACTTGCAAACCAAAAATAAAATCCTAAGCTCCCCAGTCAACACAATGGACTGTCCTCTTGGCCACTGGCATTCATTCCAAAGAGAACTAAAAAGCTAGTCCAGGCTTGGATGGGAAGTGGGGTCGGACGTGCCTCAAAACGAGGGTAAAATACCCTTTTCCCTTTGGAGTTCTGGCACAACTGATCACCAGTCACATGAAAACAGAGACCTTAAGACCCACAGCACAGACTCTTAGTAGCAATAAGATGCTAATTCCACCCTGACTGTAGTATAACATCACGTGGTAAGTAGCTGACCCTGAGAGAGACTGAAGTATTTTACCCCAAACTATATTTCTTTGACTTGTTTTGAAATGGCCCTGCAAAGCTGTCTTTTGTGGGGAAAGTCCACTTTCTATAGCGTCCCCTTCCCTTTCTAGATGTTTTTCCTGATCTAGGAGATAATTAAGTAACAGTCTGAGAAGCACCTCCCTAGGTCTGATAGCTCTGCAGCCTGCTACCTGGAGGCCAATTCTGCATGATAAAATCTTGTTCTCCAAAACCCTTATTTTAACCAACACATTCCTTCCTATTGACTCCAGCTCTTTAAATAATAACTTAACTCTTTCAACTAATTGCCTGTTTTTCTCTCTTTGTTGGAGAATGAAGTTTTGCTATGTTGCCCGGGCAGGCCTTGAACTCCTGGGCTCCAGCAATCCTCCTCCTGCCTCCGCTTCCCTAAGTGCCAGGATTACAAACATGAGCCACCATGCCCAGCCTCAATCAATTGCCAATCAGAAAATCTTTGAATCCATCTGTGACCTGAAAGGCTTCACTCTGAGCTGTCCTGCCTTTCCAGACCCAACCAATGCACACCTTGCATAGCTGGTTGATGTCTTCTGTCTCTTTGAAACATGTAAAACCAAGCTGCAGCCCGAACACCTTGGCCACATGTTCCCAGGACCTCCTGGGGCTGTGTCATGGGTCATGGTCCCCATATTTGGCTCAGAATAAATCTCCTTAAGTATTTTACAGAGTTCAACTCTTTTCATTGACACATTCTTGCTTTCAAGTAATAAAAATCCACTCCAAACTAGCTTAAGAAAAAAGACCAATTTGTAAGATGTGTTACCTAAATAAACCCCAGGGCCAAGCCCATTTTCTGCATGGAATTGCAGTTTATGAAGGCCAGTCTAACAACAAAAAGTATTAAAGAGGCACCTTAATTATTTTATTTAAAATTTTTCTCCCCTGACACTGAGGGGCCCCTTTCCTCCTGCTGCCATCCCTTGAGGAACACACAGGTTTCTGAGGGATACAAAGCCCCTTCCTTCTCTCCCCAGCCCTCTCTCTCCTCTCTTTGCTGTAGTTAGCCTTTTCTTCTTTCTAGCTTCTTTTCCATTCTAAACATTGCCTTGATTTTACAACCCCAAAAGCCTGGGAACTAGGCTTTCTCACTCTTCTGGATTTCAGGCTCCCTCGGATCCGGCTGTTGCCACAGCTGTGCAGCAGAGGCAGGGGCTGCCCTCAGCATGGGCACGCACGGCCCTTCAGCTATGGGAGTGTCAGCTGCAGATGGCTCAGCTGAATCCCGCCCAGAAGCTGCCCTTGGCAGAGGGAGCGCCCTCACCCAAGATTCTGCCCCTCCCAGCACTTCCTTTTTTAGTGACTGGGCCCTGCAGGGGCGCAAGGCCTCCCTCAGTGCCCCCTCCCTTTCTGAAAGACACCTCTCAGGCACCTGCATGGGATCAGCTATTATCTTGTCAATAAAAAAGAGTCAAACTCTGTACAACACTAGAAGAGATTTATTCTGAGCCAAATGTGAGGACCAGGATGCACGACACAGCCCCAGGAGGTCCTGAGAACACATGCCCACGGTCGTTGGGTAACAGCTTGATTTTATATGTTTTAGGGGAATAGAAGTTACAGGCACGGACATCAGTCAACACATGTAAGGTGTACATTGGTTTGGCTCAGAAAAGCAGACAACCCAGAGCAGGGGCTTCCAGGTCACAGGTGGATTCAAAGATTTCCTAATTGGCCGCTGGTTAAAAGGGCTAAGCTCTGCCTGAAGAGTTGAAGTTAGCAGAAAGAAATGTTTATAGTTCAGATAAGGGGGACTGTGGAAGCCAAGGTTCTTGTATGTAGATGAAGCCTTCAGATACAGTCTTCAGAGAGAATACAGGACAGATGCTCTCATGAGACCCTAGAAGGTGCCAGACTCTTAGCTAAATCTCCCCTGGATCAGGAAAAGACCTGGAAAGGGAAGGGGATTCTCTGCAGAATGTAGGCTTTCCCCACAAGAGACAGTTTTCAGGCCGTTTCAAAGCATGTCAAAGAAATATATTTGGGGGTAAAAGACTTTTATTTCTTTCATTCAGGGCCTGTCATGTCAACATCTGTCATGGTGGTATCTTATTGCTACTAAGAGTCTGTTTGGTCCATCTGAAGGTCTCTGTTTTTATGTTAATGCTGGTCTGCTGAGCCCAAATTCTAAAGACAGGAGAGTTTAATGAGGCATGTATAACCCTGCTTCCCATCATGACCTGAAGTCCTTTTACAAGTTAACTTTGCAATGCCCTTGTCTGAGAGAAGGGGTCCATTCAGTTGGTTGTGGGCTCAGGATTTTACCATTGGTTTACAATATTTCTGTGACTTCATCTCCATTCAATTCTGCCTCTGCTTAATCCCAGTCCTCTGCCTTCTCACAGATGTGGTTCCCAAGGGCACCCCCAATAAAACTTCTCTGTGCATATCTACGTCTCAGAGCCTGTTTTGTGGTGACAAAACCAAAACAGTCGATACCAGGTATGGTACAAAACAGCTGACCTTAAAATGAGATTCTGTGAACTGAATTATTTACTGGTTGACTGTCCATCAAGACCCCAAGACAGTTAGTAGGAGATGAACCCATAGCCCCTGTCCTACGAAAGCCACGTCCATAAACAGAACATTGCAATGCCCAACAGAAATGCAGTTCAGGTGGGAGGGAAGGCAATGATGGGACAATCCCTCAGGTGTTTGGGAAGTTTGAAGTCAGTCGTTATAATTACTTAAAAGCAACATGGATCAGAGAGTTAGATGCTGTGGGTATGGAAAAGACAATGCAAGGCTAAGGGTGGCTGTCTTACTCTCTTTGGGCTGCTATCATGAAATACCAGAAGTTGGGTGGCTTATCAACAGCCAGTGTTTATTTCCCACAATTCTTTGCTGGGGGCAGTGCATGCTGCCTGGGGCCTTCGGGAGTCACTCCTGGGGTGGGAGAAGAGCAGGACACAGACCCCTCCAGGTGGGGCAGTAGTGGGCAGCGGGAGCCCGCCTGGAGTGGGTGAAGAGCAAGGTGCAGAACCTCCAGGTGGGGCAGCACTTGGCGGGGGAACCCTACCTTTGAAATCATTCTGAACCCCGCCCCCCAACCAGGCCCTAGTCCTTACCCCTTCATCATGTAATGGACTGCAGGTCCTGCCTGGATGGCCTGGGAATCCCCCACTATCATGACGAATGGCACCTTGCTTTCAATGAGAGGGCTATTTCACACTCATCTCCTTATGAAAGTGTGGCATGGCCCCACCCTTGTTTTCTTCCAAACTGGCAACCAGATTTCTCATTTTTTTCTAGTATGAATAGGCTGAAAATCTTTCAACTTTTTAAGTTCTGCTCCACTGTTAATTAACATTCTATCTTTAAATCATTTCTCTCTTCTTAAATTTTACTATAAGCAGTCAGGAAGAACCAGACCACTCTCTGTCAACACTTTGCCCAGAGATTTCCTCACCTAACTATCCTATTTCATCGCTCACAAGTTCTACCTTTCACAAAACATGAGGTCATACCCACAGTTCACTAAGTTCTTTGCTGCTTTGTAACAAGGATGGCCTTTTCTTTCATTGTCCAATAACATGTTTCTCATTTATACCTCAGATCTCATCAGAATGACCTTTCTCACTCATATGTCTACCTGCATTCTGTTCACAACCACTTAGGTGTTCTCTAAGAAGATCAAAGCTTTCTCTGCAACTCTCCTCTTTCCTCCTCTGAGCCATCACCAGAACCACCGTGCACGGCAATGAAGGCTTTTTCCAGCCTGCCACATCAAAACTCTGCAGCCTCTACTCATTACGCAGTTCCAAAGTCATTTCCATATTTTGGCTATTTCTTACATGAGCACCCTGCTCCTGTTACTAATTTTCAGTCTTAGTCTCTTTGGGCTGCTGTAACAAAATACCATAAACTGGGTGGCTTATAAACAACCAACATTTACTTCTCACAGTTCTGGAGGCCGGAAGTCTAAGATTAAGGTGCCAGCAGATTTGGTATCTGATGAGAGTCATGGATTCCTAGCTCATAGGTGATGACTTCTTGCTGTGTTCTTACATGGTGGAAGGGACAAGGGAACTCTCTGGGGTCTCTTTTATAAGGGCACGAATCCCATTCATAAGTGATGCAATCTAGTGACCTAATCACCTCCCAAAGGCCCCAGGTCCTGATGCTATCACCTTGGAAATTAGTATTTTAATACATAGATTTTGGAGGGACACATTCAGATGATAGCAATGATTACCCACTAGTTTAATGCAAAATGTAGATGTTAAAGGTCTATGTTAATACTTCTGCTCTTTGTCCTAATATGGTGTAAAGGGCCCTGGACCCTATGAAAATTCCCAGAAGTATCACACTCATCCGTTATGTTGATGACATTATACTTATTGGAATGAATGAGAAGTGTCCACTTTGCCAGATGTCTGTTAGATACACGTGTTACGGATCTAACTCTGGGATTCATTTAGCCCAGCATGCAGAAACTTGTGAGATGGTGAAGTGAGCCATGGGTTGGAACCAGTTCATGTGGACTGAGCACAGAACTCGGAAGTGTAAGGTGCATACAGAGGAGGCCAGGCTGCCCATCACAGTCTCTGCAGCACCTCTGCCTCCCTTTACCCCTGTGGCCACACTTTGGACCTCTGCCAGTAGGGAGAAAGTTCAACCTGGGTCAGAGTTGGGACATCTCACTGCGACGTGCAGCTGGAAATAGATGGTGTCTGCAGGACAGCCCACTCAGGACTGGCCCCAGACATAGATGGGGGCTGCAAGACAGCTCATTTAGGGGTGGCCCTGGACATAGATGGCGGCTGCAGATCAGCTCACTCAGGACTGGCCCTAAGGAAGACATGGGAGGAGCTTCAAGCCCTGTCCCTGATTATCTGATCCGCCTATGAAACTGCAGTTGACTTAAAGTGAGAAAACATAAATGCATGGATGGCAATTAACGGCCTGGCAGTGTGGTGAAGAGCCAGTAAGGAGAGCGATGACAGGAATTGTTTGGAGAGGAGAGAACGTCTTCTGAGAGGACCAGGAGAAGTGGGTACCTCAGCTATGGGAGTGGGCACCATGGACTATGGAGTGGGCACCATGGACTCCAGTGGGCACCACGGACTCTGTAGTGAGCACCATGGACTGTGGTGTGGACACCATGGGTTGTGAAGTGGACACAGGGACTCACTGTGGAGTGGGCACCATGGATTTTGGAGCGGGCAGCATAGACTGGGGTGGGCATCATCTCCTGTACAGTGGGCACCATGGACTGTGGGGTGGGCACCACGGACTGTAGAGTGGGCACCATGGAGTATGGAGTGGGCACCATGGACTGTGGGGTGGGCACCATGGACTGTAGAGTGGGCACCATGGACTGTAGAGTGGGCACCATGGAGTATGGAGTGGGCACCATGGACTGTGGAGTGGGCACCACGGACTGTGGAGTGGGCACCATGGAGTATGGAGTGGGCACCATGGACTGTGGAGTGGGCACCCTGGTTTGTGAAGTGGGAGTTATGACAGTGAAAATGAAATTTTTTTATGACATATTATTGCTCCTCCTGGAATCTCCCCTACAGATGAGGCAAAAATCAAATCAAGTACACACCATGCCTTGCTCCCCGGTGCTTTCAGCCCCACAGTCTGGCTCAGTGGATGCCTGGAAGTTCCTGGCCCAGCAGGGCGGGTCCCTACTCATCCGGGCATTGCCTGATGAGCGATCCGCCATGGCCAAATGTTTCATCTGTCAGATTCAGGCACCCATGCCGGACCCAACGTGGCAGTGTCCCCGGTCGGGGGTGGATGCAGTGGACCTCTTTCCTCCAGAAGGAGCAGCGATGCCTCGTCCGCAGTTGACGCGTCTCTGAATCCCACCGCAGACCCCCCGCTGGGTCCCCACTGCAACTGCATCCAGTGCCGTATTTCAGCACATGGGCGGTAGCGCGTTTATGCAGCGTTTTCCTACCCCCAGCCCTGCATGCTATGGAGAATTTTGTATTTGCCTACTTAGCTGCTCTTTGGTTTGAGGTCAGGCATGATTTCAAAGACAGCAAATGTCAGATGACACAAACAGTATCCACTCTAACTCCAGCCACATGAGTTAACCTGAGTCTCCTTCTGTGCAATCCCGAATCCGTGGTTGCAGCTCTTGGAGCCCTGGGCTCCCCAGGCGCACCGGCGCCATCTCTAGGTGAGGGACGTGTTATCAGAAATGAAGGGACTGAAGGGCACTAAGGGACTGAAGGGCACCAATACCACCAGCTGTATCTGTTCTCTAAAAAACATCAGTGAATATGTGGTTTTTGAAGACAATATATGAGCCACCTTCTTGTAAGTATTTTCATGGCAGAAGACACGACTAATGACTAAAATACTACTCTGCATAGTTTGAATAGTTAACTTCTTCCAGGCGTCTTCTCAGTTAACTTTTCTCTTGTCAGGGCAGTGGCTCAGTCCTGTAAACACAGCCTTTCTAAATTTAAACCAAGACAATGGCTTTTATCTCATTACAGGCATTTCCCTCTTTTCCCACCTCCACAGGATGGCATAAAGTTTGTTACTGAATAAACATTTCACCCTCTGTAATGTTGTAACATGGAAAATCCATCTGTACGTATCTATAAGAAAGAAAGAAAAATAATTACTCCTTCGACATCCAAGCAAGGGATGAGATAATCCATGCCCTTTCTCTCTACCAAAGGATCTAGTCCATAATTGGAGATTAAGTCAAATTAGTATTTGTTAAATAGACAATCAATGACTTAGATGAATAAATTATGTTTACCAGCCACCCCCTACTAATTCATTCAACATACCCTTAACAATTTGAATTAATAGCCGTAATTCTGAACCCATGGATCAAAAGAAAATAGTAATTTTAAATTTCTACTCAGAGAAATAAACCATAGACACAAAACAAATACAGAGTATAAGTCTATATTATAAGCATTGTAAAACAGCATTTTGCCAGTGTGCATAGTCTCTTCTTAGGAATAGAAAGTAAGAGAATATCATTTCCCAATGATTTTTATAAATAGCATAAAGGCTATTCTTGTGCCTTTTCAGTATGTTTATCCAGCCTGTTACTTTCAGAAGCCTCCATTTGTTAGATAAGATTGTTTAAATAGCTGATAAATCTGATTTTCTAGGTTGTCAACCTCAGGTTATATCCATAAAAGTTGAGCATTATTACATATGTCCTAAGTCTCTGCAGACATTGAAGACCCAGAATAACTTTTCTGGCATTAGATGAAATATTCATAGTGGAATGTTTACATGTTTAATACTTGTAAAATGTTCAACCATAAATATCATTCTCCACAATAACCATAAGATTTAGAAAAGCAAGTGCAGTTTAAAGATCCCAGGGGAATTATAACTAACCATTGATGTTTAATAATGAACATCAAAGCCCAAAACATTATTTATATAACCAACTACCCTGTTTCTCACATGACATGCCTAATAATGTCTTGTTTACTAAATGTTGATTACAGAGATACAGTTTCCTTTTGGTAAGTTTTCAAAAATGTTGCAGGTCAAACAATGGACATGTATGTTCACAGCAGCACCATTCACAGTCAAGAGGTAGAAACAGCTCAAATGCCCCCCAGCAGATGAACGGACAGACAAACTGTGGCATATCCCCACAATGGAATATTATTCAGCTATGAAAAGGAGTGAAGCTCTGACATGTGCTAGAGCATGGATAAAACCTGAAAGCACTGTGCATCCAGGCACAAAGACTTCTATTGCATGATTCCTTGTATATGAAATGTCCAGAACAGGCAAATCCACAGACAGAAAGTAGATCAGTGGTTTTGGGGGGCTGGGAGTGACTGCTTAATGGATATGGGATTTCCCTTTGGGGTGATGAAAATATTTCAGAACTAGACAGTGGCAATGGTTGCACAACATTGTAAATGTACTAAAAGCCACTGAACTGTTCACTTTAACATTGTGAATTGTATGTGATGTGAATTTCCTCTCAATAAAAAAGCAGGAAAAAAAGGTAGAGGCCTTGAATTAAAAAGGCAAAAAATAGTTATTTAAAATTCCAAGGGAAAAAGTAATGTAGTAGCAAGATGGAGAGCCTGCTCTGCACAGAGTGAGGGAGCTTCCGCCCAAGCACGAGCACCGGCTCTGCCTGGCCAGCCGCTCATCAGTGAGTCAGCCTCCACAGCCCCTTCTCCTGGAAAACAAGAGCAACATCAATCTTGTCTTGTTTTGTTCAGTGCACTGCTGTGAGTATGAAACCATACGAAAACACAGACATGTGTGCCTTTAAACTCTATAAACAAACAAACTGAGCTACATAGAAATGCAAAGATGTGGACATCCAGACATGACCTTTTGAGGGTCACCATTTACAAGGGAAAAATGTATGTACTACTGAGGATGCGGCTGGCACTCTGCATTCAGTAATGTTTCCAGGGAAGAAAGTGGTATCAGGTGGGATTATAATTGATATAAAACATTGCAATAATTACTCTTTCCAGCATTCTTCTCTGAAAACAATATAACTTCAATGTATTTGTGATGGCTAATGAATCACTATTTATGATGGTTTGCGGATAACATTATTGACTCAAAACTGTATCATCTTCAGATATTTTGAGAAATGTTCTGTGGTTGTCAAATGTAATAAGTCCAAAATCTCAGGGTGTAAAACACTTGAAGCATTTATTTTCTGTTTCTATTTCTATTCCATTTACATGTATAATAATGTCAAGCATTTATATGTATTTTAAAAAATTTAGGGAGTACAGCTGCAGTTTTGTTACATGGATATATTGTACAGTAGCGAAGTTTGGTATTTTATTGTATCCATCACCCGAATAATGTACGTTGCACCCATTGGATAATTTCTCATCCCTCACTCCCTCCCATCCTTCTACGTCTCCAATGTCTATCATCCCACATTCTCACATTTACACATTATTTACCTCCCACTTATAAATGAGAACACTCAGTATTTTACTTTCTGTTTCTGTGTTATTTCACTTAAGATAATGGCCTCCAGTTCCATCCATGTTGCTGCTTAAGACATAATGTTATTCTTTTTTATGACCAAATAGTATTCCATTGCATATATGGAATTTTATCACATTGTAATGTGATACAATTGTGTGTGTGGATATACATCACATTTTCTTTATCCAATCATCTGTTGATAGACACATAGGTTCATTCCGTATCTTTGCTATTGTGAATAGTGCTGCAAAAAATTTACAAGTGCCGGTATCATTTTGATACAATAATTTATTTTCCTTTGGGTAAATAGATACCCAGTGGTGGAACTGCTGGCATCAGTGCTTGGTCTATCATTAGTTCTTTGAGAAATCTCCATACTGTTTTCCATAGAGGTTGTACTCATTTCCATTTCCACCAATAATGTGTGAGTTCCCTTTTCTCCACCTCCTTGCCAGCATCTGTTGTTTTTTGTCTTTATAATAATAGCCATTCTGACGGATGTAAGATGGTATCTCATTGAGGTTTTAATTTGCATTTCTCTGGTGAGTAGTGATTTGAGCATTTTTTCATGTTTGCTGGCCTTTTGTATGTCTTCTTTTGAAAAATATCTTGTCAAGTCCTTTGCCCAGTTTTTACTGGAGTTAGTTTTTGTTGTTGTTGCTGTTGAGTTGTTTCAGTTCCTAGTAAATTCTAGATATTCGTCCCCTGTTGGGTGCATAGTTTGCAAATATTTTCTCCCATTCTGCAGGTTGTCTGTACACTCTGTTAATTGTTTCTTTTGATGTGCAGAAGAGTTTTAGTTTAATTAAGTCCCATTTGTCTATTTTTGTTTTTGTTGCATTTACTTTTGAGGTCTTTGTCATGAATTGTTTGCCTAGACCAATGTCCAGAAAAGTTTCCTCTAGGGTTTCTTCTAGTATTTTAATAGTTTCAGGTCTTAAGATTCAAATCTTTAATCCATCTTGAGTTGATTTTTGATATGGGGAGAGATAGGGATGCAGTTAAATTCTTCTGCTCATGACAATCCGATTTTCCCAGCACTATTTATCGAAAAGGGAGTCCTTTCCTCAGTGCATATTTTTGTTGACTTTGTCAAAGATCAGTTGGCTGTAGATATGCTGCGTTATCTCTGGGTTCTCTATTCTGTTCCACTGATCTATGTGCCTGTTTTCATACTAATACCATGCTGTTTGGGTTACAATAGCCTTATAGTATGACTTGAGATCAGGTAGCGAGATGCCTTCAGCATTTTTCTTAGGACTGCCTTAGTTATTCGGGCTCTTTTTTTGTTACATGTGAATTTTAGGATTGTTTTTCTTAATTCTGTGAAAACGATGTTGTTGTTTTGGTAGGGATTGCATCAAATCTGTGGACTGCTTTGGGCAATGTGGCCATTTTCACAGTGTTGATTCCCAGGGGAGCAGTCCTCTTATGAGAACAGGTGGGGCAAGGTGTTTTTCTGGAGTCCTTGGAACGCACTAGGGCACGGGTGAAATGGATTCTATAAAACTTCTGTTTGTTTGAAGAAGTAGACTGCAGACACAGGAAGCATGAAGCCCCAGCGGTGAGGAAGACACTGCCCCTGCCATTATCCCCAGAAGGTGCCTGCATTTAATAAAGACAGTGAGAGACTGAGGGAATTATGTACTGGGCTCATTTTAAAGCTACTAGACCACTGATATGAACAGTAAAGCAATGAGTGCAGGTCTGTTGATGATGAGGATGCTGGTGACGATAGTGAATGTGATCACGGCTGCTTAAAACACTCTGTCTAGGTAGGCAGAACACTCTCTGAGAACAGGCTCTTCCACAAGTCTCCTCAGTTTAAATACACCAGAGAGGGTTTGGGGCTGGGAGAGTAAAGTCACTGTATTATTTTGGACAAGTCCTTTCACCTCTCAGAAAGGAGAGAAATAACATTACTTAGCATGCTGGAAAGAGAATTAAATGAGACAGTTTGTGTAATTTCACAGAGACTTCTGTGGCACTATTCTAAATTCTTTACAAATAGTAACTCATTTCAATCCCTTAACCACCGACAGGCTGCTGCTCTTATTCTCCTTACTTTACGGGTGAGCAAATTGAAGAAGAGAAGTAAACAGAATTGCCCACAGTCACACAGCAAGTAAGAAGTCAGGCTCAGATTTGAACCCAAGCAGTTAGGTTCTGAGTCTGTCCTATTATACATATAATATTGTATAGACAAATAAAATGCACTTTAAAATTAAATTGTCTACAAATGATGGCTATGACTATAATTAATCCCAAATCTACTTTGAAAAAGAGGGAAAAGATGCCAAATTTGGGTGGTCTCCTTAAGTCACGTCCTGGAAGAAACATAGACATCACACACAGAGCCATATAGGCAGGAAGTAAAAATATCAACAACATATTTGACTCAATTCTCTATGCATATGGTTACTATAGTTTGTTTTTCTGAATACACATAAATATTGCATTTACTGGTGTCTGTTTAGGCTATCTGTGAATAACTTGGACTTTTGTCTTTATCTCTGGTTTTATATGTAGCTTTCATCGTCTAGTTTGATCACAAATATCAAAGTACATGAGGCCAAATCAGAGTATAATTTCTTACAAGAGACAAATAGTGTGTATAGACGGCACCTGAATTCCACAATGTCATAATTCCAAATAGAAACCATGTGCACGGAACAAGAAGAGTAGATGGTATCACATTCCCTCTTCCCTCTTTTCACGGCACTGCAGGGCAGCAGGGCAGAGCTCTCAGGGGAAGTCAGAACACGGCCCTGGCAGTGATTTGACCTCAGCACACAGCTGTGTGCACGGTCTGGGGGCACCTGGGCTCCTTTCAGCAGCTGCCTGCACACAACCTGCAGACATAAGATGATGCAGGAGGACTGGATATTAGGAAGCTGAAAGGCATTTAAACTGTGTTCTGAATACTACACATATAGACGGAGATGGGAAAGGGCCACTCTGCCTTGTTCATGAGGGTAGATGAGTATTCCGTGTGTCTGCGGACTGGTGACATTTGAAAGCATGCCATCAATAAGCCACCGGCCACGGCTGGATTTCCGCAGGGGTTAGTGGATCTCCCAGCTCCAGGCTACACCAAGGCAAAAACGTGGGCCCCAACCCCCAAGGTTATCTCATGGTCCTTGGAAGGTTCTGGTGAGAAGGAGGGAGATAAAAGGAATGCTCGATGACTCTGGAGAGAGACGGGTGTGACTGGACTCCATCACCATTCGTAGCATGATCTTTTGGACATAAACCTACTTTATGATACTAAAAAAGAATTAGAAATAAAATGTTGCTTTAATCAAGGAGTTCTAGCACTATATAATTCCTTTGAGTATAAGGAAGAGGTTTATACATCACAGAAACACATGAACTTGTACTCACCCAAAATTCTTCAATGACACAAAAGAATTACTCCAAATTTTACTGGAAAAATAGAATTCTACCGAATGTTTACTAAATCCCCAAAGATGATTTTTTAAAAACATTTGCTGCATAAATCATGATAAAAGAAAAACTAGCATGTGCTCCCAATCTTATTTGAATATTTCTTCCATTGGAGCACACAGTGTTGGTTTAAAAGATACACATCATGTGGAATCAATCTCATAATTCACTTGGAATCTTCTCTCAAATGGAATATCACAATCATTGAATAGTTTAATGTGAAGAAAAGTGAGTAGAATACTATGAAATACAAGAATATTTCATTAGAAGGAAATCATCTTGAAATCCCTTGAAGACGAGCCAGTTACTTGGGTAGAAAGGCTGTTTCCACGGTGTGCCACCCAGTCCCCGGCCTTCAGAGCCAACTCCATGCCCCTGTTTTCTACCCACCAGCAGCTCACACAGGAGGCACCGCCAGCCAAAGCAGCCTCCTGAGATCTCCGCTTGCTTTTGCTCAACCAAATCTGCCTCCAATTCTGTCAATATCCATCTCTGTTGAGTTGGTTTAGGGAGAGCTCTGAGTTCACTTTTGGCTGTGTGTGTGTGTGTGTTTCCTCAATGCTGGAACTTGCTTTCTGGTATGGGTCCCTGCTCTTGCTCCCAGAGCTCTTCATGACCTCCTGAAGAAGCCAAGCTCTGCCCCTGTGGAAACCACGTCCATCACTGCCCACTTGTGTCCTGCCCATATGAGGTCTGGCCGCCATAAGGGGCAGGGCAGGATTTCTGTATTTCACCAGAATCTGCAGTTGGTCCCTGGAATCTCATCAAATACCTATGAGTTGGATGAATTCCTTTCCTCGTGAGGTTTCAAGATAACTTGGGGTTCCCGGCCTGTCAGAAAGTGACATTCTTTACTTACCACAGATCACAACCCCTGTGCAGGGACTGTGTACACAGAATAAGAGGACAGTTTCCAAGGGCTTTGTTGGCTTTATAAGTCAAGTTTGATTCCTAAAAGGAGAGCACAACATTCCAGCCAATGCCTTGGCAAAATAATCAGTTTTTCCTATTGTGTCCTGTTACAAATGAAAACAGATTCTTATTGTATTTATGCAAATAACTATATATAAACAGTTCCAAATTCTGGAGAAATCAGGTAGAGAGAAACAAATATGCCCCAAATTTTGTTCATAAGAATATACTTGTTAAAAGCCATTAATAGCTCAAAAGTTTCCTTGACTCTGAAAAAGCAAAACAAAGGATTAGCAACATTGCTTAACATTTTAAGCAAAAGTCAAAAAGATCATTTCAGTCTTCTATCAGTTCAGTTCATGCAGTTCATTCCTGTCCTACTTGATATTAGTAAATATTTTAGCTCTTCAAGAGTCGTGAACGTTTTTCTTCTATGCTAATGTCACAATCTTCAAAGTTATCAGAAACCTGCATTCAAGAGCACCTGGGAGAGCTTTCCAGCTAATTATAAAACCACCTTCTAAAGAGGACCAAAACAAGACAATCGTTTATGGATGACATTCAGGAGCACCTGGGAGAGCTTTCCAGCTAATTATAAAACCACCTTCTAAAGAGGACCAAAACAAGACAATTGTTTACGGATGACATTCAAGAGCACCTGTGAGAGCTTTCCAGCTAAGTATAAAACCACCTTCTAAAGAGGACCAAAACAAGACAATCGTTTACGGATGACAAAAGTTTTAGGGTAGGCATAGTTAAAAACACAATTGACAAGGAAATCTGTTACTTCTGTGGCACACAATAATTTAACATAACAATTATTACTGATAATGTCCACTAAGATACATCAGAAATATAGGAGTCTCCCATAACTTTGAAACAAATACCAAAACATATTTATACAAATATAGCCCAAAGACAGCCAAACACCATTTCATATCTAACAATACTTCCTGTGTAATGTTTATACCAAATAGGTCAAATTTCCCCTTTACATTAGTTACACCCAATTCTTAATAAAACCTTATAAACATATTTACCCAATTTTAATGTTTGACCATAAGGTAAGATTTTTATAGAACTTTTCTAACCCTTTACAGTTTTTGTTAAAGAGCAGGTTAGTGCTCTAAGAGAAACCCATTGTGTTTTTATTTTAATGCTCAATTTACAGAAAAACTGGATGATACTCCTTTAACTTTAGCCAATGTGTTTACACACAGAATTTCCCTTACAATCAACCTTCCACACCTTGCTTAAACCTTCATCTTTATTTTATCTAACTTAAAACAACACTTTAAATCTAGGCAAAAAATCCACATCCTCATGCCTCCTTATAATCTTTTTACCAAAAATATATTTTACTTTCCTTACACACGTTGCACGTAAACTGACATAAAGAATGTTGCTATTTCTTCAACAGCTTTAAATACATGTTACTCTGTTAACTCTTAGGAACCTTCACTTTTGGTGAAAACCTTGGTAAGGTTGGGATTTGAATGAAGAACTAGGTGTGAAGCCTAGGACCTAGACAGAAGTGCAGAAAAAGTCTGACTTATTCCAGCATCTAACTCCATGTGTCCCAGGCCATATCTAGCTGTAAAGCAGGCAGTTGTGCGGCTAAGAGTCATAGTGGCATTTTATACAGCATTTAGGAGGCCTAATCACCTTTAAATTGTATATTTCTTGCATAAATTCGCTTTCATAAATTCTTTCATGACTACACAGACAAGCTACGACACGCCTTGACTTTCTGACTTGTCCTAAACATCCCTCTTTTTAAACAACCAGTCATTTTACTTTTAGGAAAGAATTTACCATACAAGATCCTTTCTTATATAAAATCTCTTTTCTTTATACCTTTTTGCATAGCTAAGGGCATGGTTAATTTCATGTGTCCCCAGGCCTTATCTAGAATTTAGCACTCCAAAATAAATTGAACAATTTGTAAGTCAAAGAAACAGTTTATGACCAAAAACATTTAGCAAACCTAATATTTGACCTGCATAATTTAGTCCAAATGTTTACATTTTTTAGGAGATTTTCATGTTACCAATAATCTTTAAAACTCTCTTTATACTTTCTTTATAGCTCTCTTGTTTTCTGGTTTCTTTTACCTTGTTTTGTATATAACCTTTAAATAAGCTTTGGATTAGACAAAAATTAATTACCCTGAAAAAAGGACACAATATTTAGAAAGAATGTTTTCCTACAATATATTTTCATTGGAAAATAGCCAAATAATGAAATGTCTGTTATTAAATTTAATATAGCTTTAGATTCTAAATTATGACAGGTTTGTTTATGAGTATTTATCCAATTACATTCATCTAATTATTTATTTTAATCATTTACCTAGATGATTTATGAAAGCTGCGATAGTTATCATTTACAGTTATAAAACCACCATTGCAAAATTATAACTGAGACAGTGAGAATGACATGACCTAACCTACTCCATCTTGCTTCTAAACTCCAAGCTATTTTTATTAACTTCTTAGTTATACTTTAGCTTTGAAACAAAGGTGGTAACAGTCCTTTCCCAGAACAAACTTCCTTCATGCTTATGGACTAGATTGCCTAAGGCCACAAGATCCGAAGTTAAAATATTTCACTAAATAATTCAAGATGTAGCTATTTCAATTAAACTAATATTAATGTTTTACTTACTAAAAATTACATAAGCAAAGATTATTCTGTTTTGGGCTGGTTATAGTTTTGTAGCCTGTATGCCAAATTTTGACACCTTATAGTATGTGGCAGAGACAAGTTGGAAATCACTTGATCAATAAATGCAAACAAGTATGCTGGCAATTCTTAAGATATTTCTAATATTACTTTACCAATAATTTTTAAAATTTTTAAAGCTAGCTTATTTATTAAAGATTTACTTAAGTCACATAAACTTAAAAAAGCATTTGACTACTCTTTCCTTTTTTCTGTTAAAGTATGCAAGCACTTTTATTTTTTCTTTGAGCCAATTAATAAGAACTCTTTTATGTATTTTCAGTAGTGAAACATGGTATACATGAGACATAAATACATAGCCGTGTTAGGCATGCCAACAGAAATACATTTTATAGATTCATAAGACCTCCTTTTTTCTATCTTAGACTTGCAAACTCTTGATAACCTGGTTTATTACTCTGGCAGTTGTCAACTAAATAGCCCTAAATCTGCATATTAAAGGAAACAACTCTTAGGTGAAAAAGCAAACAGCAAAATTTTACATCTCAAGGTGCACAGAGAAAAAGTCTGGGTGGTGTTAGAGGGAGATTAAAGAGGAAGGCCAGATCAAACGTAAAAGTATAGAAATTTTATCATAGGACTGTATAAGGAGACTAACTTTACTTAGATATTGACTAAATATCTTTTAACTGGATCTTTGAGCTCTCAGCAGAGCCTACAATGAATCCTGGGTTTTCAAAAAGGGAGAATTATTATGAGGCTAGAACATGTGATGCTTTTACGGTGCACTTAATTTTTTTTTTCTTTGAGATGGAGTCTTGCTCTGTCACCCAGGCTGGAGTGCAATGGTATGATCTCGGCTCTCTGCAAACTCTGCCTCCCAGGTTCAAGCAATTCTCCTGCCTCAGCCTCCCAAGTAGCTGGGATTACAGGCGCCTACCACCACACCCAGTTAAATTTTGTATTTTTAGTAGAGATGGGGTTTCACCAGGTTGGCCAGGCTGGTCTTAAACTCCTGGCCTCATGTGATCCACCCGCCTCAGCCGCCCAAAGTGTGGAGATTACAAGCCTGAGCCACCATGCCCAGCCCCAAACAAAGACATTTGTAAGTGTCTAAATTACACTTTTTCTTAAAAACTGCAGAGTAGCTTCCGTTGTTACAGCTATTAACAAAGAAAACAGAATTTGGTAAACTGAGAAGAAAAACTTTTGCTCAAAATGACAAGGTCCTAGGAGAGAAATAAAAACAAAAACATGAAGACCTTTTAAATGCAAACATGCATACATGCACATATGCATACACACATCTTGGATGTGAGCCTTCCTTTAAGCTGACTTTTCACCATTGAGCTCCTAAAAAAATATATGTTTTTCTTCTCAGAGGACTTTCAGCAGAAATGGACCCAATACCTCCCATTTTTAAGTTTACATGATATCAAAAGGAATAAGGCAGATATGCAAACAAGTGGAGACAAATTTTGGACAACACGAGAGGGCATGCAGTCGGCAAAACAGACTCAAAGCGAACTCAAATCTGATCTCAACCAAAATGCAAAGCTGGTGTATGAGCAAGCCCCATTGCTTCCCTTGGCAGTGCTGGACAAGTGGTTTCACAAACCCAGATGGGAAAACAATGGGCTCCTGGCATATGATCCAGTTAACTCACCCTTGGAGAGCATCTGCTCCTGATCTCCGTTCTTCCCCAGTAGTGAAAGGGACATGAAATGTTGCACACCAGACAGTCCTCCGGAGGGTCCCCGGGAAAATCTCACCAGTAGCTGCTGAGATCCTCCTGAAGAGTGTCTCGTCGCAAGCCGCTGACCACAGCACCATCCTGGTCTCTCCTGGCTGGCTTGCCAAACTTTGTTCCTGGACCAAACTGAGGGTCGGGCTGCTATTTCTTGTGGCCCAATAACCACATGCAGATGAACTGGGGAGGAAGAGAGTTTTTATTTCAGTAACCAGTTACAGGGAGAAGGCCGGGAAATTATCGCCAGACCAACTCAAAATTACAAAGTTTCCCAGCACTTAAATACCTTCTAAGCTATATGTCTACGTATAAATGTGCATTCATCTAAAGACGTAAGTGATTAACTTCTTTTAATCTAAAACTAATGTCTGAGTCCTGAAGACCTTCTCTGGAGCCAGTAAATTTACTTAATCTAAATGGTTCAGGTGCTGGAGTGATTACCCTTATCTTCTCCCCTGCTAAATCATGGAGGTTTGAGGAGTTCCTTCAGCCCCCAGTACGCTTGTTTGTGGAGGCCTGGGGAGTTTCTTCAGACCCCCAATAAAAGTTGTTTAATCCCAAATCTGTCCTGTTAAGAATTCCTTCATTATCTTGTCATGCTTTAAGGCCCAGGAAAGGCCTGGCCAAAACTCTTTATCGGCTTCTGTAACATCACAGCCTTTGTATAAGGGCACTGGCTTTTTCAGCTTTTAATATTTATCTTAACCACTCAGTCTGTAATGAAACAATTGTGATGGAGGTGTGCATTCATGAGACCTGGCCTGCCACAGCTAGAGGGGACGGGCAAAAGATATATTTTAGACTAGAATATAGAGCACACGCAATAATCCATTTTTTTAATCAAAAGAGCATGCCTTGTAAACTGAGAAAGGGGGGCTCCAGGTGAAACTGGGGGAGCTCAGCACTGCAGCCACATGCAGTGAACCCCGAGATTCCAGAACACCCAGAAATGTAGTTCTGTGGGTGCCATGCAAACGTTCACTGTGATAAAAACAACCTGCCGTTAGATCTGGCAGCAACTCCAGGCTGTGTGACCTCGGACACCGGCTCTGAAGCCGCGGAGCCGTGCAGGACGCCCAGTGCCTCCCAGTTCCTACCTTAGTGATATGAGCACTCAGGGAGCATAAATTTCAGAGGTTCCTTCTTAAGTCAGAAAGGAAATCACATCTGAAATTCAAAAACAGCAGTGCCTTAAGATTGTCTTAGCCTCCATGGAAAAGGTTAATGAGGAAATTAGTCAATTAAAATTTGTAGTAAAGAAAACCAAAAATGTATCTCTATTCTCTTTTAAACGGCTAAAATTCAAATGGATAGTAACCCATTGACCAGTTAAAGTTAGCCTTACTCTTGGAGATTCAATAAACTCAAGAAATCACCACTATGAGCTTTCTTTTTCAAATTTAACATGTGTTTCTTATCTAGGTAACCAGAGAAATATTTAAATGTTTTCAGAACTAGCTGCCTTACGGAAAATAAATGTGTACTTTGCCTTGTAGGACGTAGTTGATTCAGTAAGGAGGTAAGAGTTTGCAAGAACAAGTCCTGTTGTCAGCTACGAAGTGGCATCTGCCTCTTCCTGCCCCGGCCTTTCAAAAAGTTCCCTCTGGCCACGTTACACTCATTAAAACAGAATATAAAGATAACGCATGGAAATAAATGAAATACTGATAATGTTTAACTTACTGATAACGGGTATCTTACAATAATTACCATTTATGGTTCTCATAGTTTCCCTTCCAAGAGTTTCAGGAGATAACTGTGAGCTCTGTGTCACTTTCACAACAAGCTGTTTTTCCATCGTCAGCACCTGTGCCCTTCTGAGACCACGCACAAGGGTCAGACCTGGTGCTGGAGACAAAGTAGGCGGGACGGCCCTGGTGACTCTCTTCCTAACACACATGACAACGGAGTGTCGGCTCTGCAGGGAACATGACACACCCAAGGGTCCCCAGGCTTGTCTGAGCAGGAAGCAGAGTGAGCCTTCATGTCTCCAAGATACTGTCACAAAACTCTCCATCCTTGTTCCCAGGCATTGGCCTGACTTTCTTTTCTCATGTCGAGACCCCAGTACTCAATTTTAGTAATTATTTAGTCAGCACTGAGTATTGAATACTGATATTGGAATGGAAATTCTTGCCATTGGGTGAGAGGAAAGTGCCTGGGGCTGGTGGAGGCAGCCCCTCCAGTCGGGTGTGCCCAGGGTGGCTGGCTCTGCCCTCCCTGCTGCTTCGAGGCCTCCAGCCCAGGCAGAGTATCCCTCCTAGGAAAGCTTCTGGAACGCCCAGGAGCAGTCCCCAGGCCCGTAAACGTGTTCTGTTGTCAGCTACCAAGCGGCTTCTGCCTCTTCCTGCCCCTGCCTTGTGCAGCCACTGGCTTGGGCGACGGGCGATGACTCACTTCCCCCGGCAGGCATGCCTCGCCCGGGCACGGAGCTCGCTGGCACAGGGGCTGGCCCCGGGGTGCTTGCCTCTGTCCATGGGCCGAGCCAACAGCGAGCTTCGTGCAGAGGGGAGAATTGCTCACGTGGGGTCAGAGCTGAGCTCACTGCAGGGTCTGCGGGGCTCCCCGGATTCCTGGTGAACCAGCTTTCTCTCCAATGCAGGGTCTGCGGGGCTCCCCGGATTCCTGGTGAACCAGCTTTCTCTCCAATGCAGGGTCTGCGGGGCTCCCCGGATTCCTGGTGAACCAGCTTTCTCTCCAGTGCAGGGTCTGCGGGGCTCCCCGGATTCCTGGTGAACCAGCTTTCTCTCCAATGCAGGGTCTGTGGGGCTCCCCGGATTCCTGGTGAACCAGCTTTCTCTCCACTGCAGGGTCTTCACAGGAGCCCAGGAAAAGCTGGTGTCAGAGAAAGACCCCAGGCAATCAGAGCCACACCCTTCCCAGAGGTGCCAGGATCCTCCTACACCCAGGTTGTGCTAGGGCCAGTTCTCCTAACAAGAAGAGAAAGCCTCGGACCCCAAAGACAGCCTTTGTGCAGGACGGAACCACCCACCCAGGTCGGCCCATTGCAGAAGGAGGCAGCCAGAGCCCAGTGAGGAGGGGAGGCCACCAGGCCAGGGAGCAAGCGTCTCCCAGAGGTGTCGCTTTCCCTCAAGATCCAATTATCCATGACATTTCAGGAAGGTATATCCATCACCTAGGAGGTTCCTCTGGGCGACCACTGGCTACCTTCGGCCACAAACCTTTCTGGTTAAAAACATGAGGAAGTTTAAAAAATGCATGACACTTTTCAACTTTTAAAATTGCTAACTATGAAGTTCTAATGTTTGGAGACCTTTATGATGACCCAACTCCACCTAATGAATAGCGAATATGTTTTCTCCTCCCTATGACTTTTTTAATAACCTGTTCTTTACTGTAGCTTAGGTTATTTTGGAATGCAGTATATAATACATATAACAGCAACACGTGTCCATCGTTTATGTCGTCCCGAGGCTTCTGGTCAATAGTAGGCTATGAGTAGTTAATTTTCTTGGGGGTGCAAAGTTACATGAAGATTTTCAAATGTGTGGGGAGTCAGCACCCCAACTCTTGCATTGTTCATGGGTCAGCTGTGTATATTTTAGGCCCCATGAAACAAGGAGCTGTGTGACCAGGGCCCTGAGCAGCCTCCAGACTGGCCATACTGCCCGGCTCCATCTGTGCACCCTCTCCCTGGCCACACTCACCCGACTTAGATGTCCGTCTGAGCCTGCCACCTGTCACACCCACACCAAATTCTGGCATGTGTCCTGCCCAGATGACTTCACCTGCTGCAAAGCTCCTTCAGCGTCAGGTCTCTGCCTCCTTCTATGTCTCATCCTCTTCCCCACTGTTTCTTCTCCACTTCCCATGCAGGTGAGCCCCTAACAATGACCAAGACCCCCGTCCTTAACCCCACTGCTCTTGTCCAAGAGGGAATCACACTGTCTGGTTGATACGTTCTAGGCTGGAGTTCGCCTTAGTCTCCAACCACTTCAGGCCTTTCTCAGTCCAGCCCATTGTCTGTCTGCTCAGTGAACCTTCCTGTTAACTGCCTCTGTCGCTGCAGTTCCTACAAGATCCCGCCGGCCCCAGCTGGGAGGGCTGGACTGGGTGAGATATTTAGTCAGAGGCATCCTGGTAGTAGAGGAATCTGAGCAGTGTTTAAGGAAGAAACCCAAAGATCAAGCTTTTGTTCATATGTAGGCTTACTCTTAGCATGGCCACACCACCTCCCTTCCCAGGGCCTGTCCTGGTTCACGCCTGAGATGCTATGGAATTATGAACGGCCACTTGCCACTCTCAGAAGGATCCCAGTCCCCGCTCCCGATGATAAACTATAGAGTCACCCAACTTAAACACCACAATTTACACACACTGCAAACTCATCTATTTTCCCAGGGCTGTTAATACTGACATAAACTGGACTCACTCAGCCTTGGGGACACTGGAGGGTTTACACTCCCACAGAGGAAGAGCCTGTGGTGGACGCTGGAAGCCCTTCGATTACACAGAAAGAAGGAAGGTGCTTGCAAACACATATATTTTACTATTGACTTAGGTATCAGTTTGCATTGCTATAGAAGCTTACATCAGCTTCTATTAAAACTAGGTTCTGGGTTCCTGGTTCTGACTCATATGATTTTGGGAAGAGTGTTGGAACTCTGTGCCAGCCTGTTCCTAGGGAAAGGAGCCAGGACTAAGGAGCTGGGCAGAGATGGTGAACCGAATCGTGCCCTCATTGTTCAGAGAACAAAAGACTGAAGACTCCCAGAGGCATAAAACAGCTTCCATGTCTCACTCACGTGGTACAGCTGTAAGGGTGGGGCAGAAGGTTATATGCATATGGCTATTTTTTTTTTTTTTTGGAGACAGGGTCTTGCCCTGTTGCCCAGACTCCAGTGTAGTGGTGCAATCTCAGCTCACTGCAGCCTCAACCTTCTGGGCTCAAGCAATCCCCCTGCCTCAGCCTTCTGAGTAGGTGGGACCACAGGCATGCACCACCATGCCTGGCTAATTTTTTGTAGAGACAAGGTTTAGCTATGTTGCCCAGGCTGGTCTCGAACTCCTGGGCTCAACCAATCATCCCCCTCAGCCTCTCAAAGTGCTGGGATTACAGACATAAGCCTCTGCACGGGCCTCATAAGGTCATGTTTAGAAAAGATCATTGTTACCCACAATCTCAGGATCAGCCAAGTTGCATAACTCCACAGCTGCCATTCACATTTCATTCTTGGATTAGGTGGGTTCACTGTGCTAGATACCACAGGTCAAAAAAGATTGTCTGGGCAATGGTCTAGAAAGTGTGAAAGGAAATTAAATCTTGGGACCCCAAACTCATTAAGCCAAAGGGAAAAATTAAGCTGAGAACTGGGTGCTGCAAACCTGCCTCCTCTTTTTGGTTCCTAATTGATGAAAAGCTACATGCCTCTCCCATATTTTGCCCACAAGGAAATTCCTAGTATGCTCCAAGATCTTTAATCTAAGGTGTTTCTGTGACGATTTCACCACGGCAATGTAAATTGACAGCTTCTCTTTATAGCTGCACTCACCCCCGGCCCACCAGACATAAATGCATATCTGATTGTTCCCCTGCCCCATTTTGTCTGTGATCTTCTGTAAAATGCAGATTCCCTAGGTTTTTCCTCTGCTCCATCTGTCTACGTTGTCTTATGTTAAAAAAAAAAAAATGCAGATTCACTGAGCCAGACAAAGGCATGATTATTTTTCCCTATCCCACATCTTCCATGAAAATTGTGACTATCTCACCCTTTCCCCTTTAAATTTGGAGCCCTCAGAATCGTCTTTGGAGAAAGGCATAGATCTGTCTCCTGGGCGCGCATTCTTAACTTGGCAAATACACCTCCTAAAATGATTGAGACTTGTCTCGTCATGTTTCTTGATTGACAGAAGCTAACACAGAGAACATTTTTAGATGAGAAACCCAATAAATTTTAAGAAGTTTGCAGAGTGCATTGTAACACGTGCCCTTGGAATCAACCCTATGATCTTCTCTCGCTCTCTCTTTCTCTCAGTAAAGGAATACACGGTTCTTATTGTATATACATTATTGTAATAAAAACAAAGTCACACCTGCCTAAGGAACGAGGTGCCACATCCTCAGTCGGAGCCTCTGGGCAGGGCAGGAGGCAGGAGGTGCTCGAGGGAAGTCTC
Source organism: Homo sapiens (assembly GCF_000001405.40). Classification (NCBI taxonomy): domain Eukaryota; kingdom Metazoa; phylum Chordata; class Mammalia; order Primates; family Hominidae; genus Homo; species Homo sapiens. The sequence continues at coordinate 169,344,340 of NC_000006.12, forward strand.
ACCTGCCTCTGCCTGAATCCAGTTGCTTCAGAGGCTGAGCACACCGTGAGCCAACTTCCACTTCATTCGTCAGGAAACCTATTAAAATGTTCACCTGGGGGTGAAGGTTCCTTGTGGTTCATATTCATTTTTAATCCATTTGTTATTTTTGAGATGAAATTTCTCCTGGGTTGAGAAATGATTTCAGTTTAGGGGAAGTATTGGCTGTGTCACTGTTTTCCACTCATATTCTTATTAAGAAATATATTGGCTTTAAAATATTAAACTTTGACTGACTTTATTCTTTTGCTACTTTGGTCCTTGGAGACAGCCACAGAGCAAACTGTATTCTACTCTTTTGGATTCCCTTATTGTCACCATGTCAGGCTTACTTAGGCAGTAGATGCATGATGCGAGGTGTCCCCAGGTGGCAGGGCAGGGAGGTCCCTCAGAGACAACCCACTCCCTGACCCTGATCCCATTCCTGACACCCGGGCAGCGGCACCAGGCTGTGGCTGCAGCAGCACGATCTCACCAAGGGAGGATCTGTTTGTTTTCCAGGTCTGGACTTCATTCTTCGCTCAGCTGGTTGTTATTACGGCCTTTGCAGTAGCAGCGAGAGATTAACCACAGCCAAGTCTCTAAATTTTGACACAGATTCAACCCAAATTCAATCTTCCACGTTCATAAGGAGGTGAGAAGAATGGAAGGAGAAGATGCAATTTCCATATTGCTCATAATTTTATGACTTTATGCTATCATTTCGGGATAGGCAGCACTTTTTTAAAAGTCCACAGGGTAAAGCGTGCTTAATTAAAGTAATGTCAGTGAATCTTAGAGGTGACATTTGTTTTTCCTGTTCATTTTCATGATGCAAAAGAAATGAAAGGGAGTTGGTGCTTAGCAAGTTAACAAAGAATTACAGAAAGTAGAGCCCCCAGGGTGAAAATAACTGGAGGTTGTCTCAGACAGCTGTGTTAAAGCCAGTCCCAGGTCCAGTGTGGGAGTCACGACCGGGTCACTTCATACTTCAGGTTTAAAATATATGAGGCAGTGAAAAAGAAAGGCTGCACTTTTGTACCCACTGCAAGTCAGGAAGGCTTGGCAGTTTTCCAAAGGAACGTCGGGTAGTGGTTCCTGGAAACTGGAGTGACTTCTGCAAATGATGAACACTTAAATAACTGCTGGAAACATACAGGGAGGTGCAGGCTCCTTCTCAGAAGCTGCTGGTTATATCAATGTTTATGCCCCTTCCCTCTGCATGCTCTGTGTATCTATAACACTCAATAACATGAATGCACCACATCATATTTAACTGTTCCATTTTCTTAGCCACTGTAGGCTATGCCACTTTCTGTTGTCATAAGCAACTCTGTAATGATCAATACTGTATAAATGTTTGCCAACTTTACCATATGTCTCAAAAATAGCTTCCATTCCTGCCCTGGTAGCCGACTGTTTCATGAACCACCCTCTCACTGAAAATAGCTAAAATCGTGAGTGCAATTTGACAATTTTCTTTAAATGCATTGCTGAGCTAGCAAGTAAGTAAGAAGTCCTCGGTGGTAAAGAAATAGGGGGTACACAAGAATCTAGTGAGGCAAAAGGAACCTGAGACTGGGCTTGGCCTGGGGAACCTGATAAGCCCCAACCTCTTGTAACGGCCGCTCAGGTGAGGGGGTCTCTGAGGACAAGAGACCACTGCATAAGTTAGGAGCCTCAAGGACCACAATCTCCTCAAAGTGAGCCTCAGAACCCTGTAGGGAGCATTCATCAATGGCCTGACTTGCTGGTTGCTGAGTGGAGAAGAAAAAATCATCCCCCACAAAGAATCTATAATCATCAGCAAGCTCATCCACTGTGTATTGGGCCGGTCAGATCCTCTCGAGTCAGGAACTCATTTCCAGTGATATCAGGTTGTTGATCACTCTGTCCTTCTTGAGACACTTTTTGCTCATTTCCAGTGTGTAGGGGTGGGTTGCCCCTCCACACCTGTGGGTGTTTCTCATAAGGTGGAACGAGAGACTTAGGAAAGAAAAAGACACAGAGACAAAGTATAGAGAAAGAAATAAGGGGACCCGGGGAACCAGCGTTCGGCATATGGAGGACCCCACCAGCCTCTGAGTTCCCTTAGTATTTATTGATCATTCGTGGGTGTTTCTCGAAGAGGGGCATGTGTCAGGGTCACAAGACAATTGTGGGGAGAGGGTCAGCAGACAAACACGTGAACAAAGGTCTTTGCATCATAGACAAGATAAAGGATTAAGTGCTGTGCTTTTAGATATGCATACACATAAACATCTCAATGCTTTACAAAGCAGTATTGCTGCCCGCAGGTCCCACCTCCAGCCCTAAGGTGGTTTTTCCCTATCTCAGTAGATGGAACATACAATCGAGTTTTATACCGAGACATTCCATTGCCCAGGGACGGGCAGGAGACAGATGCCTTCCTCTTGTCTCAACTGCAAGAGGCATGCCTTCCTCTTATACTAATCCTCCTCAGCACAGACCCTTTACGGGTGTCGGGCTGGGGGACGGTCAGGTCTTTCCCTTCCCACGAGGCCATATTTCAGACTATCACATGGGGAGAAACCTTGGACAATACCTGGCTTTCCTAGGCAGAGGTCCCTGTGGCCTTCCGCAGTTTTTGTGTCCCTGGGTACTTGAGATTAGGGAGTGGTGATGACTCTCAAGGAGCATGCTGCCTTCAAGCATCTGTTTAACAAAGCACATCTTGCACTGCCCTTAATCCATTTAACCCTGAGTTTGACATAGCACATGTTTCAGAGAGCACGGGGTTGGGGGGTAAGGTCACAGAATCTCAAGGCAGAAGAATTTTTCTTAGTACATAACAAAATGGAGTCTCCCATGTCTACTTCTTTCTACACAGACACAGTGACAATCTGATCTCTCTTGCTTTTCCTCACACCAGTGATATCAGGTTGTTGATCACTCTGTCCTTCTTGAGACACTTTTTGCATATGTGCTCCATCAATTTCTGAGAGAAGAGTATTAAAATCTTTCTTTGATTATAAAATAGTCTATTTCTATTTTTTGTTCTGTCAGTTTTGCTTCGTGTTTTGAGGACTCTTTTATTAGGCACATGCACCTTTATAAATTATTCTAATTTCCTGATAAAGTGTCATTTACCATTATGCAAACTCCCTCTTTGTATCTGGTGATCCTCATTGTGTAGAAGTTTGTTTCATCTGATATTAATAGTTATTCCAATGATCTTCCTCTTACCATCTGCATGGCTCATCTTTTTGCATCCATTTATTATCAACCTATCTGTATATTCTTATTAAGGTTTATCTCTTGTTGGCAGCATATAGTTTGGTCTTGCTTTTTTACCCATCCTGATAATTTCTGCCCTTTGATTGGAGTGTGTATACCATTAATATTTAATTTAATTACTGATCAAGTTCAATTTACCTCTACCATTTTATCATTTGCTTCTGTTTTTCCTCCATGTTTGTTTTTGATTCTATATCTATCTTTTTTGATCTATGTATTAATACATATATGTATGTGTGTGTATATATATGTATATATACTTAGAGACAGATGTTAAAAAGACTCAATTTTTATAGTTTTTTAAAATTATACTTTAAGTTCTGGGCTACATGTGCAGAACGTGCAGATTTGTTACATAGGTATACACATGCCATGGTGGTTTGCTGCACCCATAACCTGTCATCTACATTAGGTATTTATCCTAATGCTACCCCTCCCCTAGCACCTCACCCCCATGACAGGCTCCGGTGTGTGATGTTCCCCTCCCTGTGTCCATGTGTTCTCATTGTCCAACTCCCACTTATGAGTGAGAACATGCAGTGTTTGGTTTTCTGTTCCTGTGTTAGTTTGCTGAGAATGATAGTTTTCACCTTCATCCATGTCCCTGCAAAGGACAAGAACTCATCCTTTGTTATGGGCTGCATAGTATCCCATGGTGTGTATATGCCACATTTTCTTAGTCCAGTCTATCATTTATGGGCACTTGGGTTGATTCCCTGTCTTTGCTATTGTGAATAGTGCTGCAATAAACATAAGTGTGCATGTGTCTTTATAGTAGAATGATTTATAATCCTTTGGGTATATACCCAGTAATGGGACTGCTGGGTCAAACAGTATTTCTGGTTTTAGATCCCTGAGGAATTGCCACACTGTATTCCACAATGATTGAACTAATTTACACTCCCACCAACAGGGAAAAGTGTTCCTATTTCTCCACATCCTCTCCAGCATCTGTTGTTCCCTGACTTTTTAATGATCGCCATTCTAACTGGCATAAGATAATATCTCATTATGGTTTTGATTTGCATTTCTCTAATGACCAGTGATGATGAGCTTTTGTTCATATGTTTGTTGGCCACATAAATGTCTTCTTTTGAGAATTGTCTGTTCATATCCTTTGCCCACTCTTTGATGGGGTTGTTTTTTTCTTAGATTCTGGATATTAGCTCTTTGTCAGATGGATAGATTGCAAAAATTTTCTCCCATCCTGTAGGTTGTCTGTTCACTCGGATGATAGTTTATTTTGCTGTGCAGAAGCTCTTTAGTTTAATTAGATTACATTTGTCAATTTTAGCTTTTGTTGCCATTGCTTTTTGTGTTTTAGTCATGAAGTCTTTGCCCATGCCTATGTCCTGAATGGTATTGCCTCAGTTTTCTTCTAGGTTTTTCTTTTAGGTCTTACATTTAAGTCTTTAATCCATCTTGAGTTAATTTTTGTATAAGGCATAAGAAAGGGGTCCAGTTTCAGTTTTCTGCATATGGCTAGCCAGTTTTCCCAACACCACTTATTACATAGGGAGTCGTTTCCCCATTGCTTGTTTTTATCAGGTTTATCAAAGATCAGATGGTTGTAGACAACTGGCGTTATTTCTGAGGCCTCTGTTCTGTTCCATTGGTCTATATATCTGTTTTGGTACCAGTACCATGCTGTTTTGGTTACTGTAGACTTGTAGTATAGTTTGAAGTCAGGTAGCATAATGCCTTCAGCTTTGTTCTTTTTGCATAGGATTGTCTTGGCTGTATAGGCTCTTTTTTGGTTCCATATGAAATTTAAAGTCGTTTTTTCTAATTCTGTGAAGAAAGTAAATGGTAGCTTGACAGGGATAGCATTAAATCCATAAATTACTTTGGGAAGTATGGCCATTTTCACGATATTGATTCTTCCTGTCCATGAGCATGGAATGTTTTTCCATTTGTTTGTGTCCTCTCTTATTTCCTTGAGCAGTGGTTTGTAGTTCTCCTTGAAGAGGTCCTTCGCATCCCTTGTAAGTTGTATTCCTAGATATTTTATTCTCTTTGTAGCAGTCGTGAATAGGAGTTCACTCATGATCTGGCTCTCTATTTGTCTATTATTGGTGTACAGGAATGCTTGTGATTTTGCATGTTGATTTTGTATCCTGAGACTTTACTGAAGTTGCTTATCAGCTTAAGGAGATTTGGGGCTGAGACGATGGTGTTTTCTATAGACAATCATGTCATCTGCAAACAGAGACAATTTGACTTCCTGTCTTCCTATTTGAGTGTGCTTTATTTCTGTCTCTTGCCTAATTGCCCTGGCCAGAACTTCCAATACTATGTTGAATAAGAGTGGTGAGAGAGGGCATCCTTGTCTTGTGCCAGTTTTCAAAGGGAAAGTTTCCAGCTTTTGTGCCTTCAGTATGATATTGGCTGTGGGTTTGTCATAAATAGCTCTTATTATTTTGAGATGTGTTCCATCAATACCTAGTTTATTAAGAGTTTTTAGCATGAAGGGATGTTGAATTTTATTGAAGCCCTTTTCTACATCTATTGAGATAATCATATGGTTTTTGTCGTTGGTTCAGTTTATATGATGGATTATGTTTATTGATTTGCGTATGTTGAACCAGCCTTGCATCCCAGGGATGAAGCCAACTTGATCATGGTGGATAAGCTTTTTGATGTGCTGCTGGATTTGGTTTGCCAGTATTTTATCAGGGATTTTTACGTCAATGTTCATCAGGGATATTGGCCTGAAATTTTCTTTTTTTGTTGTGTCTTTGCCAGGTTTTTGGTATCAGGATGATGCTGGCCTCATAAAATGCGTTAGCTATGGTTCCCTCTTTTTCTATTTTTTGGAATAGTTTTGGAAGGAATGGTACCAGCTCCTCTTTGTACCTCTGGTAGAATTCAGCTGTGAATCCATCTGGTCCTGGGCTTTTTTGGGTTGGTAGGCTATTAATTACTGCCTCAATTTCAGAACTTGTTATTCATCTATTCAGGGATTCGACTTCTTCCTGGTTTAGTCTTGGGAGGGTGTATGTATCCAGGAATTTATCCATTTCTTCTAGATTTTCCAGTTTATTTGCATAGAGGTGTTTATAGTATTCTCTGATGGTAGTTTGTATTTCTGTGGGATCAGTGGTGATCTCCCCTTTATCATTTTTTATTGTGTCAATTTGAGTCTTCTCTCCCTTCTTCCTTATTAGTCTGGCTAGCGTTCTATCTATTTTGTTAATCTTTTCAAAAAACCAGCTCCTCGATTCATTGATTTTTTTGAAGGGTTTTTCATGTCTCTATCTCCTTCAGTTCTGCTCTGATCTTAGTTATTTCTTGTCTTCTGCTAGCTTTTGAATTTGTTTGCTCTAACTTCTATAGTTGTTTTAATTGTGATGTTAGGGTGTCGATTTTATATCTTTCTCACTTTCCCTTGTGGGCATTTAGTGCTATAAATTTCCCTCTAAACACTGCTTTAACTGTGTCCCACAGATTCTGGTACATTGTGTCTTTGTTTCAAAGATCTTCTTTATTTCTGCCCTTATTTCGTTATTTACCCAGTAGTCATTCATGAGCAAGTTGTTTAGTTTCCATGTAGTTGTGTGGTTTTGAGTGAGTTTCTTAATCCTGAGTTCTAATTTGATTGCACTGTGGTCTGAGGCAATGTTTGTTATGATTTCCATTATTTTGCATTTGCTGAGGAGTGTTTTACTTCCAATTATGTGGTCAATTTTAGAATAAGTGAAATGTGGTGCTCAGAAGAATGTATATCTGTTGATTTGGGGTGGAGAGTTATGTAGATGTCTATTAGGTCCACTTGGTCCAGAGCTGAGTTCACTTCCTAAATATCTTTGTTAATTTTCTGTCTTGTTGATCTGTCTAATATTGACAGTAGGGTGTTAAAGTCTCCCAGTATTATTGTGTGGGAATCTAAGTCTCTTTGTAGGTCTCTAAGAACTTGCTTTATGAATCTGGGTGCTCATGTATTGGATGCATATATATTTATTATAGTTAGCTCTTCATGTTGCATTGATCCCTTTACCAATATATAATGCCCTTCTTTGTCTTTTTTGATCTTTGTTGGTTTAAAGTCTGTTTTATCAGAGACTAGGATTACAACCCCTGCTTTTTTTGCTTTCCATTTGCTTGGTAAATATTCCTCCACACCTTCATTTTGAGCCTATGTGTGTCTTTGCCCATGAGATGGGTCTCCTGAATCCAGCACACTGATGGGTCTTGACTCTTTATCCAATTTGCCAGTCTGTGTCTTTTAATTGGGGCATTCAGCCCATTTACATTTAAGGTTAATATTGTTATGTGTGAATTTGATCCTGTCATTATGATGCTAGCTGGTTATTTTGCCCATTAGTTGATGCAGTTTCTTCATAGTGTTGATGGTCTTTACAATTTGGTATATTTTTGCAGTGCCTGGTACTGTTTTTTCCTTTCCATATTTAGTGCTTTCTTCAGGAGCTCTTGTAAGGCAGGCCTGGTGGGGACAAAATCTCTCAGGAATTGCTTGTATATAAAGGATTTCATTTCTCCTTCACTTATGAAGCTTAGTTTGGCTGGATATGAAATTCTGGGTTGAAAATTCTTTTCTTTAAGAATGTTGAATATTGGCCCCCACTCTCTTCTGGATTGTAGGGTTTCTGCAGAGAGATCTGCTGTTAGTCTGATGGGCTTCCCTTTGTGGGTAACCTGATCTTTCTCTCTGGCTGCCCTTAACATTTTTCTCCTTCATTTCAACCTTGGTGAATCAGACGATTATGTGTCTTGGGGTTGCTCTTCTCAAGGAGTATCTTTGTGGTGTTCTCTGTATTTCCTGAACTTGAATGTGGGCCTGTCTTGCTAGGCTGGGGAAGTTCTCCTAGATAATATCCTGAAGAGTGTTTTCCAACTTGGTTCCATTCTCCCCATCACTTTCTGGTATACCAATCAAACGTAGGTTTGGTCTTTTCACATAGTCCCATATTTCTTAGAGGCTTTGTTCATTCCTTTTTATTCTTTTTTCTCTAATCTTGTCTTCACACCTTATTTCATTAAGTTGATCTTCAATCTCTGATATCCTTTCTTTTGCTAGATCGATTCAGCTATTGATACTTGTGTATGCTTCATGAAGTTCTTGGGCTGTGTTTTTCAGCTCCATCAGGTCATTTATGTTCTTCTCTAAACTGGTTATTCTAGTTAGCAATTCCTCTTTTTTCAAGGTTTTTGGCTTCCTTTCATTGGGTTAGAACATGCTCCTTTAGCTCAGAGGAGTTTGTTATTACCCACCTTCTGAAGCCTACTTCTATCAGTTTGTCAAACTCATTCTCTGTCCAGTTTTGTTCCTTTGCCGACAAGGAGGTGTGATCCTTTGGAGGAGAAGAGGTGTCCTGGTTTTTGGAATTTTCAGCCTTTTTGCACTGGCTTTTCCTCATCTTTGTGTATTTATCTACCTTTGGTCTTTGATGTTGGTTACCTTCAGATGGGGTTTTTGTGTGGACGCCCTTTTTGTTGATGTCAATGCAATTCTTTTCTGTTTATTAGTTTTCCTTCTCACAGTCAGGCCCCTCTACTGCAGGTCTGCTGGAGTTTGATGGAGGTCCACTCCAGACCCTGTTTTTTGCCTGGGTATCACCAGCGGAGGTTGCAGAAGAGCAAAGATTGCTGCCTGTTCCTTCCTCTGGAAGCTTTGTCCCAGCAGGACACCCACCAAATGCCAGCTGGAGCTCTCCTGTATGAGGTGTCTGTTGAGCCCTGCTGGGAGGTGTCTCCCAGTCAGGAGGCACAGGGGTCAGGGACTCACCTAAGGAGGCAGCCTGTCCCTTAGCAGAGCTCGAGCGCTGTGCTTAGAGATCCGCTGCTGTCTTCAGAGCTGGCAGACAGGAATGGTTAAGTCTGCTGAAGCTGTGCCCAGAGCTGCCCCTTCCCCCAGGTGCTCTGTCCCAGATAAGCCCCTGACTGGGGCTGCTGCCTTTCTTTCAGAGATGCCCTGCCCAGAGAGGAGGAATCTAGAGAGGCAGTCTGGCTACAGCGGCTTTCCTGAGCTGCAGTGGGCTCTGCCCAACTCAAACTTCTTAGCAGCGTTGTTTACACCATGAGGGAAAAACTGCCTCCTCAAGCCTCAGTAATGGCAGACGCCGCTCCCCCCAAGAAGCTCAAGAGTCCCAGGTCAACTTCAGACAGCTGTGTTGGCAGGGAGAATTTCAAGCTAGTAGATCTTAGCTTGCTGGGCTCTGTGGGGGTGGGATCTGCTGAGCTAGACCACTTGGCTCCGTGGCTTCAGCGCCCATTCCAGGGGAGCAAATGGTTCTGTCTTGCTGGCTTTCCAGGAGCCACTGGGGTATGAAAAAAAATTCTTGCAGCTAGCTCAGTGTCTCCCCAAACAGCCGCTCAGTTTTGTGCTTGAAACCCAGGACGTTGGTGGTGTAGACACATGAGGGAGTCTCCTAGTCTGCAGATTGTGAAGACCGTGGGAAAAGCATAGTATCTGGGCTGGAATGCACCATTCCTCATGGCACAGTCCCTTACCGCTTCCCTTGGCTAAGGGAGGGAGTTCCCCGACTCCTTGCATTTCCCGGGTGAAGCGACACCCCACCCTCCTTCAGCTCACCCTCCGTGGGCTGTACCCACTGTCTAACTAGCCCCAGTGAGATAAGCCAGGTACCTCAGTTGGAAATGCAGAAATTGCCTGCCTTCTGCATTGATGTTACTGGGAGCTGCAGACTGGAGCTCTTCCTATACAGCCATCTTGCCAGCCACCTCAATTTTTATAATTTTTAACAGAAGTGAGATCCCAGGTTTTGCGGGCTTAAATGTTGTACAACTTGGAGAACTCTCTATGAAAATTGCATGCATAAAATTATAAAGAGTTGAGAACATTTATTTAGAGTAAGAAAATAATTTATGATAAATTAAATATTTTAAATATGATAGTTACCACAGGCATCACAAAATTCAAGAAAATAGCATTTTTAAAAATTGTTAAAGTGCACAGCACACCTTTATAATACTTTAACTTCAGTTTTTGGCTACATTTTGTTTTCTTATTTCTTCATAAATGACCATAAGGTCATGCAACTTTGTACCATGATATTGGGGGAACCCAGCCCCCAATATTTCAACATAGGTTCTTTCTATTTTCCATAAGTGTTAGTGGGCTGAGAAATAAAGACAGACCGTACAAAGAGAGGAATTTTACAGCTGGGCTGCCGGGGGTGACATCACATATCGGTAGGACCATGATGCCCACCTGAGCCTCAAACCAGCAAGTTTTTATGAAGGGTTTCAAAAGGGGAGGGGTGTAAGAACAGGGAGTAGGTACAAAGATCACATGCTTCAAAGGGCAAAAAGCAGAACTACTAATAAGGGTCTAACGAAGATCACATGCTTCTGAGGGAACAGGACAAAGGGCAAAAGCAGAATTACTGATAAGGATCCAACAAAGATCGTAAGGCAAAGGGCAAAAGCAGAACTACTGATAAGGGTCCAACAAAGATCACAAGGGAAAGGGCAAAAGCAGAACCACTGATAAGGGTCTATGTTCAGCGGTGCACATATTGTCTTGATAAACATCTTAAACAACAGAAAACAGGTTTCGAGAGCAGAGAACCAGTCTGACCACAAATTTACTAGGGCTGAGTTTTTCCCCACCCTAGTAAGCCTGAGGGTTCTGCAGGAGACCAGGGCATATCTCAGTCCTTATCTCAACTGCACAAGACAGATATTTCCCAGAGCAGCCATTTATAGACCTCCCCACAGGAATGCATTCCTTTCCCAGGGTATTAATATTAATATTCCTTGTTAGGAAAAGAATTTAGCAATATCTCTCCTGCTTGCACATCCATTTATGGGCTCTCTGCAAGGAGAAAAATATGGCTATTTTTGCCCAACCCCGCAGGCAGTCAGACCTTATGGTTGTCTTCCTCTGTTCCCTAAAAATCGCTGTTATTCTGTTCTTTTTCAAGGTGCACTGATTTCATATTGTTCAAACACACATGTTTTATAATCAATTTGTACAGGTAACACAATTATCACAGTGGTCCTGAGGTGACCTACATCCTCAGCTTACAAAGATAACAGGATTAATAGACTGAAGTAAAGACAGGCATAAGAAATTATAAAAGTATTATTTGGGAACTGATAAATGTCCATATTAAAATGAAATCTTCACAATTTATGTTCCTCTGCCGCGGCTCCAGCCAGTCCCTCCATTCGGGGTCCCTGATTTCCTGCAACACCAAGATGCTGGGTAAGTCAGCAGAGTGGGTTATTGGAGTAGTTTTCAAAACCATTTCACTATCAGAACACAGAAGTGACTATGACCATATACACGTACTCCACTAACTCTGAACCAAATGCACCCATGGCTCTACTTCCCCTTAGACAGACTCAAAAGATGCTGTAGCAATTCTGACATCATTTGCCACTGTGGGAAATTTGACTGCTGGGAAGTTGGACTGAGAGAGACAATCGTTTTTGCTGATTGCAGTTAAAAATCTTTTGAAAATTTCACAAAAACCTATGCATCATGCTGCTGGAGGCCCAGCAGTTCTGGGGAAGGTCCTCAAGTTTCAGCATTGTTAGTTTTATGGTTAATCTACTCTGATAATCAATGATAAGAATAGAGAACTAACATTTCTTATGTGTCATGCTTCTTTTCCAACCCCCAGTCATCAGGATTTCTCCCAGGCTTGGGCATCCTGGAGGGTCTCCTTGGCTTCACATTTGCAGCAACATCAGATGCCAGAAAACGTGGGGGTAACATTTCCAGATGTAAAGAAGTGTTTTCATAAAAGTCCTCCCTTCATTTATTCACTCATTCATGCAACAGATATTTAATGAGCTCTTGTTATTCCTCAGGCTCCACTTGAGTTGTGAGAGAGACAACTGTGAATAAAATAGATGGAATTATTTCCCTGATAGAGTTTAAGATGTTATGGGGTGAGGCAGACAAGAGATGATTATTCAAATCTAAGTAATAGAAAGACATTCCTTATTATGCAGATGAGATTAATTTAACTCAGAAAGCCTTCTTTAAAATTTACCTCAAGCGATATGAAAGACAACTAAGATATCTACATGGCAACCCATGAAATAATTTGGAGGTACTATAGGAGAGTGTTAGAGAGCATGTGGTTTGGAGTGAAGCACCTCGGATTTCAATCCTGACTAATGCTGACTCTTAGATTTTAATCCTGATTTGCCATATCTCTACTACTTATACAGAAGTAAAATATAAAAATAGTCATATGCAGAACAGTGAGTAAATGGAATTAAAATATTTTAAGGTTATTACACATTACAAAAAGTATTACAATACTAACTTTAATTAGAATGGGATCAACTAAAGATCTACTTTGCAATCTGTAGGGTGACTGCTAAAATAATTAAATGCAATCAGGTAGATCCAAAAATCTCATGGGGAAACCAAACTGTATACCTAGAATATACAGTTAACTAAAAGACGGCAGAAAAAATGATCATATTAAAAGTAGCTGGGACACATAAAACATAAATAATATGATGGTAGACTCAAATTCAACCACATCAGCAGTTAAATATAAATATAATAAGCACTGCAATAAAAGACAGAGATTTTCAGACTTTTTAAAATCACAAGCCAACAAAAGATAAACGGTAGGAAAAGATGTGGCATACCCGGTAATATCAGACAAGCAGGATATTAAGCGGTGCTGCTCCAAGACAATAAAGATTATCAGGAATAAGAAGCAGAACTCCAAAATAACAAAATGATCAATTTATTAGGAAGATACAGAGCTTCAAAATGCATGAAGCAAAATAATGATTGAATTAAAGGGAGAATTAGACAATTTCACAAGAATAATTTAAGCTCTTAATAATAAAGCAAATAGAAAAAAAATAGTGAGAATATGAACAATTTGAACAGCAGTATAAATACATTTTACTTAATTAACATTATAGAAGACATCACTCAACAAATATGAAACACACATTCTTTTCAAGTATTTGTGAAAAAAACCTTGAAAAAAAATTAGACGAATGGCTAACTGGAATAACCATGCAGAGAAGTCCTTAAAGGACCTGATGGAGCTGAAAACCAAGGCACGAGAACTACGTGATGAATGCACAAGCCTCAGTAGCCGATTCGATCAACTGGAAGAAAGGGGATCAGTGATGGAAGATCAAATGAATGAAATGCAGTGAAAAGAGAAGTTTAGAGAAAAAAGAATAAAAAGAAATGAACAAAGCCTCCAAGAAATATGGGACTACATGAAAAGACCAAATCTACGTCTGATTGGTGTACCTGAAAGTGACAGGGAGAATGGAACCAAGCTGGAAAACACTCTTCAGGATATCATACAGGAGAACTTCCCCCATCTAGCAAGGCAGGCCAACATTCAAATTCAGGAAATACAGAGAATGCCACAAAGATACTCCTCGAGAAGAGCAACTCCAAGACACATAATTGTCAGATTCACCAAAGTTGAAATGAAGGAAAAAATGTTAAGGGCAGCCAGAGAGAAAGGTCGGGTTACCCACAAAGGGAAGCCCAACAGACTAACAGCTGATCTCTCGGCAGAAACTCTACAAGCCAGAAGAGAGCGGGGGCCAATATTCAACATTCTTAAAGAAAAGAATTTTCAACCCAGAATTTCATATCCAGCCAAACTAAGCTTCATAAGTGAAGGAGAAATAAAATCCTTTACAGACAAGCAAATGCTGAGAGATTTTGTCACCACCAGGCCTGCCCTAAAAGAGCTCCTGAAGGAAGCACTAAATATGGAAAGGAACAACTGATACCAGCCACTGCAAAAACATGCCAAATTGTAAAGACCATTGAGGCTAGGAAGAAACTGCATCAACTAATGAGCAGAATAACCAGCTAACATCATAATGACAGGATCAAATTCACACATAACAATATTAACCTTAAATGTAAATGGGCTAAATGCTCCAATTAAAAGACACAGACTGGCAAATTGGATAAAGAGTCAAGACCCATCAGTGTGCTGTATTCAGGAAACCCATCTCACGTGCACAGACACACATAGGCTCAAAATAAAGGGATGGAGGAAGATCTACCAAGCAAATGGAAAACAAAAAAAGGCAGGGGTTGCAATCCTAGTCTCTGATAAAACAGACTTTAAACCAACAAAGATCAAAAGAGACAAAGAAGGCCATTACATAATGGTAAAGGGATCAATTCAACAAGAAAAGCTAACTATCCTAAATATATATGCACCCAGTACATGAGCACCCAGATTCATAAAGCAAGTTCTTAGAGACCTACAAAGAGACTTAGACTCCCACACAATAATAATGGGAGACTTTAACACCCCACTGTAAACATTAGATAGATCAACGAGACAGAAAGTTAACAAGGATATCCAGGAATTGAACTCAGCTCTGCACCAAGCAGACCTAATAGACATCTACAGAACTCTCCACCCCAAATCAACAGAATGTACATTCTTCTCAGAACCACACCACACTTATTCCAAAATTGACCACATAGCTGGATGTAAAGCACTCCTCAGCAAATGTAAAAGAACAGAAATTAAAACAAACTGCCTCTCAGACCACAGTGCAATCAAACTAGAACTCAGGATTAAGAAACTCACTCAAAACCACTCAACTACATGGAAACTGAACAACTGCTCCTGAATGACTACTGACTACATAACGAAATGAAGGCAGAAATAAAGATGTTCTTTGAAACCAAAGAGAACAAAGACACAACATACCAGAATCTCTGGGACACATTCAAAGCAGTGTGTAGAGGGAAATTTATAGCACTAAATGCCCACAAGAGAAAGCAGGAAAGATCTAAAATTGACACCCTAACATCACAATTAAAAGAACTAGAGAAGCAAGAGCAAACACATTCAAAAGCTACCAGAAGGCAAGAAATAACTAAGATCAGAGCAGAACTGAAGGAAATAGAGACACCAAAAAACCCTTCAAAAAAATCAGTGAATCCAGGAGCTGGTTTTTTGAAAAGATCAACAAAATTGATAGACCACTAGCAAGACTAATAAAGAAGAAAAGAGAGAAGAATCAAATAGACGCAATAAAAAATGATAAAGGGGAGATCACCACTGATCCCACAGAAATACAAACTACCATCAGAGAATACTATAAACACCTCTATGCAAATAAACTGGAAAATCTAGAAGAAATGGATAAATTCCTAGACACATACACCCTCCCAAGACTAAACCAGGAAGAAGTTGAATCTCTGAATAGACCAATAACAGGCTCTGAAACTGAGGCAATAATTAATAGCTTACCAACCAAAAAAAGTCCAGGACCAGATGGATTCACAGCCAAATTCTACCAGAGGTACAAGGAGGAGCTGGTACCATTCCTTCTGAAACTACTCCAGTCAATAGAAAAAGAGGGAATCCTCCCTAACTCATTTTATGAGGCCAGCATCATCCTGATCCCAAAGCCTGGCAGAGACACAACCAAAAAAGAGAATTTTAGACCAATATCCCTGATGAACATCGATGCAAAAATCCTCAATAAAATACTGGCAAACTGAATCCAGCAGCACATCAAAAAGCTTATCCACCATGATCAAGTCGGCTTAATCCCTGGGATGCAAGGCTGGTTCAATATACGCAAATCAATAAATGTAATCCAGCATATAAACAGAACCAAAGACAAAAACCACATGATTATCTCAATAGATGCAGAAAAGGCCTTTGACAAAATTCAACAACCCTTCATGCTAAAAACTCTCAATAAATTAGGTATTGATGGGATGTATCTCAAAATAATAAGAGCTATCCATGACAAACCCACAGCCAATATCATACTGAATGGGCAAAAACTGGAAGCATTCCCTTTGAAAACTGGCACAAGACAGGGATGCCCTCTTTCACCACTCCTATTCAACATAGTGTTGGAAGTTCTGGCCAGGGCAATCAGGCAGGAGAAGGAAATAAAGGGTATTCAAGTAGGAAAAGAGGAAGTCAAATTGTCCCTGTTTGCAGATGACATGATTGTATATCTAGAAAACCCCATCGTCTCAGCACAAAATCTCCTTAAGCTGATAGGCAACTTCAGCAAAGTCTCAGGATACAAAATCAATGTGCAAAAATCACAAGCATTCTTATACACCAATAACAGAGAAACAGAGAGCCAAATCATGAGTGAACTCCCATTCACAATTGCTTCAAAGAGAATAAAATACCTAGGAATCCAACTTACAAGGGACGTGAAGGACCTCTTCAAGGAGAATTACAAACCACTGCTCAATGAAATAAAAGAGGATACAAACAAATGGAAGAACATTCCATGCTCATGGGTAGGAAGAATCAATATCATGAAAATGGCCATACTGCCCAATGTAATTTATAGATTCAATGCCATCCCCATCAAGCTACCAATGACTTTCTTCACAGAATTGGAAAAAACTACTTTAAAGTTCATATGGAACCAAAAAGGAGCCCACATTGCCAAGTCAATCCTAAGCCAAAAGAACAAAGCTGGAGGCATCATGCTACCTGACTTCAAAGTATACTACAAGGCTACAGTAACCAAAATAGCATGGTACTGGTACCAGAACAGAGGTATAGATCAAGGGAACAGAACAGAGCCCTCAGAAATAATGCCACATATCTACAACCATGTGATCTTTGACAAACCTGACAAAAACAAGCAATGGGGAAACGATTCCCTAGTTAATAAATGGTGCTGGGAAAACTGGCTAGCCATGTGTAGAAAGCTGAAACTGGATCCCTTCCTTACACCTTATACAAAAATTAATTCAAGATGGATTAAAGACTTACATGTTAGACCTAAAACCATAAAAACCCTAGAAGAAAACCTAGGCAATATCATTCAGGACATAGGCATGGGCAAGGACTTCATATCTAAAGCACCAAAAGCAACAGCAACAAAAGCCAATATTGACAAATGGGATCTAATTAAACTAAAGAGCTTCTGCACAGCAAAAGCAACTACCATCAGAGTGAACAGGCAACCTACAGAATGGGAGAAAATTTTTGCAATCTACTCATCTGACAAAGGGCTAATATCCAGAATCTACAATGAACTCAAACAAATTTACAAGAAAAAAACAAACAACCCCATCAAAAAGTGGGCAAAGGATATGAACAGACACTTCTCAAAAGAAGATATTTATGCAGCCAAAAGACACATGAAAAAATGCTCATCATCACTGGCCATCAGAGAAATGCAAATTGAAACCACAATGAGATACCATCTCACACCAGTTAGAATGGCGATCATTAAAAAGTCAGGAAACAACAGGTGCTGGAGAGGATGTGGAGAAATAGGAACACTTTTACACTGTTGGTGGGACTGTAAACTAGTTCAACCATTGTGGATGTCAGTGTGGCGATTCCTCAGGGATCTAGAATGGGAAATACCATTTGACCCAGCCATCCCGTTACTGGGTATATACCCAAAGGATTCTAAATCATGCTGCTCTAAAGACACATGCACACGTATGTTTATCGCGGCACTATTCACAATAGCAAAGACTTGGAACCAACCCAAATGTCCAACAATGATAGACTGGATTAAGAAAATGTGGCATATATACACCATGGAATACTATGCAGCCATAAAAAAGGATGAGTTCACGTCCTTTGTAGGGACATGGATGAAGCTGGAAACCATCATTCTCAGCAAACTATCGCAAGGACAAAAAACCAAACACCACATGTTCTCACTCATAGGTGGGAACTGAACAATCAGAACACATGGACACAGGAAGGGGAACATCACACACAGGAGCCTGTTGTGGGGTGGGGGGAGGGGGGAGGGATAGCATTAGGAGATATACCTAATGTTAAATGACGAGTTAATGGGTGCAGACACCAACATGGCACATGTATACATATGTAACAAACCTGCATGTTGTGCACACATACCCTAAAACTTAAAGTATAATTTAAAAAAAATAAAAAATAAAAAAAACAAAAAAAGTATACATGAAATATTTGCCAAGATATCCCATATGCTGGGCCATAAAATATGTCTCAATAAACTTAAAAATATGTCTCAATAAATTTTGTACTACCCAGTATGATCTCTGACCACGATGGAATTTATCTAGTAATCATAAATAGTAAATTATCCAAAAATGCCCTTGTATATTTCACAATAATTTATAAATAATCCATGACTCAAAAGGCTAACTGTGGTTTGAAGGTCTTAGGGTGTTGTCACCCTTAGTTACTTAGCTCTTATTTTGCTCCTTTTTCAGGTAACTATCAAACTAACTTTTTCTTACTTGTCAGCATTTGCCTTTGATTTTAACAGTCCCCCAGTGTAACTTCCCTAGACTTTACGAATCTCTCCATCTCATGAAGAGATTTCCCTTCCCTGCTATTTATGTCTTATTCGAATTGGATCAGTAAGTGGGGCAAAGGTAATGTTCAATGAAAAAGAACATTTAGGAGAGGCCTTGATTTTCCAAGTGATGAGTTTATTATTGAATGTTTTTGAGTTATTACTTTATTTGCTTCATTATGCAACCTTGTAACTTTGGAGATTTTTTATAAACACTCAGATAAATTCTAAGGACAATTGTGTCTATATTACACAACATGAATTGGAGGAAACCAGTTATAAAAGTTTAAGGGAACAGCTAACACAGATGTATCCCCCATACTGCAATTTTGTGTGTGTGTGTGTGTGTGTAATATATAATGGATGGAATATATAAAAAGAAAACAGTAGTTGGTTTTATCAAATATATTTTATAATTCTACATCTTTAGCTTGCGTCTTACTTTCTTATTTCTATCATAAATTTCCTGAGTCTTTTTATATAGCATTCTCAATCTGATTGACTGTTATGATAATGATTCCTGCTAATTTATTCTTGATGCAAAAACAACAGCAGTGCCATGTGCTGATGGTACCACGCTGAGCTCATGTGTGAGTGTACCTGTGGGCTTCACAACTGCCTTAGGAGTGTATTCCTATTACGTTTATTTTACAGATGAGGAGAGTGAGGCTAAGAAAGGTTAATGAGCTTGAAGCCTGCCCAATTCATAAGAGGCAAGCAAAAGATGTCGAATTTTGCCATTGGGTGTCACTCTCTCAATCACTGTTTCTGTGTAACATCTCCAAAAGTTACTGTCCCTAAGTTAACTTATACACTCAACTACAAAACCCTTTAAGTGAGGGCGACCGTGACCCAGTCGCCTCTAGAGCTCTGTCTCACGTGGGGCTTGGCCCGGGGCAGGCGTCCAAGTACCATTTGTGGGTGGAACCAGGGCCCAGAGGAGCCCACATGTGTCACTGTCTTGTGCAGGGTGCTCAGTAATGGCTTTGGTATTCGTGAACAGACTCTTTGTATCTCTTCTGTCTCTCTTCGCATTTGCAGAGAATAAACCTATTTCACAAATATTGTGTCAGAATTTGATAATTTGGTTATTGGCATGGAGTTTGGAATACTTAATTCACAGCAAGGATAGGAAATTGCACTACCTGTGAGAAGTTGGAGGCCTGTGTCCTTGGTCATGGTCAGGCTAAACCCCTGGAAAAGCTGGAGCTCCGACCCTGACCCACCTTCAAACCTGTTTTTGTCTCTCATATCTCCAGAGACTTCCAGAAGGAATCCCTGTGCTAATGTTCTGTTACACTAATGTAATAGATCACCTATTCAATATAAGGCATTATGAAGACATAGCATCTTTGAGACCCCTGAAGAATAAACTATTACTGTTGCTGGTACTGGTGTTAAATGATCGTTTATTTCATGTTACTTAAAAACAATTTCCCTACCTATCTACAATTTGATTGTAGCTAGAGTCAGGAGAAGAAATAAATAGATCAGGACCTTTCTCTGGTAAAGTACTTGGATTTCAAAGTATTTGTTTTCAATCAAATACAACTAGGGAACATCATAGCAAACAAAGACAATTCTGAGGAGTTATTAGAATGATATCAGGGATAATTGTTTAAAAAGTATTGTGAACCAGAGGCATAACACTTGAAAATTTAAAACACCACGATTACATGGCATGATACATTATAAAACACAAAATGAAATCTCAAAAATTGGTTATAAGGTTATAATAAGATAACTTTTTCCTTGTTGGTTATTACTTCCACAGCGAAAAGTAAAAATACAACTTGGCTAATGACATGCCTGCCATGTGTTATGCTCACAAGCGTCCGTCCCTCAAGCCAAGGGTGTAATGAGCTCTGGGACTCGGTTTATTAAAAGTAAACCATGGATGCGATTATTCAGTTCTCTGAGGAGAAAACTGGGGGCTGAAATATTACATCCCCAGTGACGGAATAACAATGGCTGTATTTGGGTGAGCAAATTTTAATTCTCAAGTCATTATGGTCTGTAAAAAATAAAATTTTGGACAAATAGGTAACTTTATGCACCAACTGGAATGAAATAAGAGGGCTGAGTAGCATAGGGACAAGAAAATTGGAGGCAATTTCTCCAGGATTGGCTAAAAAAGGCCTGGTTGGATGATGGATGATGCTAGCAATACAGTGTTTCACAACCATAAACACACTCAAGGATACATGTGATTGGCAAATACTAAGAAGTTTGACAACACAAAGGACGGAATCAATGGAGCAGTTGTGGAAGTCGGACTCAGCACCGCACAGCCACACCTGCATTGAAGATCACCTGTGAGCATTTTCCTTCAGGACATCTCTGGACGTGCGTGCATTTCCAACATCTCTGGACGTGTGTGCATTTCCAGCGGCTTGGCCAACGGCACCACAGGTTTCAGAAGCTCGATGGAGCAAGACCAAAAACACCAGCGAACGCCAGCATGAGTGTAAATGGATCCTTTCAAAAGAAAACTACATTTGCTGTAGGAAAATTGTCTTTGGTGGATTCCAAATCATTACACTTTCAATGGTGCATTTGCAGAGCTCTGACCTGGAAGTCAAACTCAGAGGCGCCAGAAAGGTCACGTTTTATTTAGCCCAAGCATCTTGTCCTCTCGCCTCTTGGTTGATTTCTTTACTGGGATTTGAAAATGTTGAGTTCATTTCACGATTTTACCTCCTAGGAAAATGAATCCAATAATCAGGAAGAAGAGGGGCAGGGAAGGAATTTCTGTGGGGGGTGGGGTAGTGGGGGAGTGGAAGTGCTGTGGCCAAGTCAACAAGAATTTTCCCCAGAACAAATGTCTTTTCAAGTTCATGCTGAATAGTCTCTATCCATCAGGCAGCTGCGAGGATGTCAACGCGTAGCTGCGAACACAGCCTGGAGGCCCAACATCCCAGCGGGTGGAAATGAACGCTGTCTGGAAACACAGGTGCATAAACAGCCACGCCCTGCCAAGCCCTTCACAACAGAAAAACACCACCACCCTACTCCACTTCTAGCAGGTTTCAGTCATTAGCAAGATGGATTTTCCTCAGTAAAACAGTGTGTTATTTTGCCTTTGAGGAAATATAACAAATGGGGAAATCTTTTGGGAAGTAACACACATACCCACAGTCATCACAGCCGTGGGTCTCGATCAGTCCCACAGGTGTGGGCATCGCCCCCGCCATGGGGTCAGGCACACCCAGCCTCCTGTTCAGGGAAGCTGCCTGCTGACCAGCTGGTGGTCATACAGTGACGGGGACAGGAGGTTTCCCAGGTCCCCACTC
The DNA here is from genome assembly GCF_000001405.40 of Homo sapiens. NCBI lineage: Eukaryota > Metazoa > Chordata > Mammalia > Primates > Hominidae > Homo > Homo sapiens. The sequence continues at coordinate 169,366,161 of NC_000006.12, forward strand.
CAGCAGGCACCTTCCAGTTTGGAAACCTGGACATGTTACCAAACCTGCATGAGCCTCCATTTCCTGAAATGCAATGGAGGTAACGTGGATGGCTGTGGCACAGGGAGGCTGTGGGGGCTCAGCGGGACCAACACCAACGGGAACATCACCAGGAGGCCAGGCACAGGAGGCACATGTGGGAATATCCCCAGGACGCCAGGCACAGGAGGCACGCTCAGGAGCCTCAGCCATTGCTGGTGACGTCTGCACTGCCCTGTGCAGTCCTGGATCTCTTACATGTCGCTGGTTGGAGCCACTTAAACAAATTACAACGGAGCGAGACCACACAGAGCTTGGAAAGTGTGTGTCGGCGTGTGCATGTGAGAGACAGACAGAGAGAGAGAGAGACAGAGACAGAGAGAGAAAGAGGCTCCTTCCTTCCTTCAACAAGCATGTGCCAAGCACAAGATGGCCCAGGCCCTGCGGTGAAGCCCAGTCCCTTTGCTGTCTCCCATTGTCTTTCAGGAGGATAAACACATCAGCCTACAAACAGCCCAGCAGGGAGAATGTGGCAGCCTCTGACTGTTGGGATCTGCTCTTCTGTCAACTCCCATGGGCGGAGACCCCCTGGTGTTTTCAGTGTGGAGGCCAGTTCCCGGCAGGCAGTAGGTGCTCAGTAAAGTCTTCCTGGTGAGCTGGGAAAGGCCCTGAGGGAAGACACAGCTGTGGGCTTCACAGTGCAGGGAAGAGCAGCAGCCCCAGCCCGGGCGTCAGGAGCTGTGAAGGGCTGAACTGTGTCCCTGTAATTTTCATGCTCAAGTCCTGAACCCCCATCCCTCAGTGTGACTGAGTTTGGAGACGGGGTCTTTATTTTTTCTCTCTTTTTAATTTTAGATGCAGGGTGTGCAGGTGCAGGTTTGTGACCTGGGTATACTGCATCACCCTGAGGTTTCGGCTGCTATGGATCCCATCACCCAGGCACTGAGCACGGCACCCAGCAGGAAGTTTTTCAGCCATTGCCCCCTCCCACCCTCTCCTCTACAGCGGTCCCCAGTGTCTGCTGCTCCCACCTTTGTGCCTCTGCGTACCCAGCTATTAGCTCCCACTGATGCACGAGGACATGCTATATCTGGTTTTCTGTTCCTGCCTTACCTCTCTTAGAATAATGGCCTCCAGCTGCATCCATGTGACTGCAAAGAACACGAACTGATTCTTTTTTATGGCTGCGTAGTATTCCATGGTGTCTATGTACCACATTTTCTTTATGCAGTCCACTGTTGATGGGCACCTAGGTTGATTCCATGTCTTTGCTGTTGTGAATAGTGCCATGATAAACATGTGAGTGTATGTGTCTTTTTGATAGAAGTATTTATTTTCCTTTGAGTCATGGGATTCCTGAGTGAAATGGTATTTCCACTTTTAGCTCTTTGAAAAATTGGAGACAGGGTCGTTGCAGAGTTGATTAAGTTAAAACAAGGCCATGAGGGTGCCGAATCCATGTCAGGGGCGTCCTTAGAAGAAGAGGATATATTAGGACGCACAGAGACACCCTGTGTCCATGTGCACAGAGGGGCACCCACATGGACACCACGAGGAGGTACTGTCTGCAAGCCAAGGAGAGAGGCCCCAGAGAAGCCAACCTGCCCAAGCCTTGACCTTGGACCTCCAGCCTCCAGCACTGTGAGGAAAACACATGTGTGGTTAAACCTGGTCCACGGTGTTAGGAAGCCTAACTTCTGGGCCTGAGAGGACACCTCAGCACCCCGTGTCTCCTTATTCCTTACGCATCAAAAGGAGACCCCTGCACACCTGTGTCCACGTTTGAAGACACACTCTGCACCCCGTGGAACACTCCAGAAAGCTAAAGTTGCATGGAAGCATGAGGAGCCACTCTCAACACCATCATGACTCGCACCCCCAACGGACCATTCCGGAAAGCTAAAGGTGCATGGAAGCACGAGGAGCCACTCTCAACACCATCATGGCTCACACCCCATGTGGAACATTCCAGAAAGCTAAAGGTGCTCAAAAGCACGAGGAGCCACTCTCAACACCATCACAGCTCTCACCTCCAGTTTTGTTCTTGTTGTTGCTTGTGTTTCTTTGTCCTGGCAACATCCGCCCTGAGAATGTCTCTTCACTCCTGCAGGAATATCCAGACTGTGCTCCTACTCAGGATCCCATTCCAGGGCCTGGTTCCTTCCCCCAGCGGGCAGACACATCCAGTAGGCGACCAGCCAGCAGCGCATGTAGACAGCATCGACGCCGATACCAGGCTCAGAGGACAGAACCATATTCCAGAGGAGCTGGGGAGAGGCGTTGTCTCCAATCCAGTTGAGGTCACCACGTCTTGGTGGAAATGGTGGCTTTTGAACTGAGCCTTGAGAAATAAAAAGCAAAGCAGCAAACAGTGGGGGACCGGGAGAAGGGAACAGAATGAGCGAAGACACAGCAGGAGGGCGGCTTCTAAAGCGCTGGAGAGACAGACCCAGCTAGCACTGATCCAGCAAAGCGATTGTGCAGGGGAAGCAGGATGCCCGGGTGGGGTATGCAGAGCCTTAAACTCCAGGCCAATGTGCCAGGGACTTGTACTGGGGCACTGCACTATCAGGGCTGAGTTCAGGAAGAATAACCGTGATGTCCAACAGTCAAAATAAAAGCTCTTTAAAAAATGAAGTAGGTACAAAGCACAGTGTTTAACAAGTTGATTATCTTTTGAGACTTCAGGGTGATAAGCAGGACATGTGGCATATCAGAATCTAAGACACTACGGCACCAGGCCTTCCCATTCTTCACAGGCACCTTCGTCCTGGAGAAGTATCATCATTCAGTAGAGTCTTACCAAGCGTTTATTCTGTGCATGACTAAGTTAGAAACGGGGAAAATAAAGAAGGAAAAGTCTGTTTCATTCTGAAGAGTCCCACAGTCTGGTCAGGGAGTCAGACACCTCAGTGAGCTATACAACCATCTACCCTTCAGTAAGTGTTAAATGAAGGTCTGTGAAGATGGGAGGGGCTTCAGGGAGACGCAGCATTTGAGTGGAATCTTGGCAGGTGGAGAGAAGCCCCTGTCTGCACCCCACTCACTGAGGCCCCAGCCCACCCCACCACCCTGTGCAGGCTGCCGATGCTGACTCATCTCAGTGGTCTATCAAGAGGTTCCTATGCTCTGCTATTGCCGGAAAACACCTCTCTTCTGAGTCTCTCCCGAGTCTCTCCCTAAAGGAAGGATATGAAAGAGGACTCTGTAGCCACAGAACGTTTCAGACACCACCTATGTCTTCCCTCGTCAGCCCCTGCGGTGCAGCAGAGGGTGTTTAATCTAGTTCCTTGTTCTTTCAAACACATCCAAATTTCACCACTTCTCTTAATGAATTATGACATCTATGGAAAACTATGTTTGCAATCTTACAGAATGATAAATGCCACGACAGCTCATAAAACTTAAATTTGTTTTATTGCTAATTAATGATGTTTTAGCATCCCTAAGGAAAGTTTTCTGATTGTTATTCATCTATATGGACAACATTTTAAATTACTATTTTCGAGAAAAATTAAGTTACTTAGAAATAGATTAGGAATACTAACACAGTATGAATCGCTGAACCATGCAAGCCACAGAGGTGAGGTTGCCTTTCATATGTGCGTGCAGAGGCCCGGGGTAAGGAGAGCCGTATTGAGGCTGGCAGGGTGTGACAGGCTGCGTACAAGCTCCACAGTCCACATTAAGCGCGCGGCCCTGGGATATAACACACGATTTACACTTGAGTTTCTATGGCTTTTCCTAATTCATGAAGCAACCCCATAGAATTTGCCAGAAATTATTAGATCAGCTCAGGGCTTCATTTCCAAAGTCTCCAGGTGACAATGCCTGGCCTCTCTGGTCGCTTCTGGGCAGGAAAGAGATGCAAAAGTGCTTCTCAGCCCCAAATGATCTACCTCCCTCCCATGCCCTGAAACCTTCCAGTCACCTTAATTCAGCGGCGGCTCTCACACCTGCAGGTGCAGCGGGCCCCCTGCAGGGCTGGATCATCAGACAGTGAGGCCCTGCCTCTGTCCCCCTGAGGCAGCAGCAGAACTTGGCTGGGGCCCGGGTCAGCGTCCTGACAAGTCCCAGGAGGTGCTGATGGAGGTACAGCGACCACACTTGGAAGATCGCTGCCTTGACTCAGCACACCAGAGAATCCACGTGGTAGCCACAGATGACGCATCCTGGCCGGGCCTCCAGGGCTCCTTCTGTCCACCCACAGGAACCCCCAGAGCTGTGAGGAGGAAGAGAAGCCAGGTGTTTTTTCACACTAATGGATATACTGTGTATTTTTTTCAGTGCAGAACCATCCTGATGGCAGTCGTGAGCTCACAGGAAAGCACAGTGGCTCACGGAGGGCACATGGGGTGGTGTTTCAGGCCCATCCACTGGAGCTCACTCTTCCTCATGGGCCCCGACGGTGGGCAGCCCCAGCCTCTGCTTCCCACCCTGCATCCCACCCCCACCCACCGCCTTAATTCACCATTCTTTACTGCTGTTTTTGATGGCAAAGAAAGTGACTCAGAAACTTCAGCAAACACAAACAACAGAGGATGTTTTGGAAAGCCATGAGGTGATGGTTCACAGAATTGAAACGAAAGCCACGGCTCCCTGCAATGGACACGGCAGTTTATCCCTCCTGTCCAGCTAAACGTCATACCTTTTCACCAACCTCCCCTCCTGCCCCTCCACAGCCTCCCTTAGACATCACACATTGCATATTTCAGATTTCTTGAAAGAGTCGTTTTAAATGTTTTCACCACAAAAAAAGATAAGTGTGTGAGGGGATGGACAGACTCATTAGCTTGACTCAACCATTCCACAATGTATACATGTATCAAAACATCCTACTGAACCCCACAAATATATAATAATATACAATTTTTAACATTTATAAAGGAAAAAAAGAAAAAATTCAATACAGAAAGAAAAAAAAAGCAAAACAACCAGACCTCCAGAGGGCAGACGTGGGGGAGGCCCTGGGAACCAGTGACCATCCCTCTGGCCCTCCAAGGTGCTGCCTTGGGTACCTGCCCCACAAGGTGAGTGAAAAAGCTCCTGTGACTCATGAAGACTTGAAGTCCTGGGAGAGAGAGGCTGGTAGGATTTGATCAACGTCTTGCAGTGGGTGGTGGCAGGACGAGTGGCTGGCAGGTGAAGGTCCCAGGGTCTGATGTAACCACTCAGTTCACCCCATGTCCTGCCCCAAGGACTGTCCTGGAACCCTGTGGCCACTCTGGGCAGGTGCCCTGCTGGGCTGACCCTCGCCGTCCTTCTCCAGGACACTGAGTCTAGGCCACCTGTTGATATTTTTATTGACAACGATGTTCTCCACCCAAATAGAGTCCCTTGCTGGAATCTGCGTCACACATCTGGTTCCCAGGGATGCACCCGGTGCTCCAGCAGCGCATTCCAGTGACAGCCTGGTAATGGAAAAGGAGCAGAGCGAGCAGCACCAGGAAGGGCCCTGAGGGGGCTCTGTCAGTGAAGGAGAGAAAGAGCTAGGGAAGCAGACAAACAACGGCAGCTTCCGATGCTCAGGCTGAAGAGCTGGGCAAGGCTCTCCCTCTCTCTCAGACACACACATCACACACCACACACACCACACCACACACCACAAACACAAGACACCACACACCACACACACGACACTCACACCACACACACCACACAGCACACACACGCTACACACACCACACAAAACACACACCACACACACACCACACAACACACCACACACACCACACACACCACACACTACACACACCACACAAAACACATCACACACACACCAAACACCACACACACAACACTCACACCACACACACCACACAACACTCACACCACACACTACACACGCCACACCACACACACACCAAACACCACACAAACACCACACATGACACACACCACACCACACACACCACTCTTATACCACACACCACACACACACAACACACACACCATACACCACACACACCACACACACCACACACGGCACACACCACAAACCACACACCACAAACACAACACACCACACACCACACACACAAGCCACACACACATACCACACACACACACCACACACACACCAACCACACACACCACACCACAAACACAACACACCACACACCACACACACACAACACACACACCATACACCACACACACCACACACACCACACACGGCACACACCACAAACCACACACCACAAACACAACACACCACACACCACACACACCACAAACCACACACACTCCACACACATCACACACCACACACACACCACACACACCACACATACACACCACACACACCACAAACGCAACACACCACACACCACACACACCACAGCACACCACACACACAACATACACACCATACACCACACACACACACCACATACCACACACACACCACACACCACACAAAACACACCACACACACCAAACACAGCACACACACACCACACACCACGAACACACCACACACCACACACCACGAACACACCACACACACACCATACACACACAAAACACCCACAACACACACACCACACACCACAGATACCACACACACCACATACCACACACACACCACACACCACACACACACACACACCCCACACACCACATATCTCACACACACCACACACATCACACACCACACACCATACACACCACACATGCCACACAACACACACACCACATACCACACACAGCACACACACACACTGGCGTTACCATGCACTACTCAAATCCAGACTCTTCTACTACATACGCCACTCCCCAGGATTAAGATCTTAATTCAACGGAATTCAAGGAGCTCTAAATGAGCGTGGGTGCCCCAGGTCCCGTCTCACTCTGTGCTTTTGTGTTCAAAGGCTTCTTTCGCTTGAGGATGTATTTGGTGCACACCTCGAAGGTGACTGGTCCCGGTTCTTGCAGCCAGACACCTGCCGGGCATCTCTGACTGAAGAGTGCCATGCAGTCCACACAGCTCTGAGAACTGAGCATCTCAAAGCAGGAAACCCTGCTTTTGGGAATTGCCCAAGATCCTACAGGGAGTCTTTGCGAAAACAGGATTCAGGACTCACAACCCCAAAGCTAAACAATCTGGTTCAACCTAATAATGGATTAGCAGCAACCAGGATGGAACGAGCTGGAGGCCATTATTCTAAGTGAAGTAACTCACGAATGGAAAACCAAACCTCCTATGTTCTCACTGTTAAGTGTGAGCTAAGCTAGGAGGATGCAAAGGCATAAGAATGATACAATGGACTCTGGGGACCCAGGGGGAGCGTGGGAGCGGGGCAAGGGATAAAAGACTACATATTGGTTACAGTGAACACTGCTGGAGTGATGGGTGCACCAAAACCTCAGAGATCACCACTAAAGAACTTTTCCATGCAACCAAATACCACCTGTTCCCTCAAAACTAGTAAAATAAAAATAAAATAATAAAATATGCATGCAAGGTAAAATAAATAAATAAATAAATACACAATCTGGTTCAAAACTAATTATTTTATCTGATGAGGTTGAGTTTAGCTTAGTGAGCCACACCTCCCCGGCACTTTTAAATTACCACAATGCCAGGGAGAATGGTGTTCTTTGGTTGCAAAGTGAAAGTCAACGTAGAAAAACCAATGCAAATTTAATTAAATCTCATGCCATTGATCCTAATGCTCCTTTCTTGTTTCATGGAACTGCTTGCAAAGGTCTGCGATGGTATCCAGAAATGCAGCACACCCTTGTGTTTCAGGATCCAGTCTCTCCATGTGATCTCACAGGTGGAGCCAGTCTCTCCATGTGATCTCACAGGTGGAGCCAGTCTCTCCATGTGATCTCACAGGTGGAGCCAGTCTCTCCATGTGATCTCACAGGTGGAGCCAGTCTCTCCATGTGATCTCATAGGTGGGTTCAGAATAAACCCAGGGTTTTTGTATGAACTAAATAACATATGTGCGGCTCTCAGAATTTTATTACTTGATCTATTGTATGCACATGAAAATAATGTATTTATTCACTCTGTATCTACTCTGCCTCTTTGTGTGTGAAACCTTTGAGTGGGGTTCATATTCCCCTTATTTTCCCTTGGCCCCTTTTAAGTCTATACCTCCGTCTGGAGATCACCAGTCTTCTGATTTTTGTCATTATCAGTTAGTTGTGTCTGTTTTGGACTTTGTGGAAATGGAACCAGACAGTGGGAACTCTTCTGTGTCTGGCTTCTTTCACGCACATGTTTGTTGTGAAACAAACATCAATATTCTTGGTACACTCGTGGTTTATTGTTTTATCACACTATAGTTTTCCATTGCAAGGCTATAAAAATGTATTTATTTCTTCTCTTGTTCTGAGCATTTGGGTTGTGTCCAGTTTGGATTTACTGTGCATAAAGCTGCTATGGATGTTCTTGCACATGTCCTTTTGTGGACTGCGCCACTCATTTCCCATAGTTAGAGCTAGGAGCAGGATTTCGGGTCATAGGATAGGCATATCTTTAAATTTAGTAAATATTGCTGAAGAATTTTTCCAGAATGGTGGAACCACTTTATATTCCCAGAGCAATAGGTGAGTTCTCATCACCAAGTCCTCCCCAGAAGTTGGCATTTTCAGTCTCTTTAGCCTTACGCATCCTGGTGAGTGTGCAATTCTCCCTCACTGTGGATTTAATTTTCATTTTCTTGAAAACAAATGATCTTGATCACCTCCTCATAGCTCCCTGGCCATTGGGATATCCCGTTTTGTGAAGTGCCCACACAGGCTATTGCTCAGCTTTTAAATTGGATTGTGTTTTTCTGATTGATTTTCTAGGGCTTCCTCCTGTGTTGTGGGAACTAATGAAAGCACTTATCTTTTCACTTTCTTAAGGTTGTCATCTGATGAACAGAAGTTCTAAATTCTGCTGAAGTCCAATTGATCTTTTAATCAGTATTTTTAGTGCTTTGTACACCTTAAAATATATTAGCTTCCTGAAGGTCATGAAGATAATTTATAAGACAAATTTCTAGAAGGAGGTAGTTTGGTTTGACTTGGCAAAGATATGAGGAAGCGGTAGGAAGAAAATCGAGCTTACTGTATATGACTATTTTCTTTTCATTCTATTGACTTTATTTCTCAGTCTCTCAGTTGACTGATAACTGAGAGGAATGTTGGTCTGAATGATACGCAGAAACTGGTTAAAGCCAGAGTGTTTAAGGAGACACAGTGAGCTTACCCAAGGGCAGAAGGCAGAGGGAATTAAAGCAGAATCATTCTCATCTGAAGAGACTTTGCCCATAAGAATTCTTGCAAAAAGCAGACTGCCTCCATGCCCAGGATGCCATTTTTAAAGAAATGATTTATGCAGGTCTCATAAAAAATGTTCAGTCAAAGGACATGAGTTCAAGTGACTTCTTCAGCCTGGCATAAACACTCATGCCTCCAGCCAAGAGGACGTGGCCAGGCAAGGCCCGCGACGTTCCTGCTGCGCGGAGTCATCACTGTCATCCAGGCTTCAGAATTTCTACCAAGTTTTGCCTCTGAACTTTATTTTTCTTTTCTCTCCAAAAACTCAGGGAACGCACTCCACTGTTATTGTTTTGTTGCAAAAGGAATGATTTAGATTTCTGGTGAGGAAAATTTGAACAGACAGTTAATTTTACTAAAAAGTTTTGGTTCTGATCACAGCCCACATTCCAGAGCAAATAGAGCAAAGGGATTGTCTTTTTTGTAAAATCTGAAGTCAAATTGTCCCAGCTGTCAGATCCTTCTACACACAAAAACTAGAGATAAATATGTGATGAGATCTTAGAGCATTCCAATATCAAGTTTTTGGGAATTATGAAGGCACTTTACATGAAATTCATGTCCTATCATTTTTCTTATTTTTCACAATGACTTCTCACATTGACATTAAAATGAATTCTCACAATGACATTAAAACATCTTTTAAAATATTCAAAACATAAATGATCAATTTATTCCCATCTTTTTATTTCATGTAGATTTTTTCATAGCCTGTTAAAATTACAACAAAATATAAGATGTGTTAAATCCATCTCTCCCCTTCTACCACTTCTTACTGATGTTGCCATTTCTGAGGATTCTAATTTTCTTCTCCTTTTCTTCCATTGAATGAAAATGGTTTTAATTTTAACAGTTCTGTCAATATTGCCTGTCTTTTTTCAAAAACATTTGTTCTTGTAGCATGGACTGGAGACCCATGGTGCAGCACATCCCGAATATTTGCTCTCTGGGTCTGCACAAGATTCAATGCCCTTGACTATGACACCCGTGCACCAAGTCACTGGCCTTGTCATGAGCCCTTGTGTTACTCCTCTTCCAAAATAGTGTCCTCTTTTCCCCACCGATGCCCTCACTGCATGGCGGTAGAAATGAAGCCCCGTGGCTGCTGCCTCCTCACCGCCGCCTTCTGTCAACCTCCTGGTTTTACTCACGTTGCATCTGATTCCCTGGTTTCTAGCTCCATCTTCCTCTCCACTGTGGCCCCTGCCACCCTCCTATGTGACTTCAGTGTCCACACAGACAGCACCCCAACCCTGACCTCCGAGGTAACCTCAGTGTCCACACAGACAGCACCCCAACCCTGACCTCCGAGGTAACCTTGGTGTCCACAGACAGCACCCCAACCCTGACCTCCTAGGTAACTTCATTGTCCACATGGACTGCACCCCGACCCTGACGTCCTAGGTAACCTCAGTGTCCACATGGACTGCACCCCGACCCTGACCTCCTAGGTAACCTCAGTGTCCACATGGACTGCACCCTGACCCTGACCTCCTATGTGACTTCAGTGTCCACACAGACAGCACCCCGACCCTGACCTCTGAGGTAACCTCAGTGTCCACACAGACAGCACCCCGACCCTGACCTCTGAGGTAACCTCAGTGTCCACACAGACAGCACCCCGACCCTGACCTCCTATGTGACTTCAGTGTCCACACAGACAGCACCCCAACCCTGACCTCTGAGGTAACCTCGGTGTCCACAGACAGCACCCCAACCCTGACCTCCTAGGTAACTTCATTGTCCACATGGACTGCACCCCGACCCTGACCTCCTAGGTAACCTCAGTGTCCACATGGACTGCACCCTGACCCTGACCTCCTATGTGACTTCAGTGTCCACACAGACAGCACCCCGACCCTGACCTCTGAGGTAACCTCAGTGTCCACACAGACAGCACCCCGACCCTGACCTCTGAGGTAACCTCAGTGTCCACACAGACAGCACCCCGACCCTGACCTCCTATGTGACTTCAGTGTCCACACAGACAGCACCCCAACCCTGACCTCTGAGGTAACCTCGGTGTCCACAGACAGCACCCCAACCCTGACCTCCTAGGTAACTTCATTGTCCACATGGACTGCACCCCGACCCTGACCTCCTAGGTAACCTCAGTGTCCACATGGACTGCACCCTGACCCTGACCTCCTATGTGACTTCAGTGTCCACATGGACAGCACCCTGACCCTGACCTCCTAGGTAACCTCAGTGTCCACATGAACTGCACCCCAACCCTGACCTGAAGGCTCATGCTGCTCTACTGACCCCCAGCCACCCCCCAGCCGCCCACGGCCTTCCCCTCTCCTGGGAACACCCTGATCTACGGGAACACATGAGCGCGGCAGTGAGCTGAGGAACCCGGCACCTGGCCACGGCCTCCTCTCCTTCCTGCCAACCTGTCCAACAGCTCCTCCACCACCAAATCCCCGACATAATCATTATCAGGGCATCAGCCAGCAGTCTCCAGGCAAGCAGCACCAACCGGACACACATACACAGATTCATCGTAAGGAATTGGCTCATGCAATTGTGGGGCTGGCAAGCGTGGCATCCGCAGGGCAGGCTGGCACACCGGAGACCCAGGGGAGAGCGGATGGTGTAGCCTTGAGTCTGGAGACTCAGGCAGAATTTCTATGCTGCAGTCTGGAGCCAGAATTCCTTCTTCCTTAAGGGACCTCCGTTTTTTTCTCTTAATCTCTTTAACTGATTGGATGAGGTTCACCCAAATTATAAACGGTAACTGACTTTATTCAAAGTCTGCTAGTTTAGATGTTAATCACATCTACAAAATATCTTCACAGCAATATCCAGCTGGTGTTTGAGCAAACGAAGGGGGCCATGGCCCAGCCGTGTGCACTTAGAAAAGCCACTCTTGGCTCCATCACTCAGCCCTGGTTATGGTCTAACCAACCATCATCCAGCTTAAAATTAAAATTTTAATTTAATTTTCCAATGCCGTCGTCAGGTTTTTGCTAAATTTTCACCTCATCCATTTGGAAAAAACTCAACTCCACATGAACTCTAAACAAAGTGAACTACTCAGCCTGTCTCTGCCTGCCCACAGCAACTCACCACTTCTAGAGAAAAATCCCCACACTGAGAACAGGTCCTCTACGGATGGTGACCACTAACTCCAGTGAGCTCCGGAATCTTCCTGACAAGATATCACTCCCCCAGGCCCCATACAGTCCTCCCAGATGTGCCAAGAAACTATAGCAGCCTCCTCTCCTCTCCTGCTGGTGTAGGAGGGAGGCAGGGGCATCACGCTCCTCTCTCGTGTCTGTGCCGAGGCCCCATCCCTTCTGGCCTCCCAGGAACTGTACGAGCAAATGTTCCATCTCAGAATCCATCTGTACCAGCACATGTCCTGACCCGGAATCTGTCCTATTGACGTGTGTACATGTTCCAGCCTCTCCTGCCAACGACGTCCCTCCAAACCCTGAATTGCTTTCTGATGGCCAGCCTGGTTCTCTCTTCTGCACACAGACACTGTCAAAAATGTGACTTGCACCACTTTCCCTCTCTCTGCCTCTTACATACTCACCAGTCCCCTGTCTGCCTTCTCTCCATAACAACCTGATGAAAAAACTTTGGTTAATACCAACCGTGTTCCATATTTTCACACGCACAAGAGGCCCAGCAGGCCCAGGTCCCCGCGGGTTTCCACACGTGGCCTCTCCTGATGTGCGGGATTCTCCCAGCAGGCCCAGGTCCCCGTGGGCTTCCACGCGCGGCCTCTGCTGGTGTCCAGAACTCGCCGTCCCTTTGGCTTTGCCACGCCATCATGGCTTCCCTTCTCCTCCTTCTTCTTTGGCTTTTCCAAGACCTTCAAGTGTCTGCATTCCCTGGAGCAGGACCATGAGCCTCCACCCGTGTCTCTCTGCATCCCTGCAGGTGACCTTATTTGGTTCTATGAGTCCAACCCCCATCCACATGCTAATGAGTAAATATATTCCCTCCCAAATCTTCCCCCAGCACCAGAGCTGCCTGGATTTTCCTCTAAGTTAGGAGGAAGCATTGGCAAGAGCTCTGCTGAACAGATCAGTCTCTGGGCTGTCATGGAAAAAAGACTCAGGATTATACAATGATGTTTTCAGGGAGAAGCTCCCTTTCAGTGCAAAGCAGCGAGCAGCGCCCTCAATGCTGTGGAAAGGAGCCACGCCAGGGGACTGGCCATGGGGCTGCCAGGAAATCCAGCAGCATCCCGGGGACAGGACCTCGGGGAGCCCACATGGCCTCATCCCACAGGCAACAGCCCATGTGCTCCTGAGCCCAGCTGCCTCTCTCCATCACCGTAGGTTCTGGGATCTCACACACGGCCAAAGCCATCGGGCTTCACGCAGGTCTCACTGACTTGAACTTGAGGAAGCGCTGTTCACTCAGCGGTGCCCTGTCTGGAGGAAATTCCCGGGTCTTTCTGCACTTCTTACGATTGCAAATGACCAGGAAAAGAACTTGGAGGTCAGAAGAGTGGGGCTGCCCAGCCCTCAAAGCCCTGGCACTGTGCAGTTTCAAGCTGCAGTTACCTCGGAAAGAGGAGGCTGCATTTGCACTGCAGGTGCAGGAACGTTCACCCACACGGCTCAGAAACGTTCTCACACATGCGGAGCTGTGTCCAGTTGGCACCGGCCGCAAAGCTGCACCTACCACCTGTGGAAGTGCGAGGCAACACAAACATCCTGACTCATGTCCCCATCGTGACTTGGTGCATTTCATTGGGTGTGTGTGTGGGGGTGTGTATGTGTGTATGCGTATGTATGTAGGTGTATGTGTGCATGTGTATGTATGTGTGTATGGGTATGCATGTGTGTGTATGTGTGTGTGTGTACATATAGATTTTTTCCCAGCATGTGATTCCAGAACCTTGTACACCTAATGGTGACACATAGCCCCTAGGTCAGATCTAATGAGGACCCTGAGGCAGTGTGGTTTATGACTGTGAACCTGCCTGGCCTAAAAGCCTGGGGTCTGTGCAGCATCCTCACTGCAAAAAGCCAGGAACGCTTCATGATAAACATTTCATCAGCAAGGGAAGGGATGTCCCTAAATCACGTTGTAACTGAGCAGACATTCACAGGGAAAACTTTCTGCCAGAGACACTCTCTGAAGGAAGAGAAGAGTCAGGCCTTAGCCCAGCAGTGGGGCCCCAGGCCAGCCTGGCCCGAGAAGAGTGAGAGAAACCTGGAGCCTTCGTCTGCACTGTTTTAACAACCAAAAGTGGCCACAAAGCTTGGGACCTTCTTGAAATGACACAGAGGGGCTGAGAAGGGAGGCCCAGGAGCAGAGGCTGGGCAGCACGGAAACACCACGGCCGGGTCATGATGGACCCCAGCTGGTGGGGACGTCCCAGGACCACAGTCACATGGCCCACCCAAAGCCTCCTGCCCACGTGGAGAAATTGCACACAATGAGGGGAGCTCCAGGCTGGAAATGGGGTCTCCGGCCAGGCCACTGCCATAGTCTTGTACAACAACAGAGACGAGAATTTCAGGTACACAGATTCACATGGCAAGTGTGCAGACGGCAGCAGTGTGACTGCTTGTTTTTAGGCACTAAAGCCACTTACTCATTAAATCATGTTTAAAATCATCGTCAGTGCCTCCAATTTAAATTAACCACGCACATGGATGAAATTTTCCTTAAAATTTCCATGCTTTGAAAACTAAGCAGAAAAATGCCTGGCAATACTACTAAAATTATTTTTTTCAAATGATTTGTGTTTAATTAGAAAAGTTTACTGAATCCAAAAACATTGCTGCTCACCCGTCTCCACTAAAGAGAAATGGAAATTAGCCATATGCAAACCTGAGTGCTGGTTAGTGACCAGAATTCTACGGAGTTTAAGAATTTCACATGTGCCTTTGTCGATCTTTTTCCTTTTCCGTCACATTTTCTTTTGCAATTAACTCCAGAGACAACACCTGTCAGGGTGTAGGGGGTGAGGGGAGGACGAGCATTAGGATAAATACCTAACGCATGCGGGGCTTAAAACCTAGATGACGGGTTGATAGGTGCAACAAGCCACCATGGCACATGTATATGGAGCAAACCCGCATGGTCTGCGCAGGTATCCCAGAACTTAAAGTAATTTAAAAAAAAAAAAGAGTCAAAACTAGCTTTCTAATTTTTCCATCCAGTTAATTATATACTTATGGTCAGAATGATGATGAATAGTTATATGGCAGATATAACTATTAATACCACCAGCATTAATTCACCATAATGCAGAATTTTAACCCCTATGCAAGATCTCAGTGAGGGTTGGCTGCCAGTGCATTCACCTCACAGGCTACTCCTTTCTGGGAAATAAACTTGTATTTTAAATTTTGAGGACAGTCAGCTTATAACAAAGAAATCAGCCTTACTCCACAGTCATTTTATTTTTGATCAAACTAATGCCCAAATATGTGTGTGTGCATGTGTGTGTGAGCGTGTGTATGTGTATGTGTGCATGTGTGTATATGTGTGTGTGTGCATTGTGTGTGTATGTGTGTAGTGTGTATGTGTATGTGTGTGTTCGTGTGTGTGTAGTATGTGTATGTGTATGTATGTGTGTGTGCATGTGTGTATGTGTGTATATCTGTGTGTGCATGTGTATGTGTGGTGTGTGTGTGTGTGTGTACATCTTATTCGGCTCAGACTATTGTAACAAAACACCCCAGACTCACTGACTTTAACAGCAGGCAGTTAACTTCTCACAGTTCTGGAGGCTGCAAGTCCAAGGTTAGTTAAGGTGCCAGCCATTTTGGATCTTGGCAATGGCCGTTCTTTCTGGTCTGTAGACAGCGCCTCCTCCCTGTGTCCTCACTTAGTGGAAAGAGGAAGCTCCAGCGTGTCTTTTTATGCAGCCACTGATCCCATCGTAAGCTCCCAAGGCCCCACCTCCCAACATCAACACCGTGGGGTTCAGGGCCTCAGCATCAGAATGAGGGGAGGGAGGGACGCAAACGTTCACTCCGTATCAATGTGCTTTAGAAATGGACTTGAGAAAAACAGACCAGATGTGGTGGGAGTGAGGGGGGGTAGAGTAGGAATCTGTCATTGGGATTTATTTGCAGGGTTCTAATTTTTAAGGAGGATTTTCAAATATTATTTTATAATTAGTCATAAATTTAAAATTACTCAAATTGATAGGAAAAAGGTCTTCCTGAAATCAAACTTTCTACCTCATTCCCAGAGATCATTGCTATCTACTCACCTGTCTTAATCATTACTCTTCTTTATGAATTGACCAGTGTGTATGTATGTATGTATACATCTATATATTAGTATGCAATATGAAACAGGTGTGTATGTAACCTAAAATATACATACATATCCTAAAGTTTACATGCACACCTAAATTACATACATGTACTCAGGCACACAGTAGCTGTATGCTGCTGGGACCACAGAACCCCTCCCCAGGAAGGCTCCGGGAAAGACAAGGGTCTCTGGGCTGTGATGGCCTTGGCTTCCTGAGACAGACAGGGGCCTTCTGGAGGAAGAGGGTGTCCAAGGCCTCACAGCTGTGCAGCATGTGGAGGCTGATCTCAGGGAGTGGGCAGAAAAAATGGGCTGAGCTTCCCCCCACTCAAGGTCAAGGTCCTTCCTCCAGCCAGAGGTCAAGGCAGAGTCCTTTCCAGATGCACTGCTGTCCTGTTGGGGTGCATTGTCCACTGGCTTCCTGAGAAATGGTGCCTGGGCAGTAAAGCCTGTAAGAGCTTGTATATCAACAGACATCTTTATTCTCTCCTGACACTTGATTGACAGTTTTCCCAGGTGTAGAATTTCACGTCAGAAATTAATTTCCTTCAGAACCACAAAGGCATTTCTCCACGTCGTCCTACGTCCAAGTGTTTCTTTGAGAAGCACAAAGTCTTCCTGTGTGCCGGTCTTTTGCTTTGACAGCTTCAGGCCTCTTCCTGTTGCTCCCAAGAGTTCTGAATGCCACGGTGCACGCCTTCATGCTAGTGTTTCCATTCATGTGTGAGATCTTTTGATCTGGCAACTCATGTCTCACCAGCCTGGGGAATATTCTTGAATGACTGTACTTTGTTGATATGGTTTTGCTCTGTGTCTCCACCCAAATCTTATGTCCAGTTGTAATCCCTACATGTCAAGGGAGGGAAGTGATTGGATCTTGGAGGTGTTTTCCCCATGCTGTTCTCTTCATAGTGAGTGAGTTCTCAAGATCTGATGGTTTTGTAAATGACAGTTTTTCCTGCACTCTCACTTCTCTCTCCTGCTGCCATGTGAAGAAGGACGTGTTTGCTTCCCCTTCTGCCATGATTGTAAGTTTCCTGAGGCCTCTCCAGGCATGCATAACTGTGAGTGAATTAAACCTCATTCCTTTATAAATTTCCCAGTCTCGGACAGTCTTTACAGCAGTGTGAGAACAGACTAATACATTTTTTGTTAATTTTTCAATTTTCTTGATTTTCTTCTTCTACAAATCCTTTTATTTTGGTTATTAAAACTTCTGGACTGATCTTGCAATATTTTAATATTTTATTTCCCACATTCGATCTTTTTGTGATTTTTTTTAATCTTTCACAACTTCCAGTGAGTTTTTATATAATGATGGCAATAAAAAATATCTACTGTGTATATACACATTATTTTCTCTGATCGATTATTTCTTCCGAATGCTCCTTTGCTGTGCTGCCCTGTTCACAGCTCATGAGTGTGGCATCTTCTCATCTCTCCAGGGATGTCATGGCAGTTCTCCTTCTGTTCCACCAGCACAGCTTCTGCTCCTTCCAAGCTGTTTTTCTCTACTTGTGTTTTCAGTTTTTGTCTCGATTCTCCTAGGTGCTCATTCTGTCCTGGCTGTCTGGTCATGATTAACACCCAGGGACCAAAAAGCTGGTTGACGACTCCAAGGAGATGAACAGTGCTTGTACTATCTGAACGTGACCACAGGGGTCTGGTCGGGCACGTGCTGGGACACGGGTGCCTGTGTCTTCACCTCCCTAGAGTCTCTTCAGCAGAAGGCCTGATCCCTTCTGCTGACCCTGGGCAGCACCTTGGGAGGGAGGAAGAATCTGTGGCGAAAGATGCAATGTGCACATGAGCACACAAGGGACAGTGTGGGAGTAGCTGCTGCACCCTCAATAAAACCAGGTGCTGCTCAAATGCCCCAGGCTTCTGTCAAGAAGAGGGCAGGTGTGTGCCAGAGGCCTGGGCTGTAGAAACGGACCTAGAGATCTTTTTGAATGTCTTTTCAAACAGCCTTCCCCAAATTTCTCTTTCAGTTCCACCCTTCATCCCCAGTTCTAGAGACGGATGCTGGCAATGCCTGAGGTTTTTGAAGACTTTGTGGCACCGTTTCTGCTGGACTCAGCTTTTCCTGCTGCTGCCTCAGGACTCTGCTGCATCCACTAAATCAGTTACCACCAGTCCAGCTGCTCACCCTCTCCCAGAATTTCATTACCACACATACCCTCCAGGGCATACCATCCCTGTGGCTTTTTTCAAACAAAATGCCTTTATGTTAGATTAGGTGCGTTTTCAAAATAGAAAGATATGCGAGATATCTGTTTTCAGCCTATCATCTTTGATTTATAGTTGTCTTTCCAATTCAGTTTTACATATAATTCAATATATTTGAAATTACCTTGGCGTAGGGTAGAGATAATAGTCTAAATTTATTCAAACAAAACTTTTTTAAACACTATTTTTTGAATAATCCTTTGCTACACTAGAACACGATGCTGCTGTTATTATAAATTAAGTCCTTAAATCTGTTCACCTGTTTTAAGATCATCTGTGTCCTCCCATTGATCTGTAAGTCAGTTTCCATCCCAGTACTGCCCAGTGCACCTCACCCTCACTCATGTTCTGTCACACACTTTCTCACACACATGCACTCTCACACACACGGCAGGCACATACTCTCACATATACAACATGGACACACACATGCCATACACATGCACACATGCACTTGCACACGTGGCATGCACACACTCACACACTCACACACACAGCATACACATGCACACATGCACTCACACATGGCATGCACACACACTCTCACATACACATACAAATGGCATACACATGCACAAATGCACTCACACATGGTATGCACATGCACATGCTCTCACACAACATGCACACACAAGGCATATACATGCACATATGCACCCACACACATGGTGTGCACATGTATACACTCACATGCACAACATGCACACACACACGGCAACACGCGCACTCACACACGACATGCACACACTCACATACACACACTCACACAAAACATGCACATGTGCACATGCGCTTACACACAGCAGATGTACGCATTCTAACATTCACACATGCACACACATCGTCTGCCCATGCACACATTCTCACATGCACACTTGCACTCACACACACAGTGTGCACACACACACACTCTCATACACATCTCCTGGTTTCATCTTCCTGGCATAGCTGTCTCTGAGTGGATGACAGAAGACTCTCAAAAGCAGCACTGGCGTGTGCATGGCTGCCAGTCCATCCTCTGGAGGCTCCTCCAAGCCCCTGAGAGCAGGTTACTTCTTTCAGGTTGGTAAGTTGCTGCGTTTTTAGGAAGCGAAGTCTGAGTAGACCACCAAGCGGTTGTTCTCACATTTGGCTCATTTGGCTCCATTATTTGTGGAAATTCTCTCAGTCTTTTGGAGGTCGGAAACATTTGAAACAGCATGGCTTATTTGAACAAACACCTCAAGCCCAAATTTAGTACTTTCTCAATTGTCATAACAAGCACAAGCTTTGCCAAACAAAAACAAGCAAATGAATAATAAATCAATAATACAGATTAAGCAATTTCTTCTGATTGAACAAATTTGGGGACTCAGGTTGCTAACACAGCCATGTCCTGGCTTTGAGTCATGGTTAGACGTAACATCTTGTGTGTTTTTCTTTAAATCAGAGAGGAGAAAGAAAGGACACAAAAAATAGAGCAACTGTAATTATTTTCTACAGTCCAGAAGAAAGAAATGGCCTGTGGCTGAGTTAGAGAAAAACTTGCAGAAACTGCTGACTGACTTCCATCGCCAGAAAAGGCATGGATCCCCTGCTGTCCTAACGATGCCGAGCAGCTCGGGACAGACTCCAAGCAAAGGCTCAGGATGAGTGAGAAGCAGCATCCGTGAAGCCCAGGACAGGACGTACATTCCAAACGCGGCTGAAGATAGTGAAGACCGCGAAGGGCCCTGGGGCTAGGACTCAGGCAAACTGAGTTTTAGTCCCAGAATCTGTTCTTAATTAGTTCTGTAACTCAGGGAATTAACGTATCCTCTCAAAGCTTTGGTTTGCTCACCAAAAATGCAGAAGCCATAGAATTCTAGGACCTCTCGCAGCTCTAAACCCCCATAGCAAAGACACGTGGCTCATCCGGGTTAAGAGTCGCAGTGAGAGCTGGTGCAGAGGGTGCTGAGTGAGCTGAGCCCTGCTCCCTTCTAGAAACTCCCTGTGCGGCCTCTCCGCCCAAATCCTGTGGCGTTCTGAAGTGCAGAGAGAGATGATCCCAGCTTTTTAATCTCTGAGAGACAGAAAGTTAGACAAGGAGAGACAACAGGAACCTCAACACCCCAGAATGCGGGATCAAGCAGTTCGAGCCCCCTGTGTTAGCCTGCGAGGCTAGAAACCCGTTCAGCCCCAGCACAGAACAGAGACAGGCACAGGAAGGAGCCAGGGGCTGAGAACGGACCTGGAAAGAGGACTCCGGGTTTTCCAACCATGAGCCCAAATTCCAGTCCAAGGGAAATTACCTGTGAATTTCTAACATCTAATATTTATGATGTAGGCATATAAGGAAGTTTATTTGGTTGTAAGAAATAGAGTAAAGAAAAATAAAAAATCACAGGACCCCTGAACTCCTTATGAGAAACGGAAAGTTAAGCCTGGCGGCCGAGGCACACAACTCCGGCCTCCAAAGGAACAGCTGTCACCAGGCTCATGCAGCAGCCAGACCCCACGAATGGGGGAAAGGCCTCAGTTGTCTCCAAATCACTGCCCTCACAGGCCATCCCTGAGCAAATGCTCTGCTGGCCCCCCATGAACACGGACAGACCAATTGTGACTTCAGGACTGTAATCTCAGTCCAGTTCCTGAAACTCAAGTTTGTTCAATTCCACACCAGCCGTGTCAATTTTAAGCCCACCTACCCAGGTGCAGAACAAAGTCAAGGTGAGATCAGTCACTCCCCCACCTACCCAGACACATCTTCCTGGAGTCCTCCTTCCTCATCACCTTCTCTTATGTAAAACATGGATTTGCTGGGCATGAACTAAGGTCTCACAGGAATGCAACCCTTCCCCTCACCACCTACCTGCCTCTCTGCCTACAGGGCTCCTCTCATTAGGAAATAGATCGGCACTAACCCCCCGAAAACCCCTCAAAAAACGCACAGATGTGTGTGTGGCTCCTGTCCTGGAAGTGCCCTAAAGCTGGCATAACAAACCTCGGTGATGAGACCTGCCTCAGTCACGCATTTCAGTTTTTAATGTCAGCAACCCACTTACACTGGAATTAAAAAATGGGACATTTATTCTAAGGATGTGAGGGCAACTGATGCCACCCAAATGAGGAGCACACCTGGGCCCTTTCATCTCTATGTTGTCTTTGCCTCTCCACGCTGCGTGCTTTGCTGCTGCTGTTCCCTCCTCTTGTCCCTGTGGCACCCTGTAGCCGGTTCCCCACTCCCACGACAGCTTCTCAGTCCTTGGTCTCAGCTCCAAGTTCTCAGGGGGAATAACCTGACCACTTACCTGAGGTCAGGCAGATGTCACACCTCTCCTCGTACCATCAGCTGTGGCCCATGGAAGGTGCAGACTGGGTTGTGTCTGCCAGGTACCATTCCTGTGATCCTGATGGGAATTCCCTGAGAAGGCCTGGGAAGATCCTCCTGTAGCAGCCACCACATTGAGTGAGACACAGACAGCATTTTGCTCTTCAGGGGAAATTTAGAGTCACTGCTTTTAAAGAATGTTTTCCCTTTTTAAAATATTGTTTTTCTTTCTTCCAGCAAATCAGTATGGTAAATAGAAGAAATAATTCATCTAAAAATAGTCTCTGTGAATCTGTATCCACAATGTTTAAAGTAGCCATTCCAAAAATGTGTTATCTGCTCATAAAATGCATTTTCCATTTTAGCTCTGAGGCTCAGCCAGTGCTGAATGATCAGACATCAAACTTCTGTGAGGGGGATGGTGCCTGTGGTGAGGGCGGCTGAGGCATGTTCGATTCAGTTATCCAGGTGGGCTGTGGGCCAGTTTTGCAGCCCCAAACCACAGCAGCTTTGTTCACGGCCGTCTGGATTCTGGGATGCTTAAGTGGGCTTCCTGAGGGTCAGAGCACTGAAAACGAACAAAAATGGAAAAAGAGCAGACGCTGTCTCCCCTGTGTCACGGCATGGCCCGAGAGTCTCAGCGTGTTCCTCAGAAACCCACGTGTGCTGGGGGCCACCAGCCTCGGATCAGCAGTGGGCAGCCTATGGAGACCACAGTGTGTGGCAAGAGGAGGTCATCAAAGAGCGCCGAGGCCAGGCAGGAAGCAAAACATCGGGACGCTGGGCAAGGCCACACCTGAAAACCGCCGTGGAGCCTGCTTCTAAAAAGAAGTAGCTCCCACCTGGGGAAGACAGACGGCCCCCACCTGCAGAGTCTCGGAAGCCTCAGCCAGAGCCACGTGGGAGCAGCTTTTCCTCCCTTTCAACCATAACCAGCTTTGGGGACTGACCTTCAGCTGTGGTGTGTTTCAAAAACTAACATGGAGCTTCCTTTCTCTCCACCTTTGCTCTCCCTTCCACCAGGACAGGCTTTCTCACATTGTCCTCAGCGTCAGTGGCCCAACTGCTCAGACAGCCAGACACCCCACACTCTGGGTCCTCTTGTACTTATTTGCGGGAAGGTCTTGTAAAGGAAACTAAAAATCTCAGTACCCCCAAAACTTCTTATGCAAAAGGGAAAGTCATTGCACTCCCTCTTCCAAATGAATTGACTGTCACTAACATCATGTATCAGCCAGACCCAAAGAGAATGGGAAAGGCCTCAGGCATCTGGAAAAGCTGCCCACACAGATGATCCCTGCGTGAATTCTCTGCTGGCCTCTCATGAATGAGGACAGGCCAATTGAAACTTTAGGACTGCAGTCTAAGTCCAGCTCCTAAAACTAAAGTCTGTTCAGTTGCACACTGGTCGTGTCAATTACAAACCCACCTGCCCAGGTGCAGAATAAAGTCAAGGTGAGACCAGTCACTCCCCCACATACCCAGAGACATCTGCATGGTTGACTTTTCCTTTTGTCACCCTTTCTTATCAGATGTTCACCTTCTGTTACGTAAAACCAATGTAGGATTTTTATTCTCAGTCACGTTGCAGAGCAGGGAGCCCCAGCTGGCAGTGCTCCACCTGGGTCCCACTCGGCCATGCTGGCATGCCCCAACTGGCCTGTGTTATAGCTTGTATCATGTTTGGTGGTTCCTGAGTTCTTGTACCATGCCCAAGAAGAATGAGGATACTCTGCACATTGAAGGATGAGAAGGGCAGAAAAGAATATTATTGAGTGCTGAAAATAACTCTCAGTAGAGGGGGGATGTGGGGTTGGTCTTCCTACCCAAGGTGGGTAAGTTCCTCCATATGGCTGGGTCCGGGGCCTTTTATGGACTCAGAATGGGGAGTGAATGCTGATTGGTTTGTGAGAATCCAAAAAAGGTTAAAGGAAGACACCACTCAAAGGTGGGCATGACAGCATAGAAAAACCAATTAGGAAAGGGTAGGTAAATGTAAAATAGGTGAAGGGTGGGGACCAATCAGAGGAAAGCGTGCCAAACAGGAAGACAAGTTCTCAATCTGATCCAAAGATTTAACCTGTAGCTTGGCTTTCAGGCTTTAAACTGTCTTTTGCTTGGAGGTGGGGTTTCACTGGGGACCCACCCCATCTGCCTGGGCATTGGCTGCCTCCTGCTGCTGTCATGCCCAATTTCTAAAGAAGTACATCTAAGTGCCATTCGGATAAGGATGAGGATAAGGACAAAGACCAGTCTTCACTGCTTCCTGCTGACAGGAGGGTGCTGTTTTGGGAAACAGTAGTCAGAGCTTCCTCCGAGGCCTATCTAAGGGTCCCCGGAAGAAGGGACCATTGTCCGAGGTTCCGGTTATATGAGCATTTGGAGTTTGATGGCTTGAAGGTGAAAAGAGACAAACTGAGTTATTAGAGGACATGAATCAAAATGAAACAAGGGGTAAAGGACAGCTCAAAAATACCAAGGCTGCTGGCATGCATGGATAACTAGTGGTTATAGTTAAGCCTGCTAAGATATAAGTGCATGGGACTCAGCTTTGGTTAGCTCCCTTGGTCTTATCTTCCCAAAAAAGGAAACCTCTGGGTTATAGGCACCCTATTTACTCCCATCACCTGGCAGGATTTGCACAATAATTAGAACTAGAATATTGGTCCAGATTTTTGCATTACCCATCCCTTCTCTTTCTTCTGAACTGCAGCCAGAGATCACTGTTTGCTTCACAGGAATAAGCAGGGTTAGTCTAAAATGTAAGCAAAAACTTAAAAACAACTGATGACATTGGAATTTAATGACTACTATATGGTGAGTTTTGAAACATAATTTCTCTCTCTTTAGTCTTATTTTTGTCAAAAACAAATCATGATAGGACTGAGTTGTTTGCAAAATAAACTTTAGTCTTCCACTTGGACTGATCATTTGCATAAAGTGCAGCAAGAATAATTATTTTTCACATAAGCTTTTAAAATTGGCTTTGATGGAGCTCTGTTCCACAAAGAATCTCAGATAGGACTTTTTAAAGTCGAGCCCAGCCATGGGTTTTTACCCTCAAATACCTATGAGTTGGGTAACTTCCTCTTACGGAGGTTTCAAGATAACATGGGGCTCCTGGGCCTATTAGAAAGTGACATTCTTTACTCACCACAGGTTAAGAACCCTATACAGGACTGTGTTGACAAGGTATGAAGGCCAGTTTTCTCAAGGGGCTTTTATTGGGTCTGCATATCAAGCTTGATTCTTTAAAGGGAAGCACAACTTTCCAGTCAAAGCCTTGGTAAAACAACCAACCAGTTTCTACAATTGCATCCTGTTACAAAAGAAAATGGATTGTTATTGCACTGATGCAAAACAAGTATATTGCCATAAGTTAAGATTACTCACAAATAGTTTCCAAATTCTAGAGAAACCAGGCGAAGAGAAACAAACATGCTCCAAATTTTGTTCATAGGAGTATAACTTACTCAATTATTAAAGGCTGTAAATAGCTCAAAATAAGTTTCCTTGACTCTGAAAAACAAAACAAGAATCACCAACATTTTAAGCAAAAAGTTAGAAACATTACTTCAGTTTTCTATTAGTTCAGTCCATTCCATTAATTCTTGTTCTGCTTGATATTCATGAACATTTCAGCTCTTTACGAGTTATGTGTGTTTTCTTCTATTCCAATGTCACAATCTCCAATGTTATCAGAAACCTGCATTTGGGAGCACCTGTCAAAGTCCTATAACTGATTATAAACCATCTTTAGAAAAAATCTCTTGTTACCCAACTTTAGTCTTGCCAAGTGGCCAATATTTCTGGCTTTTGAACTTTACCAGAAGTAACCTCACAGGTGAAACCAACAAGCCTCAACTACGGTTATGAGTTAACCACAAGTGTATGAGGTATTTTCAAAGAGGTGGTAAGCAGTTTTCACAAAATCTAGCATCTTTGAAGGTAGCTCAGAGAAAGGAAGATTTAAGAGAGGAAGCTAGAAGTTGTTCATGGAGGGGAAGAGAATCAGCAAATGGTAAAAATCACACATATATTAACCAGAAAGTACTCATTCCCTAAGTCAGGATTGAACCTGGGCCACCATTGTAAAATGGCAGAGAGCAAAAGAAAGTACTGCCACGTGGTTATGAGGTCAAGCTCCCAAGGATGTAAAACAAGATGGAGAACTACAGCAAAGTTTGTTACTGACCAGTTTGCTGGGCTGGCCTGAACAGCAGGATTATATGGTTGTAGGCCCCCATTCTATCCTGAAGTACCCTTCTTTATGACAGAACCACACAGAAAGAGACACAAAGCACACCAGATTGGCTACAGCTTAAGACTAGCCTCACAAATCCTTTTTTCCATTTACAGAGAATATAAACAGTGATTTTTATCATTCATTTAACTGGTTTGCACAGGGAGAGAGAGTCCAGAAGTCTGACTAGTCAAAAAAAAACTTTTAACCCTTTGCTGGCATGTCAGGCTTCTGGGTTCCCTTCCCCCAACCTCTATTTTAAGCTAAGCAGTTTAAGGTTTGGGGATGGATCCGTGGGGAGTGTCCTATGGTACGGGAACAAAATCACCCACCCACAAAGGGAGGACAGAGGAGGAAAAAAGAAAAATAAGGCGTTTTTTCAAAGGAATCCCAGTGATTCAGGAGGCATTTGAGAGAAGTAAAGACTGAAGATGATTAGTGATCCAACCAGAAAGAGGGGAACAAGGTGTCCCTAGTTCTTTTCACTTCCCAGTGAATGCCCAGGGCACATGAGAGACAGAAAAAAGAGGCATCCCCCTTCCTTCTTCCATCCTTATATCCCTGAGTCCCAGCGACCTTGGCAGGATGCTGCCCATGGGTGCCAATGCAGCTTTCATCCATGTTAACAGGGGGCCTATGGGGTGGGAATTATCTATGCTCACCCACACACTGCCTGTCCCCGCTGCTGTAGGTAACCTTTGAGTTCCCCAGACCTCATATGTGCCATGGATACTAATATGACCTCTATCCATGAAATGGGGGGGCCTAATTGGCAGGAATTAGTCATGCTTACCTGTGCTGTGCCCCTTGGCTTCCTTTGTGATCTGCCTCTGGATTCCTTAGATCCAGTTTTCCTTACTAGGACTTCAACCAGAGGCATGGAATTGAGTTTGGGGCAAAAATGTGTCTTGGGAGGGCTCGTGGACTCACTAAGACCCAGGCGGTCCTCACCAGGCTGCAGCCAGCAGCCGGTGGGGTCGCTCCTCTGCTGCTGCCTCCCCACAAGTCGAAGCCTAAGGCGAAGCTGTGGAGCTGGGTGTCCTCCTCAAACAAGGGAGAGAAAAGGGGGTCCCATGAATTGGGGTCCTGGCCTAGTAGGACACCTTTCCAAAAACACCTCTCACATGGGAAATCTCCCTGTATTCGCAGGGTTGTGTTAACTCCTGACATGGTGGAGAAAAGAAAAAAGAGCTTAAATAAAGGGGCAGGAAGGTGCCTGGAGGAAAAAAAAAAAACCCTTGCTCTATGCAAATGGGTTCCTTCAACACAGTAAAACGTTAAGTTGTTGTTTGCTCCTTCTGGTTCAGACTAAGCTGGACCGCTCTGCCAGGCAAGGAAAAGACTCTGTGGGCACATGCTGGGAGGGTGTAGAGGGTGGGAAACACTGGCCAGTTGGCCCCACAGGGCTCCTAGCCCTTAAGATCACCCTCGGGCCTGGGCGGCAGCTGCGGCTCACTCCCATCCTGAGGCCATTGGACGCAGCATGTGCATGCGGTGGACATGGGCACGCACCGCAGCTGGGAAGGGAGGGAGGCAGGGAGCCACTGTGTACCTGTCCATCCATCATGCATGCCTGCGGCCATTAGGACGGGGGTGGAGAACGTGCCACTAAGAAGAGACAGAAATCACATTGTTCTGAATTGCGTATCTGATGGCTGGGCCAAACGCTCATTCTACCTGGTAATAACTCTGCAGTTTGCAGCAATACCCTTAACAGTTTAAACAAAGAGACAGGAGCCATTTCAAACCATGAAAGAAGGAAGGAAAAATACCATAGAAAAGTCTGGGGGTCTTGGCCAACACACTGATGGGCAGTCAGGGACAGAGGTACTCTAGGGGCCTTCCAGCAACACCAGGAGTGGCCTTGGCCAGATGCCTTCAGTTGCCCCAGGACCTTATTCCAATCCCCTGTGACAGCTAGAACTCTGTGAAGGGAAACAAAGCCAACACTCCTTTCACCCAAAAGGGAGAGAGAGGCGGGAGGGCTGCATCCTGTCCTCTCTAAGGCACCATTCCTTCCTAATTGACTCACCAGAGCTTCGGTGCCTCATCTGCCTTCAGAAAAAAGTTTGATGACAAGAGGTCTCAGAAAAAGGTGAAGAGTTTAAGTCTTCATTTACTTACCCTTCAGGGAGAGCCTCCAAAATGATGCAGGATTTTTGTTCTCAGTCACTTTGCAAGCCAGGAACCCCCAGGCAGCAACTCCACACACAGGCCTTGCTCAGCCACACTAGTGTGTCCCAGCTCACCTGTCTTACAGTTTATACCCACATTGGCAGTTCCCGAACTCTTGCATTGCACCCAGGAAGAATGGGAATATGCTGAACATTGAAGGATGATAAGGACAGAGAATAATTTTATTGAGCATTGAAAATTGTCTTCAGCAGAGAGGGAACATGGGGTTGGTCCCCTACCCGAAAACAGAAAGTACCCCCGTGTGGCTGGTCTGGGGTCTTTTATGGACTCAGAATGGGGAGTGTGTGCTGACTGGTTTGTGAGTATGCAGAAAAGTTTAAAGTGAAGACGCCACTCAATGGTGGGCACGATAGTGTAGAGAAACCAATTAGGAAAGGGTGGGTATGTATAAAATAGGTGAAGGGTGGGGACCAATCAGGGGAAAGCTGAACGGCAAGACAAGTCCTCAATCTGGTCCAAGGATTTAACTTGTAGCTTGGTTTCCAGGCTTTAAACTGTCTTTGGCTTGGATGTGGGATTTCACCAGGGACCTGCCCCACCTGCGTGGGCCTTTGGCTGCCTCCTGCTGCTCTCAAAACATAGATTTGCTAGGTACCAAGGTCTCAGGGAAGTGTAGTCATGCCCCTGCCACCTGCCTGCCCTTCTCTCTACAGGCCCCCTCATCATAAGGGAACATCAATACTAACCCTCCTGAAAACCTCTTCGGAACAGCAGTTGTAGATGTGTTGTGGGGGGGTCAGGTTTTTCCAGGACATGTCCAAAAGCTGGCATCACACCTCTCAGTGATTGAGACACCTGCCTCAGTCTCTCGCTTCTGTTGTCAGCCTTCACCAGCTTGTGTCTCAGCCACTGAACCACCGTTTCCACCAGCCCAAGGGCTTCTTGGTAGCAGGGCCTGGATGTTGTCACGATTTGCTCCTGCATTTCCTAGCATGCAGTGGCTACTTCATAAACAGCTGGGTAGGCATTTGAAGGGACAAATGAAACTAATGACTCAGTGTCCTGTAATCCAGGTGAAACCAGCCTCATCTAACCAAGCAAGACCAGCCTTCTCTGCATGAGGCATCTGCCCACTGCATTTAACTCTAGCAGAGGGTCCACCTTTTGTAAGCTTGGCCGATGAAAGAAAAAATTTAAAATATGACATTTTACTGTGGTCAAGTGTCCTGAGGAATAAACAATTTATTCAACAAACATGATGTGCAAAGATTTTGTTCTTCCGTGTTCTCTGACAGGGCTGCATTGAGGGCTTCACTATTTCCTCACAAAAGTCCAGTTTTGTGAGAGCTTGGGAGGCATGAGTGACAGGGAGTGAAGATAACCAGACCCTGTAGGTAAGTGACAGGGACCAAAAATGACCACACCCTGCAGACAACCAACGTCACAGGGACCGAAAATGACCTCACTCTGCAGACAACCAAAGCAACAGGGACCAAAAATGACCTCACTCTGCAGGTAACCAAAGTCACAGGGACCAAAAATGACCTCACTCTGAAGACAACCAAAGCCACAGGGAACGAAAATGACCTCACTCTGCAGGTAACCAAAGTCACAGGGACCGAAAATGACCTCACTCTGCAGACAACCAAAGCGACAGGGACCAAAAATGACCTCACTCTGAAGACAACCAAAGCCACAGGGAATGAAAATGACCTCACCCTGCAGGTAACCAAAGTCACAGGGACCGAAAATGACCTCACTCTGCAGGTAACCAAAGTCACAGGGACCAAAAATGACCTCACCCTGCAGACAACCAAAGTCACAGGGACCAAAAATGATCTCACACTGCAGACAACCAAAGTCACAGGGACTGAAAATGACCTCACTCTGCAGGTAACCAAAGTCACAGGGACCGAAAATGACCTCACCCTGCAGACAACCAAAGTCACAGGGAGTGAAGACTCCACAGGAGACTGGAGGAGGGGAGCCACAGCTCTTGCCACCCAGCGAGTCTAATGAACATGCACTTCATAAATCGAACCTCTCCCCAGGTTTCTTCTTCTGGGCCCTCTGGCTCATCCTCCTCTCCGCCCACACCCCCTCAGCTTCCCCTTTCGGCTGCCCAGCAGGCCAGCTGCCATGCCATGCTCTGCAGAACCCAGATTAGCCGCATGAGCAGCCCTGCTTTTCTCCAGCGAGCCCGCGGTTTGGATGCCATCCTGGTGCAGATGTGCATTGAGCACCTACAGAGAACCAGGCTCACTTCTGTGCTGGAAGAAAGAAGTCATCCCCCCACTCAGGGAGCTCTCGCGAAATAACACTGCTCCTCCACAGGACAGCACCTTCTTAAATATGCGGTTCCGAGAGTGCAAAATCAGCACTCACAGGAGGACGCTAAGGCTCAGAAGATGCAGGGCACTTGCCCGAGTATAACAGGTGGGTACTAATCCGAGGGACTCATGCCCAGCACCGTAGGAAACCCATGCGATACACCACAAACAGCCAATGCTCTGTCCATTGTTCTTCTCCCCGTCGGGTTCTGCCTTCTGATGGGAGAGACATGTTCATCCTAAAAACCTTTCCTAATTTCTCTACGACCCAGTGAAGTTCCTGAAAGTCTACATCAGACGCCCGGTCTGGATGCTGGATATTGTGAGTGTGTTACATGCTGCCTTTCTATGTGGCAAATAAATTTTGTTTAGATTATCATATCATACAATTATAAGCCCTACCTTGTCTCTGCAATTATATTGCTCACATAGTCCTGGAGATCAGACACCAAACTGCCTCAGACAATCTGACATGCCTCCATATTCTCCTTTTTTCCTGTCCCTTTTTCCAATGCCATTCCAAAAGACTGACAAAATCTTGTCGGCAAGGGTGTTTTTTCTCTTTGATAATGATTTTTTAAGTCACATTATCTTTTTCTTTTGTGGGGGTGGTGGGAGGAGGAATGGGGAAAGCCCCAATCTTTCCTTTGGGGAAAGGATGACTAACATTTAATGGAAAATCGTGACAGATTCCAGTTCAACTTTTGCCTGATGCCTAGACGTAGAAAATACCATCATGATAATTTATATAAGAAAATGCCATCATGATAATTTATATAGGCAAAGAGGTAGTGCCAGCATTTAAATAACGCCATTGCAAATCAGGTGGGTTCCCTTCCTTTAGTGTCTGATGAGCACATAAACGGGCGGCCAGATGAAAACAGCATCAATTGCTCACTGACTGCATGGCCGCTGGACCACATCTGCTGAGTCGTGCCTGAGGCCAGTGATCAGCAGAACCTGCAATGCAGAAAACAGAGCCTGCACTCAGGCAGACCGGCCATGGGCTGGGTGGGCACGCATTCTCCCTCAGCCTGTGACCCTGAGCACAACACGCGTGCCCTGGAACCTGAGTCTTCTTCCCGTACAAGGTTGTTACCGGGAATTCCATGAAACAGCCCCTTGAAACAATCTCGTAAAGGACATACCCTTGTGAGCCAGGGCTGTGGTAGAGCCTTGTTGAAGGTACTTTTCAGTGTGTGGTAGAGCCTCGTTGAAGGCACTTTCCAGTGTATTTTATTTTACCTTGGCTGGATGTCTTGTGAATTTTCTCTCCATGCTAAACACTACAGGATTAAAAACTTCCAGGTGAGTACGAGAGGAGAAAGAATCCTGTTTTATGTGGAGACACCGTCCCCTGCTTGGGGAGGGTTGTGTGTCTCTGTTTTGGTAATTAAATGGTGAATAACAGGCAGTAAATGAAAAGAGACAAGAGAATCACTCGATTTGGAGTGAAAGGCGCTGATTAAAGCATGCCATCCGGACAGGAGGAATGGTTCTGCAAGACAGAATGTGGGGAGACTCGCAGCCCAGGGACCCTGCAGGAGGCGGCCCAGGATGGCCACACTGACAGTGCACGTGGGGTCAGATGACACGCCTGCTTCTGTATCCAGGGACAGAGGCAAGCCTTGTCTTGGCCCAGAGTCTAAGCAAACCGCAAGGAAACTGGATGAGAAACAGATTTATCATGAGGTCAAGGAGAAAATGACCACACCCTGCAGGCAATCAAAGTTGGGCTCCTGAAGAAAACACTCCAGTAAGAAGCCAGGGTCATTTGTTTCCTGATCCAGAGACAGCCAGGCTCAGGACCCCATGAAGCTGGACCAGCCAATGGCTGCAGCTCTGACTCAAGGCAGGCACGCTACCCAGGCCACTTTGCTTCCAAATCCCAAACTCAGAACCTCAGCTTCTGTCTGGTTATAACAGTCCGGGTTCCCCACTCCCAAATCCTGAACTCAGAACCTCAGCTTGTCTCTGGTTATAACAGTCCACGTTCCCACTCACGTCACATGCCAGGTCTCATCTCCATGCTCTCTTGGAATCTCTCTTTCCTCTCCCAGAACCTCACTGCTTCCTGGCCTCACGTCTTCATTCCCGTCTTTTGAGCTCTTGACTCTCATCTTATTCTGATTCCTGCAACAACTTCTCTCTGGCTTCACCCCCTTTGAAACTTTCAATCTAGAAATAACTCAACTCTTTATTTCCTCGACTAAGACACTGCCCAGACCAGCCACTGCAAAATATCAGCCTTGAGGCAGTCAGGGTGGGCTTTCCACAAGTCAAAAGAGATTCACTGTAAATGACCTTTGTTCTCAGATTAAATGTTAGTGTTAAAATAAATGTTGCTATATGATGTCACGTTAATAGTCTGGGAGATTTCTAAAGATTTTTTTGCAGTGGTTGTTATTATTTCCCCAGAAAGTTTCTCTCTCACAAATGCAGATGTACAAAAAGGGCATCTCCTCATTTACAGAGGAAGTTTCAATGTTTTTATGTATCTGCACAGTGCTTACACTCCAAGTCAGCATTGTGATAATATACTTTCATGGAATGAAATCTGCAAAAAAAAAAAAAAATGCATAAAACAAATTGGAACTCTCTTGAAGTCTTTACACAACGTATACATCCAGGACTGGAAATGATGTGAAGACGAAATACATAGTGAATTCTAATAAGTAATGCTGACAACTTAAGATAGTGGGGGGGGAAAAAAACTAGAAAAAAAGCAGAAAAACTAAAAGTAAATTGACATATGAAGAAGCATATTACAGGAATGGGCAATGGGCAATTGCATGGAGACAGCCCATTCGATCTGCCTGACTTTCACAGTCATGAACTGTATTTTGAAGTCTTGCATTGTGATGAGCGGTGGCTTTTTGCTTTTAGGACATGGCTCTCCTTGGAGAATATGTTCACATTCACTTTCTATGTGGCACTGCTCTTTTTGAAATCCTATGATTTGACGTGTGCTGACATATACATTTCCTATTAAATTTTCCCATCTTCTGTCCCATATGCTTTTACGTTGCTTTGGATACCTGGACATCCATGATGCCTGCACTCTCATCTACAGGCCGCACATTTGCTGGAAACAATGCTGGTGACAGAACAGCAGCACCGTTGTGTAAGCATCTTCTTATCCTACCCTGAACATGATTATTTTTGAGCCAGTTGGTAACTTCACTGGCTTCTGCAGGTAAATGTGGCTTTAATTCATGAAGAGTTCTTGGAGTGTCGCTGGCTGGAAGGAACACCAATGCAGGCAAATGACGCATTTTTAAAGTGAAGCTTCATCGTTGCCGTATCACGTGGCCAATCTACTCAGCTGAATTTTCCACCAAATGCAAATTAAGACAATAACAAGGTAATAGCTCTTCCTAGCATGATGCAACTAACATCACGCAACTAACAGGACACAACTGTCCTGACTACAGCCAAAGCACACTAACCCCTTCCCCAGAATTCAGCTTTCAGGATTTCAGCATTTGGGATTTTGATCTTTCAGGATTTATTTTTGGGACTCTAGACTTTAGGAATTTTGATCTTTCAGGATTTCAACATTTGGGATTAGGGTGTTTATTTGTCTTTCAGGATTACAATCAGTACCACATTTGGGCTATGCATTGTTTTTAATGGTAAAGTTAAACCTGTTTTCATATGTTATTTCATATGCATTTATTCTATAGTAAATTACCTCATTCTGTGCCACGTTTTAAGTTTTTATCATGATGTCCATTGCTTTCTTCCTTCTTTGTTAGTTTCTCTTACAAATACTTTTACCAGGCTGCTCTTGATTTTTCACTTTTTTTCACATGAAAACTTTAGAATTGTACATATTCAAGCCTAAATCTTTCCCTTTGTCACGTAATTAGTTGAGTCAGACATAGAAAAAGCCTTTCCCACTTAAGATTATATAAAAATTAATCCATATTTTCTTCTACCACTTTTATATTTTATTTTCTAACATTTACATTTTTAGTCCCCATGGAATTTAGTTTGGATATAAGGTATGTAGCAGATTCTAATTTCATTTTATTAATTATTATTATTATTAACTATAGTCATTTTATGCAATACTGTTTATAAAATAAGACCTCCTTTTCACATTGGTGTGAGATACCATCTTAATTTCACACTGTTTCCATTTATTCTTGAATATATTTCTAGATATTTCTAGAAATAGGAATATTTCTATTGCTGTGGCTTTTAAAAATTTTTTAATTTTTATTTTACTTTACTTTTAGAGATGAGATCTCTCTGTGTCACCCAGGCTGGAGTACAGTGGAGCCATCATAGCTTACTGCAGCCTCAAACTACCGGGCTCAAGTGATCCTCCCACCTCATCCTCCTGAGTAGCTGGGACTATAGACATGAGCCATCTCACCCAGCCCTCTGTGGCATTCTTTAATGTATTAATTAGACACTTTAAAAATTGTTTGATAGTATGAATATTATTTTATTTTTCCAGAAGAACTGCAGATTATTTTTGTCATTATCTCCTAAAAATTTATTTGAATCATAAAAATGCTTACAGGTTAACTTAAAGAGAATGAAAATCCTTATGATATGTCTTCTACATTTATTTTAACATTTTTCACTCAATTTTTATATGTTCATGATAAAATATTTTTAACTTTCTTGTTATGGTTATTCCTAATACTTTTAAATTGTTATCGTGAATAGTTTTATTAGAGTTTATGCTTATTACAAGTATGTAAAGATTTTTATTTAGCTCACTTATTTGCGCTAATAACTTTTCATTTAGCTCTCTTCAGCTTTCCACGTAGCTTGCTGTACCATTTTCAAATGCCAAAAGCCTGTTTTCTTAGTTCTTGTGGTACATGCGACTTGCTTCTCTTCGCTTACTTATCGAATTCTGTAAAACACATCAAGCTGCTCTGGCCTTTGCTCTAAGTTTAGTGCCAGTGCCTCTAGAGTCTCAATGGTGACTATGATATTGTCTGATAGATTCAGATAATTATTGCCTATTAAGATGGAAAAGTACTCCGTAATATTCATGAAGTAAGATTTTGAATCTTTCTAAATGCTTTCTTGGAAACTGTCAAGATGATCATAAGTTGTGAGTTATATTAATATACTTCCTAATACTGGACACCTTTTGTTCCTGGAATAAAAACAGATTTGTCATAATATATGCATATTTTTTAAATGAGCTGATTTATTAATATTCCATTGCAAATATATTGTCTTTGTAGTCTTAAATGCAGTTGCTATTGCCAGGGTATTCAGTTGTTATATTTTTAAATTATTATTATTTTTAATTGACATAAAAATTATACATATTTATGTGGTAGAGAGTGATATTTTGATAGATGTATACAATGTATAATGACCAAATCGAGGTAATTCATCACGTCAAGCATTTATTGTTTTTGATATCCCTAAGGCTGTAGGTGTTTTCAAACAGAATGGATGTTTACCAGCTTCTAAAAGCATTATAGGCTCTACCACAAAGCCACCTACAAGACTAAGGTTGTTTTGTGGAGAACTTTATCATGATAATTGTGGGTTTTTTTCTTGCTGTTATTGTTTTGTTTTTGCCAACTCTTTCAAATTCTTCAAGGTTCTTGGTTTACCTATGTAGGATTTTTATATTCAATGTTAACTCACGCATTGATCTAGTTTTACCATTGTTTAAAACAGGAGGGTAAAACTGCTAGTTACCCCATCACGGCCATGAACAAAAATCTCTTATACATATTTTTAGGCG
The DNA here is from genome assembly GCF_000001405.40 of Homo sapiens. Classification (NCBI taxonomy): domain Eukaryota; kingdom Metazoa; phylum Chordata; class Mammalia; order Primates; family Hominidae; genus Homo; species Homo sapiens. Next base: position 169,402,661 of record NC_000006.12, read on the forward strand.
ACCAAATGGATGGGTTGCTACTGAGTGAATGTTGGGAGTGCAACTGTTAGAAGGTAGGCATGTGTTCATCCTCTGTAGATTCTGTCAAATAATTTTCTAAAATTATTACTGGTTCAAATACCTTCACTTTCAGTTCTATCACTGACATTGTCAAATTATCTCTACAAGGAACTCTTACTCAAGGAGAGTATTTTATCAATTTGTTTTCTGAGTCAACATGACTTATGAGAACTTCCTCTCATCTTTGCACCTGAACATCTTGGCTAGTAGGCAGTTCTACAGAGTATTTTTCTCTCATTATCTGATCATCTTTCTCCTTATCTCCTGGAATTTATTGTTGCAGAGATGCCTGCTAGGTAATCTGTTATTATCTGTTTTTAATTATTTTGTTTTTTATCAGAATGTTGAATACAACTTCTGCTGGAATATGTTTTTCTGTAACTATTCTATTAATTTGGCCCATGAAGTTCTTTCTCTGTCCAGAAATGTGCACACGCGTACACACACACACACACACAGAACACATCTCCTACATGACACCTCTCGCCATGCCTGGCTCTGCGAGTCTTGGCCCCCACACATTTTCATTTGAGTTTCCTATCTCCTCAGGCACAACCCTCACTGCCGTGTCCTTCTTTTAGTCTGTCACAGTGACTGACGAGCTGGGCTTGCAGCATTGTTAATCATGCTCACACTGCCTCCAATAGATAATATCTTTCAGATAGCCAGTATCAGTTTTATTAGAGAGCTTCCTTTCTTTAATAATTTCCACTTTTATTTTAAATTCAAGGGGTGCATGTGCAGGTTTGTTACATGGGTATACTGAAAGACGCGGTTCAGGGTGTGAATGATCTCATCACCCAAGTAATGAGCATAGTACCCAGCAGAGGTTCTTTCAACCCTTGTCTCTCTCCCTCCTGCCAGTGGTCCCCAGCGTCTGTTGTTCCCATCCTCATATCCACATGTACTCAGTGTTCAGCTCCCACTTGAGGGTGAGCACATGCAGTATTTGGTTTTCTGTTCCTGCCTTAATTTGCTCAGGATCATGGCCTCCAGCTGTGTCTATGTTGTTGCAAAGGACATGATCTCCTTCTTCTTTATGGCTGCATAGTGTTCCATGGTGTCTATGTACCACATTTTCTTTATCCAGTTCATTGCTGACAGGCATCTCGGTTGATTCCATGTTTTTGCTATTGTGAATAGTGCAGCAGTGAACACATGGGTGCATATGTCTTCTTGGTAAAACAACTTATTTTCCTTTGGGTATAATACCAAATAATGAGATTGTTGAGTGGAATGGTAGCTCTGTCCAAAACTTCCTGTTGTCATTTCACTCCGTTTCCACTTCAGTAGGTTTCTATTTTTAGCTGACATGTCTTCTTATATTTTATTAGCAATTTTTTTTTTCCTGAGACAGAGTCTTGATCTGTCTTCCAGGCTGGGGTGCAATGGTGTGATCTCGGCTCACTGCAACCTCAGCCTTCTGAGTTCAAGCAATTCTCCTGCCTCAACCTACCAAGTAGCTGGGATTACAGGCATAAGCCACCACGCCTGGCTAATTTTTGTATTTTTAGTAGAAATGGGGTTTCACTATGTTGACCAGGCTGGTCTTGAACTCCTGATCTCAAGTGATCTGCCCACTTCAGCCTCCCAAAGTGCTAGGATTACATGCATTAGCCATCATGCCTGGCCAATGGTTTCTGGAAATAATTTTCTGCATTTTAGAGAATATCTAACACATTCTTTCCCTTTGCACCTAAATATTTTAGCTGTAAAAATTTTTACATTTCTACATTTTTATTTAGATATCTTTGTAACAGGCTCAAATAATACTGTTTTCCCTTTTTATTTATTCATAAACAAGGTCATTTTGTGTACACTTCATGTGGTTATAGCAAGAATAAGTGCATTTTCCTTAGTCTCATTCTCTGTCCATTAGTAAAATGGTTAAAATCTTTTCTCAAACATAACTGGAGAGAAAGTGAGGAAGGCAGGTTTAATGGTTGATTATAATTTTCAGCTTACCTTGTACATAGAAAATGATATTATCCAGATTAAATACTTAGATGTCTTCCAAAAATTCACTCCTATAACTTCACCACTTAGAATATACTGGGTCACAGTTGGTTTTCCTGTAATTCGCGTCAACACATTTTCTAATGTTTGCAGTACTGTGTGACCTTCAGAAAATTACAGGAAAAAGAGAAGTTGGAAAGTCATCTGTCCTTCAGAATTCTACCTCGCACAGTTTCAAAGGAGTTTCGAGTGTGCATTATTATGGATTGTTGCATGACGGAGTACCTGAAACTTTGTGGCTTAGAGCAACCAACAGGTGTCATCTCATAGTTCATGTAGGCCAAGAAACCATAAGGCTTCTCCACCAGTCTTCTCCGCTGGAACTGTGGTCAGGCCCCTCCTCAGATTGCAGCTGCTGCCAGCAAGGGCCCTGTTCTCTTTTGAGGATTGAGCAGGGAAAAGGTCTCGTGTAGAGTTCACAAAGAAGATGGCTGATGGGATGAACCTCAGCTCCTTCGTGGCTACTGGAAGGAGGCCTTCAGTCCTTGCCCACGCTGCAAGGAGGTCTTCAGAGTGCTGCTCACAACAGGTACATGTGCTTCCCCAGCATAAGATCTGAGAGCGCAAAAGAGAGCGGTAGCAATGGAAGGCCTCAGATGGTAGTCACATGCATTTTAAAATCTAATGTGCAAAGTTATGTCCCTGTTTTTCTTACTTTGGCCATACTCTCTTCATTAGAAGTAGTGGGTGAAACCATCGGTCAGGGGTGAATATTACCTAGAGTTGAGCACCCCTGAGATGGAGAGGGCCATCTTCAAAGCTGTCAAGCCTGGACAGTGATCTGCGCCTCTTTCTGGTTGCTTCTGTGCTCTGGCCAGGAACGTATCGGAGAAGAGCTATGAAGCTATGAAGCAACTTCCCAGTGCTTTTTTCAGGTACAACTGCCAAGAACTAAAACTGGGGCCTTCCATGAAGAAGACTGAAGCCTTGGTTGGCTCTTCTTAATTTATCTTCATCACCACTAGTATTTATAACTGCAAAGTTTTGGTATTAGATCGTCTGTTGGTCTGAATTTTTAATGTCAAGAATTTCTGTCTTTAATTATATTTGCTGTAATGTTGGATGTAAAGCATTGCATGGATCTTGCTAGCCAGACATTACTTTAAGCATCTTGCATTCTTATTTTTTTCTCTAGTTCACTTTTGAACTAAATGTGCTTTCTAATGAATAACTAGAATTAGGATTAGATATGTAAATCATGGTATGTGTATGGTCTAGGAAGGACTCAAAGCAATGCTAAAAAGTATGCACATAATTTTAGGGGTAAGTTTGACTTTTATTTGTTTGTATGTAATCACATAATGTGATCCCAAATCCCAAATAGGATAAAGTCATATTTGACTTAGGTATGAGGGCAAATGTGGCAACTTAAGTATCCCCAGATGTTTTGCTAAATTAAAAACATAAGGCACATATGTTTAGAGTCTTATTTAGCCAGAATATATGCTACAGTTGTTATGAATATCATAAAATTACACTAATATTATGAAACAGAGAGAGAAGAAAATTGTTTGACGCAGTGGTGACTCCACTGGATCTGACCCATTAGCACGTAGTTAGGGTGTAACTGCTGACAAAGGCACAAAAGGCAGCAACAAGTGTGGTTGTTGACAGGCAGAAATGTTTATCCCTGTGTTTCCTACCTAACAGTGCAGGAAACAACAAATTCACAACATGATCACCAGTAGCATTCTTTCCGCACAGATGAAGAGACGGAATGCTGGAGCTCAGATTTGAACCCGGAAGCCTGACCCTCCCGCTCGCTCTTAATCCACTCTGACCCCAGACTCTCGCTCCTAATCCGCTCTGACCCTGGACTCGCGCTCCTAATCCGCGCTGACGTGCCCCCTCCATCCAAAGCTGGGGAGAGGGGCCTGATCAGAATTTGCTGACTTCATTAACAGATCACGAATGTTTGAATGAGTGGATAAACCAGATATTGTTTTAAACAAAATCTGAATCAACTTAGAAATACTATCTTTTCTTTGGAAGATTCTTATCCACATAAATGTTGCCTGCAGAAAAAAACCTTCTTTGTATTATTTTTCACACACGCAAAATCATGGTAGTGCCATTTTAAGGGTAAAAGTTGAGAAAAGGCATCATCACTACTGCAAATGACTTTTATGTGTGCAGAGTATTTCTCTTTACCCTCATCCTTTATCCAAGTCCAAAACCTCAGCTGTGTGTAGTGTTCCCAGTCACCTCCTAAGACTTCTGGTGCTGGGAGCAAGGCCCGAGCTCCTGCTGAATTACGGCCGGAAAAATCCACTCTCCTCAAGTTTTTGCCATGTTGTGGGCTGAAGGCTTCTCTGCTCCAGCATCGAGAAGGCCAGCACATCTCCCCTGGCGGCTTTAAAGCTTTTATAAAGTGGAAAATATTTTGCTTCCTTGGACTGTGCAAGCTATAGAGAGTGAAAGATGTTGCTCTTACATTTGGGTGCAGCATATTTATTTTTCTGCAAATGGTAATCTCTTAAATCAGTGTGAATTTAAAGAGTTTCAGTTTCTCCATTTAACAATGTCATAATAAAAATGTGTGTGTTTTTTAATTAATATTTTGAGTAAAGGGTCGTTCAACTTTATTATAATCATACACATTTCTCTGCATTTCATTATCTTTCCCAAAATGTTACACGTTTTTAGTTTCAAATAAGAGGTAGAAAAAAATTAAGTTAATTTTTCTCCCTCCTGAGAAAGGAGAACTGAAAATAGCTAAGGAACTAAAACAAGGAATAGCTGCCACTTCCAGGTTTTCAGTTGCAGCCAGGGCTCACTTCTGCACACTCCCTTACAGCACACGAAAAAATAAAAAACCTCTTACAGCCAGGACTGTCTGAACGTTGATGCTTTTAATTGCTATCTCAAGTAGTTCCATAACACGCCCAAAAATTGTTAATAAGATGTTGGATTAGATGATTCTGACTAATGGCCTATTGAAATTCGGGCTTGAAAGGAGATTTTCATCATTTTTCATTGCTTTCCAAACAAAATAAAACTTGGTAGAATGGCTAAAACTGTCCTAAAAGTCTTTATTTCAGCATGTTAGGTTTTGTTTTCTTTAATTTTCCCTTTGGCCATTAAAAGAATCATTTTGTTTTTTCAGGGGCTACTCCCATATTGGCTGAGCCCATCCAACATGAACGTTTGCAATGATAAAACTGGAAATGAAAGAGAATAAAGGCTAGGCACAGTAATTCAGGTTTCGATTTTTTTTTTACTAATATTATTTTACTTTGAGGAGTACATTATTTTTTCAAGAGGTTTTATTTGATGAATGGTTCTTTGCAATTGCTTTGCCAGATGACAGCAAACTGATGTAGGGCTGGGATGGATTAAGGTGGGCGAGAAGGAAAATTCTGCTAAATATAGTTTTGCAAGAGACAAGCTTCAAAACCAGAATATATTTTCTAAGAAACTTTTGAACTAGGTTGAAATAATGAGTAGTAAAGAACTTAAAAATTTATATTTCCATCCAACCAATTTTATGACATTTTGCTCTAGGAGTATTTATTTTTATATCCCCAAATACTCTCTGGTAGGTGCATTAGGTCCAGGTCTATACATCCAAGGTGCACGAGCAATTTGCTAAGAAGAGCAGGCAGACAACATGGGTGATAACTCGGGCCCTAACGTGAGCGTTCTGACCTGAAGTAGCAAGTCTAGAGCCTCCTGCCGCTCACACCCCACACTGTTTAAGCTCCAGGTGACTCTGGCTTTCGCAAGGAGCTGGGATTTTATTCAAGGACTCTGAGCAGGGCTTGTCTTTCTTCTCCCACATGGAGAAATGGGCTTTTAATAATTCACCTCTAAGCGTAACAATGTAGTTGGTTTTTATTCTTCTATTCTTTTAATTTTTTTTTTAGATTTTGTAAATTGAGGTTAAATATACATAACTTAAAATTCACCACGATAATCATTTAAAGTACACAACTAAGCGCATTTAGGACACTCACAGTGTAGTGCGGCCTCAACACTCACTTGTTCTCAAACATTTCTGTCACCCTGAAGGAAACTCCACGGTCATTAAGTACTAACTCCTCCTTCCTCGCCTGTGGCAGACGCAAACCTGCTTCCTGTCTCTATGGATTTGCCTGTATGGGATATTTCATAGAAATGTGGTCAGATCAGATGTGTTTCTGTGTGTCTGGCTTCTTTCACTTCCCACATCGCTTCTGAGGTGCTTCCATGTTGTGTCATGTATCAGTACTTCACCTCTCTATTGTTTTCCAATTATTGATTATGGTAAAATACACATAAAGTAAAACCTACCATCTTAACCATTTTTGAGTGCCCAGTTCAGTGGCATTAAGTACATTCATACTGCTGTGCAACCATCACCACCATTTATATCCAGAACTCTTTTCATCTTGTAAAACTGATACCCTGTCCCCATTAAATGCTAACTCCCTAACCCCCAGACCCAGCCCCTGGCACCCACCATTACACTCTCTGTCTCTATCATTTTCACTACTCTAGGGACCTCATAAAAGTGGAATTACATAGTATTTGTCCTTTAATACAAACTAATAACCTGGTAAAATAATGGGCTGAAGACTTTAATAGCTGTTGTCTTCTACTCTTACTTTGCTAAGTGTTTGTATCAGAATGATTGCAGTTCACTGTATATCACTTTTATGTAAATAAAGTTGTTGAAAAAAATAATCGAAACTTGTGGGTTGTAGCTCAACAGTGCCAAGACAGAAATTTATATGTTTTTTACAATACCTATAGATGTATACACACACACACAGGAGGTAGAAAAAGTTGAAAAATAATTATCTACCCTTCTACATCAAGAAGCTAAAAAAGAAACAACAAATTAAACTGGGAAAAAAGAGACAATCATAAAATAAAGAGCAGAAGTCAATATGTTATCAGCAGCGAGCCCAGGTGGGGTCCATGGTCCTCGATTCTTGTCTTCTTGGAAGAAAGAATTCAGCCAAGAGACAGAAGTAGATTTAAGGCGGAAGTGAAGGTTTATGGAAGTAAAGGAAGTACACTCGGCAGAACCAAGCAGGCACTCGAAAGATTGAGGGTCCCACAGGACCTTTGGCTTGGGGCTCTCATAGATTTGCTATTTCCTGTTTTTTTCTGGTCTCTTCCCCTTGTCTTTTCCCTTGGGTGGGCTGTTGGCTAATCCCCACATGCGCAGTGACTTGCCAGCATTTGGGAGGGGCCACATGTGTCCTTTGGTGGTTGAAGTTATGTGCATGTTGTCTTAGGGAAATTTTCCCTTCCTGGTCTAGCTCCCCCAGAGGAAGGTCATATACTGTTCAGACTTCGCCATTTCACCCCTTTCTGCGCATGCCTGGACATATTTTAAGTTCTCAGTGGGAAGCTGTTGCCCACAAGCTCAAGATGTTTCCTGTTTGTTGGGAAATATTTCATTCCCTGGCACCAGCCATGACCACCTATCATTCCTGAAGAAGCTGCCTGACAATTGCTATGACAGTTGCCTGGCTAGACATTCCCTGGGGCCCTGGTCCTGCCCTTCCCTCTCTGCCTGTCCACCCTCTCTAGCAAATGCACTATGAAAGGTATTTAGTGTCTGCACTGGCCTGCTATCTATTAACTACATGAGGGTCTGTCTGACCTGAGAGGCCTCCTGGGCCTGCATGTCCCATGGATAGAGGCTGGCACTGCTTCTTTTCAGACTGAGGATGCTTTTACCACCCCAGCAAGGAACATTATCTGGACTCACAGACTTAGCCACTAGTTTCCGGATGTTTAAGCTGAAGTCCAATAAAGAAAATAAATGCAGGATTCTAGAGATTGGGCAAACTTATAATTAAATCAAATGTTTTAATGACCTGGTAAGTCATGGTACATCAAAGTCAGTAAACAGAATGTGGTAGCTCAAAATCAAGAAGAGGAAAGATTGGATTAGTAAACCCTGTCTTTAGAACAGGGTAAATGTATCTTAAGTAAAATCACAAATGTTGACCAAAAAAGTATGACTCTTTAAAAAAGGGAGGTTTTCTGCTTTTTCTGGAAGTGTCCGTAAATGTCTCAATTGCTCCGCTCATCTTCATTACATGCTGTGCCTCCCCAGTGCCCAGGATTCAGTCTCCCCAGTTATTCTCAAATTATCAAAAAGGGCCCCTTGAAAAGGGGCTGATTCTAAGTTTTGTGCAAGAGAATGCAAGATGATCATGAAAGCTCTGTTGTTGTTTTCTTTTTTTCAGTTAGGGTTGTGGGACACATTCAAAGAAGTCTGGAGATGCTGATGAAAGGATTATCTCGTAGAAGCCCCAAATGACTTGAGAGAAACAAATGATTACCCCTAATTAAAAGCAGTTTGTGAAAAGGCCTGAATTCCTGGGCTTAAGAGGGGCAAGCAGTAGAAAGTGTGCTGGAGAAATACTCCATGGTCAAATAAATCAAAGGATGAATGCTCAGTTACAGAAAACATAATAAATGACAAATTGCTGGATACATGACCAAGCTTCGGATGTGGATCTCCAAGAACGAGACTTGTTATTATGATCCTTGGACCTAACAGACCCAGATAAGAGAAGTCTGAAAAGTGCCTTTCTGAACTACTGGGAACCTGGAAGCAGATGTCTACTCAGCTGCCCTGTGGCTCTGGCTCTGATTCCTGGTCCCAGTGAAGACCCAGCTTTGCGAATGCTGGTTGGGCTCAGGAGCAGAAAAGCTGGTGCCAGCAATGTTCCCATGCATGGAAGCCCCTGAAGGCTGTGGCGGGTTCATCAGAGTGGGGAGGTGACCCTCACGGAACACAGAAATGCATTCTCCCGGGGCTTGAGGACCCCACCTCGTGTGGCCTGTCCATACCAGCGGTGCTGCCCTGCCAGCCATGGCAGAGCCGAGGGGAGCTTTGCTGATCCTCCCTGCCCCAGTCCCTGCCTTATGTGGTGATCCCACTTCCCAAGAGCCTCCGCATTGTTAGATACAACAGGGAAGTTAGTCTTATGTTGGAAGGTTGTTCTGGCGTGAGCTCTTCCCATAGATGAGGAGCTGCTTGAAGTCCCCACTGTGTGCTCTTCTATAGAGAAGGAACCACCTGAAGTCTCTAGCACGTGCCCTTCCCACAGAGGAGGAACCCCCAGGAGTCCCCAGTGTGAGCTCTTCCCACAGAGGAACCACCTGGAGTCCTTGACATATGTTCTTCCCATAGATGAGGAACTGCCTGGAGTCCCCAGTGTGAGCTCTTCCTATAGATGAGGAATCGCCTGGAGTCCCTGGTGTGAGCTCTTCCCAGAGATGAGGAACCCCCGGAGTCCCCGGTGTGAGCTCATGGCCAGTTGCCACACAGCATCCATGAGGACTGTTGTGCAGTCGGATGGGGAGTCTCAGAACCTAAAAGGACAGGGGAACCCTTACATGATTATATAAGACAGGCTTTCTACACAAGTTGGGAAAATAGAACTTTTTCTGTATGACAGGGTCTGAAACAACAGCCAGCCTTAGGATAAATGGGCACAGACTAGGTTGTCAAAGGCTTAACATTTGGATCAGAACCAGGGCTTAGGTAGGGGTAGCGACTGTCCAATCATGTTTCACGTAGGCTGGTTCTGAGTGTTATTAAGACATTCCATGAAAACAACTGACCCATGGCCAACATGTGCAGAAGATGCTGGTTCAGTAACCACCATAAAAATGTATGAGTCTGTTTGCTCTGAGATTTCTCAGTGTTTTACCATGATACTCTGCACTGAACATGCTCCTTCTATTGGCACCTCTTAAGGGACTGGTGTCCTGGGGCACACAGAGCCCCAGTCCCCCATACATTCGGTCTCCTCTTCCCCCCACCTGGGGCAAGAGGGCTTCTCTGCAATGGCCTTGTCTTGTCCCTTTGGGGTTGCCGGGTTACTCTCCATCAGGTGCACGGAGGCCGTGCTGTGGGAGAGGAGTGTCCACGATGCAGAACCCCTGATGATGAGATTTCTTCTCACTCGCTGTCAGATGTGGATCTCACCTCCAATCAGATCATAACCTAGGACTGATTTTATGAGACTCCCACAAAGATGTCTCTAGGAACACATTGGCCTAACCTAAAATGCAAAGCACACTGCCATTGCTGGGGCTCATCTCCTGTTACACAGATGACCAGGGAGAGCCTCTCAAAGGTGAGAGCCGACACATGCAGCACCCACCAGCCTATTCAGAAAGGTAAGTACAAAGTCTTTTGGCAAATGTTGAATGTCAATGTTCCTAAGGAGAGTAAAGCTGGGACCAGGCAAACAGCACAGGCTGCATGGTCCTGGGTCTGGGGGAGCAGAAGCTGTGAGATGGAGTCAAATGGGGCAAAGAGCCAGATGCAAAGGTGAGTGATGCAAGCAGGGTTAGCCATCACCCGAGTGTGGAATGCAGCCTGGGGGCAAATTTTCACAGGGTCTCTGCTGGCTCACATGATTTCCTGGGCTTGCATTTCTCACGCTGAGCAGCTGAGCAGGTGCACTGGCCGACCATGGAGAGAAGCACTGCAATCACACTTCAGACAAGGGAGAAAGTGGCAAAGCTCCACCCCACTAACAACCGTAAGAATCTTCCTTTTAGGAATTTTGAATTCTCCAAATGTGGGCCAGGCTGCTAACTAAACGTAAATGGTACTGGACAAGGTTAAATCATGAAGTCAAAAATAGACACACAACATTATGCACTTGAGTTCTACGTTTTAAGATGGGCTTTGGCGTTTCATAATCCAAGGTGATTTCCAGCCCCAGGTTATGTATTAAACATATGGCATATTGTGGTTTACAAAGCACTTTCCTATGATTATCTATTTAGAGCTTCACAACAACCATGTAAAGAAAGGAAATAAGTATTCCAGAGTCCTATAGGAGACCACTGTGCCAAATAAACCATGGCTCATGCCTTTAATTCCAACACTTTCAGAGGCCAAGGTGGGAGGATGGCTTGAGCCCAGGGGTTCATGACCAGCCTGGGCAACATAGTAAGAACCTGTTTCTACAAAAGAATTTTTTTTAATTAGCCAAACATGGTGGTGTGTAACTGTAGTCCCAGCTACTCAGGGTGGCTGAGATGGGAAGGCCACTTGAGCCTGGGAGGTAGAGGTTGCAGTGAGCCCTGATTGCACGAACACATTCCAGCCTGGGTAACAGAGCAAGACCCTGTATTTTCTACAGCATAATTAGAGCATGTTAACAAATGTCAATTAGGACACTTCTACTTTTGGCCACAAAGTAACAGCTTTTATCGAAACATCAGCTTAATTCTCCAACCCTACTGCCATGAACAACTCTAAAAGCCAAAGAGGATGCATACACAGAAACAATGACAACATAAAGCAAGCTTTTGAAGGCACCCAAGGGCAGCTGAGTTAGGTAGGAACTGAGGGACCAAAAGCCACAAAAGAAGAGAAGTAGACTCAGGTGAGCATCACTTTTGCTTTTGCTTTTTCCCTCAGGACGTTTATAAATTGAAACCTAGAGAAAAGAGGCCAAACAGAAAGTAGTGGCCAGACGCTTTGGTACTCTGGCTGGTTTGGGAGGATCCAAGTTAAAGTTTAAGGATAAAAAGGAGGTCAGGACTTGAGTGGGAAAAGAGAAATGCAGAGGTTTATGCTCAAAATTCTGGGTCTACCTTTTCCCTGGGGCATTTCTTGGGTTCTAAGCTGTGCATGAAAGACTTCTAGAAACCAGCATGGAACAGGAACTGGAAGGATAAAGTAGAAGCTGCTGTGCAGTGCTAGGGAAACAGAAGTTAGAGTTCAAGGCTTGACAAAGAGGAGAGGACTTGCCAAACACCTTGGGGTTTCAGTTGAGTTTCCAAAAGAACTATGCCCCAGAAATAAGGACAATTTGGAAATAGCCCAGTGTTTGCAAAACCTAAAACTGGATAAAACTGGATCAAAATGATTTGCCAATATTCTATCTATTTGCAAGAAGAAAATTAAATCTTTCATAGATAAAGATGAAAAATGCCAGGATGTCTATACTAGTCACACTAATGTCAAGCATTCAATTAAAAACTACCATCCATGCCAAAAAGCAGGACTGAAACAACTGAAAACCAAGAAGAAAAGCCAGATAATACAAATAGACCTACAAGTGACCTTAGCTGGGGACTTTAATAAAAGTTTAATTAGTATATCCAAGAAAATATAGAGAATTTGATTAAAGAACTGCAATCGATAATTATTCTAATTAAAAATTGAGTAGCTAAAATTTAACGTCAGTAGGGGGGTTTAATAGCAGTCAGACATAGTTAAAAAAGTGGAGTACTGGAAGATCAATCATTGGAAAATATTCTATCTAGCATCAAGAAAAAAATATAAAATTTTTAAAAGGCAAAAGGACATTTGCAGCAGTATGAAAAATTAAACATTTGTATAAATTGATTCCAGAAACAGAGGAGGAAGGGAGGGAGGGTGAAATAGGGGAGTGGGAAGAGAGAGAGAAAATATGAATATGAATGCATTAGAAGCAGAATTAGACAAGAGACACTGACTGAGATTTTCCCTAAAACAATAACAACAAAAGGCATGAAACCACAGATTAAGGCTCAAACGATCTCAAGCAGGGCAGGTAGGAAGAAAGCCTCACCAAGTTACATCATAGGAAAGCCACTGAAACCCAAAGATGAAGAGAAAATCTTAAAAGCAGGCAGCCAGAAAAAAAGATATATTCTCTTCAAAGCAACTATAATAAGACCGACAGCTGATGTTTCCGAGGGAAACCATGGCAGACAGAAGAAAATGGAAAGAATGTTGAAAGAGCGAAATGAAAACAACTGCCAATCTAGAATTCCATGTCCCATAAAAATGTCCTTAAAAAATGCTTTAGGAAAAATAAAAGCTGATAGAATTTATCACCAACAGATCTACATTAAGAGAAATACACAAAGGGATTTCCTAGCATGAAAGAAAATCATCTGAAAAGGAGGAAAAAAATTAAAGAGAAATAAAAAGCACTAGAAGAGTTAAACATGTTGGTAATTCTAAATTAATATTCAAAACAAAAATAATATTATTATTCAGAGTTTGAAATATATGTAGAATTAAAATATATGTAAACAATTGCACAAAAGATGGTGGGAGTAGTGAATGAAGTTAATTTGCTAAGATTTTGCATAGTCCTGGGCATGGTAACAGTACTTAAGGATGCATATTGCAATGTCTAGAGTAACTAACTAAAGAATAACAAAAATATATATAATCATCCAGTTAATACAGGGTAAGTTGAATAATTAAAGATACTTGATTAATTTGAAAGAAAGAGAGAAAGGAGGAATAATTAAAACAAATTGTTTTATATGCAATTAGAACTAGTCATCTGATTACAAGGTGAAAATTTTCAGATTTATAAGAAAGAAAAACTTAATATATGCTGTTTACAAAAGATGCAGCTTACAATCAGAACAAAGAATATTTGAAAATGAAGAGATGGATAAAAGATATTCCATGCAGATACTAGCTAAAAAAAAGCTTAGGCACCTATATTAACATTTGATAAAATAAACTTTAAGGCAAACGTATCATTAGAGATAAAGATGTTTCATAAATATTAAAAAGGTTCAATTCAGTACAAAGATATATCAATCCTAAATTTTTATGCACCCAATAACTCAAAGTACTTGAAGCAAGAATTATCAGAAACAAACAAAGTAAAAAACAATCCTTAAACCGCAGTAGATTTTAAGATACCTCTGTCAGTAACCATTTGAACAATTTGCATAACAAACTTGACCTACTTGGCATGTGTAGAGACCTATCCCTAAACACTTCAGAGCACACATTCCTTTCACATGCACATGGAGTACAGAATGTTCTCCGAACGCAGTGGAATTAAACTCAAAATTGAAAACAGAAAGAAAACTGAAAAATTATCAGATATTTTATAATAAAGTAATAATAGTAGATTCTTATAACCCAAATAAAAATTAGAATAGCTAAGGAAAACAGGACATCTCAACACAGGTGGTGCGCAGTTAGAACTGCACTTAGAGGAAAATTTCTAACCTTAAATGAATGCATTAAAAAAGTGGAAAGCTAAAAAATCAAGGATCTAAGCTTATATCTTAAGAAATTAAACCAAGACAAAATTAAACCAATATAAAATTAAACTAAAACAAAATAGAAGCAACAAAATCATCAATATATGTGCAGGTAATAGAGATGAATTAACAACACCAAAGTATACAAATCATGTATTTCGATATTCTAGGGCACAAAAGTGTATGTTTCTACATACTAGCAACAACCAATTAGGCCCCATAATGTGATGCTGCTGTAAACCAATTCCAGGTGGCTAAAATTTCTTTTAAAATACCTGAAAACTAACAATATCAGTTGTTCATAAGGATGTGAGACAGCTGAAACTTGCATACTCTACTCCTGGGAATGTAAGTTGATCCTAGGAAAATGTTTTGCAGTATCTACTAAAACTATACAGATCATAACCCATGACTTAGAAATTTCACTTCTAGATATGTGCCCCAAATAATATAAATACATGTTCATCAACACACATGCAAGCATGTTCATAGAAACTATTCATGACAGTCTATGACTGGAAACCACTCAAATATCCAACATACTTAGACAAATCAGTTCGATGTGTAAATAGAATGTATTGCACAATAAAAAAGAAGAAAGACCTGCTTCATGTAACAACATAGAAGACTCTCACAGACATAATGGTGAATAAAATAAGTCACAAGATACTAACTATGGTATTGTTACATTTATAATAAGCAAAAGTGGGCAAAACAAATCTATTATCATAAGGATCAGAATAATGGTTTCTCTCATAGGGAATAAGTAGATTATTACTAAGACAGGGCAGGAAGCAGGCTTCTGGGGAATTGGTAATGTTTTGTACCTTGAACCGCTGGATCTATGGTAACCATATTTGCAAAACTTTATCAAGCCACAGAATGTGCACTAAATATTAGTATATTTTACTATTTAATTAAAAAAGCAAAATGAAACAAATATCTGATCATTTCACTCCCCCATTTAAAACTATTTAACAGCTTCTGTTTTAAAAATTTACGGTAAAATTCAGATTGTTTGTGTCAGCTGACAAGGCCCTAGGTCGCCTGGTCCACGAGTCATTCTCCAAGCTCATCTCACACCACACTCCCTCTTCCCTCACCATACTCCCTCTTCCCTCACCACACCCCAGCCTGAGGTCTGCTCCACCACAAACCCTGGATTCCCACTTTTCCTTTTTTCTGAAATGTTCTTCTCAGCTTGTCTCACGTGCCCAACTCTGCTCTCTGGGTCTCAGCTCAAGTGGTATCTCACCACAAAGACCTTCCCTGGCCACTGTGTCTAAATGGCCTTCTGCTGTGTTCCTCACTGGTCAGGGCCCCAGGGCAGCAGGGCCTCTGGCACCTTCACTGTTGGGTGCCCAACATCTGCTAGTGCCTGCCACATGGAAGGAACACGTGGGTATTTGCTGAAGGCATGAACCATTCTGATTCACTCTCATATGTCCTTTAGTCCAATTTCCAGTGATCTTTGTTTGCAACAGAGACTTTCGTCTCTCTTCTCCCTCTAGGATGAAGGCTCTGTTGGTGCAGGAATCGTGTTTGTTTTCCCAATTTCTGTGTCTCGTTAGGGAGAGCAATGCACATTCTGCTGAATAAATATTTTGAATGAAAGAACGAATGCATGAGTGAATAATTTGGTGGCCATGGTAAGGAAGTAAAAATTAAATGTTTTAACCAAGACTATATTAATCTGAGTTTTCCCCCTAAACTTGAGACTTATAGCTGCCTCTCTGTGCTACGATAAATGCTAAGAGCATGCAAAGACCGAAGTCACAGGGCCTGCCCTGCACAAGCGTGAGGTTCAGAGACAGACAGAAGTGGGGAGGCCTGACTACAGTTTAGCTGCCTCACCAGACACCATGGGAACATGGCGTGGGGTGGAAAGGTTTCTTGAGAAAGTCTTGAGTCCTCAGAATATCCCATCATGAACAAAATGAGCCAAGATGCTTCACACAGGAATTTCCATGGTGGTGGGGACAAACCCAGTACTGACGTCCCAAGTCCCTAACTTTTACTTTCCGAATATAGTGTATAAGATAAAATCCAAGAGGACAAACTAGCCCAATTTATACAGAAAGGCTTTGTGAAGTGAAAGATGTAAGTAAAGCTAAGAGAATAAGTAAATAACCACCAGGTGTATTTTATGCCTTTGCTGATAATTAATAATTAGCTGACTTAAATGTGAACCTGATCTTCTTCAAACACTGAAAAACAACTTGAGTTATACCCCATGAAAAGGTTCTGAGTAGTATTTATTTAATTAAAAATTGTAAAATCAGCCTTTAGAAAGTTTGTATGTTTATTTTATTACATCCCTGAGGCACAGCTCTTGGGATAGAAAAAGGATGGGGAGTAGCTGTGGGTTTTGAAACACTCTATTTCATCCTGGGCCTTTTCATTTTAGTTTTTTTTTGAGAGAGGGTCTCACTCTTTTACCCAGGCAGGAATGCAGTGGCATATTCAAGACTGTTGGAAGAAAACATGGCACATACAATTTCCTATCAGTAGTTTGCTAGGAGAAAATGTCAGTTGTTTAGAAAATACAAAATAATTTAACATTGAACAAACGGCTGATGCTACCATCAGCTGTATAATTAGTAGGGTCCTCAAAAACAGCTACTGGACACAGTTTCATGCTTAGAATGCACATAAGACAGTGATAACACGAAATCACACAGTAATATCACAGACGTGTTAAACCTTCAAGGATTGTTGAAATAGCACCAAGAATGTTCACTGAACTGACCTTAGTTTCTAAGGTTTATGCAATCATTTGAATTTTACTAGCCCTATCAATAGTTAAGAAACAAATTCAAAAATGGATTCTACCACTTCACAAGCAAACTTGCAATTTATAAATCCTGGAAATACAAGAAACTAACCAGTTGTAAAACCAGAGGATAATTTGGGATGAAACGAGGTCATTGGCCCATAGGGATTGTTTCCTCCAATGGAGCCCCATAATTCGTAAATCTGAAGAGGATTTCACTTCCAGCAACATGGTTTTGCTTTAAAATTCCAAGTAGGGACCCCAGTGAGCTCCCCAAGGTTCGTCTTCACGGGGCCTTACTCTCACACCCGGTCAGTATCTGTCCCTGTGCGGGGAGGAGGAGGTGGGAGACGAATCAGCGAGCCAAGAGTCTTTTGTGCTCAGGTTATGGGATTTGAAGACCGTGTTTTCTTTTTCTTTCTCTTCTTTTTTTTTTTTTTTTTTTTTTTTTGAGACAGGATCTCACGCTGTTGCCCAGGCTGGAGTGCACAGGCACAACCTTGGCTCACTGCAACCTCTGCCTCCCGGGCTCAAGCGATTCTCCTGCCTCAGACTCCCGAGTAAGTGGGACCACAGGTGCCGCCAGGCCCAGCTAATTTTCATATTTTTTAGTAGAGACGGGGTTTCACCATGTTATCCAGGCTGGTCTCAAACTCCTGGCCTCAGGTGATCTGCCCACCTCGACCTCCCAAAGTGCCAGGACTACAGGCGTGAGCCACCGCACCCAGCTGAGATTGTGTTTTCTTACGAAAACAAGGATCTTTCCCAAGTCTCCCACCTGCTGTGGAATTCCATCCAGTGCGTGTCTAGTCATCTCTTGCATTTCATGTGCATAACATTTCACTTTAGTCAACAGTCATTTGTCTGGAGGCTGCTGGAGTCGTTCTCACAAGACCTCCACCTGTGGGATGGGTGCGGCAAGCCAGAATCCACCTACCATTTGCCACTTCACCATTCAACAACTAGTCAAAGTTGCATTCCAAACACAATAACCAAGGAAACCAGGCAGGAAAAGGCACCCGAGGGAGAGAAAGGAAAGGGCTGGGAAGAGGACATCCCACCGAGGGCCTCCGAAGGTGAGTGCAGGCTGCTTTTTAACGCCTGCTCCACATTCCTCCTTCTCTGGGGGAAGTATATTTTGTGAATTTCCTCAGCAGAAGTCAACACAGCACCTATGCACAACCTGTGGTGGCTCCTGGAGGCTGAACATGGCAGCGTCTCCTCCCTCTGAACCTCCCACTCCATCAGGGCCCCTTTGATCTTTCGCCATCCTCCAAACCCTCCCTCATTGTCTACCTGAACTCATTGACCAGTTATGAGTTCTCAGTGATTTTTCTACTTAGCTTTTTTTAATATGTGCCCACCGGGGACTCTCATAAACGCCTCCCCTCCTGCCATGGGTACCCATCTGATCTCGGATCTCTCTGTAAGCTTTGTTCACTCACAGTTGCTTCTCAGTAACAATGAGAAACGGCTTGTCCCACCTTTGTGTCCGGTCATACTCTCTGGTCACCTGGACTTTGGCAGTGTGTGAAGCCTGCTTGGCCTTTAGTGCCCCGATCGCCCCGGTGGCCTGCGGAGCGTCTGCTGACGGCTTCCCAGCGGTGTTCAGGACACACAGGGTGTGGAGACACGGCGGCAGTTTGTTCTCCTGACCACCAGGTGGCTGTCACTTATATCTCCCTAGGAACAAAGAAGTGACCAAGCATTAGAGAAAGCTTTTCTTTTCTAAAGATGATATTGCCAAGGTCTGAGCTAAAATCAATTATCCAGGACATGACCCGTGAATGTTTCGCTTAGTGTTTCTCTAACTAGAACAGGCAGCTCAGACACATCATCAATTCAGAGGAATTCATCCTCCTCCAAGAGAGGCTGAAATATTAGTTGTGTTTGCAGTTCCTTCCCTGGATAAGAAAATAAATTTAGATAGAAGATGACAGCATTTCCTGAGACTCAATGGTTTCTCATTCACACAGAAGCCAGGTGTGTAGTAAAAATCTACCCGTGCCCCCAAAATGTCTGCTTTTGTCCTCAGGTCCTGGGAGCGATCTTTATCCTTCTGGGTGCCTTGGGCTTGCTGGATGGTGATGGTGTGACTGAGTGGGGTCTCCAGGCCAGGCAGCAGCAGAAGCCCTGCGGGTTGTCACACACGGAGGCCAAGGAAGCAGCTCATCCTGGGCCGAGTGTGATGGAAGTGCTGCCTCAGGGCTTCTCCTGGATGCCGCCCCGTGTGCTCTGGCCCCAGCTTATTTTATCTGTACCCTTGCCCTGTGATAAACTGTCAGCATGTGCACAGCAGCTCTCAGGGAATTCCACAAGTCCATCCAGTGAATCATTGAAGCTGAGGGTTGTTTCGGAAGCCTGGAACCTGCATTTGGGGTAGACGTGAGTGTAATGTTGGCAATATGCCCCCCAACTTCGTTGTCTAAACTCTTTGCACCAGGGTCATGTTTTGGAAAAATGAAATCTAATCATTTTTCTGCTCAAAACCCTCCAGTGGCTTCCAGTGTCAAAGTCCTTCCAGCAGCCCACCATGGCCTCGTTACAAGCCTGTGCCACGCCCTACCTGACAGTTCACGTCTGAGCTTATCTCCTGCCGCCCCATTCCCTGACTCGGCCCCAGGGTCCTCCTGCCAATCCCTGGCCATGCTGAGCATGTGCCTCCCACAGGGCCTCCTACCTATTCCTCTGCATGGATGCCCTTCCCCTCGTCATCCAAACTGCCTGCCCCTCATATCCTTATATGTCCCCTAAAATGTCATCCTGTCCTTGACTCCATGTCCAATAATTCTACATAGATGCCCCCGGTGGGTGCTCCATACCTTTCCTGTTTGCTTTTCTCCAAACGCTCCTGACTCCACACTCTACGCTGTTGTGCCTGGTGTCCTCCCTTCGCTTGGAGGAGGCAGCTCCTTGAGCTTTGTTCACCACTCAGCCAGCAGGTGGAATGGGGCCCACAGCAAGCACTCGGGAGCTACGTTCTGAAGGCCTGAGTGCGTGAACGGACGGTGCCTCCACTCCACAACACATTGCAGATGGAGAGAAATAAAACATGAAGAAAAGGCACTGCCTTTAATGAACCTAAAGCCAACCTGGCCAAACACACATGTGCATGCAATAACTGGGAGACGAGAGCTGCCATGTGCGATCAGGCCCGCTTGTGATGGAACCCATGCGTTTGGAGATGAGGAGGCTGTGCCCTGGTACCAAGTGGTCTCAAAGTGCTCAGTAAACTCAGAGGGGGGTCTACTGAAACAGGAAAACAAAGTGGATGCATGACTTGAAACGTGAAGGCTGAGGTTGAAAGAGTCACCATGGAAAATGTGACTGGGGGCCAAGAGGCAGGAGAAAAGCGTCACCAGAATGTGGGGACTGGCCAACGAGGGCAAAGAGCCTGCCACTCAAACAGGCTGCAGCAAACAGAAGCAAAGGCGGCATCCACTGCCCTAAGACCTTTGAGATGGGAATAAACCAGAGTGTTTTGAGTCTAATTATTCAGAAAAATCAGAGTAATGCCGAATGGCAGAATTTTAAAATAATAGTTTTCTACGTCAAAGGAAGGGCACATTGGCTCCCTTTGGAGTAAAGTTTTTAAAAAGTTGCTGAGGTAAACTCAGTGAAAATCCAGACAATGCTTACTCCCTGCAAATATGCAAAAGAGCCAGTCTCATCACTCACTTCGTTAGGGAAAGAAAGGAAAAGAATTCCTCACTAGCAATTGAGATTTTCTGGCAAAGTGCAAGGAGGAGAAAACTTTGACTCAAAAGCCCCTCTGTCCAGCTCGGCTCACTCAGAGCAGAGTCTCCGTGGACTTTCCAGGCTGTACTTCCACTCAGAACACAGAGAACGCCTTTCAGCATCTCAAGGCGCCTTGGGTCTGTCCCCAGGGGGATGTGCACAGCTGCAGTTAGAGGAAGGGGCATTTCCACCATTTTTTTTTTTTTTTGAGACGGAGTCTCGCTCTGTCGTCCAGGCTGGAGTGCAGTGGCGCGATCTCAGCTCACTGCAAGCTCCGCCTCCCGGGCTCACGCCATTCTCCTGCCTCAGCCTCCAGAGTAGCTGGGACTATAGGCACCCGCCACCACGCCCGGCTAATTTTTTGTATGTTTAGTAGAGACGGGGTTTCACCGTGTTAGCCAGGATGGTCTCGATCTCCTGACCTCGTGATCCACCCGCCTCGGCCTCCCAAAGTGCTGGAATTACAGGCGTGAGCCACCGCGCCCGGCCACCTCCATTCTGTGGAGAAAGCGGCTCACGGGAGGTTTTGACGCAGTGATTAGCATCCAGGCGATTATGAGAAACACGCATTTCTGTGCTCTTCTCACGACCTCTGATGACCACATTACGCCGAGGCACGAGGGGTTCACCTCGTCATTTTTCATCAGAAGAAAAGGAACATTCCTCCAGGAGCTCAGAGCTTCTCTGGCAGGTAGAAGGCAATGTGAACTCAGTCCCGAGTGCAAGCACGATAACGACCTTCTATGAATGGAAAGGGGCATTGTTGCTGCAGAGCAGCTGGAGGGGTGACCAACATGAGAGACGCCAAGAGCCAATGTCTGTCCAGCCGTGAGCCAAGGGCAGACTCCGCAGGAGGCCACGGTCACATAGAGCACTCGAAGGGTGACTCCAGGAAAGACAGAATGGTGCAGACTTGGGTCAAAAAGGCCGTGCGGTGACGCCATTGATCAACAGGACTTGGGTCAGAACGTTTACGGATGTTGAATCCCACTGAATACCCATCAATCAAAAATAGCTATTGAAGGTCCACATGATGAAAACCATATGCAGAGGGGAATGGGAGTGCCTTCGGCGGGGTGCTGAGTCCATCCTGCATCAGGTCAAAGCAGGAGGAGGAGGCGGGGGGGCTGCCACTGACTCACTCACAACCCCATGCAACGCACATCCTGAGTCCTTTCCCTCCTAACAGGCGCGACACCTTCCTGGGCGGCATGGGGGTGTCACTCCTGCTGGAGGCGCTTCCTCCTACACCTGCTCCAGCATCTGTGAGACCCACCAGAGACCGGCAGCTACTGGCTTTCTCCTCTCAACTCTAGAAGCGATGCCACGGGAGGATCACTGGCTGCAGGTCCCTCCCATCGCGCCGGACGCTCCCCGCCAGGACCAGATTCACGCGTGGCCATCCCCACAGGCCCTGTCGTCTACACGAGGCTGAGACCCAGCAGCTCCTTGTTCTCCAATCTCTCCCATCCCTGGGTTCTCCTCCCCCATCCCGTCCTGTGTGAACTGCTGAGCTCACAGCTCATCTCTGCTCCACTCCCTCCACGTCTCCAGCTGGAGGAGAAAACCCCACGGCCGGGGATGCTTCTGCGGTTCCGCCCGGGGCTCCCACCCGCGCTGCAAGGCTGCGAGTTCCCCTCATCAAGCCAGGGCCTTTTCCCGCTGCTGGCGCCAGCGAACTTCCTTAGATTCTCCACGACACGTGGCTCTGCGTGTCTCCATCTCTGACGCAGCTGCATTCTCTGAAAGCTGATGCCTGACCTTGGCATCTCCTCAGCACTGCTCAGGCGCAGGCAGCCGCTGTGCCCTGAGAATATCCTCCAGGCGATCCGGCTTGAGTCCAGCTCAACAAGTGGAAGTCCAGGGACCTCCCGATCTGTGCGCAGGAGGAGGCTGGCAGCGCCTGGGAAGGTGTCTGGGAACGTGCAGGGAGGCGCCTGGGAATCTGTGGGGAGGTAGCTGGGACCATGGGGAGGTACCTGGGAGCGTGTGGGGAGGCGCCTGGGAGCGTGTGGGGAGGCGCCTGGGAGTCTGTGGGGAGGCGCCTGGCAGCGTGTGGGGAGGCGCCTGGGAGTCTGTGGGGAGGCGCCTGGCAGCGTGTGGGGAGGCGCCTGGGAGTCTGTGGGGAGGCGCCTGGCAGCGTGTGGGGAGGCGCCTGGGAGTCTGTGGGGAGGCGCCTGGCAGCGTGTGGGGAGGCGCCTGGGAGTCTGTGGGGAGGCGCCTGGGAGTCTGTGGGGAGGCGCCTGGCAGCGTGTGGGGAGGCGCCTGGGAGTCTGTGGGGAGGCGCCTGGGAGTCTGTGGGGAGGCGCCTGGGAGCGTGTGGGGAGGCGCCTGGGAGTCTGTGGGGAGGCGCCTGGGAGTCTGTGGGGAGGCGCCTGGCAGCGTGTGGGGAGGCGCCTGGCAGCGTGTGGGGAGGCGCCTGGGAGCGTGTGGGGAGGCGCCTGGGAGTCTGTGGGGAGGCGCCTGGGAGCGTGTGGGGAGGCGCCTGGGAGCGTGTGGGGAGGCGCCTGGGAGCGTGGGGGGAGGCGCCTGGGAGTCTGTGGGGAGGCGCCTGGCAGCGTGTGGGGAGGCGCCTGGCAGCGTGTGGGGAGGCGCCTGGCAGCGTGTGGGGAGGCGCCCGGAGTGCCTGGGGAAGTGTTTAGGAGTATGTCGGGAGGTGCCTGGAAGTGTTTGTCTGGGGTGGTGATTTGTTGTGCATTCTTGCAGAGCCCAGCCCAGGCATGGACACAGCCCTTTTTCTTTGGGCTCCATACTTGAGGATTCCTCTCGAAAGAGCTCAGAGTGAGGGGTTCATTTTCATAATATCTGGGACAGTGGATGTGTCCATTTCCACAGCTCAGCCACACTGCTCCTGAAGACCCAGTCCGTGCTCCCTGCGCCCCTCAGTTTTTCCAGAAACTTTGCTTCCTGCTCTCGGCTTAAAGACACCTCGTGCCTCCGCAGGCCCGCCAGCGTGCGCTGATGAGCAAGGGACACACACCCAGGTGCAGCTGATCTGAGCCATTAGAGGAATTAAAACGCCAGCCTCCCCATCACCTTCACCTGGCAGTTCTTCCAGGACGATGGAAAAACTACTTTTCCTGCCCATCCCCTCTCTTTCCTCACCTTTAAATGGCCAAAATAGCTGCAGTTTAGGTTAAAATCACTTCGTTGTTATTATGTAACGAGCAAGCAAAGTTCAGCTCAGGAGTTTTGACAAGCCCCTTATTAACTTTATTAAAGGTTAACCGTCTCAAATTTACAGTAAGATATAGACTTATTTTATAAATTATGTCCATCAGAGCTATAAAATTGATATCTGAGCTATTAAAAGAAAAAAGCTGGAAACTTCATTTGTCCCTTTACCGTGCCAATTGAGTTCTGCGAGAGCCACTGGAAGCTCGCCGTGACACAGCCACAGTCCACCAGCCTGTGCTTCCTGCAGGCCATGCTCTGCTCCAGGATCTGGGTGGGCCCCAGCAGCGAGGAAAATTGGAAACTGTCTTTTTACTGGGTTCCATTGGTGTCACTGTGCTGCACAGTATCTGCTGAGGCCTCGCCATGCCCAAGCACAGCGCTGAGCATAGGACACAGAGGTGTGAGGGGCCACACCTTCCACACCCACTCAGCACCTGCCTGCTGCCTGCTGCTTGCCTGCTACATGCTGGGCCTCCTGACGAGGGCAGGGGGCCGACAGAGGAAGTGCAGCCCCACATCATCCGTCCCAGACAAGGGTCGTGGCAGTGCTGTGGTGGTGGGGGCAGTGGGGGGGGGGTGGCGGTTGCATACCATCCTGACCTTGTTGGATCAGAGGAATAAACAGATGAGGAAGAAATCAGCAGGTGAATGGCAGGAGGTACAGCCGCCGGGAAGAGCCCCTGTGGTCTCAGGCCTGAGGCCCTGAGGCTGGAAAGCAGGTGTTGGGTCCCAAAGGCCTTGGAGCAGAGTCCAGGCTTTGCAGGACTGAGCAGGTGGGGAGGGGGGAAACCGATCATCACCGCTGCAGCACTCTCTGGGAGAGCAAGTGGCTACCTGCGCTCTGAAAGAAGGGAGCAAAGTAGGTGGATCTGAGAACTATTGGAAGGCAGAGTCAAGTCCCTGGGATTTAGAGTGTGATGACTGGGCTGAGAGACAGGGAGGACCCAGGAAGACTGAGAATCTCCCTCTGTCCTTAAACCTGTGCACTCTGGGGACATCTAAAAAGTTTCTGACTCAGCGCCTAGGACCGTGGGCCCCCCATCTTAGAAACTGAAAGGAATGTTCATCTACCTTTAAGCAAAGGCTTGTGTTTTTAAGTGAAATCATCTCAGATCCAGGAGAGAGGGCTGGGAAGACAGTGTGCAGAGGACTTGGGTGAACTCCTGGGTCTCTGGTGTCTTTCCCAGTAATGTCTGCTGTGTCTGCAGAGCAGGAGTTTCTGCTGCTTCTTCTGATCCCAACTCCTTGCGTCCCTCGAGTCATTTCTATTCTGAATCCCACCTGTGCCCTTCACCCCAGGGCCTGTGTGGAGAAACAAGGGTGTCAAAAATGAATGAGACAGGACAAGGGGCAGCCCCTGTCTTATTTTGCTTCTTTGGAACAAGTGAAGACAAACAACAACCAAAAAAAAAAAAAAAAACCATTTCCAGGCGAATTCCCTGGATTATTTTAGCAAACTCCACAGCTTTTGATAAACTTGGGCCGAGCATAAGGAAGCAAAGAGTCGTACATCTTTTTCACATCCTTGCTCCTTTCACAGCAGGCTTTCAGCGGGAGGGGAGGAGGCGAGGCCCCAGAGGGGTCCCGGAGAAAGCAGAAGAAAGCGGCGTCGACATTTTCTGAAATGCCAAAGGTCCCGTCTCCACTTTCAATCTCCGCAGTTACAAAACAGAGGGCTGAGTCATCACTCCCATGAAGTCAGGGGAGGGGAGCCATTCAGAAGGCAGTTGTAATTTTTACTTTATCTTTTACTAAATATTGAGGATGGAAACCCCCAGCCTTTCCCACATGCATTTTCTCCAGTGGAGAGCTAGAAGACTGGGCCGTCTCTCTTGCCCTGCTTTTTGTCTTCTCTGAGGTCTTTTGAACTTTCCCCTAAGTGGGCTCAAAAGGGATGATTCAGTCTCCAAGAAGCCCAGCAAGTACTTTCAGAAAAGTTAGGGAAACGTTTTCAGCCATTTCAGAAAGTTTAGAGTGGTTTTAGTTATGGAATCTTAACACAGTTCTAAATTTGTTATGTATTCATTATCTGTTCTTAAACAGATATATTTTCCAAAGTGAATGCCACAATTTTCTGTGAACATATTAACGAATGTTTCAGAAAACAAAATTAATTAGTGGTCTAAAGTATTTGGGAAACCACGGGTTAAATCAAACAGCTTTCTTAGCTGCTCTGTGGGGGTGGGACGGTGGCGGGGGGGAGGGGGGGGTTCTACTCCTTTGATAGCCGAATCTGCACCACAGAGCTCTACAAGGGAGGCACATTTCCCAAAGGCAGCAGAGCCTGCAGTGAAGTGCCTGCTGTGCGGGGAGGGCCCGCCCTCCTATTAAGAGGGGCAGGTGGCTGGCGTCAGGGTGAGGGTGAGCCCTTGCCTTCACAGAAGATGTCCACGTGGTGGTTCTGGACTAGCCTCTTCCTTTCTCTGAGCCGCTCCTCTTCCCGTGAAGGAAGTCTTCGTCCCACTTCTCAAGGCTGCCTTGAGCTCAGAGGAGGATGCCTGGCTTGTAAGGTGCTCTCGGCAGCCACGGTTGTCCTCACTGGAAATGGAGCTTGCACCACACAGTGAGTGGGGCAGACACAGGCGTCCCAGACAAAACTCCCAGGCAGAAAGCAGAGAGTAGGAAGCAGCATCATTGGTCCCAAGAAATGATGGATCTTGCCCTCAGCAGCCCCTCTCCTGCAGCCAGAGGGGAGCGTCCTTCACCCTTGTTTTCCAGCCCCAGGCTCCTCTCTCCCGAGGCTCGTGTTCTCTGTGGCCGCATCACACGGCGCTGGGCGGCTTTGGCTTTGTCCTGTCCACAGGCCTGAGGACCCAGGGGCACTTTTACACTTCACAGTCACAAGCAGTCTAGGCTTTACTTGCTGACACAAGCCCTTGACAGCTGCGTGGGCTCCTGGTTGGTTTGCTTCAGCCGCCCCCGTGCCAAGGAGCCCACCGGATGGCTTCTGTCCTTGACTCCCTTGCACAGGCATTTGTGAAAAGACCACACTCTTCATCTCATGTCTGCAACAAGACTGAGTCCTTTTTTTTTTTTTTTCCCAACTGAGAAGTCTTAGTTTGTCATTGAAAGACTTTTAAAATTTTATTTCTGATTGTCTGGAATCTAGAAGTGATGAATGAATTCTCCCAACACTTCAAGACCTCACATTACTGGACTCTTTCTATTTTCTGTCACTTCTAGTTGGAAACCAGCGAATTCCATCCTGGCCTCCTTTCTTTCTTATCCCGCTTTGCTAAAGCACAAACTAAACCCAGCACACATGGGAGCAGGCATTTCAACTTTGTCGGGCACCACAGTCATCTGAAGGGTTATTAAAACACAGATTTCTGCAACCCACAATTTCTGACCTGGGGTCTGAAGTGGGCCCAAAACTTTGCATTTTTAATTTTCCAGGTAACACCGATGCTGCTGGTCTGGGGACTACAGTTGAGGTGCCCTGGCCTACGAGCTGTGGGTTTAGGTGGTAGTGTCCTATTTCCAAGCAATTTCAGATGACAGTTTTACCAGGTATTTGCCACGGTGTGGTATGGGTCCAAACACGTTTTCCAGATGAGTGATTTCCCTTCGAGTTGTGTTTCCAGGCCAAGGCCCCTCATGTCTCCTGGTTCCACCATCTTCAAGGGCCTCAAGGTCACTGGGCTCATCTGCTCTGAGCTGCAGAAGGGCACAGGGCATGGGGCTGTGTCTTGGAGGCTTTAGAAGTTGGCCCTAAGAGTGGCACACGTCAAACCCACCATATGTCACGGCCCAAACTCCATCATGCAGCCACACCAGGTTGCAAGGGAAACTTTGGTTCAGACACAGAGCCTGTTACCTGAAGAAAGAAGGGAGAGCTTGGTGAGCACCCGCCTACCTGCTACAGGGCAAGGGAAGGCCAGGCAGCCTTTGAACAGGCCCCACAGTGTAGTAGGAGCTTGCAGCTAGGCTAGGGGTATGCTTTGACACAGGACCAGACGGTCTGGTAGAGAATCAGATGTGTGGTGTGAAAGAAAGGAAGGAGTCAGAAATGAATCCAGCATGTTGGGCTGAACAACAGGAAAGATGCAAGCTCTGCACAAGTGGCTTCTGTGGCTGTTTTGTCCCTCCTACATCTCCAGCCCCAAGTGCCGGAAACCTAGTAGGCCTCATTATATGTCCTGAATGAGGACGAGGGAAGTTCAAATGGAAAGCTGTAGCTTCCACAAGGATGAAGAAGGAAAACAGGAACATCATAACTTGGAAGAAACTTTACCGACACTTTCAAACGAGGCTCCACTTGTCAGGGCAGATCCCAGCTCATTCTCTGGCACAGAGCTGTCCTCATCTGTAATAGTAATTATAAAGAACCTTGTAAGCTGAAAGTCATTCAAAGAAACGTAAATGAATCTTTTCTTGTTAGAATTGTGAACCCCATGATTAGCTGGAACAGTTTTTCCCGGTGGGGAGGAAGTTGACTGGAGTTTCTTTAACCATGGCATCATACATAGGCGGCCCCTCTCAAGTGCCTACTATGAAGAAATGGATGATATGAATCAGAGTTATCTTGTCCTGCCCATATAAACTATAGTCAAGAGACCGGGGGTGGGAGCACTCAGGGCACACACTGCTTGCCCAGGGATTCTGTCTGCTGAATGACTTGCTGTCACCTAAGATCAGTTTTACCTGGTAGCTGCCCAAGTGAACTGCCATGGCTCTAAGGCCAGTGTTACCTGCAACTGTCACTCACCAGTTAGGGCTTGCCAGCTCCCAAAGCCTCACTAGCGCCAATAATTTGTTTTTCAAGATAATATATTTATCTTTCTAATAAAACCCTCAAACTTCTCTTTGTGCATTGGATATATCAAAGACTGCCCCAGTCTGTATGTGTGTCCTAAATTGCAATTCTGATTTTCCAAATAAAACATTTTATTTAGAGGGGTCTCTCTAAATTTTCATTTGACTTTGACATTCTTGGTGTCAGAAGTGGGATCCAAAGCACTCACTTGACACATCAACAGCTGCTGAAACTACAACACGCAGCCCCCACACTTAGGGCTCTTTAGCCCTCTGCTTTCCCAGGTCACCTTTCTCCTATGTGAGTCTTTCTTGGATGGAGCTCCCATTTTTATATTGATTATTTGGTTTTCTTTGGGATTTAAGATGTGTCTTTTCCCCTCCTGATTATAAGCCTCCTGTTTATGAGGGATTTTTTTCCCTGTTAAAGGTGGCTTGCCATCCTTCCTGATGAGTATGTACTTTATCTTTAGGTTCATTTGCCCACTTGGATTTTATTTCAGTTTTTGTGCATTTGATATTAAACTAAATCACCTATATAAATTTGCTTACAATATGGACTGTCAAAGTTTAAATACTTGCCAAGATAGTACCTCCGTCCTGGGACTCCAGCATGTTCAAACAGTATGAGGATCATTCAAACAATTTATTTTTCTTAGAATTAAAGTAAAAGATTGTGGCTTTATATAAAATATACAATCTAAATAGAACACATTTCTCAACTGGTATCTTAAGGTTCCAAAATGCTTTCAGAACCCAAAGATTGCCTCACTGCAAACTACGGTCTCCGAGTAAGCTCAGAGTCTTTTCTCTTCAGGGCATTTTCCTCCACTTCCTACACGTCCTCTTTTTTATCCTCCTGTAATCTAAACTTTCTTTTTTTCAAAATTCCTCAGCTATTCTGGCATATTGACTATTTAAGTGAAGACACTTGAAAAACAGCAGTCACACACACAAACATTTTTAGCATTGCAGTGTTTCTCAAAAGCAAAAGAGAAAATTGCCATGTAGAAGTAGCCTTCCCTACACTAGAAAGACAATCGTTTTATTTTCAAGGATGAGGAACTGAGACCAAAAACATACTGTAAAACTTTATTAGAATAACTCTTATCTTTTAAATCTCCTCACCTAATTCAGACACATTTTCACAGTTAACTATGCTTTGTCCAATCCAGTATACTGGTAACTGACTCAAACAGCTTTACCAAAAATTTTGTTCACAGCTGATAGGGTTTGGCTGTGTCCCCACCCAAATCTCATCTTGTAGCTCCCATAATTCCCATATGTTGTAGGTGGGACCTAGTGGGAGGTAATTAAATCATGGGGGCAGTTTTCTCCATACTGTTCTTGTGGTAATGAATAAGTCCTACAAGATCTGATGGTTTTACAAGGGGTTTCCCTTTTTGCTTGGCTTTCATTTCCTCATGACTACCACCATGTAAGACGTGCCTTTCACCTTTCACCATGAGCATGAGGCCTCCCCAGTCACGTGAAACTGTGAGTCAATTAAACCTCTTTTTCTTTATAAATTACCCTGTCTCAGGTATGCCTTTATCATCAGTGTGAAAATCGACTAATACAGTAAACTGGTACCAGGTAGTGGGGCACTGCTGTAAAGATACCGGAAAATGTGGAAGTGACTTTGGAACTGGGTAACAGGCAGAGGTTGGAACAGTTTGGAGGGCTCAGAAGAAGACAGGAAAATGTGGGAAAGTTTGGAACTTCCTAGAGACTTGGAGGGCTAGAAGACAGGAAAATGAGGGAAAATTTGGAACTTCCTAGAGGCTTGTAGAATCACTTTGAGTAAAATGCTGATAATGACATGGATAATAAAATCCAGGCTGAGGTAGTCTCAGATGGAGATGAGGAACTTGTTGAGAACTGGAGTAAAGGTGACTGTTGCTATGTTTTTTGTTTTTTTGTTGTTTGTCTGTTTTTTACTTTAAGTTCTGGGATACATGTGTAGAGCATGCAGGTTTGTTACATAGATATACATGTGCCATGGTGGTTTGCTGCACCTATCAATCCATCATCTAGGTTTTAAGCCCCACATGCATTAGCAGGGGTCTCCCTCCCCTTGCCTCCCACCCCAAAAGAGGCTCCAGTTTGTGATGTTCTCCTCCCTGTTTCCATGTGTTCTCATTGTCCAACTCCCACTTACAAGTGAGAACATGCGGTGTTTGGTTTTCTGTTCCTGTGTTAGTTTGCTGAGAATGATGGTTTCCAGCTTCATCCATGTCCCTGCAAAAGATCAGAAATCATTCTTTTTTATGGCTGCATAGTATTCCATGGTGTATATGTGCCACAGTTTCTTTATCCAGTCTATCATTGATGGGCATTTGGGTTAGTTCCATGTCTTTGCTATTGTGAATAGTGCTGCAATAAACATATGTGTGCATGTGTCTTTATAGTAGAATGATTTATAATCCTTTGGGTATATACCCAGTAATGGCATTGCTGGGTCAAATGGTATTCCTGGTTCTAGATCCTTGAGGAATTGTCACACTGTCTTCCACAATGGTTGAACTAATTTACACTCCCACCAACTGTGTAAAAGTGTTCCTGTTTCTCCACATCTTCTCCAGCATCTGTTGTTCCCCGACTTTTTAATGATCGCCATTCTAACTGGCATGAGATGGTATCTCATTGTGGTTTTGATTTGCATTTGTCTAATGACCAGTGATGATGAGCTTTTGTTCATATGTTTGTTGGCCACATAAATGTCTTCTTTTGAGAAGTGTCTGTTCATATCCTTCCCCCACTTTTGTATGGGGTTGTTTTTCTCTTGTAAATTTGCTTAAGTTCCTTGTAGATTCTGGATATTAGCCCTTTGTCAGATGGATAGATTGCAAAAATTTTCTCCTATCCTGTAGGTTGCCTATTTACTATGATGATAGTTTCTTTTGCTGTGCAGAAGCTCTTTAGTTTAATTAGATCCCATTTGTCAATTTCGGCTTTTGTTGCCATTGCTTTTGGTGTTTTAGTCATGAAGTCTTTGTCCATGCCTATGTCCTCGATGGTATTGCCTAGGTTTTCTTCTAGGGTTTTTTATGGTTTTAGGTTTTACATTTAAGTCCTTAATCCATCTTGAGTTAATTTTGTGTAAGGTGTAAGGAAGGGGTTCAGTTTCTGTTTTCTGCATATGGCTAGCCAGTTTTCCCAGCTTTTATTAAATAGGAAATCCTTTCCCCATCGCTTTTGTCAGGTTTGTTGAAGATTAGAGGGTTTAGATGTGTGGTTTTATTTCTGAGGTCTCTGTTCTGCTCCATTGGTCTATATATCTGTTTTAGTACCAGTACCATGCTGTTTTGGTTACTGTAGCCTTGTAGTATAGTTTGAAGTCAGGTAGCTTGATGCCTCCAGCTTTTTACAATTGTCTTGGTTCCATATGAAATTTAAAGTACTTTTTTTTTCTGACTCTTGCTATGTTTTAGCAAAGAGACCTGTGGCATTTTGCCCCTGCCCTAGAGATCTGTGGAACTTTGAAGTTGAGAGTCATGCCCTTAGGTTATCTGCTGGAAGAAATTTCTAAGCAGCAAAGCATTCAAGATGTGACTTGTGTGCTGTTAAAGGCATTCAGCTTTACAAGGGAAATGGAGCATAAAAGTTCAAAAAATTTGCAGACTGATGATGCAATAGGAAAAAAAGAAAACACACTTTCTGGGAGAAATTCAAGCCAGTTGCAGAAATTTGCATAAGTGACAAGGAGCCAAATGTTAATCACCAAGACAATGGGAAAAATGTCTCCAGGACATGTCAGAGGTCTTCACAGCAGCCCCTTCTATCACAAGCCCAGAGGTCTAGGAGTAAAAAATGGTTTCATGGGCTGGGCCCAGGGCACCCCTGCTGTGTGCAGCTTATGGACTTGGTGCCCTGTGTCCCAGCTGCTCTAGCCATGGCTAAAAGGGTCCAAGGCATAGCTTAGGCCATGACTTCAGAGGGTGCAAGCCCCAAGCCTTGGCAGTTTCCACATGGTGTTGAACCTGAGGGTGCACAGAAGTCAAGAATTGAGGTTTGGGAACCTCCACCTCAATTTCAGAGGATGTATGGAAACACCTGGATGTCTAGGCAGAAGTTTGCTGCAGGGGTGGGAGCCCCACGGAGAACCTCTGCTAGGGCAGTGCAGAAGGGAAATGTTGGGTGAGTCCCCACTGGGGCATTGCCTAGTGGAGCTGTGAGAAAAGGGACCATCCTCCAGACCCCGGAATGGTAGATCCACCAACACTACCAACAACTTGCACCGTGCTCCTGGAAAAGCCACAAACACTCAATGCCAGCCCATGAAAGCAGCTGGGAGGAAGCCTGTACCCTGCAAAGCCACAGGGGTGGAGCTGCTCAAGGCTGTGGGAGTCCACCTCCTGTATGAGTGTGACCTGGACGTGAGACATGGAGTCAAAGGAGATTATTTTGTAGCTTTAAGATTTGACTGCCCCACTGGATTTCAGACTTGCATGGGGCCTTTAGCCCCTTTGTTTTACCGGTTTCTTCCATTTGGAATGAATGTGTTTATCCAATGCCTGTACTCCTATTGTATCTTGGAAGTAACTAACTTGCTTTTGATTTTACAGGCTCATAGGCAGAAGGGACTTGCCTTGTCTCAGATGAGACTTTGGACTGTGGTCTTTTGAGTTAATACTGAAATGAGTTAAGATTTTGAGGGACTGTTGGGAAGGCATGATTGGTTTTGAAATGTGAGGACATGAGATTTGGGAGGGCCCAGGGGCAGAATGATATGGTTTGGCTGCGTCTATCTCATGTTGTCACAAATATAATTTGAATCCAACTGTTTTCTCATACACCAGTGAATTTATATTATTATGTTTTACTCATAATTAATTTTTAAATAAAAGCTGAAAGTTTCTTGTTTTTTGGTCATCTGTATTTTTTATGCTTTTTAAATCTCTGTATGTTATGTTATATGTATACATTTTTTCAACCAGAATATATAAAAGAGCTCTATCGGGTTAAGGAGAAAATAACCATTTAATTAATTCATCACAAATATAGAAATCAACCCAAATATCTCTTAGTTCTTATGACTTAAGTAAATCTTTGAAAAATAAGCTGATTTTAAATTTATTCATAAAGCAAAAATAGAGCTGTTTTCAGAATTGTCAGCATACATTTTTTCCTGAGTTTATTGGTCAGACAGGATTATATTTTTCTCTACCAGATGTTTTAAGGTCATAAAACTATAAATCCAGCTTAAAAGCAAAATAATTTTTGTTGATGTAACTTATTGACAAATAAGACTAGTTTAATATTATTGGTTTAATGAAAACAACTGTATCTTCTGAGTTATCAGCTAAGTATCCATATATTTAACTTTAAGAGTCTTACTTAGATGAACACCTGATATTCACATGCTGTTAAAAAAATGATTAGAAGATAATGTGAAATAATTACTAGCTCTGTCTAATGTCTCAGTTTTCATAAAGTATGTGTAATTGTTAAAAATAAATAAATTAGGTAAATGTAAATGAGATTTATAAACTTTTCATGTAATTTGAAATCTTACCATTATATTGAATTAAATCATAGACATTGATAAAACATGAGTCATTTCTAAATAAGCTAAAATACAGAAACATTAATTGCTAAATATAAATTAATGTTTCTTTATTTTTGCCTTCTTAAATTTTATAAAAAGACAAAAGGCATGTTGGTCAATTAATATCATGTCCTGTTCCACATTAAAAGTTGTTCCATAAAAATCATTTTTAGACATTATAAAATACATATTGGTCCCGAGATAAAAATACATTATAATTCAAAATTTCTTCCTGGGTATTTACTAAAAATTAAAGTTACTAAACATTAAGACTTCTAATTAATATATGTAGTTCCATATACAAAGAAAATGTATATGCAAAAGTAATGTGTATGAGTAAGAATTTTGTGTGGTCTCAAAGATAGGGGGAAGAAAAAGTAAAATTTTGTCCTAAGGTAAAATGAGTGATTGTTCCAATATTTTAAAAAGGGAAATTATAGAACAAAAACTGGCAGGTCTAAGCAAATCATGGAGAGTTTATGAAGGATGGATCTTATAAAGTGAGTTTTGTATGTGATTGAGTTGGCTAGGACTGGAAGGAAATTGTTTGTTTTTCTAATAATTAAGTATTGGTGTCAGGGGTGCACTGATTAAGGACCAAAGTCTGGTACTCTATGTTTGAAATAGCAAGGTTTTCTCAGAATGTTGATCTGCTGTGGGTTTTAAAAAAGTTGCAAGGGGTTTTTATCTTAATTCTGAAATCTGTTTTTTTACATTTTCAACCATTTTCTGAAGTAGAGCTTTTTCTTATTTTACAGTTTCTACCTATTTTCAAATTAGAAGTGTTATCTTCTTCATGTAGGAAAAAAATTCATTTCTCAAGGTAGAATTTTCCTTTTGAAGCTTTTCAGACCCATATCTCAGTGGCTAGGCTTTATATGCAACCCACTCCATGTGATTTACCTTCTGTTCTTTCTTCGTTCCTTAAAAAGGTACATATTGTTGCTTAACTATAGTTCCTCAACTATAGCTAACTATAATTATATAGAAATTTTGAATTGTAATGTATTTTTATGTCATTAATATAATCTCTAAAAACAATTTTTATAGAACAACACTCTCCAACTTTTTTGTTAGTTGTTGCAATTTTTTTTTAAGTTATACTACTATTGTGGCCCGATGCTGGCCAACGTTTGTCTTAAAGTTTTCTCTGGTAACATGAGACTGTATTCTTGGCTCTTCTTTTTTTTATAATTTAAACTTTTATGTTAGATTCAGCGGGTATATGTTCAGGTTTGTTATATGGGTATACTGTGTGATGATGAGGTTTGGGTTTGGATCCCATCACCTGGGTAGTGAGCATAGTACCCAATAGGTAGTTTTTCAACCCATGCCCTCCTTCTTCACCCCCAAGTAGTCTGCAGTGTCCATTGTTTCCAACTTCTTTTCCATTGTTCTCATTTTTATATCTATGTGTACTCAATGTTTAGCTCCCACTTATAAGTGAGATCGTGGCTTTTCTTGATGTGTCTAAGTTGTTCTACGCAACCAGGCAATTTCACGTGTTTTTACTTTTACTTTTTCTTTTTTTTTTTTTTTTTTTGAGACGGAGTCTGGCTCTGTCACCCAGGCTGGAGTGCAGTGGCGCGATCTCAGCTCACTGCAAGCTCCGCCTCCCAGGTTCATGCCATTCTCCTGCCTCAGCCTCCCAAGTAGCTGGGACTACAGGCACCCACCACCACACCCGGCTAATTTTTTGTATTTTTAGTAGAGATGGGGTTTCACCATATTAGCCAGGATGGTCTTGATCTCCTGACCTCGTGATCTGCCCACCTCGGCCTCCCAAAGTGCTGGGATTACAGGCGTGAGCCACCGCACCCAGCCATGCTTTTACTTTTTCTAAAAGCCATGCATTCCCCTGATCAAGGTACTGGTTTTCTTGTTTACTTTATTCCTTTTTAATAAAGTGTACACTCATAATCTTGGACACATACTCTCGCAGTATCTAATTGGATTCAAGTACCTTTCCATGAGGTTCAACTTCTAGGTTATCCAAATGGGCTTCCCATAGGAAAGGCAGTCATACTGTAGGAGGCTTTTCACTTACCTTTCAAGTAATCAGCCTAAGAAACAGATATTTTATATTTTAAGATAAGTTCTTGTGCTTGGTGCTGTCTTTATTAGTTTTTTACTACTTAGAAAAACTAGGTCATCTCTAGTACAGGTCTAAGTTTTTTCCCTCTGAACTATGTAACTTTTTATATTTGCTTTTGAAGTCTTTTAATAATCACTCTGATTAAATAATTATCTCACAATGACATCTGATTATATTTTAATTAAATGTTTTAAGTTTTTTTAACATCTTTAACAAACTTCCCCAAAATCAAATTCTAATTTAAGTACTTTTAAGCTTAAATTGACTTTGGGATTTTTCAGTTGGGCCCCAAAAAAACATCAAACGATGCATCTCCCATGATGCTTATTCGATGGGTTGTATAAAGGCACTGTCAAATAATAAAGTGACACTAGCTCTTACTAAAATTATATTTAGATGGATGCATTATTGATGTGAATGCTTTAACATTTATAAAATTTATAAAGGTCTGATGGTTCTTACTGTGATGCTATCAGTAATGATTTTGGTTGTTATCTTAAAATGCCATACACAATAGAAATAACTAAATTTCTTAATCAATTGCTGAACTTTTATCACATTATAACTGTGACTGTTCTAATTTTTTGGTCATCTACAGTGCTGATTCTTATCTAGTGGCATCTGCAACAAGATTCATAAAAAAGATTCTAGCAAGTACTCCTCAGTACAGATGTCTAGTAACTTTAAGATCAATGGACTAAA
This sequence comes from Homo sapiens, assembly GCF_000001405.40. Classification (NCBI taxonomy): domain Eukaryota; kingdom Metazoa; phylum Chordata; class Mammalia; order Primates; family Hominidae; genus Homo; species Homo sapiens. Next base: position 169,439,510 of record NC_000006.12, read on the forward strand.
TAAAAATTTCTAAAATGCTAACAGGTTCATAAAACTGCTAACCAAGATAATGAAGAACAAAATTTAATTGCCTGAGATTGAATAACTGATAAAAATTATGATTTTTATGACTTTTATTTGAAACATTATTGGTTATTCATTTAAATATTTTGTTTTCCATATTTAAGAAAACTTTCTTTCTTGAGCTGCCTATAGCTTACAGCAATTTGGTAAAGTGCACTTTAATAAACAAAGGTGAAAACATTTACTTTTCTACTTGATCCCTTCAAAACTTGAAAACTATTCATGAGTTTTTTATGTTATGACAGTATGGTTTTTAATAGGATGCAATTATAATCGTTAATTATATTACCAATATTATATTGGTAGTTATATTACCAATATTATTATATTGGTAGTTATATTACCAATATTATTATATTGGTAATATAATTATTTAATATATCACATTTAAAATTAATATATCATATTTTACATTGTTTATACTCATACATACTGAAGATAAAATCTGAAGCCTGCCTTGATTTGGCTTCCTAGCTTCAAAATATTTTTAACAAAGGTCCAATCTGAGATTCAATCATTATGCTTGCTATACTAATATAAACAATCAGGCCAAATCTAATAAATCTGAATTTATGTTACAAACAAATTAGTGTTACTCTAATGATCTTTTGTAAAAATTGGGCTGTCTATAGTATATTGTTTTTAGACTGTAACCCTATGCATTGTTTTTGAGTTTTTATTATCTACCTGTAGGCTGGACAGGATACTAAACTCTCCTAAGTTCCTGTAATTCAATTTTTCTCTCACAGAATTACTAAGAAGAGAAATAGTTATTTCCTAACGCCCTATAAACAAATTACAGTTTAAATTTAGTTTTTAGTTTTAGTTTAAATAAATTTCAGGGGACAAGCCTCACGCCTAGTGTGTGGGCTACACAGAGTTCACCAAACCACCCAGTGACATAATGGGAGACATTCAAACTGTGAAACTGCCAACTTCATGCTGTAGGCAACTTTTCCCAAGAGCACTAAACCAAGACTCCATGTTCTAATAAGACCGTTGCCCCTCTTAATGCCTATCTTTTTCACTTAAATAATAGATTACTTAAGTGAAAATCTATTTATTATTGTAATAATAATTACAATGAGCTCATAATTAAAAGTTTAGAATCATACCCGATATGAATAACATAACAAAACCTGACTTAAGCAATTCTTAAGTCCACCTGTTGGGTAATTTTGGCAATACCCCCAAGACAACTTTTTGTTCTAATTGTACTAATGGTCCTTTCTACAGAGCTGGCACTCTGCTTTAATTCATCTTAATCATGAAATGCTAGTCCATGGCTACAACAAGTCTTCCCACTTCCTCTATGGCTTTTTCATCTGCTGAGTTGGTTGCCCTTAGGCATGAGCTCTTGGTTAAAAACCTTTGTACAAATTAAATTTATTATATTGTTGCTGGGTTTTTTTTTCTTGTATTTTGCTCTTGATATTTAAGCTCTGTTCTTGTGTTTTGTCTAATCTTTGTAAAAATCAGTTATCTCAACAGGATGATGTTAGCCAAATACTTTGAGATTATTGACAATGCCTAAGAGACTAATAAGGTAGAACTTGATGCTAAACTCCAGGCAAACCTGCCCTAAGAAAGGTTTTGGTTGTTTCATTCTGTTTTTCTTTCTGGCACCTTTGTTACTCAAATGCGGTCTGGGTCCCTGATGTTGACTACCTTACTTCCCCCGATGGGGGACCAGAGACCACCAAGACAGGTCCACTAAGCACCAAAAGACAATTAAACCTAATTTCAAGACAGTTGATCAGTAACATTTTCAGAAAAAGATCTTGATCAAAAGGGGGAAATGTGAGAATTAATGATGTGAACTGAAGTTAACTTGTCCACCTAAGTAGATTAGAGTCAGACCAGCGGCAGGTGGGAAGCACCGAGGCACAGGTCACTTGCCCAGGGACAATCTCACCAGCCAGCTGCCAAGTCACTTGCCCAGGGACACTATCAACCAGCTGCCATGTCAGTTACCCAGCGACAATCTCACCAGCCAGCTGCCAGGTCACTTGCTGCAACCTTAAGGCCATTTTTACGCAGGAGATGCTGAAACAAACTCCTGTGACTCCAAGACTAGTGTTACCCACTCTTGTCACTCACCAATCCGAGCTTGCCAGCTCCCTAAAACCTTGCTAGTGCCAATGAATTTTCTTTCACAACAATGCATAACATTTTTCTTTCTAAGAAGACCCTTAATCTTCTTTCTTCTTTGGACATACTGAAGACCACCTAGTCTGTGTGTATGCTTCAAGCTGAAGTCTGTTCTCTAAAATAAAACACTTTATTTAGAGATTCATGTATATATTTTTATTTGACTTTGACAATACTCATATGCCACCTCAGAAGCAAAATGTTTTTAAAAAAGAGGACGGCTTTGGGAAAACCATCACATAGGTTCTATTTTTATGTTTATCTATATACATAACTGGGATATTCAGCCAAAAAAATAAAATATTTCCCCTGACTTGTGATGGCCATTGGCAATTATAAGAAAAGTCATCCCAGAATTGAAAAGTTCAGCCATGCCCTGCCCCATGGGCCAGGTTCGTCTGCTATAAACACTCAGACAGCAAGAATTAAATGGATCCTCATCTCTGTTTTCTCAGTGTTGTGTTTGGAACTGAAAGTCTTTTCCTCCCTTCTTAATGGTGTTAATCACATCTTTATCAATAGAATTCAAAAGGCTCCCTTTATTGCCCTCACAATATGCTCTCCTGAGGCAAATAATTTAGACTCAAGTAACTGCCAAGATTACTGGAAACAATAAACCATATTTACACATGCCTGTTAATGTTTTATGTCTGAAAGAATTCTTATAAAATAGACACCCAGCATCTAGAATCAGGAGAGATATGGAACCTCCCTTTTCATGTTTGTTTTGTATTTTCTTTTACAGGTGAAAGGTAAAAGGTAAAACTTTATATTTTTATCTCCTTATTTCCTTAAGATCTTCTAATTTTAGGAAAATATTGTATCATGTTTTCACCCTCCACAAACAATCATTCTTTTTTCCAGAAATATCTTGACTCCCCTTCAAGAATTTGTCTTCTCATGAGGTAGTAGTGGTGGCTCTGGCTGTGTCCCCTGTGGTCTCCTGCCTTTCCCTGGCCCAGGAGTGGGCACATAACCGAGTGGGACCACAGCTTGGAGTCTGGAGTGAGAATAGGTGGGAAGCTCAGTGGAGAGCATATCTGGCCACCTGGCCTTGGAGTTGTCCTGTCCTGACGGATGCAGGACGACTGAGCCTGTACCTGAGCCCACACCTCCTCCTGCTGCCTGGGGATTCTGCAGGCCACCACCACCCCCACACATTCCCAATGCTATTAAGCATGCCACAGTTATTTTCTGTGGCTTGCAACCAAAAAACTCTAATAACTGATACAATTCTGCAAAGCCAACAGTCACAGACTACCAATGGCAATGAGAGGAGACCACATTCCAAAAGACAATGTGATGAGCATTTAAAGAAAGAATTACCTATGTCTGAGTGAAGACCTATGACACAAAACATGCAAGGAAAGTGGGCTGAGGTTGGGAACACAGGACATATTTTCATGAGGTTTAAATGGTTCATGCAGATTGAAGCCAGATCTGGCCTCCATGTCCTCTGGTCTCCCCTGCCACGTCAGCCACAGAATGGATGCGTGGACAGCAACACGTGCCGTCACCCAAGCTCAGCAGGACCCTCGCCTCCCAGGCTGGGTACTTGGAACTAAGAGATTGTTTAACTCTCCTGTTATTCATTTGAAACACAAACTTTGATAGCCATGATTCATCTTAATATTTAAGAGAATGGTTCCATTCGCTTTGATAGGCATGTTTTCTAATCTATTTTAAAATACTACTTTACAGTAACATATGGAAATTTGCACCTGGGGTACACATTAGTGGTGCTGTGTGTACATTTTATTTTTGGATAACTGTAAGATGGAAAGATTTAGAGATGTCTGGAAGGCTGGGTGCTCTGGCCCTGCTGACCAACAGGAAGTCCATGCCAGAGGTCGTGTCCATAGCAGTAAGAATGGAAATACTAGAGCTAAGCCAGCAATCCTGCAAGGGACCTGGATGACACACATAGGCTGAGGAGGAGCCACAGAACTCAGGACAGACCCTTCAGAGGCAGGGAGCTCAGGCCTGATGTCATCGCTCAGCCACCAAGGACATGCACATGAAGGTGGTTCCTAGCAGCTCTTGGGTCCTCATAGCAGGGGCAGCTGCCTCCAATAGAAGACTTCATGTATACTAAGAACCTTGTCCTTCTTTGAGTCCACAAAGCCTCCCAAGAGGTCCAAAACAGAGTCATTCAGGCCTGGGTTTCCAACCTGGCATTGCCACCTCCAGCAAGGCACGTAGGGATGTCGATTTCATTATTTATAAAAGGAAGATGGCGGCATAGACATGAGCTCCTTGCCATAGCCCCTCCTTCAGCTGAGCAGGTTGCAGTCAACGTGCTCAGATGCTGGATGCCAACGCTGGCTCTATTCCCAGGGTCTGGGGCTGAAGTGCATGAGACTCCCAGTCACGTGTCCAGATGGCTTTGCAAATGGCCATGATTCCATCCCCACAAGCACAGGTGCTCTGCCAGATCCCTATTTGCCCATATCCTTTATCTAACTCCCGCAAAAACTTACGCGCTCCTGGCCTGGTAGTGAGTCTGCTACCCACTCCATCACCTGCCCACCCTCTACTTCCCAGGAGCCAAATAACTGCCCTATATATGCATCATCAAATGATGGTCTCCTCTAAAAAGAATGTGTTTGGCTCTAGACTGTGCAGTGTGTTTGTCCCTCATTAGCCTGTGTCTGCTGCCAAGGGCATTCATCATACAGCCCCGTGTCGGATGATTTCAGCAGCACTCAACTGTGAGATGGGTCTCTTTGGGATCCTTTGATGCAACTCAAGAAGCATTTCTGAGAGTCCCTGCTGTCCCAGCTCCACCAGGGCTGGCCAGAGCCGGCAGGGGCCACACGTCTGAGGCCAACCACCGCTGCCTCCTTTACAAGCAACATCTCCAGAGACCCAAGCCAGTGATTGGTGCCTTCACTTTAGAGGTTGACTTATGAGCCAGTCCTCAAGAGATGGTGGACTGTTTTTTTGTTTTTTTTTTTTTCGTCTTTTGTTGTTTTGCAACGGTTTAGATTTTGCAGCTTCAGAAACAACCAGATCCTGCTAGAGGCAAAATCCAAGTAAATCCAAGTGAAGAAAGTGTATATACAGGGGCCTCTGTCATTCCCAGGGTCTGAGGCAAACAGTGTCACTGTTCTTATGTCAAGTAGCCCAATCCTGGGCTGCCCTTTTGCCAGAGGCTGCACAGCCCTCTGTGCATGCAGGAATCAAGCATGTTCTCTTGTGTCCTCCTCTGCAGAATGAGGACAATACTATCCCTTACCTGTAAGCTCAGGGTGAGGATCAAGTGTGTTCAAACAGGTAAAGAGCTTAGAAGAGTGTCTGGCACACAGGATGGGATTCGTGTGTCCAGTCCTTATCAACTTCAAATACAAACAATAACGATGGCTGGCTTGCCGTGGTCCCAGCCCACTGAGCTAAGTAAAAATACCAAACTCACTGTAGGAAAAGCAAAAGCGTGATGCTATCATAAGAATTGTCACACGTGCAGATGATGGCTTGGGTTCTAGTTCTTAAGTCTTCTAATTTGCTGGTTTTGTGTTGATCCTGAATAAATTTAGAGCCCTGCCTACTTTCACTGAGACTACGGGGAGTCCTCTGTGCTGCTGGAAAATCCCTAATAAATACACAGAGGAGACTTCCTGGGGTCTCCACCGCAGGTCATGATCATGAGCCTGGACCGCGAAGGTGTAGGGTCTCCGGTGTAATTCCCACTTCCACCACTAGCAACCAGGCTGTAAATGCCACCCTCTGCCCCTGTTTCCCCAGCTGTAAAACAGAATTAATTGTAGGTCCTACATTATGGTGGTGTTGGGAGAACTGAATGAGTTAATGTGTAGATAGTGGCCGTCACCCAGCAAGCATTCTGTGAACATTAGCTATTATTACAAACGAAAATCTAAAAACAAGATTAGTTATTGCCATGGAGCTTTCCTGTCAGTCCCTTCTGAAAGTCCAGGGATGAAAGGAACTATGAAATGCACCTGAGAGCTCCTCTGGGCCCGCCCTGCTTCAGCCGCCAGCACTGCACCTGCGCTCTGCAGTCCCTCCCATCACAGCGGAGGTCTGGCAGCACATCCCTGCCTGCAGCTGCAGACCGAGGCGGTGCTCCCAGCTCTCGAAGCTTCTCAAGGAATCCGGCAATAGCCGGTGACGCCTGGACCCCCGAGCCCTGACTGAGTCTTTGCAGGCTGGGCTGGGTGGGGTGGGGGGAGGCAGGCCCCTGCAGGCCCCCCTCCCTCTGCAACAGAGCTGGCTGCCCCAGCCTGTGATTTGTGTTTACACAGGCTCCACAATGAGGTGTGGCACTTAATGAAAGGGCTCTGTCACTTACCCAGTGAAACAGGGAGTCTGAAGGCCAAAGAACTGGTTACTTCTTGTACGTGAGGCAGGACGATCTGAGCTCCGGCCCGGACGGAGGGCGAGCACTCGGCTCCCTTCAGTTCAGCACAGAGGAGCAGACCTGCTGCTGAGCTGCCGTGCAGCACGAGCTGGGGGAGCGGGAAATCATGACCCACAGGCTTGTCTTCAGAGAGCCTGTTGAGGGTGGCATGTGATGGGCACCTGAGCACCCAGGTCAGAGGCAGGGTGGGGGGACTTCTGGGAAGCCAGTCCTGAGTTAAAGGACTCTGGAAGCCCACGGCAGGACCAGGGTGCAGGGAAGGTGGGCAGGGGCCGGGCACAAGGCGGGACCAGGGTGCAGGGAAGGTGGGCAGGGGCCGGGCACAAGGCGAGGTCTGGCTTCTGTGGTGTGGTCCAGGACTTCTTAACATTTCCTTACCATGGCACACACAGAAACAGAAAAGTCTGTGGCACACCGGGGCAAACCACAGGATTTGGGAGCATCTGCAGGGGGCAGGAGGGAGAAAATGCCTTTTTTATGTTATGTAATCGTGAAAGAAAAGTAAAACACAAAGCAGGAGGAAAGATCTTAAAAGGTTGAGTTTGAACAATACTTCCAGCAAAGGTCTACTCAAACTTTAAATGAAAATTTTAGCTTGTTCTTACAAACATAACTCTTTTACACCAAGCTTTATGAGTAAATTGGCTACAAGAATTTCCTGACTCAGAATTTAAGGAGTCACTGTGATAACCACTTGGTTATTAACATTATTAATAGTACAACAAAATAGCATTCTTGTATTGAGAGACAACAGTCCTGCTCTCACGCTTAAGTGATTAAAAGCGGCCACTTCTCCTGGTTGACTGAATGTCCTGTCTGGCCATTACACAAAAATTGGAAAAGTTGGTCTTTCTAAAATGGGCTGAGAAGCATGTGATCATTCTATACATCTTTTTTTATTTTCTCTCATTGAAAAACGTAGTTGAAATTTCTTATGATAATGCAAAAAGATTTCCAATCTAATGGCACTTTTAAAAATCAAGTATTTCAAAGTCACAATAAAATTTTTCCATAAGAAGATGCAGGTATTTCTGTACTAATTTTTTTCTTTAGGATTCATATTATAGCACTAACTACACATGACTGGAAAACCAAATTTAACAACATTTTTCCAAAGTTGAATTTTTGCTTCACACTTATGAGCTGTGTTTTTATGTTAGTATATTTCAATTATACGCAATTTAAATATGTCAGGGAAGAAAGCCAGTTTTTGAAGAAAATACTATCCTCAACAAATCTTTTATAAAAAGTTTTTCTTCAATTTTTTTAAATGTTTGATAAAACTTCCTGGGGTCATCAGGCATTTTAGTGGGAAATCTCTGGGTGGTCTTCAGATTCCATTTCTTCTCTTGAAGCTAAAACTGGACAAAGCAATAACGACTTGGATTTCAACAACCCATCATTGAGCATGGAAGTCCAATTTACAAGTAATTCTGTGTTGTTTTGTTTTTACATAAGGAGACTCTGTGATTACTACTGTGCAATATTGGAGTCTAGGGATTTTCAGAACAAACTCTCAAGTGGAGGCCATCACACCTCCTCTGACTTCATCCACAGGGTGGGTGGACCGACACAGGTGGGGTTTCCATCAATCTCATTTGTCTCAAGTATTCAAGTACTACTTTGGATATTTACTTGTTTGTTTTGGTACTTCCTTCAGGACAAATTATTTTCTTCCAAGAATGTCTCTTCAGGGATTCTAACTGGGGCTATTAACAATCACTAATGTCTATATACAGAATAATTCATCTGCAATAAAAACTTTTTAAATCAATTTCTGGGTCAGAGTTGGGAAGTCAATGAGTTGGATTTTATACTTACTTCCCTCACCAAAAATGATACAACAGTAAGGGGTTCCTAACTAAAACTCTATTAGTACTTTAGAATTTATACTAAATCTACTCTTGAATATTTCCCTAGGTCAAACATCTCTCAATACAAGAATGCTATTTTGTTATACTATTAATAATGTTGAAGTGCATAAGATTTTATAATATACTAATATTTTACATGTATGTTTTCAAACTCCTGACCTCAGGTGATCTGCCTGCCTCAGCCTCCCGAAGTGCTGAGATTACAGGCGTGAGCCACCGTGCCTGGCCATATTTTACATGTGTTTTCTATCGGGCAATTGGTGGGATCATTTCTTTTATCATTCATAGTAGCGTTTAGGCCATTTTTTTCCTTTTTTCTTATCACCACCATTTGGGACAGGGAGTATGGTTGCTGTGCTGTTTTTGCTGTTGTTGATTTTCTCTCTCTCTCTCTCTCTCCCTCTGTCTCTGTCTCTATGTGTGTGTGTGTGTGTGTGTGTGTGTATGTATATATATATATTTTTTTACTATTGTGCAGATACAGTTGAGGTGCATAAAGAGAAGGAGTATGATGTGCAAGGCACACACCTGTACTCAGCTGAGTGCCACAATACACAGAAGCCCGAAATAGCTGTCGGAAGCCGGTGGCGGCTGCACTGCTGCTCCTAATATACACTTCCTTGCACCTGTGTCCTGAGCCCTTTGCCGAGTGACTTGGCTGTGCCCCTGGTGAGAAGAGGTGAACATTCCCCTTCATCCCATTCACCGACCTGCACGTGGCCGTGTGGCCTACTCTGGACTACAGCAGACACTGGGAGAGCCTACAGATGGGCTTGCAGTTTGCTGGCATCCTGCACTTTTGTCCTCTGCCATAAGCAGAACCGATCCAGGTGGGCACTTGTCCCACAGTGAGGAGACACCTGCAGGGCTCTAACCCATGTCCAGAGCAGAGCCCGGCCCACCCTTGTGCAAAGCCACCAACATTATCACGGCAAGAGTGCATGCAGCCTCTAACTCCCCCTCCAAAATCTCTTCCACCCTTTCTGTTTCCTTATCATATCACAGCCCACACCAAAAATTATCACTAGCTGGCATATAAGAACTAAAACATAGGTCATATTTTCTACGTTTAGTCAAAAAACTTGCCTACGACGTGTATTGTTTCAAAGGCTGACAGTTTCTCTCCAGTCATGGTTTTTTGGCAATATGAGCAATGGATGTCTGGGATGAAAACTCTGCCATATAGAATGTAGCCTACAGAGCACGTATTCAGATTTATGCCCTCTAAATGGATTACTACATTCTGAATGGCATTAACTTTCCAATGAGTAAGAGCCACTCATTCACCTCTCTCCTCTATTCCCAGTCCTTGAAATAGTTGATTTCAAATGTTTTCACCTAAGGTAAATGATAATATATGCAAAGATTTTGTACAAACTCCAGGGGAATTCCTGAGATATCTCACAAAGTTTGAATCTATGGAGACAAAGGAAAATTGTGCAACGAGTGGTGTTTTCTTTCACATAGTGCAGCAGACAGGATCACATGCCTCCAACGTGGGAAGGGGAACACGTCGACCCTAGGCAAGCAGAGGGCCTTAGCATGCTGACTCTGCAGGCTCATCCTGGGGCCTGCCTGAGCAGCCGTGTGGGCACCGGGACTGCAGTCCTTTCCCCTGCCTGCCCCAGCCCCACCATCTCTTGCCTGGAGGTCATTTGGCCACCCTCTTAGTGTCAAAGGCAGAAGCTATGAGAAAGAAGGATAGGAGAGGGATGCGGACCAGTTTTCAAATCCGGCAGGAGGAGCAAGGTCCTGGGGAGCATGTGGTGGAAGGTGAGCATCCCGACCTAGGAAGGCATTTCCGAATGCAGGGAACACAGTCACACCAAAGCGTATGTCCATAACCATCGTGGAAACTAACTAGGCCTTCTGACGAGAAATACAGAAGGGAGAGCCCATGCACACTAAACTACCACAATATTTGAGCAACAGAGCGAGAAAGAAGCCAGCACCATAATTTAAGAAGCTTAATATGGTGCTTGACTATTTGGGGTGAATAATTACTCAATATTTTAAAATTTTCTTTGTATATTTTAATTTATTACCTTTCTTCCAGAAGTCACACTCACCAAAATCTATTCTTTTGCAATTATACCAATGAAATTAGAGATATGGCCTCTGACCCTTTCCCACTTTTGAGTCTAGGACTTTAAGGAAACTACATCATCATTACGAAGACTGGGGAGCAACAGCGTCATGGGCACCGCTCTGCTCTGCATGAAGGAGTCCGACAGCTGCCAGCGGGGAGCTTTGGTGGTGCCAAATCCCCTGGAGAGAGGAGGCTGCAGCCCCAGGCAGCAGGGAGCCCTGGAGGAAGCTGCCTCTGCAGACTCGCGGGAATGCCAGCTCCGGGTTTCATTCCTTTGTTCACTGCTGCTTCCCAAGTGCCAGACGGAGCCTGGAACTCAGTGGCTGCTCTAAAGATACTGTTGAATGAGTAAATGAACGGAATTGCACAGGAGCGAGGCCACAGTTCTACAGCTGAGCTGCCTGTCACGGCCCTCACCCAACCACCACTGCTGGAAATGTGCAGACAGGGTGTGCCTCTCCCGTTTAAGGGAAATGTATTGAGATATCATTCACATACATGGCACGTGCTCAGGGAGCCCCCCAGGATGACAGAGCTCACCCATCACCCCACAGAACGTCTCTGCCCCATCCAGGCAGGCCCCAGAGTACACTGGGTCTGGCTTCTTTAGTCAGAGGTGGTTTGAGTGAGTCTAGAGACTTCATAGAATCTGGGTCACAGAGCAGGCACCCTTTTCCATCTGGTGTCTTCCACTCAGCGTAGCGGTCCCGAGATCCAGCGTGTCTCTGCTAGGATCAGCGGTTTGCTCCTTGGTGTTGCTGAGGAAAATTCTACTGCATGGAACACCACCATCTATCCACACTGGATAGACACCAGATGAGTGCTTCCGCCTGCTGTGAATGAAGCTCCTATGAACAGTCTCATATTAGGTATGAAAGGAAAATAAATCAATCACTAAACAAAGGGGAAAGTCAAGCTGGGAGCTGCCTCCCATCCTATTCCTAAATAAGATAGCTACAAAGATAAAAACGCTGTTCCTCCCTCACAATTTGCTCACAAGGAACTTCCTTGTGGAACAAGGACAGACAGAACTCAATCATCCCTCCGCTCACATGAGACAAACACAGATCGGAATGCTTCCTCCGCCCTGTTGTTTCACCCAGCCAGACTAAGGCATACGTAACTATTCCAGTAAATTGTGCATTCGGTGAAAGGCTAATCAGAAACTTAAAAGAATGCAGCCATTTGTCTCTTATCTACCTACAACCTGGAAGCCCCCTGCGCGCTTTGACTTGTCCTGTCTTTCCAGATAGAACCAATGTACATCATACATATAATGATTGATGTCTCATGTCTCCCTAAAATGTATAAAACCAAGCTGTTCCCCGACCACCATCACCAGGACCTCCTGAGGCTGTGTCACGGCACGTCCTCAACCTTGGCAAAATAACTTTCTAAATTTATTGAGACTTGTCTCAGATACTTTTTGGTTTACAAAGGTGTTTGTGGACATGTATATTCATTTCTCATAGATAAGTACCTAGAAGTTGAATTGCTTAGACATGAGTAAATGTATGTTTAACTTTTTCAGAAACTCCCGAACATATTTCCAAACTATACCGTTTTACACTCTGTCAGCAGAATTTAAAAGTTTCCACTGAACCACATCCTTGTCAACGTTTGGTATTGTCAATATGTTTAAGTTATTGATATTGTTCTAGTGAATGTGTAGAGACATCTCGTTTTGGTTTTAATTTGCATTTTCCTAATGAGGAATAATACTGAGAAATTTTTTCTTTCATATTGTCATATATGTGTCTTCTTTCTTAAAGTGCCTAGTCAAATATTTTGCTCATTTTTTATTGCTTTTTATTATAAACTGTGTTTTTTTAAATATTATCTTAACACACGTCTTTTGGCTGATATAATATTGTAAATATTTTCTCCCATTCTGTGGTCTACTTATTGTTTCCTAATGCTGTCTTTTGAAGAGCAAAATATTTTTCTCCATTTATGGAGACAAGATGGTCAACTTAGCTATTCCAAAATGTTTTTAAAATTCTAGTTTGTTTTAAAACAACCACAGCAAACTGCATGGATTTGTTCCACATCTTTGAAAGAAAAACATTATTTTATTTATTTCACAGTGGAAGATAAGTCAGTAAGGCCCCACTTCGGCAGGTTTTGTTTTCGTTTCCTCATGCCTCTGCAATGCTCGGAGTCACCCACGCCTTACTCACTGCGGCTGGAACGAACCCAGACTCCTCACTCCTCCCACAGCCTCTGGCGCAGGGCGCTCCTTGCTTGAAAGAAACGTTTGCGATTTTTAGTGGAAACGTCCGTGTTTTCTTGGTAACTGGTAAATGGCTGTAGATTACTGACACGCGGTCCTTTGTACGTAACAGAAGGCTTTGAGTGTTTCTGTGAGGATCACCCTGTGAAGAAACGGCTGCAGTGAGAGCAGCCGAGGCGGGACGCAGCCCCGGACGTGGGGTCAGAGAGGAGCCGTGCGTGGGGTCAGAGAGGAGCCGTGCGTGGGGTCAGAGAGGAGCCGTGCGTGGGGTCAGAGAGGAGCCGTGCGTGGGGTCAGAGAGGAGCTGAGTTCAGGACGGGCATGGCAGCCGCAGGAGGAGGGCAAGGCGGAGCCCAGGAGGGGCAAAGTGGACAAAGCCAGGGCTGGAGAGGGGAGACCCAGGATCAGCACCACGTTCCACGGGGATGGCACAGAAGCCTGAGAGGCCACGGCCAAATGTGGAAATTGGCTTTGCCAAATCTTGCATTTCAGAGAGAAAAGGCAATATGGCATTAATGCTTGCCTTGTTTAATTTTCGTAATTTTCCCTTTCTTCCTGCCAATAGCTTGCTTTGTTATCCGGAGGGTAGCCACGGTTTTAGCTCACAGTGATGTCAACTTGAAGCTTCTCTCCACAAGCAGCTGTGACCTCAGCTGCCGTGCAGTCAGCTTCCCCGGCCTCCCTCCCCAGCCTCCCTGGTCTCCCAGGCACAAGGCTGGGCACTGGCTTCAGAGTGGCTGCAAGGGCACGGCCCCCAGGCCTAGGGCTGATCAGCGTGAACAGTACCCAGCACACTTGCTTCAAAAAGTAAGAAGATATAGAACACAAGCTGCTTGTTCTCATGACTATAGCACAAACTATAAAACAAAACATCTTCCTCCAGAACACGGCAAGCTGGATGGACAGTGATCTGGACAAAAATTTGCTGTAGGTTTTGTAACTGGGGTTCAGTGAGGACCAGGCTCCCCAGAGCATACATGTGGAGACAATTAAGTTGATCCCATTTTCCAAGACTCAGAGGAGATGTATTTATATTAGGAATATAAACTTGCTATTAATGCAACTTCAGAATGTCCAGGTCATCCGTTGGGAAAAAAAAAAGAGTAAGTCTAGGGCTGGTTCGTGCTGTTGCTACATGGAGGGAATCCACATCCAAGCCTGCCGCTCACATGCTGGGACACATTGCCTCAGCCTCCATCTCTGGGAGTCCCACGCTTTCTCTCCTGGGTTGTCCCACTATTCCTTTTGAAGTCCTCATGTTAGTGACAGTTCAATTTTCTCTTCACCTTCAAAATTGCAGAGAACCTAATTTCTACTGACCAGTCAAGCTTGTTTCATTTATCTTCCATGTTAACTTCAATTAAAATGTTAACCATCTGGAATCTTTGGCCTCTTATGTGACAAAAATAGGCATTAAATTGTATCATTTCTTAAATTCTCTGTTGAAAAGTCCAAATACGTTACTGAATATGATACAGATTAGTAAGAATTTGGGCTCATTAAATGTAAGATAATTTCATAGCTTAAGGTAATTTCACACCCCAAGGGACTTATAACCTAAACACAAAGCAGATCACCAACATTAACTGTCAGCTGTCCACTGGAGAACTATCTCAGACAAAAAAATAAAATTTGGATTAGCTCTCCATGGTGCACAATACTTTCATGAACCATCTCTTTTGGGTTGGCAGCTGCAGTGTGTTCTGAGAGTATGTTAATGCTACAATAACAGTAAAAATAAAATTAAGTTGGGAACATACAGAAAAAAAGAAATTGATTACATTATTCCTAATGACGACCTGAATCAAAGTTGGCACTAAATAAATTTTTGTCAGAAAGGAGAAAAGAAATGAGAGAAATAAAAGAGAGGAGGCAGGATTTTATATTCTGCTCCCTTTTTGGAAAAACATATTTGTGTGAGCTATATGAAATTGCTATTCAAAACCATTTGCATGTTGGTCATTGGGTATGGCTCAGTCTAGTCTTATCACCACGGAGATATCTGCTAGGTATCTGAGAAAGATTTCTTGGTGGTCCTGTCAAACGGTGAGTTGGTGCTGCCACCTGGTTCCTCCAGGCTGCTTGACCTGCATGTGGGTACATGACTCACACAGGTTATCTTTTTCTCCATTAAGTAGCCAATCATTTGCCAAACAGTGATAACAGCACCTTTACTCTGAAAACACCCAGGCGTCCTCCTTCAATAAGTCTGAAATACACACAGTTTTCTTTAAGCTAAGGAAAAAGAATGAGCTCCCACATCTGCAAAGAATGCCTTAAACAGAATGTCAAAAACGAACAGATATTGTTTATTCCAGCATGTTCAGACCACCCCCCTTGGTGGCCAGACTTGGGACCACGATCACATTCTTGCTTTGTTGTCTAAAGAACATGGACTTGCCAAAGTTGTGCAAGCCCCATGACATGTGCCACATGATATGAATCATCTTATCACGCAAGCACCAGAAGGAATCTTCACAGCCTGTAATCACGGAGACAGCAGGCTAGACAGAGCCGGGGCTCATCCTTCCTCCCCTGCACATCCATGGCTGGGCTGCCAGGGCTGCAGGTGGACAGCACTTGTCCACAGGTGTGTGCCCAGCCGTGGGCTCCTCACCAGCCTGTGTCCACTCGGTTGGTGAAGCAGGACCACCACAGATCAAGAAAGCTGTCCTGGGGCATGGGTGAGCAAAGACTGCGGGCTCTGGTACCAGGCGACCCGGCCTAGTGTCTGAACCTGGACTTTCCTTGAGACCTGAGCGCCCTGGCCTGCAGCTGAGCCCTCCCGGACACCCTGGCTGCTCTGTCCTGCGTGAGGTGCAGCTGGAAAGCCTGGCTCAGTCCTCGTCACACAGACCTTGGAAAAGGCCAGGGCCTCTCAGCCTGATCAAGTCGACAGACTTTGCACGGGAGCAGTATGCCTTTAAATGGATTTTCCAAGACAGAATGTCATGGCTTCTCTCTGTGGCACAGCTCTTGATAAGTATTTGGAAAGTGAGGCTAAGAATAACAACAATGCCTATCAAACACACAGGTCTATTAGAACAATGAGACGATGAATTGGAATCAAGTGAAAACTAAAAAGCTCTACATAAACATGTTATTTTTATTACTACCTTTTGATGAAGGCAGAGCAACCAACCAGTTTTACGTTACAACACACTGTTCACTACTTCAGAACATTTCATTATGGATAGAATAGTACAGATAAAAAATAAACATGATACATCCCACCATTAGAAAGGCAGATCTCTAAGGCATCCACTCACAGCACCACCTACTCCTCCTCTGAGTGGTGTGGGGAGCACTGCTGATCGGAACCAGGCAGGGAAGCCTCTTGAGTCTACAGTGGCCAAGTCCTTCACCCCAGGCCAGAGGCCACACCAGAGCCCTGCCCTCCATGCCCCCTGGCTTTGTTCTCTGCTTTCCTGGCTGCTGTCTTCCTAGAAAGTCTTCATGGGCAGAGGACTTATACTGCTATTCTTATGCTGCAACCTGACACAGCTCTCTTCCTAGCAGTGGCTTTGCCAAGTTTGTTTTGTCCTAAGTCTTCCCCTGATAGAGGTCTCTAATAGATTTGGTATTTTACATATTAGAGTTTTCTTCTTTGACATTTATTCAGCAATTATTATTTAGATTAAATAATTTTATATTTCTTTTTCTTAAAGTCACATTTGACATTGGAAAAATTTATATAAAAACCATAGCAATATGTGTCAGAAACAGTATGTCAAAATTTTAAATGATTTACTGAAATTAAGAATATTAAATAAGACTCTGGGCTTTCTACATCTGCTTTATTTATCTATTTTTAGCTAGTTTTAAATAAATTTCATTTTAACCAAGGGGAAACAATATATTTTAAAATGTTTAGGTAACTCTAAGTATTGGAAAAATAAAAATGAGTTATTCTAAACTTTTGCTTCTCAAAAATATTACGAGAAAAATGCAGGCACATTTATGGTCGATGTGTGAAAGTTCCAGTAAGGATCCCAGGAAGTCAACCCTGTGACATTTCTTAGAAGGTGAGGTCACAGCACACTGCGTCTCTTGTGAAAATAGAGACAAGTGGTGGCTGGTGAAGCTCTGGGTGGGATGAAAGCCCCCAGCTCCCTGGTTTCACGGATAAAAGAGACCACTCTAGATCAGGGCATTCCGGCTGGTCCCAGGAGTCCTCACATGGGGCATCACAGGCTGCTGAGGTTATCTGGAATCTTGAATTGCCTTGGAAGCATCCTCATTCTTCTAGGATCTTATAACCGTGGGGTCCTGGGATCTTAGGAGTCTGATACATGCAGAGTCAATTCCCAGGACAGGCAGCCTCTGGAGCCCTGCCTCAGTTGTTCAATCATCAACTGTGGGAGGAGGGCCCAGAAGCCATGCTGTGCACAGAGACAAAGGTCCTGGGACAGAGGCCATGCTCACCATGCAGAACCCATGGGCAGAGGCCACGGTCACCACACAGAACCCACGGGCAGAGACCACGGTCACCACACAGAACCCATGTGCAGAGCCCATACTCACCACACAGAACCCACGGACACAGCCCATGCTCACGACACAGAACCCACAGGCAGAGGTCACGCTTACCACACAGAACTCATGGTCAGAGGCCACGCTCACCACGCAGAACCCACAGGCAGAGGCCACACTCACCAAGCAGAACCCACAGTCAGAGACCATGCTCGGCACGTGGAACCCATGGGCAGAGGCCTCACCATGCAGAACCCACGAGCAGAGGCCACACTAACCATGCAGAACCTAGGGAAGAGGCCAGGCTCACCACGCAGAACCCACGGGAAGAGGCCACACTCACCATGCAGAGCCATGTGCAGAGGCCACGCTCACCACACAGAACCCACGCTCACCATGCAGAGCCATGGGCCGACTAATCAGAAGACCAGAGCCAGTTAGGACTGTTAACTGCTTTATTTTCACTGCCCAAAAGAAATTCTCTCTTTTTTCTTCCAACTCTAATTATCAAACAAATACTATATTATGTTTTATTGAAAGATATTTTGTTTTAACTTTACCAAATTCTGTGCAGAAGTACTGGACGCCATTTCCATTTTCCCAATGAAGGGGATCCCTTTTGAGGAGCAGAAAGACATAAAACTCTGACATGGCACACACAGAGGGGAGGAGCTTGCAAACGGGGGAAATCTGAGGCAAGTCTCAAAATATGAAAAACAGTTGCTGCTTCTGGCCCCCTGATGGATGAACCACTACTTCTTACTTTTAAGTTGTTCCTCACAGCATTCCTGGACCCAGCTCACAGGTCAGTGGTTACTCAGCTAGAAAGAGCTGGAGTTTACCATCCAAGGTAGCTGTGGCAAGCTGTAATTGAAAATAAAATACCATGTAATTCCAATCGCCTTTTATTAATTGATAACTCTATAAGAAAATAAGCCCAAAGTGTGTTATTTTCCTTATTTTTAATGTTCTGGAACATCGAGTAAAATACATTAACATAGTAGAATCTATATATACAACAGATATTATGCTGATGATTAATTAATTCAAACTACATTTCACTGCTGTTTTAATAATTTTAGGTGCCCTGGTCAGAGCCGATCCCTCTATGGTGCACAAAAGGGCATGGAACATCCTGGTTAGCGCCTACACACCTCCTTCCAGGCAGAGCTGAGGAGCTGGCCGCAGGAGAGCACTCCTGACGGAGGAGGAGGAGGAGGAGGAGGAGGAGGAGGAGGTGGTGGTGGTGCCAGGAATCCACCCCACCCAGATAGCAACTGTACTGGCAAACTCTGATGTACGTACTTCCAGTACTTTCAATTTATGGAGTCTGTTGAAGGCTTGCAACTTCCAGAGGAAGACTTGAACTATAAACTGTGGTTAATTTTTGTCAACTTCAGATTCTGGCACATTAGCAGCTCCACCTCCCTGACCCCACCCTCATGCACACCTTTCAAAAGTGGTCTCCATAGGGCCTGCAGAACCCAGGATGGGCAGAAAGCACCCATCCTCCAAATGTCAGGGACCTGTTCTCTGATCAGCGATGGATGCTTCTTCTTACAGAGGGTGCAAATAGGCGAGCAGCCATTGTTACTGTTCCCACATGGCTACAAGCCCCTTTCCTCCAGGAGAAGCAACTTCCAGGGCATTGAAGGAGTCAGCGCCCTTGACCCTCCTTCAATTTTCTCTTCCCCCTATAGGAGCCAGACAGTAAAAAATGTATAGGAGCCAGACATTCAAAAACAACTATGTACTTGGGAAAAATTAGAAAGTGACTGTGGAGTCCAAGGTGGGTGGATCACTTGAGGTCAGGAGTTCAAGGCCAGCCTGACCAATGTGGTGAAACCCTATCTCTACTAAACACAAAAATGAGCTGTGTTGTGGCAGGCACCTGTAATCCCAGCTGCTCAGGAGGCTGAGGCATGAGACTTTCTTGAACCCAGGAGGGGGAGATTCCAGTGAGCCAAGATCATGCCACTGCCCTCCAGCCTGGGTGACAGAGCAAGACCCTGTCTCAAAAAAAAAAAAAAGAAACAAAGGAAAAGAAAACAAAAGAAAGTGACTGTGCATACCACAGGAAAGGCTCAAAAAAAGAACTAAGAAGATTTGAAGTTTATATCTGAGGCTGGTCCTTGGCACAGAGTCAAGCTACAACAATCAAAATAAACAAAAATAAACAAAACAATGACAAAAAAAATCAAACCCAGGAGAAGGGGGAGAACTTTACTTCAGAATTATCACAATACTAGATTCAACTGTCAAGTTTTCAATTAAAAGATCACAAGGCATTCAAAGAAATAGGAAAGTATGGCCTATTCAGAGGAAAAAGATAAACAAATTAATAGAAATTGCCTCTGAAAGCAATCTGATGGCACTTCTACAGCACAACGACTTTAAAACAATTGTTTTCAATTACTGAAACAATTAAGAGAGATGTGGATAAAGTGAGGAAAATTATGTATGAACAAAATGGAAATATCAATAAAAAGAGAACCTAAAACGAAACAAAAAAATTTTCAAGCTAAAAATATAAAATAATTGAAATAAAGTATTTACTAGAGGAATTCAAAGGCAGGTTTGAGCAGGTGAAGAAAAAATAGAAACTATCAAGTCTGAGGCACAGAAAGAAAAAAAGCACTGAAAAAAGTGAACAGAGCCTAAAGGGAATGTGGGACACCATCAAAGGGACCAACTTATGCATTGCAGGAGAAGAAATAACAGTTGAAAACTCCCAAATTTGATTTTATGAAATGGCTATAAATGTATATATATACATTTATATATGTATATAAATGTATACATATAAATGTATATCCAAGAAGTTCAATAAATTCCAACTAAGAGGAACTCAAAAAGTCCCACACTGAGACACATCATCATCAAACTTTCAAAGGCCAAAGGCAAAGAGAGAATTCTGGAAGGAACAAGAGAAAAGTCTTATCACACACAAAGGATTCTCTGAGATTATCAGCAGATTTCTCATAATAAACTTTGCAGACCACAAGGCAATGGTCTTTTTCCCTGGGCTAAAATAAAACTCAAACAAAAAAACCCCCAAAAAACTCTCAACCAAGAATCTTATACCAGCAAAGTTGCCCTTCAAAAGTAAGGGAAAAATTAAGACATTCCCAGATAAATGAAGCTGAGGAAGTTTGTTACCACTAGACCTGCCCTGCCAGAAATGTGTACGGGAGCCCCACAAGGTGAAATAAAAGGACCCTAGACAGGAATTTGAAGGTGTATGAAAAAATAAAGACCTTAATAAAGGTAAGTACATGGGCAGTTATAAAAGCTAGTATTATTATAGCAACACTGTATAACTCCACTTTTTGTTTTCCACATGATTTAAGAGACTAAAACATTAAAAAAACTATTAGTCTAAAAGCTAGTATTATCATAACTTTGGTTTGTAACCCCACATTTTATTTTCTAAATAATTGAAGACACTAATGCATTTAAAAGAATCACTACTTTATGTTTTGGAGAACAAAATATGTAAAAATGTAATTTTGTGATATCAACAACTGATGGGTGGGGACAGAGATGTAAAGAAACATAATTTTTTGTGTTACTGAAATTCACTGGTATAAATTCAAACTAGAGTGTTATAACTTTAGAATACTACATGTAATTCCCATGGTAGCCACAAAGAAAACAGCTATAAAATATACATAAAAGAAATTGAGAAAGAAACTGAAGCATTTACCTAAAAAATTTACTTAACAGAAGAGAAGGCAGTAATGCAGAAAATAAGGGACAAAAAACTATCAGGTATATTGAAAACAAACAGAAACATGACAGTAGTTAAGTCCCTCGTCATCAGTAATTAGTTTAAATGTAAATGGATTAAATTCTCCAATGAGAAGGCAGATTGACAGAATGGATTAAAAACACATAATTCAACTATAGTTGCCTCTCAATATACTTGGGGTATTAGTTCCAGGAACTCCCATATAAAATAAAATTTGCACATACTCAAGTCCCATAGTTGGCCCTGTAAAGCCTGCATATACAAAAACTTGGCCTTCCATATATGCGAGTTTTACATCCCATAAATACTGCAATTTTTATTTGCATTGGTTAAAGAAATCCACATACAAGCAGACCTGCACAGTTTGAACCCATGTTGTTCAAGTGTCAGTTGCATAAGCTGTCGTATGCATTCCTTTTGAATGGAATGGTGATCAAAAGAAAGCAGGGGTAGATACACCAATAACAGAAAAAAAAAAGCTTTAAGTCAAAAAGGCTAAAAGAAACAAAATAGGACATTACAGATTAATAAAAGCTATAATACAAAGAAATATAAATATTATAAACATTTACATACCTAATAACAGACCATCAAAATATATGAAGCAAAAACTAGTAGAATTTAAGGAAGAAATAAACAGTTTTACAATAATAGCTGGAGGTCTCAATACTCCTCTTCTAATAATGGATAGGACAACCAGACAGAACATAGGTAAGGACATAGAGAATTTACACAACATGATAAACCAAGTAGATCTGCTAAACACTTTACCAAACAAGAACAGCATACATCTTCTTCTCAAGTGCACATGGGACATTTTCCCAAAATAGATCATATGTTAAGCCACAAATTAAATCTCAATAGATTTAAAAAGATAAACATCATACACAGTATCTTCTCTGACCATATAGGATGAATTTAGAAATTGATAATATAAGTTAAACCTGAAAAGTCAAAAACTGTGGAAATTAAATGACACACTCAAACTACCAAGGGATCAAAGAAGAAATAATAAGAAAATCAGAAAATACTTAGAGATGAATAAAAATAACACACCATGCAAAAAATCTGTGACACAGCAAGAGCAATGTTAAGGGGGGAATTTATAGCTATAAATGCTTGTATTAAAAAAAAAACAAAACAAGAAGAGCCAAATCAGCAACCTAACTTTACAACTTTGCAAAGTAGAGAAAGAACAACAAGTGTTATCACAAAGCTAGCAGAGGAAGTAAATAAGAAAGATCAGAGCAAAAATAAACAAAATGGAGAAAAGAAAAACAGAGAAAAACAAGGAAACAAAAAAATGATTCAATGAAAAGAAAAACGAAATTAAGAAACCTCTAACTATATGGACTAAGAAAAATAAATAAGTGAGTCTTATTTATAAGTGAGTAATTTGAGTAATTACTCAAATCAGAAATGAAAGTTATGGACATTACTACTAATTCTTCAGAAATAAAATCATTGTAAGAAAGTACTATTAACAATTGTATGCCAACATATTGGATACCCTAGATAAAATGTACACATTCCCAGAATCACAAAACTTACCAAGACTGAATCACAAAATTTGAATAGACCTATAACTGGTGAGGAAATTGAATCAGTAACCAAAAAAAAAAAACTCCTGATAAAGAAAAATCTTAGGCTGGGCACGATGGCTCACACCTGTAATCTCAGCACTTTGGGAGGCCGAGGTGGTCACCTGAGGTCAGGAGTTTGAGACCAACCTGGCCAACATGGTGAACCCCCATCTTTACTAAAAATTAGCCAGGTGTAGTGGCACGTGCCTGTAATCCCAGCTACTCGAGAGGCTGAGGAAGGAGAATCGCTTGAACCTGGGAGGTGGAGGCTGCAGTAAGCTGAGATTGTGCCACTGCACTCCAGCCTGGGCAACAGAGAGAGACTGTCTCAAGGAAGGAAGGAAGGAGACAGAGAGAGGGAGGGAGGAGAGGGGGGAGAGAGAGAGAGAAAGAAAGAAAGAAAGAAAGAGTAGATCCTAGACTCGATGGCTTTGCCAGTGAATTCTACCAAATATCTGAAGAAGAATTAACACCATTTTTTCTGAAACTTTTACAAAAAACTGAGGAGAAAGAAACATTTCCTATCTCATTCCCCCAATACCAAGGCCAAATAAGATTCCACAAGAAAACAGACCCATATTCCTTATGAACACTGATGTATAAATCCTCAACAAAATACTAGCAAATGGAATTCAGCAGCATATTAAAATGATTATGCATCAAGACAAATTGGAATTTATTCCTGGAATCCAAAGATGGTTCAACAAAAATTGATCAATGCAATAAATGTCATTAATAAAATTAATGATACAAAACCCACATGATCATCTCAATTTATGCAGAAAAAGCATTTGACAAATTCAACACATTTTCATAATTTAAAAAACCCCCAACAAACTAAGAATAGAAGGAAGTTACATCAACACAATAAAAGCTGTATATATTACTTCATTTTGTGCTGCTATAAAAGACTACCAGACTGGGTAACTTATAAACAAGCAAACAACCAACAACAAAAAAAGTATGTCTCATCGTTCTGGAGATAGGAATTCCAAGATCAAGCTGTTAGCAAGTTGGTACCCACTAAGAGCCTGGTTTCCATTTCTAAGATGGCATCTTGAAAACTACAACTTCCAAAGGGGAGGAATACTATTCCTTACATGGAAGAAGAAGAGTGGAATAGCCAAAAGGGCAGAGGGGGGTGTCAAACTTGCCCTTTGATATCAGCCACCAATCTCACCCATACGGATGAAGCTCTCATAAGCTAGGCACTTCTTAAAGGTCCCACCTCTTAATACTGTCAAAATCACAATTATATTTTAATGTAAGTTTTGGAGGAGACAGACATTCAAACCATAGCATCACATATGAAAAACCAACCACAGGTCATTATACTCGATGGTGAAAGACTAAAAGCTTTTCCTTTAAGATCAGGCACAAGGCAAGGATGCCCGCTTTCATCATTTATATTTAGAATGGTATCAAAGTTCAAGCCAGAGCATTTGGGCATGCAAAATAAATTAAAAGTACCCAAATTGAAAAGGAAATAAAATTATTTCTGTTCACAGATTATATGATCTTACAGATAGAAAACCCTACACATTCCACTCACAAAAAGCCTGTTAGAATTAATAAAATCAGCAAAATAGCATGATATAAAGTCAACATGCAAAATCCAGTTGCATTTCTATAAACTAACAATGAGCAATCTGAAACTCTAAAAAGGAAATTATTAAAACAATTCCATTTAAAATAGCATCAAAATAATAAAATACTTAGGAATTAACCAAGGTGATGAAATTAAATTGTACAATGAAAACTACAAAACATTGCTGAAGGAAACGAAAGACATTCATTAAAACACTTCCCATGTTCATAAATTGGAATACTTAATATCACTAAAAAGTCTATATTACCCACAGTGATCTACAGATTCAATATGATCCCTATCAAAATCCCAATGACATTTTTTACAGAAGTAGAACAACCCATTTTGAAATTCATATGAAACTCTGAATAGTAAAAACAATCTTGAAAAGGAAGAACAAAACTGGAGGATTCACACTTTCTGATTTCAAAACTTACTATTAATACATATCTTCAATAATCAAAACAAGATGTCACTGGCATAAAGATCGACCTATAGACAAATGGGATAGAATAGAAGGCCCAAAGGTAAACTTTCACATATATGGGTCAAATTATTTTTGAGAAGGGCTCCAAGACCATTCAATGGAGAAAAGACAACCTTTACAACAAATGGTGCTTGGAAAAATAGACATCCACACGCAAAAGAATGAAGCTGGATCCTTTCCTTACAGCACAGAGAAAAACTACCTCAAAATGCATCAAAGACGTAAATGTGAGATCCAAAATAATAAAATTTTAGAATAAAATATAGACAAACAGCTTCCAGAATTAGGGTTGGCAATGATCTATTGGATATGACAACAAAGGCCCAGGCAATCAGAGAAAAAATAGACAAGTGGAAAAATTTTTTAAGTTTGTGCATAAAAAGGTACTATTAAAAGAGTGAAATAGCATCCACAGAATTTAAGAAAATATTTGCAAATCATCTACCTGACAAGAAGCAAATTTGGTGTCTGGTAACAGCCTACTCTCCACTTCTAACAAGGGATGTCTGACAAAGAATTAATATCCAGGATATATAGAGGAGCCCTAAAACTAAACAACATAATCAAACAGCCCAATTTAAACAATGGACAAGAGACTTGAATAGACATTCCTCCAAAGAAGATATACAAATGCGCAAGAAGCACATGAAAAGATGCTCGGCCAGGCACGGTGGCCCATGCCTGTAATCCCAGCACACTTTGGGAGGCCAAGGTGGGCAGATCACCTGAGGTCAGGAGTTCAAGACCAGCCTGACCAACATGGTGAAACCCCATCTCTACTAAAAATACAAAATTAGCTGGGTGTGGGGGCGCATGCCTGTAATCCCAGCACACTTTGGGAGGCCAAGGTGGGCAGATCACCTGAGGTCAGGAGTTCAAGAGCAGCCTGACCAACATGGTGAAACCCCATCTCTACTAAAAATACAAAATTAGCTGGGTGTGGGGGCGCATGCCTGTAATCCCAGCTACTTGGGAGGCTGAGGCAGGAGAATCACTTGAACCTGGGAGGTGGAGATTGTGGTGAGCCGAGATTGCACCATTGCACTCCAGCCTGGGCAACAAGAGCAAAACTCCATCTCAAAAAAAAAAAAAAAAAAAAAAAGAAATAAAGAAAAGATGCTCAACATCACTCATCATTTGTAAAATGCAAATCAAAACTACAAGGAGATGCCATCTCACACTCATTAGGACATGACTATTAAAAAAACAAAATAAAAAGTGTCAGTGAGGCTGTGGAGAAAGTTAAACTTTTGTTCATTGTTGGTGGGAATGTAAAATGGTGCAGCTGCTATGAAAACAGTATGAATTTTTTTCAAAAAATTAAAAACAAAATTATCATATTATCCAGCAATTTCACCTCTGGGTATATATGCAAAAGAACTGAACGTAGGGTCTCTAGGAGATATTTCTACACTTATGTTTATAGCAGCATTCTTAACAACAGCTAAAACATGGAGGCAATCCAAGCATCCATCAATGGATAAATGGATAAGCAAAGTGTGGACCACACAATGGCAAATTATTCAGTCTTAAAAATGAAGGAAAGTCTGGCACAGGCTAAAACATAAATGAACCTTGAGGACATTATGCAAAGTGAAATAAAGCAGTCACAAAAAGATAAATGTGAGGTACCTAAATAGTCAAAATCAGAGATACAGGAAGTAGAATGGTTGTTGCCAGGGACTGAGGAAGGGGATGGGGAATTATTACTTAATGGGCATGAAGTTTCAGGCTTACAAGATAGAATTGTGGAGAGGGATAGTGGTGGTGACTGTAGAATGTGATGAATATATTTAACACCACTCACTATAGACTTAAGAATGGTTAAGATGATGAATTTTATGTGTATTTTACCACAATAGAAAATTGGGAAAAGAAATACATTTCTATAACTTCTTACTATTATTTGTAATGGGGTTTCAGGTCGAGAGGAGCCCAGAACATGGGTCTCTTGCCCCGTTTCTGTCCAGAAAAGCAGAGACGGCTCACCCAATATATTGGTTAGGATAAAAAATGAGTCATGCCCATCCTCACACTTTTTTTGGAGGGAGTCAGCTTAATAAGGCCAGCTCTCTTATATGCCGTAGTATTAGTCTGTTTTCACACTGCTATAAAGAACTGCCTGAGACTGGGTAATTTATAAAGGAAAGAAGTTTAATTGACTCAGATTTCCACATGGCTGGGGAGACCACAGGAAACTTACAATCATGGTGGAAGGGGAAGCAAACACGTCCTTCTTCACATGTCAGCAAAAAGGAGAAGTACTGAGCAAAGGGGGAAAAACCCCTTATAAAACCATCAGATCTCATGAGAATTCACTCATCATCATGAGAACAAATGAGGGTAACTGCTCCCACAATTCAATTACCTCCCACTGGGTCTCTCCCACAACATGTGGGGATTATGGAAACTACAATTCAAGATGAGATTTGGGTGGGGACACAGCCAAACCAATCAAACAGCATGGGGGCAACCACCCCCATGATCCAATCACCTCCCACCAGGTCTCTCCCTAGACACATGGGGATTATGAGGATTACAATTTAAGATGAGATTTGGGTGGAGACATAGCCAAACCAAATTATTCTGCCCCGGCTCCTCCCAAATCTCATGTCTTCACATTTCAAAACACAATCATGCTTTTCCAACAGTCCCCCAAAGTCTTAACTCATTCCAGCATTAACCCAAAAGTTCAAGTCCAAAGTCTCATCTGAGACAAGCCAAGTCCCTTTGACCTATGAGACTGTAAAATCAAAAGCAAGTTAGTTACTTCCCAGACCCAATGGGAGTATAGACATTGGGTAAATACCCATTTCAAATGGAAGAAATTGGCCAAAACAAAGGGGCTACAGGTCCCAGAAGAGTCCAAAATCCAGTGGGGCAGCCAAATCTTAAAGCTCCAAAAATCATCTCCTTTGACTCCATGTCTCACATCCCAGTCATGCTCATTAGAGGCAGGTTCCCATGAACTTGCATAGCTCCACCCCTGTGGCTTTGCAGGGTACAGCCTCCCACCCAGCTGTTTTCACGGGCTAGAACAGAGTGTCTGCAGCTTTTCCAGAAGCATGGTGCAAGCTGTTGGTGGGTCTACCATTCTGGGGTCTGGAGGATGGTGGCCCTCTTCTCACAGCTCCACTAGGCAGTGCCCCAGTGGGGACTCTGTAGGGGCTCCAAACCCACATTTTCCTTCTGCACTGTCCTAGTAGGGGTTCTTCATGAGGGCCCCACTCCTGCAGCAAACTTCTGCCTGGACATTCAGGTGTTTCCATACATCCTTGAAATAAAGGTGGAGGCTCCCAAACCTCAATTCTTGACTTCTGTGCATCTGCAGGCCCAACACCATGTGTAAGCTGCCAAGGCTTGGGGTTTCCACCCTCTGAAGCAATGGCCTGAGCTGTATGTTGGCCCCTTTTAGCCACGGCTGTGATGCAGGGCACCAAGTCCTGAGACTGCACAAAGCAGCAAAGCCCTGGGACCAGCCCATAAAGCCATGTTTTCCTCCTAGGCCCTTGGGCCTGTGATGGGAGGCACTGCCATGAAGAGCTCTGACATGCCCTGAAGACATTTTCCCCATTGTCTTGGTGATTAACATTTAGCTCCTCATTACTTATGCAAATTTCTGCAGCCAGTTTGAATTTCTCCTCAGAAAATACGTTTTTGTTTTCTGTCACATTGTTAGGCTGCAAATTTTCTGAACTTTTATGCTCTGCTTTCCTTTTAAACGTAAGTTCCAATTCCAAACCATATCTTTGTGAATACATAAAACTTGATGCTTTTAAGAGCATCCAAGTCGCATCTTGAACACTTTGCAGCTTAGAAACTTCTTCCGCCAGATACCCTAAATCATCTGTCTCAAGTTTAAAGTTCCATAGATCTCTAGGGCATAGGCAAAATGCTGCCCATCTCTTTGCTACAGTGTAACAAGAGGGACCTTTACTCCAGTTCCCAAAAAGTTTCTCATCTCCATCTGAGACCACATCACCCTGAACTTCATTGTCCATCATTGTCCATATCACTATCAGCATTTTGGTCAAGGCCATTCAACAAGTCTTTAGGAAATTCCAAACGTTCTCACATCTTCCTGTCTTCTTCTGAGCCCTCCAAACTCTTTCAACCTCTGCCTGTTACACAGTTTCAAAGTTGCTGTAAAGATACCCAAAGAGGTTTACCTGACTCACAGTTCTGCAGTGCTGGGGAGGCCTCAGGAAACTTTCTGTCATGGCACAAGGGAAAGCAAACATGTCCTTCTTCACATGATGGTAGGAGGAGAATTGCTGAGAAAAAGGGGGAAATCCCCTTACAAAACCATCAGCTCTTGTGAAAACTTACTTGCTATCATGAGAATAGCATGGAGGTAACCACCACCATGATTCAATTACCTCCCACCAGGTCCCTCCCATGACACATGGGGATTGTGGGAACTACAGTTCAAGATGAGATTTGGGCAGGGACACAGCAAAATCATATCAGCTGTCCACCAAATATTAACTTGGCGGGGCAGGATCTGCATTTTGAGGGTAAATTCAGGAGAGTATTAACAAGCTCTTTTGCCAGATGTCTCAGTCTGCTTAGGCTGCCATAACAAAATAACATAGATGGGGGGCCTAAACACAGATATGTAATTCTCACAGTTCTGTAGGCTTGGAAATCCAAGACCAACTTGCCAACTTGGTTGAGTTCTGGTGATGGCTCTCTTCCTGGCTTGCGGAAGGATACCTTCTGACTTTGTGTTCACATGGCCTTCCCTTGGCACATGTGGAGAGAAACATCTCTCTTTCTTCTTCTTTTATAATGTCTCCAATCTTATAGAATTAGGACTCCACTCTTATGACCTCATGTAACCCTAATTTCCTCCTAAAAGGCCTATATCCAAACACAGTCATACTGGGGGTTGGGCCTTCCACATATAAATTTTGAGGAAATACAAGTGCTTCAGAATATTCTGCCCTTGGCCCCTGTACACTCATGTTCTTCTTACATGTAAAATATATTCATTCCATCCAAACAGACACAAAAGTCTTAACTCATTCCAGCATCAACTCTAAAGTCTAAAAGTCCAAAGTCTCATCTAAATCTCTATCTGTTAACCTTTGAAAACGAAAGTTATATTTTTCCAAATTACAATGGTAGGACAGGCATAACATAGACATTCCCATCCCAAAAGGGAGAAACAGGAAAGAAGGAAGGGGTGACAGGTCCCAAGGAAGCCCAAAGCCTAGCAAGGCAAACTCCATTTAATTTTAAGGTTTGAGAAAAACCCTCTCAGCTTCATGCCCTGCCCTCAGGCCCACTGGGGTGGCAGCAGCATCTCCATGACTTGGAGAGTGGTCCCTCCCAAGGCACTGAGCAGGGACATTCCTGACCCACTAAAGCCAGACAAGCTGTACCCTGTGAAACCAAATGGGAATTAGCGCTGCCTGATGGGGCCTGTGGTGGGAGTGGCAGCCCTGCTCACCACTGAATCATCTTCAGGATCATTCCCTTTTCTTGAGAAATAGTGCACATTTACAGCCAAAGAGCCCTACAGTTCTGTTTTATAGACTCCAAAGCACCTGACAGGCTTCCTTCATTCTGTTCCTCCTCTTTCTCTGTTCCCATTAGTTTACACTGGCAATGTTTCCACTGGTATAATCCCATCTCTATTCCCAGCATCTGCTGAGATAGCTGATTAAGTCCATGAGTTACACCCATAATCTCTTTAACAAATGTTTTTTAGCCACACCCTTAGTGGTCTTTTTAGAACAAGCTTTCCTATTTTTTGCCATACTGATAGGCTAATAATTTTCCAAATCTTCATTTTACTGTAAGCAATCAGGAGGAACCATGCCATTCCTTCAATTGTTTGCTCAGAAACCTCCTCAGCTAAATATCCAATTCCATTGCTCACAAGTTCTACTTTGCACAAAATACTAGAATACAATTCAGCCAATTTCTTTGTTCCTTTATAACACAGATGATCTTTCCTCCAATTTTCAGTAACGTGATTTTCACTTCCATTTGAGACCCCACCAGATGGCCTCTAACATTCCTGTTTTTACCCATATTCTGTTCATAATTATTTACATTCCCTCTCAGAAGATAGAAGCTTTCTCTCCAGCTCTCCTGTTTCCTTTCAGAACCCTCACCAGAGTCACCACTATTGTCTGCATCTGCAGCATGCACATCACAACTCCCCCAGACTCTATCCATCACCTTTCAATGGCACTTCCACATTCGTAAGTATTTGTTACAGCAGCAGCACTCTACTTCCTGCTACTAAAATCTGTCTTAGTTCAAGCTGCTGTAACAAAATACCATATACTACATGGCTTGAAAAATAGAAATTATCATTTGCAGTTCTGGAGCTAGAAGTCTGAGACCTAGATGCCAGGATGGTCACATTCTGGTGAGGACTTGCGCGGTTGCCTTCTCACTGTGTCCTCACGTGACATTCCATCAGTTTACACATGAGTGGGAAGAGAGGGAGACAGACAGAAGAGAGATCTTTCTTCCTCTTCTTACAAAGCCAACAATTCTATCAGATTAGGATCTCACCTCTATGAACTCTTTTAACCTTAATCACCTCCTAAAAGCCCTATCTCCAAGTATAGTGATGTCAGGGGCTAGAACTTCAACATAAAAATTTTGGGGTAAAGGAGCATGCAATTTGGTCCATAGCACAAGATGTGGCTTTATAAGCTTTTTAAATAACAAAAGTGGCATTCTGCTCTCATTCTGTCTGACTCCTATATCTAACCCTAATCAGCCTCTGAACTCAGACAAGGGCAATGAGTGCTATTTATACCTATGCCAGCACCCTCAGACCCACTAAGTGCAGCCACATGGGGCTTTCGCTCTTGCAGGTGGTTGATAGTAGCTTTTCCATTTACTATGTTTCTCAGCAACATCTAAATTTAGAGGCTAGCTAGTTGAGTCCTAGGCTGACTACAGAGTCTTGGTGCAGTTCTAGTCATATTAAGTTGGTGCAAAAGTAATTGCGGTTTTTGTCACTGCAGTGGCAAAACCTGCAATTACTTTTGCACCAAACTAAGAAATCAGCGTCAGGTCTAAGAATACAGAGCTAGAGCCATAGCTGCAAATCTCAGTCTTCATCCTGACCCATGAGTTTGCATGGTTGTTCACAGCCAATCATCATCTCCCACAAGGCCTCAGGTTGGTTCCAAACTTCTTAATTACAAAAGAATTGGGAAAGCTTCGTTTCAGAGATCCCAGGTGTCTTTCTGCCCTCAAAGAGTAGTAGATTTTATTTTTTTAAATTAAAATGAGGTAGGAGTCATTTTCATGAGTTTGATTTAAAAACCATCAAGAAAAAGGAAAAGCGAATAAAGTTATTTCCATTCTAAAGGCTAAGGAGGCAAGTTTTAAAATGTCCATGGCTTGAATACTATGTCATCTGAAAACAGGTGTCCATAGAAAAGAACCACAGTGGTATGACAAATGTTCTAGCCTCTTAACTTATTAGAGTAAGTATTCCCTGACCACCTTGGCTTTTCCAAAATTGTCACATTTCTTCTTTCGTAAGACATTGTTAGTTTTAAGGTGTCCCAATAATATCTTAGGTGATCTGTTAGTCCATCTGGGCTGCTATAAAAAATACCTTAGACTGGGTAATTTATAAACAACAGAAATGTATTGCTCAGCTCTGGAGGTTGGGAAGTCCAAGATCATGGTACCAGCAGATTTGGTGTCTGGTGAGGGCTGCTCGCTGCTTCCAAGATGGTGCATCTTGCTGCTTCCTCACATGGCGGGAGGGGCAGGAGCATGCCCTCCAACCTCACTTAGAAGGTGTTATTCCCACTCATGAGGGTGGAGCCCTCATGACTTAATCATCTTTTAATACTATCACATTGGGTATTAGGTTCTAACACATGAAATTTGAGGGGACACCATCATTCAGCCCATAGCAGGTCATGTGTTACCAATCCATCAGTAGCTTCCTAGGCTGATCATTTTTAGATTGACATTGATAGATGTTTGCTTTCATAATTGATTAAGGGAATCAAACATAAAAAAAGAGAAATAACAATAACAGGGCTTTTTTAGAGCTTATTTCACACAG
The DNA here is from genome assembly GCF_000001405.40 of Homo sapiens. NCBI lineage: Eukaryota > Metazoa > Chordata > Mammalia > Primates > Hominidae > Homo > Homo sapiens. The sequence continues at coordinate 169,472,239 of NC_000006.12, forward strand.
GCAATGCCCTGAGTCTGCTAGATACATACATACATAAAATGTCCTGCATTAGAGAAGACTTGCAGAGCCATTAGAAGAAGCACAGAGAAGCATCTAAGACCTTTTATTACTTGGTTAACATTTTAAAATATTTTCTATAGTTTCTGTGCAGTGATTACAAACACAGGCTCTAGAGTCAAACTTTGGTTCTCCCATGCATTTGCTACATGATTTGAGGGAAGTTACTTAAATTCTCTTTACCTCAGTTTAGGACAATTATTGGGGTAATAATATTACTTATCTAAAAGTTGTAAGGATTGAATTAGTTAATATATATAAAGCATTTATCATAATACCAGACACACAGAAAGCATTACATAAATGTTATGAATTAAACAAATGATAGATATAGATAAGAAAGAAAAAATGTGAAAATTTCAGACTGAGTATATAACTTACTCTTATTCCTATAAGTAATAAACTAATATTTATAGAGCAGGTTTTGGCCTGTGTGAGCATTATTATTCTGGAGGGAGAAATTAATTATTTCAAGGCTAAAAAACATATCTGATTTCATGTTGGAGTGAAACTGCATTTATTTAAAAGTCCCAAAATAAATTTACCCTCATAGACATGTCAAATTTAAAATTTCTCCTTAACTGGATTATATCAGAGACAGCAATGTTAAGCCACACACATTCTAGATTTTTTTAAGTGAGGCTTATCTGTTTTAAATAACTCAGTCTGCAAAACACTGCTACAAATTTTATACTAATGACATATTGGAACATTAATAACTTGCCTAGGACAGCTCTTGAAACAACATAAAAATACTTTTCAGATAGCTGTTGGCACTTCTATTTCCAAACTCTTGAACCATTAAGAAAAAGAAAATGGCAACAAAGAAAAAGCAACAAAGTCCAGCAGATAAACATATTAGGACTTATTCACATGAATACACTTTGAATTTGGCTAGGAACCAGATCTCTTAATGTCCGGTCTCTGTCCATGTAAACAGAAGATGTGCCACTTGACCCAGCTCTCTGTCCACATCAGCTCATCCCCAGAGGCAAGTGCGCTTGGAGACTGAAGAGTGACAAAAGGGAAGGAGGCTCAGTTTCGGTTTCCTGTGGAACTCAATGAACTAGTGTTGAGCTTTATTTTATGGAAAATGGGGCAACAGAAAACAGGGAATGAGTTATTTTTAAAGAGATTTTTAAAGACACATAGGGATGTTAGGAGTCTCTTGGGCAAGGTGACAAAGTACAACCTAGAATGAGAAAAAAGGAAAACTCTCCCAATGTCTCTTCAGTGAGAAAGAAAAGGTGCTGTAATAATTTAAAATGAATGACTAACTCAATGGCAAGGGACAGAAACCCAACTTGCACTAGTTTAGCAGAAAGGCATTTTATTATATGGTTATTAGAATGTCTAAAGGAGCTAAAGAAAAAAAAAACAGATTTGGGGGTTTGGGGAAAACCAGAGCCATAGATGCAAGAATCACCAGTACTTCCTTTCAGTTTCATCACCTGGGTCTATTCACTGATAGGTGTTCTCCTTACACTTCTTTCTCTTTGGAAACCATGTGTCTCCAGTCCTGTAATCCACATGGGCAGAGAAAACAAAATGAGCAAGCAAAACAAACAGCAACAAAAAGCTGGGATCTCTTCAGCTATCAGGTTTCACCTTTGGCCTCTGCTTCTCTGTTTCAGTTTCAAAATTTGGCCCAACTGGGGCCAGGTGTCAGTGATAGCTGCCCCCATGGTTAACTGTGTGTGGCGAATGGAAGTTTCCCAGAAAAGCAGTAGGCTGAAAGGCAAGCTATGAAGGACAGGAACAAATCCTTTCCTAAAATAAATTAGGATGTCCCCCATAGAGTAAATCTGTAACCACAGGGCTTCCCTTATGCAAGTTTTCAGTTTTAATTTATGCTGTCTATGTGATTTAAATATAACCAACTAGAGAAACTAACAAAGAAATATGGTGTTGCCTAGTAATATTCCTGGAGCACCTACAGAAGCAAACCTAGAGCTCCTTGGATGGCCACATTCTCAGGTAAAGTCACATGCAATCCTTAAGGATAAATAAACTCTGCTGAAGATCATCTCTCCATGAATTAGAATTAGTTGACAATAAACAGCAGAAACAAAGTACTAAGAACTTTAGACAATATAACTGTAATATGCAGTCTTTAACTAAATTTTGTTTTATTATTAGAAACATGGTAAAAGAAAAAGACATTAGTTATAATAGAAATACAAGTGAAGTCATTGATGATAAACATTTAATTCATGGGTGAAGACCTGCTAAGAAATAGCTGAAGAGAGAATTAGTGAATTGGAAAACTGATATAAAGAAATCATCCAGAGTGTAACTCATAGAGTTGAGAGGATGGAAAATGTGCAAGAGAGTTCAGATGACAGACTAATCCCGATATTCATTTAGTAAGAGTTCTACAATTAAAAAAAAACAGTGAGAAAAGATAAAGGGGAATAATAATGAGAATTACCCATAATTAAGAAAAAATAAATCATTATTAAGGAAGAGCAAAATGAGTTCCAGGAATGATAAAAATAAATCCAGACCTAAATTATTAGCAAATCTCTCATATAGGACATGCAATAATCTTTCTAAATCAATGGGGCTTCATTCTGAATCTATACCACATGGCAGTCAGCTCTTGATAAAGTGCCCATCCCATTCACAGAAATTCGGTTTCAGTTAGTGTTCAGTGAGGTACAACAAGTGTAGAGAAGAGCCCCCAGTGACTCTGAGGTCTAGCAAGAATCAAGGCACACTTTTTAATATATTACTCCTTTCTCCACTTTAAACCTTACTGTCAGTTGTTGGCCATTAACTTTGTCATGGTGTCCTTCATTGAAAATAATTCTGTAACTACATTACATTTTTTTGTCACATTTTATGCTTTTCAAGTTTTATTTAAAAAGTTTTTCCCAAGCACAGGGTTTACAAAAATATTATCCTATATTTTCTTCTACTTATTTATTGATTGATTCATTTTGAAACGCAGTTTTGCTCTTTCACCCAGGTGGAGTGCAGTGGCGCAATCCTGGCTCACTGCAACCTCCACCCTCCCTGGATTCAAGCAATTCTCCTGCCTCAGCCTCCCAAGTAGTGGGGATTACAGGCACCTCCCACCATACCTGGCTAATTTTTGTATTTTTAGTAGAGACGGGTTTTTGCCATGTTGGCCAGGCTGATCTCAAACTCCTGACCTCAGGTGATCCACCCGCCTCAGCCTCCCAACGTGCCAGGATTATAGGTATGAGCCACTGCATCTGGCCTCTTCTACTTACTTATAGTTTTACCTTTCAATTGAGATATTTAAATCATATATTTAAATAGAAATCGTTTTATTTTTCACAATGGAGAGAGCCAGTTTTTCTCTAAACATTGTACCAAATAACCCATCTTTTCCCCATTATTTTGTGCTTCCATATTTAATATGTATCAAGCCTGAAAATATACATGGGTCTCCCTCTGAATTCTCTGGCTTAATTGCACTTCCCTCTCTACATTCTTCTGGCTTAATTGCAGTTCTTGAGCCACTGCTCCATTTTTTTTATTTCTGTGTCTTTGAAAGCATTTTTTTAATTCTCTAATAGGGAAAATATAAAGTTGACTTTATCTTTTATGGACCATTCTTCTCCTACATATTTTTTTGGAATAACTTTACTGAGTTCTACTGGAATTTTGATAGAGATTGCAGTGCATTTATACATTAATGGAGAATTGACATTTTTATAACATTAAGTTGTAACTTAAGCTATGGAATTATATGGAATGTTACTTAGATCTTCTATGCAGCTGTTGGGAGAAAAGCTGAGTGTTGGGAGAGAAGCTGAGGCAGGGCTTGCATGTCTGACATAATGTAAAAGAGTCTTGGAACATGTCCAGGGTCCAGGGTCTCAAACCCCTTGTGGCCTTTGGAACACCAAGCTCTGTGCTAAAGGGTGGAAGGCTACCCTGATGCACCATAATCTAAGCCCAGGGCATAAAACCCCTCGTGGCTTGGATAGAATCCAGGGCTTGTGGCTCTTGAATGTGTCTAGACTTGCTGGCTCCTTGCTCCTTGCTCTCCCAGGGTCGATTGTGTCTTGAGTTAAAAGAACCTGCTCTCCATTATCTCAAGTAGCAGAGCATATGCTAAACCATCACAGCTGTAAATCATGTGCTTAATGCAATGCTCCCTTTCAACCCCACATTCTCACCACCTGTTTCTTTGTTTGATCACCAATAAATAGTCTGGGCTTCCAGAGCTCAGGGCCTTTGCAGCCTTCATACTCGTGTTGGCCCCCTGGACCCACTTTCTCTCTTAAACTGTCTTTTCTCATTCCTTTGACTCCACCATGCTTCGTCACCCCCATGACCTGGTGTTGGGTCTGATCACCCCAACAGCAGTTTATTAGAGATTTAAAATTTTCCCCATGGCTATTTTTTTTTAGTTAAGTTCCTAGACACTTTCAAGTATGAGTTGCCATTATAAAGGAAATCTTATTTTTAAGTTTACTTAGTTATTGTTAGTGTAATTATTGTTGTAACTAGATACTGCATGCAGTGACCTTGTTGAATTATGTTAGTTATAATAGCATAATAATTCTGTTGGTCTTTCAAGCTAAATTAATCAAATCATCTGCAAATAATGAGAGTTTTATCTCTACCAGTCATCACTCTTGTTTGTCTTTGTTATACTGGATAGGATCTCCAGTATTGTGTCAAAAGGAGTTGTAAAAGTGACATTTGTGTCTTTAACTAAACAGATTCAGATCAAGAATCTCCTTTTTATTCCTACTTTGCTAGATTTCATTTTAAATCCTAAATAGTAACAAAACCAAATGCTTCTTCAGGATCTACTGAGATAAGAAAGTATCTTCTCCTTACTGTATCAAAGTAGTGAATCAAGTCATTAGATTTTCTGATGCTTAGCTGACCTTGAGTTTGGAGTAAACCCTACTTAGTCAAGATGCATTTTAAGAGCACAGTTGAATTCAGTTGGCTCTTCTTTTATTAGGATTTACATAATTTTGTTCATAACTGAAATGGGCCCATAATTGCCTTTTTGCATTATATTAGCTGGTGTTCAAATAAAACGTACCCCATTCTCACTGTTAAAACAAGTGTAATTCTTATATATCCCTCTGGCGGGAAGGTATAATTGCACAGCTGCTTGGAAAACAGTTTGGCAGTTTCTTAATTTTTTTTAATTTGTCTTTTCTTTGAGACAGAGTCTGGCTCTGTTGACCAGGCTGGAGTGCAGTGGTGCAATCTCAGCTCGCTGAAACCTCCGCCTCCCAGGTTCAAACAATTCTTGTGCCCCAGCCTCCCAAGTAGTTGGGACAACAGGCATGCACTACCATGACCAGCTAATTTCTGTATTTTTAGTACAGACATGGTTTCTCCATGTTAGCTAGGCTGGTCTTGAAGCCCAAGCCTCAAGTGATCCACCCACCTTGGCCTCACTATGGGATTAAAGGCGTGATCCACTGTGCCTGGACTTTTTGGCAGTTTCTTATAAAGTAAAACATACAAATAATACATGACCTAGAAATCCCATATGTATTTATTCAAGAAAAATAAAAATATGCATTCATTCAAAGAGCTGTTCATGAATGTTTCTAGCAGCTTCATTCATAATAGATAAAAATTAGAGCCAATCAAAACATCCACACACTGGCAAATACACAAAATGTGACATATCTATGCAATGGAACTTGACTTGGCAATAAAAAAAACTATTGATACATAAACAAATCTTAAAAGTACTATGTTCATGAAGGAACACACACACTAAATGCACACTGTACTTTCCAACTTACATGACTTCCTGAAAAAACAAGATTGGAGGGACAGAAGTCAAGCCAGGGTCAGCCAGTGACTGGGGGTTGGAGATGCCTACAAGGGGGGCCAAGAGATCTCTCTGGGTGGGGGCGTTCTTCATCCTGACTGTGGTGGAGGTCACATGATGATGCAACTATAAATTCTCATTTACTTGTGCAACACAAGAATGAATCTTGCCATATATAAATTATATATCAATAAGCCTTCATTTAAAACAAATAAATGCTACCACATGTTGGACAAAGTAATGCAGATAATGGAAGTTGGCAAAAGATTATTCAAAAGAAATTATGTCAAAAATTCTTATTGAGTAATAAAATACGATTTTTGCATTTTAAGCCATGTAAAAGATGGCACTAATAAAATAATGTTGCTTGTACCTCAGGTTAAGTCGGGTGTACATGTACAGTAATACTTTATTATGAAGAATTATAAGCCTATATCATAAACTAATTTTTAAAACTCTAGATGTTTAAATGCCCAAAGAAAAAAAAAAGATGGCTTTTCTTTATAACATCACACACCTTATGTGCCACAACAAAGCAATCTTAAAAAGCAATGATTAAAAATCAGATGGAGCTACAGTAACTAAAACAACATGGTACTGGTAAAATCAACAACAACAACAATAAAACAGACACATAGACCAATACAACTCAATGGAAAACTCAGAAAGAAAGCCACACATCAAAAACCATCTGATTTTCGACAAGGCTGACAAAAACAAGCAATGAGGAAAGGACTCCCTATTCAATAAATGGTGTTGGAATAACTGGCTAGCCATATGCAGAATATGGAAGCTGGACTCCTTTCACCATATATGTAAATTAATTCAAAATGGACTAAAGATTTAAACGTAAGACTGTAAACTATTAAAATCCTGAAAGACAACCTAGGAAATACTCTTCTTAACTTTGTCCTTGGCAAATAATTTTTGGCTAAGTCCCCTAAAGCAATTGCAACAAAAGCAAAAATTGACAAATGGGACCTAATGAAATGAAATAGCTTCTGTACAGCAAAAGAAACTCTCAACAAAGCAAAAAGACAATCTTTTGCCAGATGAAAACTATGCATCTGACAGAGCCTAATACCCAGAATCTATAGGAAACTTCAAGAAGCAAAAACAACCTCATTGAAAAATGGGCAAAGGGCATGAATAGACACATCTCAAAAGAAGACATACAAGTGGCCAACAAACAAATGAAAGAAATGTTCATTATCAGAAATCATCAGGGAAATGTAAATCAAAACTACAATGAGATACCATCTCATACCAATCAGAATGGCTATTAAAAAGCCAAAAAACAGAAAACTGACTTTAAACCAATAAAAATCACAAAAGACAAAGAAGGACATTAAATTATGGTAAAGGGTTCAATTTAACAAGAAAAACTTAACTGTCCTAAACATATATGCACTCCAGACAGGAGCATCCAGATTCTAATGATTTAGGCATCTAGATTTTATATGGTGACAGTCAAACAAAATGTGTTTATGATATAAAAATGAATGAAACAAACAAAATCCAATTTAATGAGTTATTATTTCTCATTTTGAACCATGTATCTAAAATGATATGTGCACATTAGCTGCTTTATAACTACTTATCAGCATTCTGTCAATCATGAAGTCATTTCTTTTAACTTTTATTTTAACTTCAGGTTACAAGTGCAGGTTTGTTACATAGGTTAACTTGTGTTATGGGAGTTTGTTGTAGAGATTATTTCATCACCCAGGTATTAACCCTAGTACCCATTAGTTATTTTTCCTGATTCTCTCCCTCCTTCTGAGAGGTGACAATGTGCTAGCAGCCCTCGCTTGCTCTCGGCACCTCCTCGGCTTCGGCATCCACTCTGGCCACACTTGAGGAGCCCTTCAGCCAGCCACTGCACTGTGGGAGCCCCTCTCTGGGCTGGCCAAGGCCAGAGCCGGCTCCCTCTGCTTGCGGGGAGGTGTGGAGGGAGAGGCGTGGGCAGGAACCAGGGCTGTGCATGGCGCTCGCGGGCCAGCGTGAGTTCCAGGTGGATGCGGGCTCAGCGGGTCCCACACTTGGAGCAGCCAGCCGGTGCCACCGGCCCCAGGCAGTGAGGGGCTTAGCACCTGGGCCAGCACCTGTGGAAGGTGCGCCAGGTCCCCTAGCACTGCCAGCCTGCCCGTGCCATGCTCGAATTCTCGCCAGGCTTCAGCCGCCTCCCCGCGGGGCAGGGCTCGGGACCTGCAGCCTGACATGCCCGAGCCCCACCCCTGCCACTCCCGTGAGCTCCCACGTGGCCCGAGCCTCCCTGACGGGCACCACCCCCTGCTCTGCAGCACCCGGTCCTGTCGACTGCCCAAGGGGTTAGGTATGCAGGCGTGCAGCGTGGGACTGGTGGTCAGCTCTGCCTAAGGCCCCAGAGCGGGATCCACTAGGCGAAGCCAGCTGGGCTCCTGAGTCGGGTGGGGTCTTGGAGAACTTTTATGTCTAGCTGGAGGATTTTATATGCACCAATCAGCACTCTGTGTCTAGCTTGGGTTTGTGGATGCACCAATCAGCACTCTGTGTCTAGCTGATCTGGTGGGGACTTGGAGAACTTTTATGTCTAGCTAGAGGATTGTAAATGCACCAATCAGCACCCTGTGTCTAACTCAAGGTTTGTAAACACACCAATCAGTGCTCTGTGTCTAGCTAATCTAATGGGGACTTGGAGAACTTTTGTGTCTAGCTAAAGGATTGTAAATGCACCAATCAGCACTTTGTGTCTAGCTCAAGGTTTGTAAATGCACCAATCAGCACTCTGTGTCTAGCTAAAAGTTTGTAAACGCACCAATCAGTGCTCTGTGTCTAGCTAATCTGGTGGGGACTTGGAGAACTTTTATGTCTAGCTAGAGGATTGTAAATGCACCAATCAGCACTCTGTGTCTAGCTCACAGATTGCAAATGCACCAATCAGCACTCTGTCTAGCTAAATGTTTATGGATGCATCAATCAGCACTCTGTATCTAGCTAATCTGGTAGTGACTTGGAGAACTTTTATGTCTAGCTAGAGGATTGTAAATGTACCAATCAGCACTCTGTGTCTAGCTAAAGGTTTGTAAACGCACCAATCAGTGCTCTGTGTCTAGCTAATCTAGTGGGGACTTGGAAAACTTTTATGTCTAGCCAGAGGATTGTAAATGCACCAATCAGCACTCTGTGTCTAGCTCAGGGATTGTAAATGCACCAATCAGCACCCTGTCAAAATGGACCAATCAGCTCTCTGTAAAACAGACCAATCAGCGCTCTGTAAAATGGACCAATCAGCTCTCTGTAAAATGGACCAATCGGCAGGATGTGGGTGGGGTCAGCTAAGAGAATAAAAGCAGGCTGCCCAAGCCAACAGCAGCAACCTGCTCGGGTTCCCTTCCACGCTGTGGAAACCTTGTTCTTTCACTCTTCGCAATAAATCTTGCTGCTGCTCACTCTTCGGGTTCGTGGCGCCTTTATGAGCTGTAGCACTCACCGCAAAAGTCTGCAGCTTCACTCCTGAGGCCAGTGAGACCATGAACCAACTAGAAGGAACGAACAACTCCAGACGCACTGCCTTTATGAGCTGTAACACTCACCGCAAAGGTCTGCAGCTTCACTTCTGAAGCCAGTGAAACCACGAACCCACTGGGAGAGATGAACAACTCCAGACGGGAGGAATGAACAACTCCAGACGTGCCTCCTTAAAGAACTGTAACACTCACCGCAAAGGTCTGCACCTTCACTCCTGAAGCCAGTGAGACCACGAACCCACCAGAAGGAAGAAACTCCAGACACACCATCTTTAAAAACTGTAACACTCACTGTGAGGGTCCGCGGCTTCATTCTTGAAGTCAGGCAGACCAAGAACACACCAATTCCGGACACATTTTCACCCCCTACTGTTGAGTACATCCCAGTGTCTGTTGTTTCCCTCTATGTGCCATGAGTTCTCATCATTTAGCTCCCACTAATAAGAATATGCAGTGTTCGGTTTTCTGTTCCTGCATCAGTTTGCTAAGGATAGTGGCCTCCAGCTTGACCCATGTCCCTGCAAAGGACATGATCTTATCTTTTTTTATGGTTACATAGTATTCTATGGTGTATATGTACCACATTTTCTTTACCCAGTCTATTGCCGGTATGCATTTATGTTGATTCCATGTCTTTGCTATTGTGAGTAGTGCTGCAATGAACATACATGTGCATGAGTCTCTATAATAGAATAATTTATATTCCTTTGGGTATATACCAAGTAATGGGATTGCTAGGTTGAATGGTAATTCCCTCTTTAGGTCTTTGAGGAATCACCACACTGTCTTCCACAATGGTTGAACTAATTTTATGCTCCACAACTTCAACAACATCTGTATTTTTTGACTTTTAATAATTGCCATTCTGACTGGTATGAGATGGTATCTCATTATGGCTTTGATTTGCATTTCTCTTATAATCAGTGATGCTGAGCACAAAGCAAGTTCTTAGAGACCTTCAAAGAGATTTAGTCTTTTGTGCAATAACAGTGGGAGACTTCAACACCCCCACTGACAGTATTAGACAGGTCATCAAGGCAGAAAATTAACAAAGATATTCAGGACTTGAACTCAACACTAGACCAAACGGACCTGATAAGATATCTACAGAACTCACCATCCTAAAAAGACAGAATATACATCCTTTTCATCACCACATGTCACATACTCTGAAATCAATCACACAATCAGACATAAAATAATTCTCAACAAATGCAAAATATTGAAATCATACCAACTACTCTCTCTGACCATGGCTCAATAAAAATAGGAATCAAGACTAAGAAAATTGCTCCAAACCATACAATTACATGGAAATTAATCAACCTGCTCCTGAATGACTTTTGGGTAAATAATAGAATGAAGGCAGATATCAAGGAGTTCTTCAAAACTAATGAGAACAAAGATACAACATACCAGAATCTCTGGGACAAGCTAAAGCAGTATTAAGAGGGAAATTTATAGCACTAAACACCCACATCAAAAAGGTAGAAATATCTCAAATTAACAAAGTAACATGACGACTAAAAGAACTAAAGAAGCAAGAGCAAACCAACCCTAAAGCTAGCAGAAGACAAGAAATAACCAAAATCAGAGCTGAACTGAAGGAGATTGAGACACAAAACAATTCAAAAGATTAACAAATCCAGAAGTTGGTTTTTTGAAAAAATTAGTAAGAGACTGCTAGCTAGACTAATAAGAACAGAGAAGATCCAAATAAACACAATTAGAAATGATAAGTTGGATGTTACCACTAACACCACAGACATACAACCATCAGAGACTACTATGAATACCTCTATGCATACGAACTAGAAAATCTAGAAGAAATGGATAAATTAAATCCCTGGGCACATACATCCTCCCAAGACTAAACCAGAAAGAATCTGAACCAATAACAAGTTCTGAAATTGAATTGGTAATAAATAGCCAGCCAACCAAAGCTCAGGATCAAATGTTTTCAAAGCTGAGTTGTACCAGACGTATAAAGAAGAGCTGGTACCATTCCTACTAAAACTATTCAAAAAATTTAGGAGAAGGGACTCCTCCCCAACTCATTCTATGATGCCAGCATCATCCAGATACCAAAACATGGCAAACACAAACACACACACACAGACACACACACACACACAGAAAACTTCAGGCCAATATCGTTGATGAGCATTGATGCAACAATCCTGAAGAAAATACTAGCAAACCAAACCCAACAGCACATCCAAAAGCTAATCCACCACAATCTAGTAGGCTTCATCCCCAGATGCAAAGTTGGTTCAACATACACAAATCAATAAATGTGATTCATCACATTAAGAGAACTAAAGACAAAAATGCATGATTATCTCAATAGATGCCAAAAAGACTTTAAATAAAATTCAACATCCTTTTATATTTAAAAATCTCAATAAACTAGGTACTGAAGGAACATACCTCAAAATAATGAGAGCCATCTATGACAAACCCACAGCCAATGTTGTACTGAATTGACAAAAGCTGGAAGCATTCCCCTTGAAAACTGACACAAGACAAGGATGCCCTCTCTCACCACTCCCATTCAACATAGTATTGGAAGTCCTGGCCAGAGCAATCAGGCAAGAGAAAGAAATAAAAGCCATCTAAATAGGAAGACAGGAAATAAAACTATCTTTGTTTGCAGATGACATGATTCTATATCTACAAAACCCTATCGTCTCAGCCCAAAAGCTCCTTGATCTGATAAACAACGTCAGCAAAGTTTCAGAATACAAAATCAACACACAAATATCACTAGCATTCTTACACACCAACAGCCAAACCAAGAGCCAAATCATGAGTGAACTCCCATTCACAATGGCCTCAAAAAGAATAAAATACCTAGAAATACAACTAACCAGGGAGGTGAAAGACATCTACAATGAGAATTACAACTACTGCTAAAAGAAACCAGAGAGGAAACAAACGAATGAAAAAACATTCCATGCTCATGGATAGGAAGAATCAATATCATTAAAATGGCCATACTGCCTAAAGCAATTTACAAATTCAATGCTATTCCTAACAAACTATCAATGACATTCTTCACACAACTGGAAAAAAACTATTTTAAAATTCATATGGAACCAAAAAAGAGCCTGAATAGCCAAGGCAATCCTAAGCAAAATGAACAAAGCTGGAGGCATCTTATTACCTAACTTCAAACTATACTACAGGGCTACAGTAGCCCTATACCTATACTGGTATAAAAAGAGGCACAGAGACCAATTGAACAGAATGGAGAGGCCAGAAATAAGGCCACACACCTATGACCATCTGATCTTTGACAAACCTGACAAAAGCAAGCAATGGGGGAAAGGACTCCCTATTCAATAAATGGTGCTGGGATAAGTGGCTAGCTATATGCAGAAGATTGAAGCCGGACCCCTTCCTTTAGCCATATACAAACATAAACTCAAGATGGATTAAAAACTTAAATGTAAAACCCAAAACTATAAAAACCCTGGAATATAACCTAGGCAACACTATTCTGGACATAAGAACAGGCAAAGATTTCATGACAAAGACACCAAAAGCAATTGCAAAAAAGGAAATGTTGGCAAATGGGACCTAATTAAACTAAGGAGCTTCTGCACAGCAAAACAAACAACAGAGTAAACAGATAACCTACAGGATAAGATAAAGTATTTGCAAACTATGCATCTGACGAAGGTCTAATAAAATCCAGCATCCGTAAGGAACTGAAACAACTTTACAGAAAAAACAACCCCATTAAAAAGTGGGCAAAGGACATGAACAGACACTTTTCAAAAGACATACATATGGCCAATGAGCATATGAGAAAAAGCTCAGCATCACTTATCATGAGAGAAATGCAAATCAAGATCACAATGAGATACCATCTCAAGCCAGTCAGAATGGCTATTAAGAAGTCGAAAAATAACAGATGCTGGTGAGATTGTAGAGAAAAGGGAACGCTTATACACTGTTGGTGGAAGTATAAGTTAGTTCAACCATTGTGGAAATCAGTGTGGTGATTGCTCAAAGATCTAAAGACAGAACTACCATTCAACCCAGTAATCCCATTGTTGGGTATATACCCAAAGGAATATAAATTATTCTATCCTAAAGACACATGTACGTGTACGTTCACTGCAGCACTATTCACAATAGCAAAGATATGGAATCAACTTAAATGCTTATCAATGGTAGAATGGAGAAAGAAAACGTGGGACATATACGCCACAGAACACTATGCAGCCATAAAAAAGAATGAGATCATGTCCTTTGCAGGGATGCAAGGGAAGCTAGAGGCCATTATCCTTAGCAAACTAACTCAGGAATAGAAAACCAAATACTGCACGTTTTCACAAGTGGGAGCCAGATGAACACATGGACACATGGAGGGAAACAAGAGACACTGGGGCGTATTGAGGGTGGAGGTGGAGAGCAAGGAGAGGATCAGAAAAAAGTAGCTATTGGGTGACAGGCCTAGTACCTGGATGACAAAATAACCTGCACAACAAATCCCCTTGATATGATATACCTATATAATAAATCTGCACATGTACCCCTGAACTTAAAAAGGTTTTTTTTTTTTGTAAGAAAAATACCAAAACACAACAGATACTGGTGAGGCTATGGAGAAAGGGAACACTCATACATTCTTGGTGGGAATATAAATTAGTTTAGCCACTGTGGAAAGCAGTCTGGAGATTTCTCAAAGGACTTAAAAGAGAGCTACCATTTGACCCAGCAAAGCCATTATTAAGTATATACCCAGTGTACTATCATGTGGGTCCCACCCTAACTGCAGCACAGGCTGTGAATGTCCCTGTCCACCACCCTCCTGTGGTTACCCAGCCTTGCAGGCTCCGGCAGCCTTTGTTTCCTCCACCAGGAGGCAGGGTTATTTATATTTCATTTCATTTCATTTCATTTTTTGAGACAGAGTCTCACTCTGTCACCCAGGCTGGAGTGCAGTGGCGCGATCTCGGCTCACTGCAACCTCCACCTCCCGGGTCCAAGCAATTCTCCTGCCTCAGCCTCCTGAGTAGCTGGGATTATGGGCAAATGCCACCACGCCCAGCTAATTTTCATATTTTTAGTAGAGACGGGATTTCGCCATGTTAGTTAGGCTGGTCTCGAACTCCTGACCTCATGATCCACCCGCCTCAGCCCCCCAAAGTGCTGGGATTACAGGCATAAGCCACTGCTCCTGGCCAGAAGGCAAGTTTTTAAAGCTGTCCTTTTCCTCGATGTTTTCACAGGCACTGAGACCAGTTTCTTTATTCATTGACAGCCATCTTCCAAGTTTGCAAAAGGAGGAGTAAATCACATCTAACTCTAAAAATAGTGACTTTTCTCTACAATCCAAATTCTTGAGAACCTTCATGCTTTCATTATTCCCTAAGCAAGTCCTGGTGCCCATGGGTACTGGAGGGCAGCACAGCAATTCTGAGCAGACCGGACTGGGTCCAGCAGCCTGGATTTGAATCCTGGCAGTGCCATTCACCAGCCATGTCATCTAAGGAAAGTTACGGAGTCTCACCCACCTCAGCTCCTTTATCTATGAAATGGGGCCAATAACAGCATCCTCTTCGGAGGGTTCATGTGAGGACTGAATCAGTTAATATAAATAATTGTAGCAATACTTGACATACAGCGAATACCATTATTTTTTATAATGTGAACATCGACCTCTTCTGTGACAACTAGGAACATGCCAGAAATATGTCTCCTCCACTTTGATCTGAATGTAGAACAATGTCATTAATAGCACCAGAATCTACCTGCTAGCTCCATGTGCCTCCTCAAAGAAGCTGGGGAGAAGGCCGTTTGCAAAGAGGAGGAGTGTCAGGAAACAGAAGGTGCGTGCTCACCCTGGCTTCACACGTGAGGGCTATTCAGACACTGTGGGCCTCGCTGCTCCCTGGATTACAGAGTCGAGGCGCTTGAAAGGGGTCGCAAACCTCATGCTTGAGGTTACAGTGGGGAAGATATTGGCATATAACCCAAAGTGAGCCATGAGCCTCCCTCTAATAAAAATCCAAAACTTTCCAATGTATTATTTTGCCTGCACGAATATGGCCAAGATAAGACTTTTTAAAAATATGGCACTGTAGTCATCTACAAGCCATCCTTTGACTTGTATTTTCTAAATGTAAATGAATCACCAAACTCAGAACATCCTTGCAGAAAATTAGCAAAATCATCACATTTACTCTGATCAATGAGTATGAGAAAATCTCTACTTCAGTCATGGTTAATAGTTTGGAGTTTTAAGGACAGTTGATGAAAAATGCCATAAAAGAAGCATGTTTAGTCTAATTTGCTTGAAACTCTGATTGAAAATTATCCTAACAGCTGAGCCCTTTTACTCCCACAGACACAGCACTCTCTCTATTCCCCTCTGAAAATTCCAGTCTCTGACTCCCCCAGCTGGGGGTCATGAGAAAATCACAGAAACCTGGCATATGAAATGATGGACAATGGGGAAGTGCACTTTCCATAATTCCTTAGAGATTTCCCCATTTATTAACATGGCATAAAGGCACAGAAACCAACATGTAGTTGCAATAAAGAGAGAAATCCACAGCATTTACTTGATGGGCCTGGAAGCCTGCCTAATTGAAACACTCATGCATTGGGGCTGCACCACCAGCTTAGAGCAGCGTCTCTAGCGTGGTTGCCGCTGTTGCTGGAGAGGCAGCCAGGATCTGCCTGTTTGTGTGCTTTGCAGATCTCCATGGTGGAAGAGGCAAAAGGTCTGAAATCGTCTCACAAAGGAAATTACTATTCAGCCTCATCCATCAAAAGCAGAAATCTAGAAATGAGAAGACTTTCAAATGTTGCCTCAAGTAGAATTTTAAGATCATGTCTTATCCAAGTTCTTCTAGCATGATAATGAGCAGCAAAGAAAGGAGAAAATGAGCAGTGTCAGAAGCACCTGGCTACAGCCAACTCCAGTTACGTGTCTTCATATGCACAGTGGATGCTGGTTTTGACCTTTGCAATCCATTACTGAAACCCCCTTGTCCTGTAATACTTCTGCATTCTGTTTGTTTTGCAGATAAAGGAGAACTCCCCAACCATTTTCCCTTTTCCTAACTTTGTGAAAAACAAACTTAAAGGCTAGCAGGGAGCAAATGTAACAAGGGGACACAGACAGCACTGTGACTGAGGTGGGAGCAACACAGACTCGCAAGCCAGAGCTCCCAGTCACGGAGCTCAAGTGAACTGCCTGCACCCTCTGTACCTCGGTGGGGATGGCAGCATAATCGTCTTTTGGAGTGTGAACTGATGCACACCACGTATAGGTCACATTAATGTAAACTCACTCCAGTGTGGGTGGGCGTCAAATGGCACATTTGATGCCCCCTTTTTTTTTTTTTTTTGCATTTCTCTTAATCAAATCCTTTGTAAATTCCAATGTTGATTTCTGTTGATACATAATCATTTAGTTAGGCCACATGATTTCAGAGATGAGGGTGATCTCAGAGACATCTAGTTTGGTGCTTTTACTTCCCGACCCTGGTGCAGATGCAGAGATGTTCCGTTCATTCGTGCAAAGTCAAGGAGCAGCCAGGAGCAGAGGCAGATGAGAACCCAGGTGCTCCAACTTCCCGCTGAGCACCTCCTGTGCATGGCACCTGCACAGATGCCTCAACGTGCACACAGGCTGTAAGACGAGACTCTTAACAGTGTCTCAAGCAAGTACTTTTCTTTGACAGAGGCAGTGATTGCCAAGATTTAGTGTGGATTAAAAGCCTAAGACAGTTTGTATTAGAAAATGCCAGCTCTGTGAGACTATGGCAGACAGCAGTGGAAGGGCACATGACCGTCTCCTACTTCTGCACTGGGCAGCCACGCCCATCGCCCGCTGTGATCTACAGATTTCGGAGAACGAAGGTCACACTTCTGCACTGGGCAGTCAAGGCCGTCGCCCGCTGTGATCTACAGATTTCGGAGAAAGAAAGTCCCATGACATAGCATTGCACGTCTCTGTGAAAAGGCACTTCTACCACCTGATCAGGACATTGCATGCCTCAGTTTAAGGAGTTGTCTTGATTTACTCAGACCTCGTGAGGAATGACTGGCTATTGGTCAGATCCCGCTCCAGATCAATTCACTCAGCGTTTCCAGGATGGGCCTGGGCACCGTATTTCTGAAATCCCTCCAGATGGTTGCAATGTGTGGCCAAGGCTCAGCTCTCCAAAGACTTCAATTCTATAATTTCATGATTTCTCAAATGTCTCTAATCCAGGATAAATATTTCCACTGTGTTTAAAGTTCCTGAGTCCCAACATGTGGAAGTGCTTTGTGGTAGTCTTTCTGGCTTCCTCCCTGTGAGCTGTTCCAGTAACTCAACTTCACAAACTACATTCTAAGCAACTTCTCTGCCCTGGGTGTGCAGGGCATTCACACTGGGTTGGAGACAAAGAAGTTGGCCTGGGGAAAGGCCCTCCCACAGGGGTCGCTCCTGAACAGGACATGGACCCGTAGGCTTTCAGGATGCCCTAAACAGGTCAGAAAACACTTGTCACCACTAAAGGGTCCACGGCATATTTCTTCAGCACAAAGGTTTAAGCCAGGTGTCCTGGCAAGAACTAGATTCAAGTAATCATGTTCTGCCCCCTGCACTTTTTACTAGAATAGGTTTAACCTCTGTGCTGAGCCTGTGTAGACAGCAAAGCCGTCACTGCAGTCAGCCAGCAGGACTTGGCTGCTTCTCACGTGTGGAGGAGACAGACCCCATGTGGAATTTGAACACTGTGCCAGTGTGTTTCTAAGAAGGTTTGGGATTGTACATGACAAACTATTCTTGTAACAATGCAAGTACAACATCAAATCATCAGGGAGCCAGGTGTGTGCGCAGAAGGAGTGCACGTGCTGCTTCTGTGGACTTTCCACTGCAGCTGGCTGCAGAGCCTGCATGTACTTATCTGTCTGAAAGGGAAGGACCCACAAACCTGCCAAGGTCCGATATCAGTTGCGGGTGGGGGCTAAATGCTTTGCCAGTGAAGCAAGGTTGCTGGACTCTACTACTCTCTCAATATCTGTTCTATCAGCACAAGAGAAATGAACAATTCACATTCTTTAAAGATGTGGGGCTGAAAACAAGACAAGCTACTGGCTGGGGTTTCCTTAGTATCTCAGCCTCCAGTTCAAACAGGCAGAGAATGAAAGACAGTGTACTTCACATAATTATAATTATCTGTGGTCTCTGTGTCTCAGCCTGCATCTCTGAAGAGTCATGGAGTGCTTTCATGGCCTAGAAATCTCCAGATTGCAGCATCGTAACTTTGAACTGCCCAAAACATCCCCTGCAGGATAACAGGCCCAAAGCTGGACTCCTGAACTTCCAAGTGACCCCCAATGCCACACCCTACTTTCAGCCATCCGTACACCACTCATCATCCACAAAAAACAAAGGCAATGCTGCACAGAAAAACGTGGACTTACGTACTTTCCAAGTAGCAAATCCACTCACTGAGACAGAACCCAATCATTTTCTTAAAAGGAGAGAAAAGATACTAAAGAGTTAGTGACTAAGGGTTACTAAAGAACACGGGCATTTAAGAGCTTCCTGGAAAATGAATGAGATCAGCTCCAGCCATTATCCAAGAAGGAGCTGACCAAAAAGAAAATATGGCTATTTCCTTAAAGATAATGCATCAAATTTCTCTCTAGGTTTTATTAGACTAAGTGAAATAAACTTTAGAGCAATAACTCTGGAGGTTATTGCCGGGAGTAGGGTGTAGGGTGGGGTTACTTAGTAATTATTTTTTGTTAACTATATCTGAAATGTGAAATTCCAAAATTTTAACCTCTTTTACAGTTATATTATTCAATATCTAAATGAAACTAGTCAAGATGAAGTTTTTAATTCATGCTCTGAAGCATCTCTTTATTTCATATATATAGAAATTATATATAAAATATAAGAGAAGAAATAAATTGACATAGCCAGGCTTAAAAGCAAAACAAAACAAAATTCTCCATAAACAGAAAAGGAGCAGAAACACAAACTTAAGTCTTGGACATCCTGGCTTTGGGTGCAGAATTAAGCAGGAAGGGCAGGGAGCTCACATTCCACGAAAGACCAGAACCCAGGGCTGGCAGGGCTCCACTGCTTCTAAAAGAGGCTAATGATGTGTGCTGGGACCTGGAATCACAGTTTAAGCTCAACAGCAGGTCCAAGGAGACACTGAGGTAGTTACATGGCTAGATGTCTAGAACTGGGTATCCTAACATCCTGAGATGAGAAATACTGCTGCAAATTCCTCACATGAGGTCCCAAAGACTTTGGAAAGAAGCAACTGCAAAATCAAGTAGGAAGAGATAAGCTGAGAAAGAGAAAAAAAATGAGAATATTCTTCAACTAAAAATAAATCTATAAATTAAAATTGTAAAACACATATTGATATTGAATGCTAAGAGGACAGACAACCAAATAACAATTAGAAGATAATTGCATTCCAGATGAATTTTAAATAAGAAAATAGTCTGAATAATACTTTAAAAGAAATATGCTTATAGTCTGCAAAGAGATGAATGGGCAAAGATCAAATAAAAATAAGAAATTACTTTACAAATTGTAATAAAATATAGGAAGGTGGGTATGTTAGAGAACACATTAGAAATAAGAATTTTGAAAAAAAAAAGCAGCAGATCATTGCTCGCCTAGACAAAACACATTTGAAGAAGTAACTCAATGAAATATAATATTAAAGAATTACCTCAAATTCAGCTTACAGAGACAAATTTGCTTAAAAATATAAAAAATCAGTTAAGAGCCACAGATAATACTTTGAGAGTTTCAAAAATGTGTCTCATCAAATCCAGAAAAACAAAGGCAATTTTGAAGAAACAATATTTGAAGAAGTAAAGGACAGCAAATTGCTTATCAGCAACATTAGACACCCGAAGGCAGGAGAAAAATGTTTTTAAAGTGTTTATAATAACTCTTAATATATATCAATCTTCAAGTTTATACCAAGCTAAATTATCATTTAGGTGTGAGGGCAAAATGAAGACATTTTCAGATATACAACAACTAAGAGAAATTACGACTTACTTTCCATACCTCACTGGAAAAAAAAAATTATGAAATGATGAATTTCAGTGAAAGAATGGAACCTAGAAGGAAGAAATGAGATACAAGAGAAAAACCAAAGAAATTGATAAAAATGTGCTAGTAACAAAACTCTAATTGACAACAGCAATAACAAACCTCTAGACAACAATAACAGTAATATCTACTACATAAGCCACTTAAGAACTTTTCCTTGTCTAGGAGAAAACTGATATCCAGGATAATTTAGACATTTTTCATTAAAATTTGTCATTAAGTATATAAATTAAAATATTAAAGGTAAAAATTAAGTCAACATGCAGAGACATAAAAGGAGATAAAAGAATCAAAGAACAAGGGAAATAGCAGAATTCATATGTAGAAATAAGTCGGAAATTCCTTGGTCCAAAAAAATGTGAATGTGCTAACTTTTCCAGTTAAAAGATAATCTTTTCTATTAAAAAGGTTATAAAATTGGATTAAAATTATAAAATTGGATTAATAAATTCAGCCAGAAAGATTGAAAGTAAAGGGTTGGAAAAAGTCTGCCACATAAACATTAACCAATAAAAAGTTAGCAATACCACTGTTAATATAAAAGAAATTAAGTCCAAAAACATAAGTAGGGAAGAAGATAAATGCAAAATAATAATAAAAATTAAAATCTCTGGGAAGATAAACAATCACAATCTTTATGCACCTAAAAATATAGCATCAAAATACCTAAAGCTAGGCCAGAAGGATATTTGCCAACGAAAAAAGTTTAAGAAATCCACTTCAGAAGCATATATACTACTGTCTCACTGACAGCTCAATCAACTGTCTAACAGAAGTATCAAACTTAAGATGTTCAAATTTTTTTTTATTTCTTCTTTGACCCCAGAACTACTTTTCTCCAAACCTGTTTTTCTCCATTTCCACTAATGTAACCACCAGTAACCAATTGCTTTTATTTTTGTCTTTGGTTTGTTATGAAATAGTAATTGAATATAAAGGAAAATATTACTTAAAATATCTTAAAGGTATTACATATTTGGCGATACTGAACCCACATTTTTCTGCACATCAAGAAGACATTTTATAAGAGCAATATTTTACATATATGATGCTATTAAATAAGTCATATTTTTGTATGATTTTCAGGTAGTATATGTAATATATATGACATACATATGTAAGTTTTGCATAGGCTTTTGAGAAATAATACCATATCTAACAACGTTGTTAAAGAAAGAAAAATAACTCAATCTCTTACCTCAGTTGATAATAAGAAGCATTTTTCCTATGAGATAAAAATATAATTCCAGCAAGATGAGGGCCAAATGCAAGTGTGAGTTTCTCTTTTCTGACTCTGATACTTTCGACTGTCAATTACAGTTAGATACAATATAGATTTATTTAATTGTTGTGTTTGTATATATGGCACAATGAGTAGTGGCATTATAATGGTTAATATTCTATGTCAACTTGACTGTGTGATGGGGTGCCCAAATATCTTCTCAAACACCATTGTGGATACGGCTATGAGGGTGTTTTTGATGAGATTATTTGGAACTGTGGATTGAGTAAAGCAGATGCCGTCCCTAATGGGGGTGGGCCTCATCCAATCAGCTGAAGGCCTGAATAGAACAAAAAGGCCGACTCTCCCTTAGGTAAAAGGAACCTCCTCCTGCTTGACTACCTTGAGCTAGGACATTGGTGTTTTTCTTCCTTTGTACTTAAAGTGAAACATCAGTTCTTCTTGGGTCTTGAACCTATTGCCTTCAGACTATAATCCACACCACTATAAGACTGGCAGTGCAATGGATTTGTTTACACCAGCATCACCACAATCACTTGAGCAATGCATTGCACTATGATGTTAAAATGGCTGTGACATTACTAGACAATAGAAATTTTCCAGCTCCATTATAATCTTAACAGGTCACCATTGTATATCCAGTCCATCATTGACTGAAATGTTGTTATGGGGTGCAAAACTGCATTTACAGCATTTCCTCTCTAAGCAGAAAGGTTTACCCACAAAGGTTGCAGCCTGCTGGCCACTGCAAAACTCTTCTATTTTGAGCACCACCAAGTCAGGCCCAAAGTAAGCTCAGCATCAGATTGGAAAACTGGCATTAATGAATTTTTTATTAGTATCTACCTATTAACCAGAGGTAAATTTTCCTGTGGAATATTTTGTCTCAAGCTCCAGTAATCAATATGCTTGCTCAAACACATGTGAAAGCATTTACTAAAGTGCTCCAGTCAACACTGTTTTTCAGGCAATTATTTACTCCTTTAAGTACTTACATGCTGTGATATAATGCTGAAAGAGAAATTGCACAAACATTAAAAACCACATACACATTACCGTAAGTCAATGTTTAAAATACATAATGTAATTTAATAAGTGAATCTTGTAAATTATAAGTTCATGAAAACATTAGAAAATAAATATAAACATACATAAATTAAAAGAGAAATAGATGGTAGGTGATAGATGGTAGACAGATGGTAAAGACAGATGATACATAGAAAGATAGCAACATAATACATGATAGATGGATACATAGATAAATGGATGGATGGGTAGATAGATAAATAAACAGATAAAGCTATAAGGTTAGTATTTCTTGTAGCGTTTCCTAATATATGAGACACAGTAAAAGCAGTGCTAAGGGGGAAATTTAGAGCTATACATGCTTACATTTATAAACAAGAAGATTCTTAGATCAACAACCTAACTTTACAACTTAAGGAACTAAAAAACTAAAAGTAAACTAAATCCAGGGCTAGCAGAGGAATGAAATAAGAAATATTAGAGGAAATATAAAATAAAGAAGATATAAACCATTGGAAAAATCAATGAAACAAAAAGTTGATTCTTTGAAAAGATAAAAAAAAACCTGACAAAGCTTTAGCCAGGTGGATTAAGGAAAGAAGATTCAAATTACTAAAATCAGAAATAACAACTGATGCTACAAAAATAAAAAGCATTATAAGAGAGCAGCACTATGAACAACTGTATACCAAACAATTTGATAACCTAGATGAACAAATTCCTATAAACATAAAATCTACCAAGACTAAATCACACTAAAATAGCACATCTGAATACACTTATCAGTAGTAAGAATAATGAATCAGTAACCAAAAATTTCCACAAAGAAAAGCCCTGAATCTGATGACTTCATTGGTGAGTTCTGCCAAAAATTTAAAATGGAATTATTCCAATTCTGCTCCAACTTTTCCAAAAACTGGGGGAAAAAAAAACACTTCTTACCTCATTCTGTGAGGACAGCATTACCCTGATATCAAAACCAAAGATTCCAAAAGAAAGGAAAACTACAGACCAATATCCCTTATGAACATTAATGCAAAAATTCTCAACAAAATACTAGCAAACAGAACTTAACAGCATATTAAAAGGATTACAAACCATGATCAACTGGGATTTACTCCTAAAATGCAAGGATGGTTCAAAATACAAAAATCAATTAACATAGTATACCACATTAACAGAATGAATGGAAAAAATGCATGATTATCTCAATTGGTGCAGGAAAAAACACACGATTATCTCAATTGATGCAGAAAAAAGCATTTCACAAAATTCAACACGCTTTTATGATAAAAACACTCAACAAAGCAGAAATAGAAGGAAACTACCTCAACACAAGAAAAGCCATATATGAAAAACACAGAGCAAACATCTTATTCAATGATGAAAGACTGAGAGCTTTTCCTCTAAAATCAAGAACAAGTCAAGAATGTTCAATTTTCCCACTTCTATTCAACACAGTCTAAAAGTTCTAGCCAGAAATTAATTAAGCAAGAAAAAGAAATAACAGTCATCTAAATAGGAAGGGGAAAAGTACAATTATCTTTGTTTGCAGATATGTTTTATATATAGGAAGCCCTACAGATTCCACAAAAGTGTGTTAGAACAAATGAATATAGCAAAGTAGCAGGATAAAAAATCAGCAGGCAAAACTCAATTGCGTTTGAATATACCAACCATCACCACTATGACAAGGAAGTTACAAAAACAATTCCATTCACAATAGCATCAAAAAGAATAAAATACTTGGCAACTAACTTAACCAAAGAAGTGAAGGACTTGTACAATGAAAACTACAAAACATTGCTGCAACAAAATTAAAGAAGACGTAAATTAATGGAAACATATTCCATGTTCATGGATTGGAACACAATATTGTTAAAATATCTATATTACCCAAAGTGCTCTACAGATGCAATGCAATCCCTGTACTGATCCCAATGATGTTTTCTGAAGATATGGAAAAATCCATCCTAAAATTCAAATGGAGTCTCAAGAGACTGTGAATAGCCAAAGCAATCTTGAAAAAGAACAAAACTGGAGGACCTACACTTTCTAATTTCACACATTAATACAGAGCTACAGTAATCAAAACAGAATAACACTGCCATAAAGACAGACATATAGACCAATAGAATTAAATAGAGAGCCCAGAAATAAACCCTCACATATATGGTCAAGGGTGCCAAGACCATTAAATGGGGAAAAAGTCTTTTCAACAAATGGTGCTGGCAAAGCTGTGTATTAATGTGCAAATGAATGAAGTTGGAACTTTACCTAAAACCATGTACAAAAACTAACAAAGTGCGCCAAAGGCCTGAATGGAAGACTGAAAACAATAAAACTCTTAGAAGAAAACACAGGAAAAAAGCTTTCCAGCATTGAATTTCTTGGGTATAACACTCAAAGGCAAAAAGCAACAAAAGAAAAAAATAGGCAAGTTGGACTTCGTGAAAATTTTTTAAATTTGTGCATAAGAAGACATTATCAACACAATAAAAAAGCAATCCATAGGATCAGAGAAAATATTTCCAAATCATGTATATAATAAGTGATATCCAGAATATCTAGGGAACTCCTAAAACTACAAAAAAAAAAAAATCCAGTTAAAACATGGATTAAGAACTTGAATAGACATTTCTCCAAAGAAGATACACAAATGTCCAAGAAGTGCATGAAAAGATGTTCAACATCACTAATCATTTGGGAAACGCAAAACAAAACTACAATGAGATTGTACCTCACACCCATTAGAATGCAACTATCAAAAGAATAAAAATAACAAATATTGATGAGGAGGTGGAGAAATTTGGACCCTGTACACTGTTGGTGGGAATGTAAAATGGTACAGCTGCTGTGGAAAACAGCATGGCATTTTTTTCCAAAAAATTAAAAATAGAATTATCCTATTATTCAGCAATTCCACTTCTGGATATATATATATGCAAAAAAACTGAAAGCAGGGTCTTGAAGAGATATTTGTTCAAACATGTTCATAACAGCATCATTCACAATAGCTAAAACATGGAAGCAACACAATTGTCCATGAATGGATGAGTATATAAGCAAAACATGGTATATCCATACACAAGAATATTATTCAGCTTTAAAAAGGGAAATTCTAATATATGCTTCAATACAGACAAACCTTGAAGACATTATGTTAAATGAAATAAGCCAGTTACAACAGGGCAAATGCTATATGATTCTATTTATATGAGGTACCTAGAGTGAAAATCACAGAGACAGATTCAAATCTCTCATCTATTCAGAAACAGATCTGTATTCTATTCTGGAGTGGTGGTTTACAGGGGCTGTGGGGAGCGAGGAATGGGGAGTTAGTGTTAATGGGTACAGAGATTCAATTTTACAAGATTAAAAGTTATGGAGATAGGTGGTGGTGATACACTAACATGATGAATGCACTCAATATTGCTAAACTATGCACTTAAAAATGGTTAGGTTGGCAAATTTTATGTTATGTGTATTTTACCATAATAAAAAAATGGAAGAAAAAATAGATCAGGGACTTAAATGTAAAACTATAGGAATTTTAGAAAGCAAAATAGGAGAAAATCTTCAGGATCTAGGGCTGACACCAAAAGGAGGTTGCATAAACGGGAAAATAAATAAATTGGTCTCCATCAGAATCAAAAGCTTTGCTTGATTTCTCATCAGCAGAACCAGGAGCACATTGTGATGGATGTGACTGTCTAAATGAAACTTCAGAGAAGACGTGAAGTGAAAATAGCCCATATTAAAAGGTTACATAGTGTATGATTCCATTTACATGACATTCTTAACAAAATTATAAAAATAGAGAACAGATAGCAGTTGCCAGGGGTTATGGATGCGGGTGGGGGAGCGTGCGTGGTTTAAAAGAACAACAGGAGGGACCTGTGTGAGGATTGTCTGTATCTTGACTGGTGGCAGACACACAAATCTAGACACATGTAATAATACTGCACGGAACTGCATACCTGCGCAGAACTGCAAACATGCACCCACACGAGTACGAGTCAAAAGGAAAATGTGAACAAGAGCATCAGATTATGTCAACAGCAATACCCCATTACTCAGAAATATGAGCAGTGTCTTAAGCTACAGCACTGACATGGAAACGTCCTCATGTTGCTAAGCGGAAACAGACGCTGTATTTACAGCTCAGCAGGCTGCACATCTCAAAAGCAAGAACTTCACTGGGACTCAGTAATTTAAACTTCAAATCCAGCCAAGCCTCCTTTGCAAGGTGAAGTATGTTCTCCCGGAGCCCAGCGTCAGCACCGAGGGTGCACAGCAGAAGGCTACACACGCGGAGCTGCGCTGTTCCCAATGCACACTGCAGGGATGTGTGAGGCAGGGCTCTGAATAGCTGGGACAAAGACAGTGTGATGACAGCATCTGGATGGCAGCTTCAGCACTCCATGCACTTGCCCCAGCAGCCTCACACAGTTCCAGGTGTTCATCTGACTGGCAGAATTAAACCTGCGCTAAATGTGAGGAGATGCCAGGAACATCCTGGAATACGATCAGAAAAGAAATCCAAAACGTCGTGATATTAGAGTGTGAAGTCACTATCACCTGCACCATCAAATAATGATGCCTCCCCACCTAAGACAGCCAGAAGACAGTCGCTTCCCGCAGTGTTGAGAAGGAAATACATTTGTGAGCACAGAACTGACATTTCTGATAAAGCCCTGGAGCTGCAAGCCTGCATAGGCCAGAACACAGGAGAAGGCACTGCCACAGACAGGCTCCTGTTTTCACTGCTGATGCTGGGACCCTGCCAAGTGGGCCACCTGAGCTCCTCTTCTAGATTAGAGAGATGGGCCCGTCACAGGCAGCAGGAGGGTCCTGGCCCAAAGCAGTGGCTGGGAGCAGCCCACTGACCATGGAAGCTGCAGAACCCATGCATGTTCAATCGTGCAGTCCCTGTGCACAGCCATAGGAGATTGGTAAAGGGCTGAAGTCTGTCCGGGGGACCTGAGGGCTCTGTGAATGCCCACGGTTCCTTCCCCCAGCTGCTGGGTGCATACTTAGATGGCCGTACTCAGCAACTGGCAGGCTCCCACACTGGCTCCCTGCTCTGCAAAATGCGGGCTATTGTCCTAGGAAAGGAAACGTGGAGCGCTACTCAGTATAAAACTTTAAGCCAAAAGCAATATCACATCCATGAGGGAATTGCAGAGATTAGCACCACAATCAAAGACTTGGAAAATATTGAGTTTTTATTTCCTTTTATCCTGATTTAGCTCACCAGTTTGGCCTATGTGGAATACAGGCCGCTTGGAAAATGATGGTGCGTTTTATAGCAACATGTTGACTAAAATTGAGCTTGCTATTCCAAATGAGGTCTGTACTAACAAGCCAGGGCAGCCCCTGGCCTCAGGTTATCCATTACTGTCTCACAAATGCTTAGCTGCTGCTGAACTAATGCTTAGTAGCTGCTGAAAATCCAGGAGCTATCTGTTTTCTCTTATCAAGGAGAGTCACCCATCTTCATCTTCTCACCTCAGGGCCACACTAACTTCTGAGCTGGGACCTAAGAAACCTCCCGCTGGTCTACGACCGAGAAGGCATCACGCAGAGAGGGCCTGCGGAGCAGAAGTGGCAGGTAGTGCGCGTGAGTGCTGCAGGGTGGAGGAGGGGCAATGAGTACCCAGGACCTGCCCTCCGGGAGGTATGGCTGCCCAGTGCTAGGGATCTCTCCTTCAAAGTGGAAGCAGTCGCTGCACATCACTGTTCTCACCTCAAGGAGAAGGCACACGACATGGTGGAGACCGCAGTGACACAGTTAGTGCTATTCTTCTACTCACTGAGGGGCTCGGAAATCTGCTGACTTTGACTGGAAACCTAAGCAGCCTCTGCACAGCTCCAAACAGCCACGCGAGCTGCGCTAGCCCAGGGCCCCGTGCAGGGCAGGACACTTGCACGACCAGGCATGCTTATGCTCCCTAGATGTGGACACCAGAAATGCCCCGTTGTCCTCTCTGCTCTCCCCCGTCACAGGTCAGAGGCCGGGATTCTCTACGTTTTCGAACTCCTTGCCACCAAGGCTCCAGTACAGGAACCAGCAGGAGAAGCCTCCGTGTGAGATCTGAAGGCAGTAGAGAGGGAGAAGACACTGTCACTCCTGCCATTTGGCAAACAGGTGTGTGGGATTTGGCGGCTGGGCATTCTTTTCACCCACTTTGATCCAGCAGGAGCTGAAATCACTGCAAGTTTCCCAAGTGGGCTGGAGATGAGACGAACCCGATCCACCTGCGGATTGAAGCAGAGTGGCCCGGCAGGGAGCCCAGACCAGCCAGTGTCCAGACGGCCTGCAGGTCCAGCAGGAGAAGCTGGGCCAGAGCCAGACACACTCACCCATGTGTCTGTGAGGACAGAGGGTGGCTGTTCTAAGCCACCGAGGGAGTCACGCGGCTTTAAGGCAGTAGCCCGCAGATGTGCCTGCTCCCAACCTCACAGAGAGAACTAGGCTCCTTCTATGTGCCTGGTGTTGTACGAAGATGAATAAAATAATTTATCCCACAAAGCCAGAAACAAAAGATATTTAACAAAAATGAATCTATCTAGCCCGCAGGAAAAGATGCAGTGAACTTTTGAACCAGCAGTAGCTAAAATGCATAAAGATGTATGAGGAAGCAGCACTTTCCCACGAACTGTAGGACTCGCCTGCATGTTCTCATTCGGTGAATCTGTTGTGACTGGGGTCTTGGTTGACTCCTTATCTTCCCGACCCTTTTCTTTAATACCGAGGATGCACATGGTCTGGTTAAAGCAGGAGTTTGCGGTTGTCTGCTCAGTAACCTAGCGAAGCCCGCGACTGCCCTGCCTGGTGGAGACGGGCGCGCCCCTCCCTCAAGCTGGTCGAGGAGGTGCTAACACAGGACTTCGTCAATGAAGCAAGACCTCCCTACATGCTTAGGTCTGAATCCAGCTATTCCAGATCTTTCCACTCACACTAAGTAGGCTGAACAGCTTCAGACTCTCCCCTAAGATCACAGCCAAGGACTGGGCCGGATCGCTCCAGTGTGACACGGAGCCGGTGGCCATGCCTGGGGCATCCAATGCCCTGAACGGAGCCGCACGCACCACCTCCCCCCAGGCTAGGGCAGCCGCCCCGGGGCTGCGGGATGCTGGGAAGCCATTAATGAGGGAGTAGATCTGGTGAGGAGATGAGGGAGGGCAGGAGAGCAGCAGGCCCCCATGCAGGGAGAGGAAGCCGCACGCCTGACGCTCTGGCGGGACGACCGCGGCCTCTGAAGAGCGCGGCCGCGGGAGACACCCAGGCACCTGGACAGGCCGGACTCACGTGCTGGGGATGTGCGTCCCTCTGAAAGATTCCCCCGGAAGCTGAAGGGCGATGTGGCGTTCCGTACACGGACGGTCCCTGTCGCAGGCCTCCTACTTGAGGGTCCAGGGCTTACACTGTAGTTTTTTTGTTGCTGCCATAAAAATTTCCTTAAACTTAGTGGCTTAAAACAACACCAGTTTATTCTTCCGGGTCTGTAGGTCGTAAGTCCCGAATGGGCCGCACTGGGCTAAGATCAAGTAGCAAAGGGCTGGTTCCCTCTGGAGGCTTCAGGAGAAAATCCATTTCCGTGTCTTTCCCAGCTTCCCGGCCGACCCCGATCCGGGGCTGTGGCCCCTTCTCATCCTTCGGAGGCGGAAGCGTCTCGTCTCACTCCCCGGCGCTCCCTCTGCCTCCCTCTTAAGCTCCCTCGTGATCGCACTGGGGCCCTGGGTCACCCGGGGTGCTCTCCTCATCTCCAGGTCAGCCGATCGCAGCCTCAGTGCCATCTTCAACCTTGCATTTCCCACGTTCCAGGGGTTAGGACTTGGCCATTTCCAGGACCACGGTTTTCCTCACCACAGACACTGACCCATTCTTGAGGGGAAGCCAAGATTCGAGTAGATGGATTTGCTGAGGAGGGTCTTGAACCACTTCTTCTATAGGCTTCCCCCAAACACTTTTGACAGGTCCATGAAAGTACTGGCAGCTAATTCCATGAAATGTCTACCTAGTCAAAATAGAGGAAGATGAGGTGACCATCACATTTCATGAGACTCTGCGGAGTACATGGACCACAAGACATCTGGGAGGTTTGTCTCTGGCTGTGTCCTCAAGCAAGACACCCTCTGCCATGCTGTGAGCAGAGTGACGAGAAAGAGGCAGGGCCTGGGGTGAAAACATCAGGAGGCCCAGCTGAGAATGCTCAGGCCTTCAGAGGACAAGCCTGAGTTCAAGCAACCTGTAACAGCTTCTGACGCTAATTAACATGACAGGGTCACAGACAACTGGGAGGAAAACTTTGGAGACTGTGCAGCCATGATGGAACTTCATACAACATAAGAGAATGTTGTATCAAGGGTATGTAATCGTAGGTCCAAAGTTGAAGACAATTATAAATGTATTGATACTCCAGTCAGTGAGATGGCCTTTGCTAATTTAACAACAGATGACCTATCCCTCACCCGTACAATGTGTAAACATTTCTGGGAAGAAATAAGAGTGAAGGAGTTCAGGGAACAGGATTCTCTTTCTAGGCTTCCAAGAGCCGTCCCCAGACACTACAGCCTGTCATCTACTGGTTCATTAGATGCTCCTTTTTTTGGAAAGAAGATGAGAGAGTTTGACAAAACATATAAAAACTTAAATGTGTTAGCTACATGTTTTGGGAACTTTTCAGTACATGTGGCTTCCTGGCATTTCTGATTTCTGCTGTAATTTCCTGGGCCTGCCCGGTATTCCCACAGCCACAGAAAGTAGAAGAATGCATTTTCAATTTCTAGTCATTAATACATCCTTTTCTCATTATTTTGAACCTATATCAATCTAGCATGCCACTTCCATAAGATTTCAGCCAAAAAACACAGGAGTAAAAGCTAAGCAGTCCATTCTTCATTATGTCCCTGGTGTGGTGTGCTGAACTTCCATCCCTGAAAAGGAAGTCATGCTAATAAGTGAGACAACATTCTGGTTTAAATTAGGAGCAAAAGGCCAAGCTAAAAGTATGCTACATATCAAAGTATGGGAGGAGTGTACTGATGTGTAAAATTTACTTTACAATTCATAAAAAATCGGACATTAATGAGTGGATAGATAAAAAGATAGATGAACAGTGTGTAGTTATGTGATAAAACAAATGTGGTAAAATATTATCAGTAGAATA